>NC_000005.10:38845598-39478123 GCF_000001405.40 Homo sapiens | reverse complement strand
GGGGGGGAAATACATTGGAGGAAGGGGGAGGGGACAAACAACAACTAAAACTTGGCTTCACATGTTTGCAATTTAAAATGTTTATATTTCCTAATAATTTATTCCAAAGTTGCAGGGATACTTTTCTTTCTAATCCTAAATCTGACTTGAAACTACATGTTTTTCATTACCCAATTAAAATAAACACTTTCATTCTGCTCTCTCAGTTGCATCCCGAAGTTTGACTTTTACACTTCACAATCAAGCACCATTTGCTCAAGCTTAATTATGACATAATAATGAATATTTTCTATACTTGCAGACAGACCATCAGAACAGTTTATTTTGTTTTGGAGTTACAGAGAAAAGGAAATTCACAAGACTCCTACACATAGGACACCTGACTTTGTGGCAGTCAGAGGAGCGTTTGTATTTTATCCAACAATTTCTTCCTTTCAGATAGATAGATAGATAGATAGATAGATAGATAGATAGATAGATAGATATGTATGTATGTTTATATACATGTATGTCTTCTATATATGTATATAGAAGAAGAAAAATTGAGATGTCTTTTCTAATGCTGTTACCAGTTCTCTGCTCATGATATTCTGGCTTAGTTTTGTTGAATAATAACAGTGCAGAGTTATTCTTTCACTGTGGCAATGACAGAAAAGTAAATTGTTAACAAATGGCTACACAGGTCCATAATTGCTGACCTTCCCTGGTCCCTAGGTTGTGACTTGAGGCCACTGTGTAATCAATAGCCTAGTGTGGTGTTTTTGACCAGGCCAGGATGCCATCCGTTTCCAGCCACTCTTTGGTTACATCACTGATATTTCTTTCAGGTCTCCAACTCCTTCCACTCACAGTTACCCAGGAACCCTTTTCTCTCAGAACACAAGTTAAAGGTGACTGTGGCAACCATAGTTTACTATGTATATTTCAGTTGCATTTTATGTTTTGGATTTCATATGTTAGTCTAAGGAGTTACATTCCTTCAGAAAAAAAAAAAATCTCTTTTCAAGTTGACTAAAACTCAGGAATCTCTAGTGCAATAATAGGAAAGTTCATACGGGCAGCATCTCACAATTAGCTTGCTTGAGTTGGACAGGACTTTGCTTTCAGGGCCTAAAGGAAAATTTCCTCATGCATGTGCAGAAAGGGGTTGTGGTTCTCCAGCAGCCAGTTTTGGGCATTTATGAACTGTGATGTGCTAAAACTAAAGGAATCGTAAGAAACACATTCTGGAAGATAAAATTAAAGTGAGTTAAGGAGAGAGAGGGGTCCAGAAGAAGAAAAAGAGGACTATTTATTTTAGGGTGTCAGAAGACAGGGCCTACATAAAAGCTGGATCCTCAAACCTTGCCAAGGAGAGGCATAAGAGGGTTTGGCCCGGTGGCTGGGCACTTTTTCTGAGGGATGCAATCGGGGTTTCTGAAGTGATGCTCTGAATTCATAGCATTTCACAAGACCATTGAAAATGCTTAGTAATTGTTTGCAGCTGCTGCTCAGCCATTTCCTTTACATTCCATGGCCCTGGAGACAAAAAGAAAAAATTATTTATGCCAGTTTTTGTGAATCATAGTGTTAGTTGTAAATCCCCTCCACCATAGTCTGTAAAATATAGCTTTTATTTCATTGTTCTTTCTTCATGCCAAATCATGAAGTTTTTTAAAAGAAAAGAGAAATAAAAATAACAGAACCATTCTTTTACATTTAAGGTACTTGCCCTTCCTATATAATAAAAGCTCACTAATTCGGATCTGTCTAGATTGGTGAAATGTCTGGGTTACAAGCTATTGAATTTCAATATTCAAGTTTTTATCATGCATAGAAATGTCCATGTGAGTTGTTTACTTCCTAGGGCAACACAGTGGCCCAGTGTGTGAAGTGTGCTGAAAAGAGCTTTGGATTGGAGATGAAGACCACTGAGACCCCTGAAAACCTATGGGGTCTCAGCAAGTTTCCCTGGAAGGAGAGGTTGGGAGTAGAATAAAATGGAATGGAATAGAGTGGTGCATGCACAGTCACTTCCCATCCTGCTCCCACAGCCGATCTGGCTAAGCTGCACAGTGATCTTTCTATTAGGCCCAGAAACACCCTCAGAGTTTTTCTTAACGCAGAGCTCCAGGAAGCAGCCATCAGTCTGTCAACCTTGGCACAGAATATTAAGCCTAATTATGGAATTAGATGATTTTAAAGTTTCTTCTAACACTGTAATTCCAATATGCTAACAGAGAACTTTAAAAAATGCAGAAATGAGCCCTGTGTATGGTTTTTAACATACAAACCATTTTTAAGTTGCTTTAGAAGTACTTAAAACATCAGCTAGCTTCAAAAAAAATACAGTGGTTTTCACCAGACTTAAACAGATTTGCTAGCTTCATAAAATACCATAGTTCTCACAAGACAGAGGGGAAAGGATAAAGTATGTTGGAATCATCTAGGGCAATTTTTAAAAAATATTTAAACCTAGGACCCGTCCTGTCAATTATCTTTCCTTAAGTCTGTGATGAAGTCAGGAGAGTATGTCTGCTAAAAATCCGTTTTGTAAATTCTGATACACATTCCTGTCCAAATATTCTTTCGGGAGCCTAGTTTATATGATTTATTTCTTTAGATAGTCTGGTATTTCAAGAAAAAGCAATGGTAGATGTCATCTCAGGCCCTGTCCAAATAAAATTTACACATTCCAAATGAATAGATGGCAAATAAAATGATTTTACCATTGATTGAATTTGCAGCTTTATTTCTGGAACCAAGACCTTGCATTATTCAGACAGCCACATAATGGCGATCACTCAACACTTTCAGCTTCTCAGGCCAAAAACCCTGAAGTCATTTTTATTTCTTCTCTTTCTCTCACAAACCTCATCCAGTTTGTTCAGCCAATTCTGCCGACTCTTGCTTCACCCTCTGACTGCTTCTCACCACCAACTCTGCTAAAGCCTGGGCAGATTATTCCAGCTCCCCCACCTGGTTTCCTGCTTCAACCCTTGACCCCCACTGTCTATTCTCCACACAGCATGGAGTGACCCCAATAAAAGTGAATTCAGATTGTGCCATTCCTCTGTTTAGAAACCTCTGGGTGCCAACACAACTTAGTCCCAGATAAAGCCAAAGTCATCACAAAGGCCTGCAAGACCCTACACCTTCTGTATCCCAGTTATTTCCCGCTTTGTCCACTCATTCCAGGTCTCCTTGGTCCTCAACATGTCCTAACCCTCCTGCCAAGAGTCTTTGCAGGTGCTGGTTCCTCTGCCTGGAGCATGGAGTCCTCAGATCCCCACACTGGGGATCCCTCACCTCCTTCAAGTCCTGACTCAAATGTTACCTTATCCGCAAGCACATCCCTAATCACCACCCTCATTAAAATTATAACCTCGCTCTCCATCCTGCTGCCCTGATTGAATTTGCTCTATGGTCTATATCAGCATATAACATAACATACAGTGTACTATTTGCTGAATGTTTCTCTTTCCCTGTTAAATATCAGCTCCACAAAGGCAGGGATTTGGGTTGGCTTTGTTCACTGTTGTATCTGCAGCAACTAGAACAGTGCCTAGCATGTAGCAGGTGCTCAGTAGATACTTGCTGAATGAAGAAATAATTAAATGAATTAGCCAGTAAACAGTATGATTCAGTGACTAAAGGAAGCAGTCCATTAGTGAGCAGTGAACAACTGAGCCAAGGCTTGCTGGGAGTTTACTGCCCAAACTTCCATAAACTCAGTTTCCCCTCTCTAAAATGGGCTAATCATTTTTTCCTTTCAGCAAGTCACAAGGTTGCAATTAAAACAAATTGGAATTTATTATAATATATTGAAAGAAATGCTCTGTCTTATCTAAATTATTTGAGAAATGAATTTGCAATTTGCTATTAATGTCATTTGTCTCTCATTCACTTGGTAATTTCACTTAGCAATTTCATAAAACACCAATAGCCAAAGAAGGAATAAAAGTAAATTCAAATAAGTGCATTTTGTTACTTATTACTAACTTCGAACAGACATGGAGATTATCTGTTTAATGTACCCTCCATTCTCTTTAGCTGTAGACATCGTATTTTAGAAATAAAAATATTGAATTTTGAAAAGTTTTTGTGGGGAGTTGCTGGATATGAAAGGCAGTTTGGAACAAGTGGTATGAATTTTTGAATTCAAATATTTGAATTAATGAATAATACTGGAAAAAAATTATGAGGATTTTCTATATACAAGCCATTGTGTTACTGTTTCACATGAATAATCTTATTTTATCTTTGCTTTAACTCTAAGAAGGAAGAACATAATAAAAAATAATTGAGGCTTCAAAACGTAAAGCATCTTGCCTATGGTCACATAGCATAGTAGGTGGCAGAGCTGTGATTAAAATCTTAGTTCATCCAAATCCAAAGACAGCATTTTCAGCAGCTTCACTTTTCTCAGACAGTGGTTTGTGGGGATGATTGGATAAATATTTCAAGTCAGGATAGTTCCAGAAAAATTGGGTCATACGTTTTGAGTGTTTCACATTATCCTGAATTTCCAAGCATTGACTGTATAAACAAAAGTTGTTATCATAACAAGTCAGAAGGAGAAAAACTGCTGATAGTACCATGGGATGCCTTCTCCCCAGGAGTGCACAGAGTACTCTCACAATATATACTAACACAAAAGGCATTCGCAGCACACAGTAAAACTGGGATTTGGCATATGTCCTGTTAATCACATCAATGAGAGATACATCAATGAGAGACACAAACGAGATGATTCAGCTCTGAGAGTGATTCTTTTTCAATTTGAATTATTCAATTGATCTGCCTCCAGAGGTGGATAAACTATAGCTGAGACCACAGAGTCACCTCCTGACTTCCTGTCTGGATCATAACTTATTTACCAGTAAAGGTGTTTTGTCAAATTACTACACCAAGTAGATGTCTTTAGTATGTCTATCATTTGAAATTAAATGCCTGCTCCTCCACATAGCTAAAGCACTTGGAAGAATATCTTGTATAAGGTAAACACTATAGAGTATTAGCTGTTATTTTTATTGTTATGGACAAATAGAGAAACAAAATGGAAGCTGGAGGCATCACTATTGTGTATGACTCACTCCTACAACAAGAGGTGACATAAGCCAATGTGATAAAAAAGAAAGTGGTGGCACACAATAGGTGATTAATAAATATATGTTGAATGGATAGATAATAAATGAGAGTCCCCATTGTAGACCAAGAGGATCTACAGCAAATTTGTATGTTTATGTGAACAGCAAAGAAGGTTGAAGCAAGAAAGGATGCCCGACTTTCTTGGGTTATACACCCTGGGAGTAAACCAGATTGCTTAAAGAAACAGTGCTAAGCTTCCTGCCAACAACATAAAATAAGCAAATACAGTTATCCCTTAGTATCTGTGGGTCCAGGACCCCAACACATACCAAAATCAACAATGCTCAAGTCACTTACATGAAATTGCATAATATTTGCACGTCACCTATGCACATCGTCCCATACAGTTTAAATCATCTCCATATTACTTATAATCCTCATACGATGTAGGTATTGTGTAAACAGTGGTAATACTGTATTTTTATTTGTATTATTTTTATTATTGTATTGTTATCTTTTATTGTTTATTTCCTACCTATTTTTGATCCACAGTTGGTTTAATACAGGGATTCTGAACTTACAATTGGATATGTAGGACCAATTGTACAAACTAATGATACTAGTCACTCACTGTTAGGAAGTCTTGTGCTTTGCTTTAGATAGTTTTTTTCTTCTGCTCATTGCAGTCATAGGCTGCATTTAAGAAGCCTCAACAGCAATGCAAAATAACATTGCAATTCACTGGATACTTTTGGTACAATAACAAATAAGGAAATGTGACTAACATACCCCCATTTTATCATTTTACTGTAGTAATAAGCCAGCTATTTTGAGACGGTTGAATACCGTCTTTGCTTTCCATAACCTTCCTTTCCTAAAACACTTTTGAAGGCTGTATTCATCAAAGGAAGTCTCCTCTAACTGCTTCATTCACAACTTGCTTTCCACAAGCTTCTGACAAGAATGCCCTCATGCACTCTGAAATTGTTGTGTCCTGGAACTCTTACCACAAAGTCTTTACCATGTATTGGTTAACATTTTCAAGCTCTATCCAGTCATTACCAGGGGGCCAGTCAAGTTAAGTGGAGAGTATGTAGATGACTTAACCGTCAAGGGACAGTCCAGAATGTCCTTTCACTATGAGTCTTGGTTCACTGGCCAGTGGTGCAGGCAGAAGGTTATGCTCTTTAGCTTACCAACATGAATTTGATGGGTTAAATAAAATAATGAGGGGCTGGGTAGTCATGAGATTCACAATACCCAGGATCTCAAAGACTCAATTACAATATAGAGAGGCAAATATCTTAGTTGCAGAGTCTGAGGTGGTACCTGGACAGTCTACAGGGCAGAGTAGAGGATTTCAGTCAAATGAGTCAGGTGGCAGAATGGCTTATAACAGCAGGACACCTCCAGGAAAGAATTTTATTGCAGCTTCTAGAAGTCTTCTGTTGCCTTTTCTCTTTTGACAACTGAGGCATCTCTTCTGAGTCTTCTTACTCCTGGCTAGCCTTTTTGGTTTGGAGAATCTCCTGTTTATTCTGAAGTTATCTCTCTGCTGTATCAACCTTTCAGCAAATATACTCTCTCAAAGAATATAGGAGATTTGTAAGAGAAGATTTGAAGGAATAGGGCCTGTGTGTCAAAGACTCTTTCACTGCTGCTGCTACCACAGCCTAGCAATACCTGAGGAAGGACAGCAGTCATGGAAATGTAACCAATTTTAATATTACAGTTTGGAATTTTTGATCAAAAGTAGGGATAGTGATGTATGAAATTTCTAAAAATTAGATGCCCACAATTTCAAAAGTCAAATTGGTGCAAGTCAGAAAAGTTCAAAATGGAAAATTTGGAGTCTAACTTGACTTCAGTCAGTGGTTCTTCAACCTGGCTCCACATTAGAATTGACTGGAGAGCTTTTAGGAAATTCACACTACTGGTAAGTTAAATGAGAGTCTCTGGGAGAGGAACCTCCAACACTGATGTTGTTAAAAGCTCCTCAAGTGATTCAATATGCAGTCAGGGTGGAAAACTACCGGCATGAATTATCCTGATTGGTTCCCTTGACCAGAGGTTTCCAAACATGGCTGATGAATGCTGTTGAAAACACAGATTCCTAAGCACAGAGGGATTAAATCAGAGTTTTTTGGGGTGGAGGTGGGTGGAGGAGGAAATTGATGGTGGTGGTGATGTGGTGGCGAGAGCAGAAATCTGTATTTTTAAGAGCTCATTCTGGGAAACCACTTCATTTGACAATCCAGACTCCTAGGAACAATCCTGACCCTCCATGTTAAGGTTTGCTAAAACAAGGGCAAGCCACTCCATTCCAGATTGTTTTCATCCTTATTGAAAATTTACCTTGACCTTCCTCGATACAAAACAATTCAAGTTTGTTTTCCCTATGATTTTTTCCCTGTCAAATTTACAAGCTAATGAGACTGCTTTGATAAAGATATGTCTTTGTTGAAATTTTGGAATTCCTTGCTTGTAATGCTGTATAAACGCTTACACCATGGGTCTTTATAAACTAGGAAGAGTGCAAAGATACTAGGATTTTAAACTGAGGTCCATCATAGATGGAATTCTCAAGCCCTGTCATTATTTATCACCTATCTTTCTAGTCTCTCCCTATGAACCGATTCTTCTGAAGGTTTCCCATTAGCAGGCATTGAAGACTACTGTCTTCTCCAAAACGACTTCGGATGCTGGGGCACCACTCACTGACACCACTTCTGGAGCAGCAGGGTGACTTCCTGATTTCTTAATATGTCTGTTTCCATGGGCCAGCAATATTTTATTCTTCGTGGTTTTGCCAGCCTCTTGATCCACCCTTCTCCTATAATAGAAAAAGTAGAAAGGCACCCTCTCTGCATTTTTCTTCAGTCTTTCTGGGACAAAGCATGCTTCCTGTTCAGTAGGGAGGCTTCTCCGCTGGTTGAAAAGTCTACTTCCCACTCACCATGGACTTCCTCTGTCTGGAGCTGATGGGTTTTAAACTCCAGGATTTTGGTACTGATCCACTCTGCCTTCTTTTGTTCTGAGGCTTTCTTAGAATGGAATTACATGTATGAGTCACCCTAACTCTACCAGAAGTAAATAATCTGCAAGACTTTGAAGTCCTTTTTTTGATGGTACACGGTATTCCTGAGTTCAACACTCTAGGATCTGCCTATTCCAGGGCTGTGCAGAAAGTAGGTGTTTATAAAATAGTAGGTGTTTATAAAAATTTTTTCAATAAATATTTTTGACTTTACGTTAATCTTATCAAAGAGCAACAACAGACCTTTTTATCAATAGTTCTTAGGTTATACATTTGAAAAAGACTTGCCTCTTACGCCAGGAGAATAGAAATTTTACCTATCCCAGCTAAAGATACAACTTTTATAGTTCTAAATATCTAAACTTTCCATAGAAGTTTGGGCCTAAATTATGATAAAGGCTGCCTACATTGACCAAAAGTCCCTGAAATAGTTCAACTTTACACTTCAGTCCACCACTGAATATGACTGTAGTCAATGCAGTTTTCTCACATGAAAGAGAAATGTCAGTAAAGGGAACTTTTCAGGGAAAATGAACATCAGAGCGAATAAGGTTAAAAGAAAGAAAACACTGAATATTGACAATCTTCCAAAAACTAAGCTTATACTCATAAACAGCAGATATGCAAAAATGAGGAAGAGATTTAGGGAAGCATCACATCTTAAAAACATTCATTTTACCACACATTCACCACAGGGCTAAGCAGAAAAACACAGAAGAACTTACAAACTAAAATATATATTTTTCTTTTTTTCTTTATTTAAATTGTTTTAATTTTAGATTCAGGGGTACATGCACATGTTGGGTATATTGTGTGATGTTGATGTTTGGGCTTCTATCAATCCCATCACCCAAGTAGTGAACATAGTACCCAATAGATAGTTTTTCAACCCTTGCCCCACTCCCATCCATCCCCTTCTAGTAATTCCCAGTGTCTATTGTTGCCATCTTTACGTCTATGTGTTTCCAATGTTTAGCTTCCACTTATAAGTGAGAACATGCAGTATTTGGTGTTCCATTCCTGTGTTAATTAGCTCAGGATAATGGCCTCTAGCTGCATCCACATTGTTGCAAAGAACATGATTCTGTTCTTTTTATGGCTGCATTGTATTCCATGATGTCTATGTACCACACTTTCTTTAGCCAATGCATGGTTTATGGACATATAAGTTGATTCCATGTCTTTACTATTATGAAAAGTGCTGTGATAAACTTACAAGTCTTTTTGGTAGAAATATATATTCTCCTCTGGGTATATACCGAGTAATGAGATTGCTGGGTCAAATAGTAGTTCTATTTTTAGTTCTAGGAGAAATCTCCAAACTCTTTTCACGGTGGCTGGATTAATTTACATTCCTACCAACAAAGTATAAGCACTCCCTTTTTTCAGCAATCTTGCTAATATCTGTTGTTTTTTGACTTTTTAATAACAGCCATTCTGACTGGTGTGAGATGGTATCTCATTGTGGTTTTGATTTGCATCTCTCTGAAAATTGGTGATGATGAGCACTTTTTCATGTTTCTTGGCCTCTTGTATGACTTCTTTTGAGAAGTGTTTATTCCTGTCCTTTGCCCACTTTTTTTAAATAGTATTTTAGGAAGATAAAACAATCACTATGAAAAATGAAATAAACATATAATGTAGTAGCTGATTAGATACTCAGAAATTGGAACAGAGAGCAAATTTTATATTTTTTCTGGTAATTTTAGACTTTTTCTAAATTTTAGACTTTTTAAAATAATTTTAGATTTTTTCTGGTAGTGTATTGTCATGGATCAAATAGGATTCAGCTGGGCCTTCAAAGATAAGTAAGATTTTAAAATAAGAAACTAATTATGCTATGAAAAATACCTAAATGATTGTAACTATCGTATCATCATAATCTCACACTTCCTTGAAATAAAGATTAATACAGAAGTTGTTCATGAAAGTGTAGCTGTTTTAAATTATTTTACCTTTACGTAGCACACATAGACTGGGTTTAGAATACCTATTAGGTGCCATGCAAATCTGAGAGGCTTGGATTCCATAGATGCCACTGTTGATCCAAGGGACCAAGCTTAACTCTGAATAAGACCTTCTGAGTTTGTGTTGAGACAATCAAGAAAAGTGGTCTCATGACATGATATTGACCATTATCACCCAGTCACTCATTCTCCAAACTAAATTCCAAACAGTGTGAAAAATTAAATCTGCTCCCAAAGAAGAACAGATTTAATGGTGTTACCATTATGGTGATTATTCAAAAGAACATACTGCAGGTTATAAATGTAATGGGGAAAAAAAGGAATTTTTTCAAGTGGTTTCAGGCTGTGGCATCATCACTGAAATAAAGCCATCATCTTATAATGAGTATTTGAAGAGACTACCCCTGACTTTGGATCAATGACCTCCTACATACTTTTTTAAAATACAGGCCCATTGTTCTTCAATCACATCTCATATAAATGATGTGCTTTCAAGGCTTTCTTGGGCCCCCAGATTTTCATCTGATTTGGGGTCAAGAGGAATTAGGTTGAATTACTCCTGATTGCTTGTCTTGATGAGCCCACTTTATAGGAACATGGAGCAGCATGGTGGACAGAGCCTAAACTTTGGTGTCAGAATGACTGTGTTGGAGCCCTGGGTCTACCACCTCTGAGCTGTGTGCCCTACAGTAAGTTGCTTAACCTGTCTGAGCCTGAAACACCTGTTCTGAAAATAGGGATAATACGTAATATACAAGTACATTATAAAGGCCACATTATTTAGTAGATTCTCAATAAACAGAAGTGATGGTTTGGCCATCATCATTAATACATACTTGTACTATTGTTTCTGATGTGATTCTGGACAAATAATTCATTGAGTCTTTCTAGGCTTCCACTGCCCTAACTGTGATGAATGGAGCCTTATGACAATTTCTATGTTTCCTTCCAGTTCTGGGATTTTGTGAAGGAAATCACATCTGCCACCACCAATATAAACCACAAGCACAAGTTATGAATTTCTGCTGAACAGTAGTTCTACTTCTGCATTAATGGAAATTTCACAACTTACTTAAAGAAGACAGAGCAGCAAAGGCAGAGGGTTTCCTAGCTACATAATTCACCGAAATACACTCTTCAAGCTTGGTTCTGGGTGAAAACCCTTTTTTGGGGGGAAGGAAAAGAACATCATCTTTTTGAAACAGCTAAACAGCCCTTATGATTTCCATAGGACTTTACTTGTATTTGCTGATATAATATTCATGTTATTTTCAGTGAGTTTCTCACACAAGATTGTACATAGGTCATGGATGATAGGGGTAGGGAAGGAGAGACAAGCTTTGGAAAGAAAGAGGCCTTGATTTTATTCTCAGCTCTCCTACCTGCTGTGTGACCTTGAGCATCCATTGTCTTCTCATCAGGAATAATTATTTCTACCATTTAGGGGTGCTGTGTGTCAGCATTGCAGCAGGTCTGGAACAGAACAGGGGCTCAATGTCAACTATTTTCTTCTCTTCCTACTCCTCAGGAGCAAGGACTTCACTGTAGTCTTCTTGGCCAAGAGAGCTCCCAGCATTAGACATTCACAGAACAAGTGTTCAATAATTATTTTTTGAGTTGAGTGGGACACACGTTCTTCCAGGAATCAGCCAAGTTTCAGGGAAAACCGAAACAGTTCATTTTTTAGTAATAACCAAACCAATGACCTGCGGACATTTTATTCCACATCTAAAGTCAGGCTGATTTAAAAGCAACCCTTCCCAAAGTTTTCTGATGAGTGATCATGGAGAAGAGAGTCCCACTATCACATGTGCTTGAAAAATCTGGTGTTCTGAATATGCAGTATCCCCTCACACTTGAAGATTCACCGTGTCAAATAGCAAGTTAATGGGCTCTAAGAAAAAGTGCCACAGGAAAAAACTTGTTTTGCTGTGTTTAAGCCATTGTTTCCCAGTAGTATTTGACCTTGGAACCCTTTGAAGACAAAGTGAGGCATGCTATTTTCTTCAAGGAAGTGAGGGAAGGGAGAGGCAAGCATGTTTAGTATACTCAGATTTTTAAAGCTACTATAAAATCTGCTTCAGAACTTTAGTCACTCAGGGACTGAGAGCGATATTTAGATATGAATAAGAAACTCTGAATGAGGCTTAACAATAGAAAACTCAACATAATGAATAAGTGGACCAAACTCTGCAGGAAATAGTGTTCCAAGATACTTCAGGGCTCTTTCTCCAAGCAGGGATTATTTATTATCTGGAGAAATTATAGAGATGAATGAGCTAGCATTGACCAGTTAGCAACAAATAAATAGTTTAAAATAAATTATTTTAAAAATCCAATGTTTGTGACTGACACTGAGCTATGATTCCTAAAATGACAAGTTTAAGAGGAAAATAAACATTTTAAGATCTAATGAGTCTATATGTGGCAGATGAATTTTAATATGGACATTTAGGTCTAAATAGCTAAAATCCACTTACTCAATATGTATTTATTTTGTCTGCTAAATGAGAGCTATGGTGCTAGCTAGCTTCCAGAAACAAAACAGTGAGAAAGAAATCCTTGTTTTCATGGAGCTTAAAGTCTATATAAGAAACAAATATAAATATAATGTCATAAAAATTAGTGTCAAATTGGGCCTACAATAAGTTCTATGAAATGAGAGAGACTTGTGCTCTGATTTCCACTTTACATGATAAGATCAGGAACCACACATGCTTTGTTCACTGTTTTGTCTCCAGCCGTTGGCACAGACTCTGGTACAGAAAAGTAGCTCAATAGATATTTGTTGCATTATTTACATGAACGAATATATGAATGAATGGATGAGAGTGCACAATAGGGAGATCTAACAGAGAGTTGTCAGAGGATTCCTAAGTGAAGCAGATTTCTGAAGGATACTTATTTTATTTTATTTATTTATCTTTTTGAGGCAGGGTCTCACTTTCCTAGGCTGGAGTGCAGTGGTGCTATCACAGCTCATTGCCGCCTTGACCTACTGGGGCTCAGGTGATCCTCCCACCTCAGCCTCAGGAGTAGCTGGGACTACAGGCGCACACCACCAAGACCGGCTAATTTTTGTATTTTTTGTGGAGATGGTGTTTCACCATGTTGCCTAGGCTGGTCTCAAACTCCTGAGCTCAAGTGATCAGCCCACCTCTGCCTCCCAACGTGCTGGGATTACAGGCGTAAGCCACCATGCCCAGCCCTCTGAAGGATGCTTATTGAGTAAAGGGAGCATTCCAGCGCAAGGGAGAAGCACAGCCAACATGAGGAAAGGCAGGAAGGCCTGGGGATGGGGGTAGTTGCCACAAAGAGGGAATGGAGTCATCAGTGCAAGATAGGATTGGGATCTAAGGTAGGGGAGACAGGTCCTCTGAGATCACTTGAAGAGTCTTGTTTTTATCTTAAGGACAAAGGGAAACCTCTGAATACTTTAAGCCAGAGGGAAAGGTAGCATAATCAGAAAGAAGAGATAGCATAATCAGAAAAAGGAGAAAACGAAAATATAGGTGGAGTACATGGGAAGCTACTACAATAGGGTAGGTGAAAGATGACGAGGACTTGGAGAAATTTGGGCTGTGAAATCATCAACAGAAGGAAAGAGAGATGAAGGACAGAGAGATATCCAGAACAGCTCTTGAATTTCTGGTTTGCATAACTGGACAGATGGCGTCCTACCACTGAGTTAGGAAATAATGTGAGGCATGGATCGTTCAGGGACTCATAAATTCAGTGAGACATATCAAATGAATGGTGGTGAATGACTAGGGCTCAGCAAAGAGAATCAGAAACAATCTGTTTGTCGTCATTCTTTCTCAGTTCAGATATGGTAAGTGAGCATCTATTTTAGCCAAGGTAATCATTGCTCCCTAAGGACACTAGTGAGTGTGCGTTCCTGAATCAAAGGGGAAAAAAAAAGCCAATGCAATGCTGGACGTATGATAAATTGTTTTAGGAGTCACCATAACTCCCAAGAGCAAAGACAAACGGTGACTCTATCTGGAACAGTCTGTGGTCTTAGCATCATTTCTTAGCATCATTTTTTTTTTTTTTTTGAGACGAAGTGTCACTCTGTCACCAGGCTGGAGTGCAGTGGCACGATCTCTGCTCACTGCAACCTCCGCCTCCTGGGTTCAAGTGATTCTCCTGCCTCAGCCTCCCGAGTAACTGGGACTACAGGCATGTGCCACCATGCCCAGCTAATTTTTGTATTTTTAGGAGAGGTGAGGGTTTCACCATGTTGGCCAGGATGGTCTCGATCTCTTGACCTCGTGATCTGCCTGCCTCAACCTTGCGAAGTGCTGGGATTACAGGCGTGAGCCACTGTGCCCGGCCAGCATCATTTCTTTTAAAGAAACCCATAGAGAGCTGGGAAATGACCATAGAAATGCAATTGAAACAATACATTTTTGAGTGTTAAAGAAGGTTCCCTAAAAGTTTACTCAAAAAACTGAAAGCTGAGGAAAGAAGAGATAAAATCCAAAGAACCACCAAAGGTTTAATTATAAATTGGACAGTGACATTGCCCTGAAGTTTGGAGAGGTAAGTTCAGAACAAATGATGGGAGATACAGACTGGGCAGGAAGGGTGGCATTATAACCCGGTGGTTTAGAGAAGGGCTTCTCAAAGTTTAATGTGTGTATGAATCACCTGAGAAAACTGTTGAAATGCAGATTATGGTTCAGTAGGTCCTGGTGGGGCTTGAAACTCAGGGTCTCTAACAAGCTGCCAGGTGATGCTGATGCTGAGCATAGGGAGAGTTTAGACTAGCCTGACTTGAGGAGGCAGAGAGCACTAAACCCTGGTTCTACCACTTACTAACTGTACTCTTGACCTTGACTGAGACACTTAATCTCGTTAGGCGTCAATTTCCTCATCTCTCACAGGTTTGTGGTGAAGATTAATGGAGATAATTACAGGCATATAAGAAGTACTTGCTAAATGCTAACTGCTAGTGCTATTAATGTTATTGAAGCCATCATTCCAGGAGGTAGTCAAGATGAAAAGCACTAAGTTGGAGATTTTAGGTAATTTCACAGTGGATGGATCCACAAGTATTACAGTTTTTAAGATACATTGGAATGATTGAGGCTGAGATATATTCTTATGCTGTGTGATTATTGAGTTTAACCCATTAAGTAAACCATATATTTTATGTTCACCATGTCTCATTAGTCCATTCAACAGCTGCCTGCCTAAATGCCAATGCCAATAAAGCTGAATTGTAGCAATTTCTGGACACAGAGGACTTAAACTGACATAGGCATCACCTCCATGTGAGAAAATTCCTTTGGCGGACTATCATCAAAATGTGTTTAAACTCAAATAATTGTGTGCCTCTATAATAATAGGACATTTTCCTTCCAATGAAATGGCTTTTTGTCCAACGGTAGAAATATATAAATTACCCGGATTAAAAAGCATGTGGAGACAAGAGGATACACTCAATTCCTGTCACTGAACATGCAGTGGATTTAGAGGGAGCCCGGACTGTGATGTACAGTGTGCCCTACAGGTCTTTCTGGACCTAAGGGGAAAAAATGTCCTTCAAAAATAACGTAGTTATTGACGTCAGTAAGTCTGAAGTAAAACAATTACGTGCTTTCAAGTCATTTTGTTGCAAACAGCTATGCATTGAGAGTCAGCTGAACGTCTGACATTATCCTAGAAGTTGTGCAAAGGCAAAAAGTTTAAGAGTCAGTTCCTAGCCCCAAGAAATATACAAATGATTTGTCAGGCAATGTATGCACACATGAAACATGGCAATGTTCAGGGCAGCATGTGATTGACTGCCAAAGTGTCTCGAGCAGGAAGTACCAAGGGAGGATGGAGATGGTAATAATCAGGGTTGGGTGGAGAATATCTGAGGAAACTGCACTTGATTTGGGCCTTGAAGAGTAATTGACTGGATTTAGATTTATCTAGAAAGGTCGTTCCCAGCAGAAGCAACAAGAACAACAAGCTTGGAGGTAAGAAGGGACATGGCATGATTTTGTGTCTGCAGAAAGTAATATAAAATTGGAAAATAATGTTCTTTCAGTATCGTAGGGCAGGAACATGGGGAGATTTTGACAATCAATTGAGGAGACTGGAACAGGAGAGGATAATGTATTAGAAGATTATGTATGCAAATATATGTATTTGTATATGTACATGTGTATTTATCAGCTGAGAAATATGGCATTAGATGATTATATATATATATATATATACACATATATATGCATACATATATATATTTGCAGCAGGTAGCACCTAAATTTTATAAACATTAAAGAACTTTGAAGTCAGAGTATGTGTTCACCCTATTCTTTTATCCAAAAACTCATATTTATCAAAACATAGCAGGATTCTTTTGACTAGGAACTTTCAGACGATGATGAAAGGGTTTTACTAACAATAATTCCATCCACACTCTCAAATAAGAATTGTATGCAATTTATCTTTCTAGTTATAAACAATGATTTACAAGAAACCATCAGTGTGTTCTACTAAGCAACTAGTCATAACACTTTATCTGTGTGGCTACGACCTATGGAAACAGATCTGATCCTGTCTGGTGCTCTTCTAATGTGGGCAGGATGATTGACATACTATGATGCCTAGTTGGGCTGGAATGTCCATATCTTACTTCAGGGTCCTTATTTCTAAGTCTAGGTCACTGCTCATGCCACTACTAGCTCAAAGCCTCACTTTTATAGATTGAGTTCTTCATAAAGTTCTGCTTCCCTCCAGTAGCCCCCTCAAATGCTGACCATAGCTTTACTGTGTCTATATGTGCCTTCTCCCTGGCAGCTGCGTTTCCTCTGAGAGAACAGCGGTCTTCTGTCTGCTGTGGCAAGCAAGTCACTTCTTCTTGTAGTGAGAACTGAAACCAGAACCATCATGTGCCACTTCCTGGACACCTCCTATTAAATATTAAAGTCCTCTCACCACAGAAGCCGGAGTTTAGTGGTTAGGGGCACAGGTTCTTAGATATGAACATCAGTTGCAACCTACCAACTGCATGCTCTTGGACAATTTACATTTCTGTGTATCAGCTTTCCTTTTTCTTTAGAATGAGATATTAATAGTAGCAACCCAGAATTGTCATGAAGCCTAACTAAGTTTTTATATATAAAGAGAGTTAGAAGAGGGCTTGGAATGTAACAATAACTCAATAAATATTGGCCTATTATGATTATTGTTTAATCTCTTTATGTACTAATATCATGTACATTACACATGTACATCAATAACTAGCTAATTAAAAGTCTCCAAAATAGATTCTAACATTTAGATTTTTATTATTATCATTTGACTAGTTATTTGAATATTTCTGTCCATATTTACTTATATGCATCTGTATGAAAGGCAATATCAACATGAAAGAGTACTGTTATCACGTAGGCTTAACCCTTCTAACTATGTGGGGAAAAAAATCTTGCTAAGAATTAGGAAACTACAGAAGTCTTTTAGCAACCCATGCAATTGACAAACTTGAAGGTTCAAAGTGGAATAAAATCTGATATTCTTAACTACTTTTGTGGCTATGTTCTTGCAAAACTTCTAAATTTATAAAAGGTGTCCATCAGTTAGTTGAGAAGTCTCTCAACCTGTACTCCAGGAAGAACTGAAACAATGTAAAGCCATGTAATTCTTATAGATGATCTTGTTATAAAGACAGAACTTTCGTATATGAAAAAACTAAAGGGCAACACAAAATTGAGCATATTATGGGAGGTCAGGAAGGAGTGAGCTCAATAGGCTTAAATTGTAGTGTGAAGGATGTGGCATAAATATCAGGAAACATTTATGAACAGTAAATGCTATTAAAATGGGGTCATTACAATCTTCTTCCCCAAGAGCTCTCAGCAAATGTGGATTTACATGTAATCCTGCTTTAGCTTGATAATTCATTGCATACCTTGGAGGCAAAGGGAGTGGATTTGATTATCTTGTTAAGGATCCTTTGGTCCTCTGGTGTTATAATCCTGAGAGAAACCTCTTGGTATTCCTCAATCTCATGTTTCTCAATGAAAAACAAGAGAATGGTATGTTAAACTGCATCTACAGCTCTGAGATCTTTATGCTAACTGTGTTATAAACAGCATGAACTCAATGAACTTATTACTACTAAGGGAAGTTGATGACTTGAAGGAAAATGAGAAATTCTGAAATTTAATGTTTAATTTTTTATTAATTTTAAATTCTTAATTTAAATCTTTAGGAATTAAATCTTTTCTAGCATTCCTTGATTTTGGAAACATTTACTTGTGACCAAAAGCATTCTACAATTTTTAAAAAACATGTTATCCTGTTTCAGTAAAGTTATTCTTAAAGATGAATGTTGACTAAGGAAGCAAAAACACAATTGTGAGACTGAATCAGGTATTTATTTTAAAAGTATTACAGTCATCTCTTCAGAAAAAAAATATAGCAGTAGGCACTTCTCCCCATCCCAACCCCATGATCCAACCTAACTTCTAAGGTCCCCATAAGAAATGTGTTACTATTGATCTCATGAATAACCCAGCTTGTATTTCTAGTTACAATGTACACAAACATGGAAGGGATTATTAAATGAATACTTTATACATCTTTTCTGATGTGATTTTATAGATAAAAAATTTCTCCCATTGTATTCATTTGACAATTATTTATTGAGCACATAAAATATGCCAGGTGCTGTGTTGGACATGACCTTGAGACAAAGATAAAAAATAAACAAACAAGAAACTATGCAGTGATGATGTATGCTGTGATGTAAATGGAATGATGGGATAAGATGTGTTTGAGCAAGAAGGGCTACTAAGTTGGGCAATATTCCCATCCTTGGCCTGATTCCATTCCAACTAATTTCTCTCCCATGTCTTGCTCTGCTCTGTACTGTGGTGGGGCTGACCCCCGCAGGCATTTCGCTGTCTCCTGTGTTAGCTGATTTAAGGCTGGATTTAATAAAGGAACCACTGATACGAGAATGGAGTACTGGTAGAAGGGAAAAGCTAGAGTACTTCTGCCCTCTCTCTCTGCCTTAGACGGCATCTTCAGCAGGGCTGCATACACCCCCTGGCTCTCACCAGATGTGTTTGATGTAATTCTAGCTTCTGCTGTGGTCCCTGAACTCCAGTAAACTCACCTCCACTTTTTGTCCCTCTGGACTAGGATTGGTAGTGACTTTCTGCTTTTATTAATCTCTTGGTTGTTTTACCACCCCCTGTTTGGCTTCTTAGCTCTTCAACCATGTTGATAACCAATACTATGTATTATATTTCCTGTGTTTTAAACACTTAAGCATTATTGCATTTTCCTGGGTGGACCCTGACTGAGACAAGGAATCAAGAAAGGGTTAGCTGAGGAAGTGAAATGTAAAATAAGAACTAGAGAATGAAAAGAATCCAGACATGCGAGTCTCAAGAAGGAGGATAGTCCCAGCTGATGAAAGTGAAATTCATAAAGGAAGAATAAACCTGAACTCTTCAAGGAGCATAAGGCAAGCCAGTGTGGCTGTGTCACCATATGAGAAGGGGAGAATAGTTAGAGCCGAATAGGAGAATAATTAGAGTGGTAGATGGTATAGGATCACATAGATTCCTATTCCAAGCATGAGGGAAATGGATGTACTTTGATTTGGATTATTTATTTATTTATTTATTTATTTATTTATTTATTTTTGAGACAGAGTCTTGCTCTGTCACCAGGCCGGAGTGCAGTGGCACAATCTTGGCTCACTGCAACCTCTGTCCTGGGTTCAAGCAATTCTTCTGCCTCAGCCTCCCGAGTAGCTGGGACTACAGGTGCACGCCACCACACCCAGCTAATTGTTGTATTTTTAGTAGAGGCAGGGTTTTACCACTTTGGCCAGGATGGTCTCGATCTCTTGACTTCCTGATCCACCCTCCTCTGCATCCCAAAGTGCTGGGATTACGCACATGAGCCACTGTGCCGGGCCATGATTTTGATTTTTTTTTTTTTTTAACAATTAATCTGGCTTCTTTCTGGATAATGGGTTAAATGTTAGGAGAGAAGATAGTTCAGGGTAGTAACAAGGAGATGGAGAAAAGTGAACTGATTCACAAAGAATTTTGTAGATAGAATTGGCCCAACTTACCCAGTGGTGTCAATGTCAAGGATGAAAGAGAAGAACTAAGGATGAATCCTAAATTTTCATCTGAACAACCAAGTGGATGATGACATCAACTGAGAGGGAAGAATGAAGAGGCAGCAGGTTGATGGGAAAGAAGAGCCCTGTTTTGGACCTGTTAGGTTGAAACGCCTCTCAGACCTCCTGGTAGAGATATATAAGAGGTAGCGTGTATATGAGTCTGGAGTTCAGAGGAGAGGTTAGAGCTAGAGATATAAATTTAGGAATTGCTGGCATATAAGTGGTTTTTAGACCTGTGGCTTAGATAACATTGCCTATGAAGAGAGTCAAATTTGAAACAATTCATTATAAGCCATCAGTTATTCTCCCACACACAGGGTTTTGAAGGGGGAAAAGTCATTAGACATACCACATTTTTTTAAAAAATAGACTTTTAAAAGAAGAAGTAGAAGCATTGTGGGGCATGTGTGTTTGCTGAAAAATAGTCTGAGAACCCAAAGGCTAATGCTACACAATTTATTTGATTAATGTAGACAGCTTTTCATATAATTTAGGATGTATGACAGATTGCCTGAATGGTTTTCGCCATTTACATGGTCTAAGTGAAACAGATGCTAATTAGAAACTCTTTTCCTTAGGAGACATAAATTTTCCAGGAAATCAGTCATATTTGACACACTGTCTGAAATGAATATACAAATATCAATTGACCTTGAATATTACAAAGTTTTAACAACTTGTCTTCCATTTACTATGTCCCTACCCGGACAAGAACTGATCATTACTCTGTAATAACCTCACAGGTATTCTGAGTGTAGACATTGAGAAATCTTCAGCTTCTTACTGTCTTTGACATTCCATGTTCAGAAAGTTGGCTGAGCATGACATTGACTTTATGCAGTTCATGTTCTCCTGTAGTCCTGCTGCCATGGTTCTGCTGGGATGGTGCTCAGCTTCTCTCATCTGGACCACCTTCTTCCTTCTGGACAACCCTTTCTCCAATGCCATCCTCTTCAAGTGTGTCCTCACTGCCATCCCAAAAGCATCTTGTCTTAATATCCAGAAACCCCTAAAATGGCTTTCTAATTAAAACCTAATTTCATTTTCTGTATCTCTTATCCTCCAACAGAGCATCCTGCACTGCCTTACTCAAAATATCAACCTCCTGCACATCTCCAAAACATCATGAGCTGCTTGTGTGGGTAGGATTCCATAGGATTCAGCATAAAGTATGTTCAGCATGGTTTGTTCAAACCATGTTTTTAAACATTCAGTGAATAAAACGTTTAACCCCTGAATAAAGACTAAAGTATATCTTAAGGATATAGAATTATAAGAGAGGCTTTATTGCAAATCAAGTATTTTATCAAGTATAGGGAGAGGGAAAGTAAACCAAATGAGTTAGTCTGTGTTTATTAGCTGCTTTCCCCTTATTGTCAAAAAAGGGGGGGTGCACCTCAGGGTTGGAAGATGACTTTAGCAAAGTAGAGAAGAGGATTTATTTCCTCTACTTTTCTGATCGTGCAAAAAAAGAAAAAAAAAAAGTAAAGCTCAGTAAGCATAGAGAAGAAATAAATACAAGCCTTCCCAAAGATCATAAGGCAACTTTATTTCTGAAAAAGAAATGTCAGTTTTGAGAACTGGAAAAGAGCAGGAAAAAGCCAACAAGAGATCTCAAACCAAGCATCAGATAAAACCAAGGACATATTTACAACATCCATAGAGTGCACTGGATGCTCACCAGGTAAGAAGAAATAAGAGCTTTCTAGTTGGACAAAAAGGAAAATTAAGTGTAACATGATGGGGGAAAAAAAGATAAATTATTCTAATCATTTACTTGACACCAGAGTTTCTCTTAATGATACAAGCTACCTTTGTTTAGGAAAATAACTTGAAAAATTGTTTTGGGTGGAAAAAATGAGACCCTCTCCTAAAACGTGGTGTGTAATATGGCATTTTTTTTTTTTAAAGATTAGGTAAGCTGTTCTTCAAAAAAAAAGCTGAAAGTTCTTCAGTGACGAGGGTAAGGGGGAAGAGAAAAGAGAGAAGGAAGTGAGAGAAGGAAGGAGGGAGCTAGGAAATACAGCAGGTGGCAGAGCCTGTAGAAGCAGGTTCCATGAGAAAGTCCCAGGGGTGCGGTCGCCGGCGGTCATTTGTGAGCAGAGGGGTCAATGCTCAATTTAAAGTTGTCTCTAGTGCTGTGATAAGAATCCCCTGCATTGCTAGAAACCTTCAGTAAAGTCGGCTACACATGTGCCAACATTTCCAGAAAATACCAAGGTAACTGGCTTTATTCAAGCTTAGAATGACCTGGAGCAAGTAGAAACGAGGAACTGGGGGAGATGAGACAGAAGAGAAAACAAGTATTCCTGCAGTCCCTTTCCCCCATCCAATCTCTGGATTTATTGGGGGAAACAATAAGAATGTGGGATAAGGGACAAAACGCTTCTTATTTAAATCTAAAGAGAGGATGACTTCCCTCCCACTCTCATGTTCATTTGGATTACATAAGCACTGATTAATAGTTAAATTCATCAGGAGAAATTATTTAATTTTGAATGCAGCTATTTTCATGTCTGGTATTCTATTATATGTATGTTTATAGCTTGCAAAAACAGTACTTTATAATTATCTTTAGTGAAGCCTGTATTTTTTTTATTAAGGAGTCACAACCTGTGTCAGAAATAAAAACTAAAGCATTGATGGTATTGTGGGCTAAATTTTCTGGGACTGGACAATCAACATATTAAAAGGAGCTGCCTGTTGCTGGTAGCAGAGGATTTTAGTCATAGTACTTAGGAGGTAATAATTAGTAACTCCTAACTATTTCTAGTTTCATGAAACCCTGAGAATCTTATTAAACTCTGGGTCTTGGCCGGGCGTGGTGGCTCACGCCTGTAATCCCAGCACTTTGGGAGGCAGAGGTGGGCGGATCACGAGGTCAGGAGATGGAGACCATCCTGGCTAACATGGTGAAACCCCGTCTCTACTAAAAATACAAAAAAAATTAGCCAGGCGTGGTGGCAGGGGCCTGTAGTCCCAGCTACTAGGGAGGCTGAGGCCGGAGAATGGCATGAGCTGGGAGGCAGAGCTTGCAGTGAGCCGAGATCGCGCCACTGCACTCCAGCCTGGGCTAGAGGGAGAGTCTGTCTCAAAAACAAAAAACAAAAAACAAACAAACAAACAAAAAAACTGTGAGTCTTCTATCGGATCAGAAAATACACATATTCACTTAAATGAAAACTTCTCCATAAAATTTCCGGGACTTTCTTTACTTTCTGTACTAAGAATCCCAGCTGCATTGCATGTGCTTTTAAAAACTTGATATAGTTTGGGAAACGTAGCAATCTGCCATTCCTGCCCATAAACCGTGCTACCAATTTTATGTTGTTCTTAACAGTTAACTCTTAAAATGCTACCTTGTTTATATGAAGTCATAGGCTGATTTTTTAAAAAGAAAGAAAGAAAGCCTGCTCTTAAAATCCTTTTGTTGTAGCTTCTAGATACTTGTTTAAACATCTCTGTTCATGCAATACTGCAAAGCAGTATTGATTGAATTCTGACTTGTGGTTTAGAAAATTCAGAATTTATCCGCACCCTTGGTCTGAGAATGGTATAACAATATATAAACTATTCTTACATGGATTCTAAGATTTGGGGTCCCTACCACTCACACAGTTCTACTACTATTTATGGAATCTGGATCACATAATTTAGCCTTTCTGGGTCCTACCTTATTTATGCAATAAGAATGTACAACAATTAATTTTAATAGTTCTTTCAGCAATAATATGTTATGTGCCATAATATAAAATAACATTAGAATAAGTAAATATTCCTCTTTCTGATGATAAATTTCTGAAGGCAGGGGCTGTCTGTCCCTATTGCCTCAGAGCTTCCTATTTTTGAAATGTATATATGCTAAAATATACTTTAGTGACTTACTCATTATGTCAAAAAGGTGTTCAAATCTACTCCTTTTCAAATACTGTATATTCTTTGATCACAATGTCACACTATGGAAAAGTAGATTAGATGGAATATACTGGTAGAAGATGACTCTATTTCCATCCAGATATATTTCTTACCTTCCCTGTATGATGAAGTGACTTCAGATTGTTTCCCTGTAAGTCTGGGAATGATGGTGAGTCAGGAGGGTATGGTACCAAGCTTGCCAGAAACTGAGCTGTCAGACCCCCAAAATATGTCATCTTCAGTCCTATGAAATGTGAAGTTGAATCCTAAGTGCTTTTACATAGATGTTGTAACCTTTACTAGGTGATATAACCTGTCCTCTATTGATGGGCCTTTAGATTATTTCCAATCTTTTTAATACAATCAAGGCTGCAGTGGGCACTCTTGAATAAATGCCTTCATAAATACATTTAAATCTGTGTGTATAATACGTATCTGACCTTCAGTTGGTGGCCATATGATCAAGATGTATGAGGCTTTTAATCAACTCACAAGTGACTATCCAAAGGTATTTGGGATACATATAAATTACAACCAAGGCCAAGCCATTCTTCTTGCCAGCCAAATGTCCTTTGAAGTTGTGACTGAAAAGAAAAAGCCATGAGAAAATATTCAGTTCCAATTCATATTATTTTAGTATCTGTAAGAATTAAGTATGGCAGCTGATTTAGGGAATGCAGGATTCCATCAAGTTTTACAGCCTTTGGAGGTAGATGGGTAAGACAATCTCTGTCCTAAAAGAAAAGTTAAACCTGTCAGACGATCAGCCTGGAAGGGAGACACAGAGCTATTCCAAGCACCATGGACTTTAGCTTCCCAGAGTAAGAGGACGAAAGGACCACTGTTTTAAGTTCTTAAGTAGGGCTCAGTATGCTTTGTCAGAATTCAATGAATGTCTTGACTTAAATCTTTAAATGTTATACAACCACAACCTCCAGCAGGGTGATTAGGCAACTCTAAAAATGATGGAGATGACATAATTCCTTTAGTAGCTAAACATTAACCCTAGAAAAATTTAGAATTAAGTACAGGAATGCCTAAAAGAATTAAAACAATCTTATTGATGCTTTTGGTCAGTGCTATGTTCATATTTGGTAATTACAAAATATTAGTAATGTTTAAGAGAATTTGGCATATTAAAATGAGAGATGAGCTCCATAATTACAATTTAAGATGCATAATGAACTAATTGATATAGACTTGTGATTTAAACGCAGATACAACAATGTCTATAAAAGCTTTGAAATATGAAAGAGGATTATGCTTCACTGTGTTTATGTGCTTTCCTTTAAGATATTTAAAAGTATTAAGTACTTTGGGAAAGTTTTTCATTTAGACAACTGACACACTTCAAAAGATTGTTGAATATATTAAATTTACAAAATTAGTTTTTAAATGTATGAAGGAATTTACTTAATAAGTGCATAAATATTATTACACACATTCAAAGTTCTCCTAAATGTGGTTACTAAAATTCTTTAGATTTACAAATAGAATAATAAGATCAGGAAGCTGCATTTAAAAATTGTGAGAAGCCGGTGAAACTGCGTCTCTACTAAAAACACAAAAAATTAGCTGGGCGTGGTGGTAGGCTCCTGTTTGTTGTCTCAGCTGCTCAGGAGGCTGAGGCAGAAGAATCACTCGAACCCGGGAGGCGGAGCTTGCAGTGAGCCGATATTGCACCACTGCACTCCAGCCTGGGCGACAGAGCAAGACTCCGTCTCAAAAAAAAAAAAAAAAAAAATGTTGTGAGAAGCAGTTTTTGGATTTTTAACTTTAATAAATTGATTGCTAAATTTTTAAGCAAAAGTGAGCCTTTGAATAGTCTGTTTTGTATACAAAAGTCACTTTGAGAACAAAAATATTCACATTTAATAACTGACACTTGCACTATCCTCCTCATATCAACTCAATAGGACTAAGAAATACATTTTTAAAATAAGCTCCTACATATAAATAAGAGCAATCTATTAGAAAAATTGGCTACTTTGTATAAAAATAAAATAGAAATAACCAAACAATATGAAGTTATATTTCACTCATAGTTTAGAAAATTATAAAAATCAAAAGTATTATCCCACACAGTGTCAGCCAATGAGAGTGCAAAGATGCAGGCTCATATGAAGATAAGAATGCAAAATATATATGCAAGTTTTAAAATGCATATATTCTTGAACTTGATACTTCCACTTCTGGAAATTTATCATATTTGTATCATATGCACATATTTGAATGTGTTCACGAAGGCACTTATCCAAGAATGTCCACTGCAGCACTGTTTATATGAAAAAAAGAAAGAAACTGGAAACAGTCTAAATGACTATATCCATAGAGGATGGGTTAGAAAGAAAACTATTAAATCCATGCAATGGCTTACTACACAACCATTAGAAAGAACAAAGTAGTTCATTGTGTTATGACATAAAAAAGCTTCTACTACGTTCATTGAAAAAGTAATAATAAAGCCAAGTACAGAGCAGTTTTATGACATAATTCCAAAGTACACTGGAAAGAAAATAAATAATGTATGTGTGTGTGTGTGTGTGTGCATGCATATGCATAGAACATTTCTGGAAGAATATAAATACACAGATGACTCCTAAAGGTGGCTAACTGTAAGGAAGGTATATTAGTTTGCTGGGGCAAACTAATAACAAAAGATGACAAACTGGCTGGCTTAAAACAACAGAAATTTATCCCCTCAGAGTACTGGAATCTAGAAGTGAGAAATGAAGTTATTGGCCAGCTTGGGTTCTTCCGAGGTCTGGGAGGGAGAATCTGCCCCATGCCTCTCTTCTAACTTCCGGGAATAGCTGGCAGTTCTTGGTGCTCCTTGGCTTGTAGATGCATCGCTCCTATCTCTTCCTCTACCTTACAACAATCATATTGAATTAGGAGCTCACCCTACTCCAGAATGACTTCATCTTAACTAATGATAGTTGCAGCCACTCTATTTCAAATACAGTGATGTTCTGAGGTACCTGGGGTTACAACTTCAACATATCTTTTTTTGAGGGACAAAATTCAACTCATAACAAAAAAAAATGGCCATTCTAGGCTTGGATAAAAGCCTAAAAATCAGTTAATAAAAAAAGATTACTATTAAAGTAATCTCAGCATGATTAAGTGTTATTTATGGTCCTGATCCCATCTAATACAAACATTTAGAGAACAAATACCATGCTATATAAACTGATTGTCCAAAATTCAACATTTGGCATTCAATTAATTTTAATGATGTTTCTCTCCCTCATACAGAAGACTTCTTTCTGGTTCAATATTTAGATGTTATACAACATCTAAAATTAAAACCCAATTTCCCTCAGACGATATTTTAATTGCATGGAATCCCATAGTTGGAAGGGCCCTTAGAGACTTTTTAGTGTATACCGTCAACATTTTGTCAGTATTTCCAACAAGAGGCCCAGACTCTACTTGAACACCCCTAGGAATGAAAAATCCCTGCTCCCTGAAGCAGGATCATCCTGATGGTTCGAAAGCAAACATTCAGTCAAATTATGTCCCCCTACAATTTTCACTAATTTGTCTTTGGTCAACCATCTGAGCCTTTCAAGACCACATATGTATTACATATATTATATATGTGTATATTATGTATACATAAAAATAAACAAATAAACAATACATATATTTATATAACTTATATAAACATACTGTATATATATTTTTGATATGACAGCCACTGAAACATTTGGGGACACCTTTTGAGTTCTATGTTTTAGCTGAGTGGCAATTATAACCCAACTTCTTGTTAGAGGTAAATATCAAAAATAAAAAATTACAGACTTAAGATTTTAATAAGAAAATACCCAGTATAAATGTAAGTTCTGCAACTTTGCTTTGAAGACTTGTCTTATTTCCAGAACGTAATAATTTCAGAAAGAGATACATTCTTCTGAGAAGAATGTTTAAGAGTTATTTCACGTATGTAAGGAAGAACGGAAAGCCTTGTAAATAATAGGGGAAATTTTGTGGGAAATTCGCCCAAGAAATCTTTTAGAAAACTTAAGTGCTCAAGGCAGCTTGAACAAAGGCATAGATTCTGTGTGTGAAAGGGTTCCATAAAGTTGTGACAAATTGTTCCATTCACAGTTACCCTGCCGGATTTTGTCACACAGTATGCGAGACATTAATAAATATATGTCAGCCTATTATTCCTTCACAAAACACTCCCTTCACCCAAGTAAATAGGCTTGTTTGAGGCTACAATGGCCATCTTTGTCTAAGAAACATTCATTCAATTTGTAGATACATGTTGTTTGCTTGAAGCACCAGTTCACACAAAACTCTTTATACCTGGGAAAAAACAACAGTGATTCCTTATCAGAAATGTGATACATCTCTAGAACTGTTGGAAGTGTTGCTGGAAAGTACAGTCATGAGTTGCTTGGTCTTTCAGCAGCTTTCAGAAAATCAAACTGACTGTACACTGTCTTATAAAGATGAAGTTCTAGCAGGACAAATTGAGCTCAGTATCAAGGTAATTTTGCCACCTAATAGTGAGTGAGGCGGCTCTGAAAATTAAATGTCCTTCCTGGCTCGGGGGCACACGCCTGTAATCCCAGCACTTTGGGAGGCCGAGGCAGGCAAATCACTTGAGGTCAGGAGTTCAAGACCTGCCTGACCAACATGGCAAAACCCTGTCTCTACTAAAAATACAAAAATTAGCCAGGTGTGGTGGCGGGCGCCTGTAGTCCCAGCTACTTGGGAAGCTGGGGCAGGAGAATCGCTTGAACCTGGGAGGCGGAGGTTGCAGTGAGCCGAAATTGTGCCACTGCACTCCAGCCTGGGTGACAGAAAAAAAAAGAAAGAAAATTAAAGGTCCAAATTCACTCATTTCCTTCTTCCAGACATGGGAAAAGAGAGCATTTTTTGTTACCTCTGTAGTTTAAAGAAAACATTCTAAGATAATTAAGGCCTTTGTGATGGTTTATATTAAGCGTTAACTTGATCGGATTGAAGGATACAAAGCATTGTTTCTAGGCTTGTCTGTGAGGGTGTTGCTAGAGATTAACATTTGAATAAGTGGAATGGGAGAGGCAGATCCATCCTTAATCTGGGTGGGCACTATCCCGTTGGCTGTCAGCACAGCTAGATTAACGCAGGCAGAAGGAGGTAGAATGATGAGATTTGCTGAGTCTTCTGGCCTTCACCTTTCTCTCGTGCTGGAGGCTTCCTGCTCTCCAACATCAGACTCCAAGTTCTTAGACTTTGGACTCTTGGACTTACACTAGTGATTTGCCAGTGGCTCTCGGGCCTTCTGCCACAGACCGAAGGCTGCACCGTTGGCTTCCCTACTTTTGAGGTTTTGGGACTTGGACAGATCCACTACTGGCTTCCTCGCTCCTCAACTTGCAGACGGCCTATCGTGGGACTTCACCTCGTGATCGTGTGAGTCAATTCTCCTTAATAAACTCCCTTTCATATATATATATATATATCCCTATTTGTTTTGTCCCTCTAGTTAACCCTAATACAGCCTGAAAATAATTCACAGTGGAGGTAGAGAGAAATGCATCACTTAAAATAGAAAAATACCTTCACAGCAATATCCACAACTGGCTTGTGATTAAAAACTAATGGTTAGACGATCTGTGAGCACATTAATGATCTATCTTCCGAAAAAGCAACACTCAGTCATGGACTTCTTCCCTTGTATTTAAATAGGATTTTCTTACCAGGAAACAGGTGATTCAGTTCCTGGTGGTGAGCAGTTTATAGCCAAAGGTCAGTTTACTCAGCATTAGAGTAAGGCATTATTATCTAGCCCTTTCTGGAGTTCATGTTTAAAAAATGGTTCATGGGCCGGGCGCTGTGGCTCACGCCAGTAATCTTAACACTTTGGGAGGCCGAGGCGGGTGGATTGCCTGAGGTCAGGAGTTTAAGACCAGCCTGACCAAGATGGTGAAAATTAGCCAGGCCTGGTGGCGGGCGCCGGTAATCCCAGCCCTTTGGGAGGCAGAAGTTGCAGTGAGCGGAGATCGCGCCATTGCACTCCAGCCTGGGCGACAGAGTGAGACTTCGTCTCAAAATAAATAAATAAATAAATAAATAAATAATGGTTTGTGGATTACTTCTCCATTTTTCTTCATTTTTAGGACAATTTTTGTAGTTACTCATGGCTGTCCATAAGTTAACAAAGTCCAAGAGTAGTGAAAGCAGGGAGTTTATTTAATTAAAATCAGGATATCAATTAAATTCTATTTTTGGCTCAACCCTCTGCTCATTGACCTGTTCCATTTAGTACTGCAAAAAGTCACAGACAGAAATGCTGCTTACTTGGAGATATATACTATTAATGTGCTCACAAATTGCCAAAAGCAAATATTTTTAGCACAATTAAGACTCTAATATTACTGTAACCTGTCTTCCCTAATTTTCACTCATGGTTCAGTGGTAGGGCTTTTTTTTTTTTTTTCTCTCCTTTGGACTGAATGTTACACTATTTTTCTAAGAAATATTTTCTAAATATTGTCCCTCACTTGATTGTATCAGTCAGAGTTGGTTTGGAACTGGGTTTTGCAAAATCAGGGGTTTTACCCAACAATGGTTAATTTGGGCTTGGGTTTTGGCGTCATGACCTAAAACAATGTGGAGGGTTTCCACTTTCCAAGTTTTCTTAACTGACTGGTGATGCATCCTGAAACAAGAATCCCTGTTTTTCTTTTCAATAATTTTTCCCCTTCTGACAGGGTGGCCTGTGAAACTGAGTTAAAACATGTTATTTCAGTGCCACCGAACAATGAGTCAAACTAACCTTTTGCCTTTGCCACTTACTTTGTCATAAACGTGGGCAGGAGTATGTGGGTAAGGAGCTTTATCACTCTGCAGCCTATCTTACTAACTGGGAAAAGAAACCATGAGTTGCCTAGACTGCTCTTGTTCTCTTTCCACACAGCTCTGTTCCCAACTTTCTCTCCAAGCCAAGAAACTTTGATATCTTTCAGTTCTTACAATTCTTGCTCCTCACACCCTATGTAAGTCCAACTCAGAATTCCAATTCTGTTCTATTTCTTCACAGACATGTTATAGCTATATTTTTATGTACTATAGTTAATTGACTCAAGACTCTCTTGATGGTAAGACATATCATTATTTTCCTACCACCAAGAAAGCTGCCATTTGAAAATCTATGCATGCCATCAAATGTGTGATACATTCTTATTTAAGATATTAAAATAGAAAAAAGAGTTATCTTAGAATTGATGAACTATGTGATTTGAGGCAAAAAAGAAAATATAATACTTTAAATATTTTTACAAAGGCATTCGCAGAACCACTGACTTTCCCCCATTCTGATCTGCTGGTTATCTATAGCCCTGCCTACTTCTTCCTTCCCTTAATTTTTTCATTCCAAAAAAATACGTGATGCCTCCTACGTGCAGGCCCTGTGGTACCTGCCAGGGACAAACAGTAAATAAGAGAAAGACTTTATGCTGGGGAAGCTCCCATTTTGGGAGTAGATACAAAAATGGACTAGAGAATGACAGTAGAGTGACTGTCACTATATTAGTCACAAGTACAGAATTCTGTGGAAGCACAGTGAAAAATGACCTAACTCAGCCTTCTGGGGGTTATGAAGAGCTGTCCAGAAAGGCAATGTTTCAGCCAAGATCTCAAAGATGAACAAGTAGTGTTAGCCCTTCACAGGGACAAGGCAGGTGAGGAAACGAGGGAGGGTATCCCAGGTGAGGAAAGGAGGGAGGGTATCCCAGGTTAAGGAAACAGGAGGCAGCAAGAGAAATGTCTGGGCTGTTTTCTGACAAACACACAAGGTTCCCTAAGATTGCAGGACAGAAAGAAACAAGGTGAGCTAGAACCAGCTCAGGCATGGACTTGTGTGCCGTGCAGGATAATTCAAAATTGACTGAGGAAATTGATGACCCAGAGAGGGGCTTAAGCATACAATGAAAAGATCAGTTTAGCTTAAAATTTTTTATTTTTGCTTTGTAAGAATAAAATTAATCATGTATAATAAAAAATTCATCAAGTAAGGAAAGGCTTATTGAGGAAAACATTAATTTCTGGCTCCCGCCCCCTCATCTTCCATCTCTGAATGATAAGAAATCATCTTTAGTTCTTTCAGTTGTTTTTTTCTTGTAGTTACCTCCATACTAATTTTTAAGCTATGTTGCTGGTTCTGCTTGACATGATAAAACCCTTTAGCTTTTTCTCTGAACAGTTTAAGATCAGAAGTTCAAAGATGTACAAGTAAAGTTTCTAGTAATTAGGGCAATAAAAAAGCCAAAAGTAACACAAATACATTTTCAAAAATTAAATAAAAGATCACAAACAACTTGACAGTTTTGCAAAATATTTTCCAACTGATTCTTTTTTATTATTGTAACTTAAAATAAGAGAATCAAGGCATGCTGCTAGTTTTTAATTTACAACTTCAGATATTATCCAGTGATTTTTAAATTTTTTCTTCCTATAAAATTTAACTCATACATAACAGCATCTGCACCTCTCCACATCATCTTCTTAATATTATTAAAGCACTATTGTTGGCTACATAAATAGAGTTTATTAAAGTGTGTATAAGCGCTCCAGCAGATAAGTCATCTTATTTTCTTCTCTTCTCCTGGGCAGTTGCCACAACAGAAATACTTTGCCATACTTCTCACTTTATTCATTCCCTGGATGCCTCCATCAGAAACACCTTCATCCTTGTTCTATAGGATGTATATGGCAGTTGATGTCCAGACCTGACACTGGGATGTCATCCTAGGAATTCTCTTTGTCAGACAGCTTTTTATTCACATAATAACAGTTTAGTGGTGTATTAAGGGAGAGAAAGGATAAACGTGAGTTTAATGCCTTCTTTAACTGAATACTATATATATGTATGTATATATACACATATATGTGTATATATGTGTGTATATATGTATATATACACATACATGTGTATATGCATATATACACATACATGTGTATACATGCATGTATACACATGTATGTGTATATATGCATGTATACACATGTATGTGTATATACACACATATATGTGTATATATGTATATATGTATATATATATGTGTGTATATATGTATATATGTACATATATGTGTGTATATATATACGTATATATATACGTGTATATATACATATATATATGTATATAATTTTTTTTTGAGACAAGGTCTAGCTCTATCACCCAGGCTGGAGTAAGTACAGTGGCACAATCTCAGCTTACTGCAACCTCCTCCTCCTAGGCTCAAGTGATCCTCCCATCTCTCAACCTCCGAAGTAGCTAAGACTACAGGCCCACACCACCACACCTGGCTAATTTTTGTATTTTTCATAGAGATGGGGTTTTGCCGTGTTGCCCAGGCTGGTCTCAAACTCCTGAGCTCAAGTGATCCACCCACCTTGGCCTCCCAAAGTGCCGGGATTACTGGTGTGAGCCATCACTCCTGGCCTTTGTATACTACATTTTCAATTTAGATTTGCAATGTTTTAGTTCAAATAATTCCTTCGTCTCATGTATGATATATATATATATATATATTCTGAGCCATGCATTAATAAATATTAGAGACATAAAGACTTGTACAAGAGACATTAAAGACAGAACATTTGAAGGCAGAGCTGTCCTGTAAAATAGGAGTGTATGACCATATTTCCTAGCTAACTCTTATGCTCTGCTTTCTTGTATTTTTATAATATTTGTGGCCTTGATCAAAGTTTCTAAAGCCATAAGCTAAAATAGAATAGTAATGTCAGAAAAACTTCCCCCTTGATCTCAACTTTCTCACTTGGTCTCCCTGAAGTACTTTCACCAATACTTCAATGGATTTATTTATAAAATTTCAGACTTAGACAAGTGTTTAATCTAGATAAAGGTCAACCTTTCCCCTCTTAGCTCAGGAGGACATATTTTTTACTTTTTTTATTTAGCACAGCATAACTAAACCGACAACTACAGTTTGAAAAATCCTAACTTTGTGGTAGGCTCAGTAAATTAAATCGGTACTCAGTATTTTTTTGCCCAGTTGTTTGAATTCTTCCTTTTTCCTTGTAATCTTCTAGCAAATGCACTGTGTATGGGGCAATATCTGGAAAGATTGTCAAATACCACATAAAAAAAATAACGTATTTGTCCTCTTCAAGGAGGGAGCAGGTTTCATTTAAAATGTCATGATATAACGGCCGGGTGCGGTGGCTCACGCCTGTAATCCCAGCACTTTGGGAGGCCACGGCAGGTGGAATCACTTGAAGTCAGGAGTTTGAGACCACCCTGGCCAACATAGTGAAACCCCATCTCTAATAAAAATACAAAAAATTAGTTGGGCACGGTGGTGCCCACCTGTAATCCCAACTACTTGGGAGGCCAAGGCAGGCTAAAGCAGGAACCTGGGAGGTGGAGGTTGTAGTGGGCCGACGCCACGCCACTGCACTCCAGCCTGGGAGACAGAGTGGGAGACAGAGTGGACTCTGTCTCAAAAAAAAAAGTCTTGATATACTTTTGGAGTAGATAAGAACATGAGGGCATGTAAAGACCAGAGGTGAGAGTGATAAAATGTCAGCCAATCACTACAAACATTTGGCAATGGTAGAGAGGGGAGGGAGCAAACGAGATTTCTAAATCACTTTTCATATGAAAAGCATAGGAATTGAAGGATGGAAGAAGTGTATAGTTGGGCAAGGAAGCAAAGAATAAGAATTATAGGAATGTCTAACATTAATATATATGGCAATGTATCACTTAACAATAAGAATACATTCTGGTCATTATTAGATGATTTTGTCATTGTGCAAACATCATAGTGTTCTTACACAAACTCAGGTGACATAGCTTACGACATACCTGGGCTATACCACATAACCTATTGCTCCTAGGCTACAAACCTATTCAGCATGTTACCATATTGAATGCTGTAAGCAATTGTAACACAATGGTAACTATTTGTGTATCTAAACATAGCAAAACATAGAAAAGGTAATGCATTGTGCTATGACTTTACGATAACTCTGAGGTCCCTAAGTGATAGGAATTTTTCAGCTACATTATAATCTTATGGGACCACCGCAGTATACACAGTCTGTCATTTACTGAAATGTCATTATGTGGTGCATGACTGTATGTCAAAATAGATATATTTGTATTTTAATATATCCTAAAATATATATGAAAAATTTAATAACTATGTGTGTGTGTATATATATATATGTATATGTATATGTCAAAATAAATCCCATTCATTTTCACACCTTCAGAAAGGACTGCTATAGGCACACAGTCTTGGTTTAGGTGGGTTTCATGTAAGGGCTAGGGACTGATCAAGGAAGGATGTTGAGTTTGATGTGGTGAAAAATAGAGATGACAGGCAAGGGACAGCAGAGTGAACCATGAACTGAAAAAAAATCAGCAGAAACAAGAGCTCCAAGCCAGCAGTGGCCAGGAAAACTATAAATCGTCTCCCCTTGAGAATCTTCAGAGAGACAGGAAGAAACTCAAGGTTCCCACTCTTAAGTTCAGAGTACATCAGCTGACATCTGGGTTAGTTTTATGCAAGGTCTCTGAGCCTTGAAAAATGCAAGCAAAACCTGAAGCTGTCTAAAAAAGACAGAATTTTATGCTTTTGGTGAGGACCAAACAGAAAAAGTATTCAACCTAAGTAAGGACTCAGTAGAATACCCCAGAAAATCCCCTTCGCTGAATGTCTCCTAGGGTAAATTTTCTTGGGGCAGGGAGAAAGTACTGGAAGGGAGGCTGGACCACACAAACCCCAGAGTTCTTGAAGATTCGGAGAGGCTATAGTTCTAGGAGCTGTGCAGACCTGCACCATTTCAATTTTCCTCAAATAGAACTAAACTGATTTAATGTATCATGCCTCAAAAGTTTCTTAGCAAAGTTCAGCAATATCACATGGTAGTCCCTATTCCTGTTCAAGCCAGTGACGGGGAAATGGAAGTCTTGCAAAAACTATTCCAGTATTTCCTGTTGGATAACCTCTGTTGGTCTCTAAAAACACCAAAAGCAGAAGTCAACTGAATCCAAAGTGGAAAAGCTTCCAAAAACAGGGTTGATCAGGTTGAACCATCAGGGCCTGCCTCTTACAAAGACATCTCCTCCTGGTCAAGACTGAGTTTTCTTTTCTGTAAAAAAGGGCCAGCATGCTAAATTATTGTTAGAATTCCTGATGCCTTCTCATAAGCAGCTTCTGGGCACTTGCATTGTAATTCAAAATGCAATCTTTATTTTAGGGAAAAATCAGTAAAACGGGGCCACACTAACCTGTCATTTTCCTCTTCTATTTTGAAGCTCTCCATATGGGAGTTAACCTCTCCCAGAAAAGCACTTGGAAAATTCCTAGTTAGGCCACTTGCTTGTTTTGTGAATGATGTTTGAGGTTGGCTATAACATATATAGCATGCTTTCTTCTTATTGCTGCCTTTTTCAGGCATGTTTTTGTTATTTTGGCATTTTTATGGAAGTAATTAAATATTATTTGGTTTTAAGCTGGTGTAGAAACTGTAGAGATGGGGAAAATACTCCCTAGCTGAAATACGACATACATATACCCATACAATCATAAACACACATACATATGCATGCAACATTCCTAAAGTATGTCCAGATAGTTTTGGCTTGATTAAGCTTTTTTCTTTTCTTTCTTCCTTTCTTTCTCTCTCTCTCTTTTTTTCTTTCTTCCTTCTTTCTAAGAGTGTGGAAGGAAGGAAATGAAAGGCAATATGATTTCCTTTTCATTTTAGGCTTGTTGCTAATAGAAGCAGCATTGTTTGGATGCCCAAGGCCCCTGCTTTCTACTCAGAGTTAAATGTTGTAGAAATGTTTTTTTCAAGCCTTATTCAGAATGACTGAAATATTTTTGTAGGGCGTCACCTTCCAAACCATCATTAATGTTTTCAGTTTGAACAGCAAGTAGCACTGCTGTAGTAACATTTATAGGAATATTCTTTCCCCATCCCATCTCACCTCCCCAAAAAACATAAAGCTAAAGTAAATCCTGGTATTAATATTTAGGCTAAAATTCCTGACACACTGATAGCATTTAGTAAGCTCTAAAAAGTATCCATAAAAAACAGAATGTTTCTTATTCTATTAAATCAGTTTTATGCAAGGTTGTATGATAAAAACTAACAATTTTAAGAGAAACCTTGTTTTTGGTTATTGGAAAAATTCAACTTCTGTTGACACTCAGAGAGAAGCAAGTATGAAAGAATAAAGTTGGGACTCACGCCAGAATACATTTTTAAGAGGAATTCTACAGCTGTTAGAAGAGTAAAAACATCTATTTAATGTTTCATATCTGTTGGTAGACTTAACAAGAGAAAAAATTGATTCCATTTAAATACTTCTTAGAAGTCTTAATTGGAATATCTGGCTTCATTGCTATATAATCCAGTAGTTCGGTCTGCATAATATTTATGTTAAAATTGAAAGGAGATTGTATGTGGATACATATTAAAATACTCTATATATTTTATGATTATATCAATGATTTATTAAAAGCATACGCAGAACACTTTCTTATCTATCCATATTTTTTGTTGGCAGGAGACATAAACAAATCATCTAATATCATTATTGTTAAATGAATCATAATCTACTTTCAGTTTTACAATGCCAGTTGCTTGTGGGGAGTACATTTATTTCAGTTCTGTAGACCTACTATATACTCAACACAAATAACAATATCTTCTCTATGTGGTCTTTCATATGTAATTTGGAATTGGGCTAAGAAATAAGCTTTGCTAATAAGCTCTCTAAAAAATAAGATGATCTCTAACTCAGAGCATTATCAAATTATTTGCATTTTAAAATCATTTTTGATTTACATAAATCAATTGAAAGCAAAAATCTGATTGAGTCTAATCCTCCTTTTTATAACAAATGTATGTAATGATAGCTCTTTTAAAAATAGAGGCATTTTATGACATTTCTGTCATGACTGATTTCATCTCTTCAATCATAATATGCAGGACAGATATTTTTCACATCAGAAGAGTGCCACACATTTTTCTAATGTGTCATTAAATTAGACATTTGGAATTAGGAATTAGTCATCTGCTACAGAACACAACGTAATGGGTGTGCCAATATTGGACACCAGGTCAACGCTACACCAATCTAGGTACCCTCTATTAGACGGTAAAAGCATCTTTTCTACTAAGGAATATCAAACCTTAGCCTCCCTTGTTATGAATAATTACCCTATGGTTTCATTTCCTCATTATCATTTGTGTTCATTAGTTAGCATCTTCTATTAGGTTTTAAGAAGATCCATTCAGTTAAATGACAAGTATCTCTACTCACTTCTTTAGTTAACATAATACTATTATTGTTTTAAAAATACTTGAATTTTTGTTGTGTTCAGACTTACATGTCAGTTCAGCCTGGAGACTATTCAATTAAAATGAATAATATAAATTATCTAAGACGATTATTTCAGCCAAAAATGTTTCCCAATCCAAAAGGTAAATGTTTTACTAGATTTATATCAGATTTTACTTTTATTGTAAATAGCACTTCCGTGACAGCCCTAACTCTATTCTCTTGAACTTTTTTCTGGGTTTGCCTTGAAGGCTATACCTTTTTCTATGAGTTTTGCTCAGAACTGCTACAACCAGTGGGCATTCCTCAGCTAAGAAGAACCAGATGGCCATGAAGAGATGCTAATGCTCCCCTTCACGTCTCTTCTGGGCAATCCTTCTTCATAGGGCATAGGACTTACTGCTACTCCGAGACTTAACACTAATCCAAATAACCAAGGACAGTTGTCTTACATCGATGGCAGGTATAAACCAAAAGGACCCTACCTGTTTGTAGCAAGAAATTGACTTGTTTGGGAAGCAAAAGCCCAAACAAAGTTGAGAACTAAGTTGTACCATATATTACATATGGTACCAAAACAATTTTCTGATCCAATTAAAATATTTTAGGCAAAATAGAAATAGAAAGCACTATGGTTTTACAGCATAATGCTTAGAGATACTTGGAGATTAAAAACCGTATGCATCTAAGGGGAGAAATTAAAATATAGCTAAATTCAAAGCATCTGTGCTAATGGAGACATGATGGACAGTTTAAAACGCTATTATCTGTTCCTTCTACCTTCTCCTTTATCAAATATTTAAGAGGTCATGCAGAATAATTGAAAGATCAATTATAAGGGCAGAGTAATAAGAGAAGAATTGGCACCTTCACCAGCAATCAATGTGCACTTGAAGGAATTCCTGACCTCTCTGAGACCCAACATTATCGTCTTGAAAATGAAAACAATGACAATGGTCTCACTTGAAAAAAATTAATATAAGAATCAAATGAGAATATACATTGTATTAGTCTGTTTTCATGCTGCTGATAAAGACATACCTGAGACTGGGCAATTTATGAAAGAAAGAGGTTTAATTGGACTCCCTTTTCCAAGTGGCTGGGGAGGCCTCACAATCATGGTGGAAGGCAAGGAGGAGCATCACATCTTACGTGGATAGTGGCAGGCAAAGAAAGAAAATATGTGCATTTCTGTCTTTTTAAAACCATCAGATCTAGTGAGACTCATTCACTATCACGAGAACAGTGCAGGAAACACCTGCCCCCATAATTCAATCACCTCCCCACCAGGTTCCTCTTGCAACATGTGGGAATTGCGGGAGTTACAATTCAAGATGAGATTTGGGTGGGGACACAGCCAAACCGTAATATATATATATATATATTCATAGATACACATATATAAGAATATATAAATATATAAATGAATATATACATATATATGAATATATAAATATATATATATTTTTGAGACAGGGTCTCGCTCTGTCACTCAGTCTGGAGTGCAGTGGCAGGATCACAGCTCACTGCAGCTTTGACTTCCCATATGCAGATGATCCTCCCACCTCAGCCTGAAAATATTTTTAAAAGCTATATTAAACTAAAAAAATTGTGTGCAAATAATGCAAAATAGCATTATCTTCATCAAGATCAAAGTTGTTTCCAAGTTCTATCCCATTCCTATTTCTGTCCACTGGTGGAGGTGCTACTGATTGTTGAGAGGCAAGAGGATAAAGAAGAGAAGGGAATCTCCCCCATTCCCAAATATCAGCAGTGCTTTCATAATGTAGTATTGCCCTTTGCAGCCATGTCCTGACTACCAAAAATGCCCCTGAAAGAAAATTTACTTGGAGCTTTGTAGATTGATTTCCTGACTTTATGAATCTAGGAGAAAGGAAAACAGACTCTGGAACATCTCACCAGACAAGCACATGACAGCAATACAGGCCTCTTTCTAGGGCTCAGAAGCCAAACAGACTTTGTACCTATTTGCTCTCTTCACCCCCGTGGTGTGAAACAGACAGGAAGATGAGGTCATTTAGCAAATCATCTGACTCCAGCTTGAAATCAGTAACCCAGTAAAAAAAGTACTTGAGGAGCATAGGGACATCAAACCTAGGGACATCAAAAGAATGCCTGGCTTGGGCATTCTGATAAGGTCTAATATTGAGGAGAGGATGGTAAAAGTGACTCAATTGATACTTGACCCCAGAAAGTGCTCCTCCAGCCTCCAGATGCCTGGATCTACCTCTAGGGGTGGGAGGAACTGGGGAAACAAAGCCAAACTCTCTCAATCATGAGGTACTATGATATTGCATCTGAATTCTGAGTTTCTACATGCTGAAATAATACTGTTTTTTCTACAAAATAGTTTAATGTAGGAAGCTCTCCAAGACAAATCATAGAAATCCTAGAGTGAGGTTACGACTTGTCTGCAGCACCCACAGGTAACCTAGCAGTAACTGGCATAAGAAAAATGTCGAATGAATGAATGAATGAATGAATGAATGAATGAACAGATGGATGAATGAACTCCATGGGGCACCTAATGGTGGCAGTGATCGTTATTTTTCTTTGTTACGAAAATTTTCAAATATAAATAAAAATAGAACTGTATATTGAATCTATATATACCCATCACTCTGCTTCAACAATCTTGTTTTGTCTATTCCCTCATTTTTAGAGGTGAGCTATGTTATTTTTTTAATCTAAGGTATCATATCATTTCACCTGTAAATACGTCACTATACATCTCTGACTCACAAAGATGATGCATTTACACACTTGATAATAATTTCTTATCTTCTAAAATTACAATTTCTCTGTCTCAAAAATATTTTTTAAACAACTGATTTGTTCGAATCAGAATCCACGAGACTCCCACGCAAAATTGTATTTTTTTTTTTTTTAGATGGAGTCTTGCTTTGTCACCCAGGCTGGAGTGCAGTGACGTGATCTTGGCCCACTGCAACCTCCGTCTCCTGAGTTCAAGCAATTATCCTGCCTCAGCCTCCTGAGTAGCTAGGACTACAGGCACCTGCCACCACACCCGGCTAATTTTTGTATTTTTAGTAGAGACGGGTTTTCACCGTGTTGGCCAGGCTGGTCTCAAACTCCTGACCTCAGGCAATCCCCCCTCCTCAACCTCCCAAAGTGCTGGGATTGCAGGCGTGAGCCACTGTACCGGGCAAAATTGTGTATTTTTTTTTTTATCTCTTAAATGTTTGTAAATCTATAATTGTCTTTCTCATCCCACTCCATTTTATTAATATTATTGAATTGCTGGAAAAATCAGGTCATATGCCCCATAAAAAGTACCACATTCTGGATTTGGCTGACATGGTTTGTGGTGTCATTTAAGCAAATCCTCTACCTGTGTAATTCCTCGATACTGGTAGCCATATCTAGAGGTTTGATCAGATTCAGTTTACTTAAGGTGAATTTTGTTGTTGGCTATGTATTTCCTATTGCATCTCACGGGAGTAATCTTTTTAAACATACCAAATGGCAGGAGTTAATTTGGCCTGACTATATGCCAAGTATAAAATGTACCAGGTCTCTATTTTGGACCTACTAGAAATCAGATCCTCAAATTAAACAATATTCTCTCTCTCTCTCTCATTTGGTTTGTTTTAATGGATCTGTGTTGGTGCAATAATAAACTATAGGCAGCAACTATTTGCACGCAAATATTTTCTCAAACTGGGGACAAGAACAACAGTATAAGTTGGACAAGTTTAGCTGGCATTCTCCTTATTAGAGGAGGACTGCCACTCGTGTGTATAAACACTTCCAAGTTGGAAGAGTAGGTGAGAAGGGAAAATTAAACCATGATGTTTGGGGACTATAATGGTTTGCTGATAGTCACAGTCAGTGAAATACACTGCATAAGAGAACCTTAAGAATCAGTTATCTCTGTCAGTTTGTGATAAGTGCTATGGAGAAAATGTAAATTGAAGAAGAGGGATAAGGTATTAGGGCAGCAACTTTAAATATAATAATTGCATTAGGTTTCTGGGGCTGCCCTAACAAATTACTGAAAAGGAAGTGATTTAAAGAAATTGATTTTTTTGCACAGTTCTGGAGAATAGAAGTTCAAAATCAAGATGCCATCAAGGCCATGCCACCTCCAAAGGGTGTGGGGAAGAATCTATTCCACGCTTCTCTCCTAGCTTCTGGTGGTTTCCAGCAAACCTTGGTGTTCCTTGGGTTACAACTATATCACTCTAACTTCTGCCTCCAGCTTCACATTGCCTTATTCCCTGTGTATATCAAAATTTCCCTTTTCTTAAAAGGACACTAGTGATTGAATTTAGGGTCTACCCTTATTCAGTATGGCTTTGCCTTAACTTGAGTACATCTGCAGAGACCCTATTTCCAAATAAAGTTACATTCACAAGTTCCAGGCAGCATTTCTGGAGGACACTATTCAACCCGGTACAATGGTCAAAAATACTCTCCATGACAAAGTGGCATTTGAGCAAATATCTAAAGCAGTTAAGGGACGGGACCTGAGCAATCATTATTCAGGAGGAGGACAGTCCAGGCAAAGAATAGCAAGTGTGAAGGTGTGAGATATGAATGAGCCCGACATGGTTAGAGAACAGAAGAAGACCAGTTGGCTGGAGTGAAGGAAGTGAGGGGAAGATCTGTATGAACAGCTGTTAAAAAATTAAGGCAGGGGATAGGAGGAGCAAATCAATAGAGCCTTGGAGGCCATTTATAAGGACGCTGGCTTTGCCTCTGATGGAGATGGGAGTTACTGAAGGGTTCTCAATAAAAGTGTAACATTACTGGATGTATTTCATGAAGATCACTGGCTGCTATGCTGACAATAGACTGTGGGAAGGGTAACAGCAAAAGCAGTTAGAGGTTATTTCATTAATCCACGCGAGAGGCAATGATGGCTTGGGCCAAGGTAGTAGCAGTGGAGATAGTGAGACACTATCAGAAAATAAAAATAATACATAAAAATATCTCAAGTTTTTTTTCCATCAATACTTATCTAGTACATATCAAAGTGTTTTGTCACTTGTCAGTATCCATTATCAGACAATAAAAGCGAGTCCCAAAAGTTTAAGAATTCTTTTTATGAGAAAATCTTAAAATGAGAAGAACCTGAATGCTTCCTTTGTTCTTGCAATTCACAATGATAACCACCATAGGACCCGCTATTAGCCAGGAATTTATTTTACATTTATTATATTATTTAATCCACAAAATAAACCTGCAACACAAGCATGGTTTTTCATTTTTGCAAATAAGAAACTTAAAGTTCAGAGAAGTTAAGTCATTTATCTAAAGCCATACGACTAGATAATAACAGAGCCAGGATTCTAATTTATGCATGCCTAATTCAATCCTATAGTATTTCCATAAAGCTATAGTGTTAATTATGAAAAAAGTCATTATTTCCTGATCATTGTGGTCCAGATTTTTAAGCATCATGTTCTAGAGAGACTTCATTTAAGATTCTTTACTTGTAAGTAGTTGATTAGTCAATTTGACTAATTGGCCAGGAAGATGGTGGAAAGAGACACTTTAGTAGTCGAATGTTAGGAAAGAAAGAGACTAGTACATATCTCATAACCAGTGGTGTGTGAGAGCCAGTGCTGATGCTAATAAGAGCCAATTGTCCTCATCTTTTCCCGACTCCAGTCAGTAACGCCACATGACAGCTTGAAATAAGCCATGGTGGAAGTTTTCAACACAGAGAAATCAACAAATACAGTGAGTCAAGGCGTTTTAAATTCATGGATATAGTTTAGTAGCCTACTATTGCCTATAATTCAAACTCAATCACAACAAAATATAAAAGTGTGTGTGTGTGTGTGTGTGTACGTGTGTGGGCCAAGGGTGGAGGGAGAGAGAGAGAGAAGAAAAGGAGGAGGAGGAAGAAGAGAAGAGACAGCATCATCAACTTGCTAGGTGTGGTTAACGTCTAACATTAGTTTTTAAAACTGCCTCATGTTCAATATAAGTCATAATAATAGAAATTGTCTACTTGTCAGATAAATGCGTTTTACATAAGTCTGTGATTGTGTGTTTCCTGGTTTGCCTCAGCAAAATGACTATAAGACTTAATGCATTTTCAGCCACAACTTGGATAATTCTAGACTGGTTTTCCCTCTCCGCAAACCAACACCTAGCATAGCCTTCCCAGCTGGTGTTTCTTCAGCAAATACAATTTTGGTAACCTCAGTTCTTCAATGGAAGACTGAGCCGACAGTAATCCAGTGGAAGCCTGTGACATGGGTTTCCAGAGCTTTGGCTTCTCTCTCAATAGAAGCAAGTGGTGACGTTTCCTTCTCTGGGTTGCCCTGGAGGAATGTCCTTTCACCAACAGAGACTGAGAAGGAGAACCAGTTTGAATATTAACCAAAATAAGAATGATTTATTTGCCATGGGGAAAAAAGTCAGAGTCGCTCCATTTGGATGGTGTTATTATATCTGAAAGCGAGGTAGAAATTGTGCAGAGGTTATTGGTTATTTTGGATTAGCCTCACAACGTGTATCTTCCACCACTATTTATTCTAAAAAGCAGCAGCATGTATCCTGAACTAACACACATACACACACGCACCATGCACACACACACACGCTTAACACACATGCACATATTGCTACAGAAACTCTCCTGAGCCCTTTCTCAGGGAGACATTTCTTCTTTCTGTGTCCCTTCATTGCTGTGCTCAGACATAATGTATCACTTCCCACTTTATCTTCCCTCTCTCACCAATCATTGCAGCCTCTGTAAGCCAGACCCAGGCTTAGAGTCTTGTGGTGAAAGTCCAGATACCAGAGACAGCCTCGAAAGGGTATTGAGTCACAATCGAAGTCAGAAAAAATGAATCTGATGAGGCCTTTGATGCAGAGGAAAGAAACAAACGGCAGGAGCTGAGATACAATGCCAAAGTGTGGCTGGGCGCAGTGGCTCACACCTGTAATCTCAGCACTTTGGGAGGCCAAGGCGGGTGGATCACAATGTCAGGAGTTCAAGACCAGCTTGGCCAAGATGGTGAAACCCCATCTCTACTAAAAATACAAAAATTAGCTGGACGTGGTGACGGGTGCCTGTAATCCCAGCTACCTGGGAGGCTGAGACTCTGTCTCAAAAAGAAAAAAGAAAGCCAGAGAAGGACAAGGAGCCTGGCAGACTGAAAGCACGGAGCAGTGACAGGAGCAAACAAGAGGAACATGATCAGTGTGCATTCCAAAGTTGGGTTGGAGAGTGTGCACCACTTATAGCCTTTTCATTTCTACATAAAATTGTAGCAAGGGTTAGTGTTGCCTAGCGGTTAAAAGCACAAACCCTGGAACCGATTACCTGGGTTTAAAGACTGGCTCTGCCACTTACTAGTTCTGTGACTCCTGAGTCAGTTTCCTCATTTGTAAAATTGAGACGATAGGTTTTAGTGAACTGGATTTTTATGAGGTCTAAATAAATTAATACCTGTAAAGTACCTCAGAAGAGTGTCTATATAAATAGACGTGAAAGTAAGACAATACACATCCATGCACCTAGCATCAAGAAAAAGGATTACTAGCATGATTGGAGTGCCCTTTTCTTTATCTCCCTACTTCCTCTCAGAAGTAACCACCACCTTGAATTTGTGACTTATTGCCACTATTTTTATATACATTTATTTATATGAATATTTGTACCTCTCAGCAATAATTTTATTTTTCATATTTAAACCATGTATAAAGGGCATCATGCTTTCTGTCTTCTATAACTTGCTTTGCTTATTTAATCCATCTATGTTGATACAAGCAGCTCTGGGCCATAGAGCCACACCATTGTTGTTATTGTTAGAGTATTCCCAACGGATGCATGCACCATAACTTATTTGTCTGTTTTCCTATTGATAGACACTTAAGTTATTTCCACTTTTGGCTATTCTAAACATTCTTAGACATATTTCTTAGCAAACAAGTGGGGGTTACTGCAGGCTGTTTTAGAAGTAAAATGTCTGAGTTTTAAGGTAAGCTTATTTTAAAATTTACTTAATATTTTTTAAATTATTCATTTAAGATGTTTGGAAAAATTAATGTTATTTTGCATTATCATCAGCACCGTGCTATGTGCTAACTACTACTGTCGACCCTTGACACAACTAACTTATTTCATTCTGATAACAACACTATGAGGGAAGTTATACTATTTCCCTTACTTTATAGAATTTCAGCAATATTCCTTAAATAACACAACTGGTAAGCCACAGAGTTAGGATTCATACCTAGAGGCATTATTTTCAGAATCATGCTAAACGCAAAATAGAATATAATAAAAAGCCAAGATATTTTGGCCAAAAAAGCATTTTAAGACAGATAAAAAGATTTCATTGAAGGGGATGAGACTTCAAATAATCCAATATGACCCCATTTAAATAATTATATCTGTAGGGAGCCTATTTCCAAGGCAGGCACGTTCTGAGGTTTAGGTAGACATGAATTTTGGAGGGGCATTACTCAAACCAGTACAGGGATCCCTTTCTACCATATGTGGCCAAGGAAAGGAGTCTAATCCACTTTTCTTATGACAAGCCTTTGAATATTTGAAGAGTTGTGCTAGTCACAGATGTCCCCTCCCTCCCCACCCTGCAACATAAAGGCTCTCTTGCTCTGGCCATACATGCCCATTTCAGTCAGGCCACATTGGGAGCCCTCAGCAGTTCTGATTCCCAGAAGGGTCCCCTCACTGTCCAAGTGGTCCTGCTCTGGACACACTTCCATTTGTCAGTGTCTTTCTCATGAAAGAGTATGCATAACAGAAAACGCTTTTCCTGGTGTGGACAGACCACTGCAGGGTACAGTGAACCCGAAGAGTTGTCACTAGCCACTATAATTATGGTTAAGTCAGGCTGTGTGACCTGTGCAGTTCTAGATCTTTCAGAAGACTTGGGTAGTAGTTCTAGTTCTGTCTCTCACTCTGAACAGAAGTAAATCAAGGTTCCTGCACCAACATTTCTTAACCTTTAGAAACAGGACTACTTGCCTAACCCGTTTGTCAATGATGTTGTGAGGATAAGTATAAGATTGGTACAAAAGATTAGATAAAATCCTCAGATTAAAAAAAATAGAAAGAATGTGGAATGGCCATAAAACCACAATGCAATGGAATTTAACCTTGTTTTATGCTATGGGGTCCTTTGATCATCCAGGGAAATCTATAGTGCACCTCTCCAGAAAATGCATATACGAACAGGCACACAGACGCTTGTGTGAAGCGTGTGCATGTACATGTGCTTCACACTCATTAGGGAGTTAAATCATCCTGGAGTCCAGACACAGCTTCCCTCCATTCTCTAATGAAGACGTGACCTTGAGCATGAGCATTAAACGAGTACAGCAAATGGTATTCCTTCTTCATTCACAAGTGACCATTCCATTTTAAAACTGAGGCTATTCAATCAGTCCAGAAACCTAAGCACATCACATGCGCATGGTTGGAATGGAGCAGAAGTGTTTAGGGACCGAATCGAATGTCTGTGAATGGTTAGACCTGTTTTCTTTGTCTTTTTATTTTTATTTTTATTTTTATTTTTTTTTGAGACGGAGTCTTGCTCTGTCACCCCAGGCTGGAGTGCATTGGTGCGATTTCCACTCACTGCAACCTCCGCCTCCTGGGTTCAAGCAATTCTTCTGCCTCAGCCTCCTGAGTGGCTGGGACTATAGGTGTGCGCCACCACGCCTGGCTAATTTTTGTGTGTGTTTTTTTTAATAGAGACGCGGTTTCACCATTTCTCTCAGGAGAAAAGCAGCATCTCTGAAAGTGTGGTCCCCAAGACCACTGCATCAGAATGACCTGGAAGTGCTGATTAAAACACAGATTCCGGGCGGGCGGCGGTGGCTCACGCCTGTAATTCCAGCACTTTGGGAGGCCGAGGCGGGCAGATGACGAGGTCAGGAAATCAAGACCATCCTGGCTAACACGGTGAAACCCCGTATCTACTAAAAATACAAAAAATTAGCTGGGCGTGGTGGCGGGTGCCTGCAGTCCCAGCTACTCGGGAGGCTGAGGCAGGAGAATGGCGTGAACCCGGGAGGCAGAGCTTGAGTGAGCCGAGATCGCGTGACTGCACTCCAGCCTGGTGACAGAGCGAGACTCCGTCTCAAAAAAAAAAAACAAAAAACAAAAAACAAAAAACAGATTCCCTGGTACCCCCACCACAGACCTTTCCAGAGAAGTCTCTGAGGCTGAGCCCAGGAATTTACTCTAGTAGCCAACTTCCGGGATGACTGTCGTAAATACTACAATTTGAGAACTATTGCTCTGGAGGCTGAATTAAGCAATGAGCATACTGATGAATACTCACTTTTGAAAAGCCTAAAGGTAGACCTCCATGAAAACTATTCGTAGGATTTCCTTTCTTCCTTTCCTTATCTTAAAATGATATAATCTTTTTGAAAAAAAACCCACAAACCTGCGTGTATATCATTTCACTTCAATGCATAAATGTGACCTATACCTGCATAAAGACTATTTTCAGTTTTTTCCTTTTTGCATGGCTCCCACCCCTTTTCTCTGCCCTTGTCTCCACCAGGCCCCTAGTAATCTGTACTGCAACCTCCTTGATAATCCTTCATATATACCCACAAACATATATACCCAAATATATATAAATAGGTGTTGCTTTTTATATTACTAAAATAGAAACATCTTTTCCATGCTTTTCTGTACCTTGCTTTTCTCACTCAAAAAAACCTAAAGGAATATTCCCATGTCACAAAATTTGACTCTAATTTATTCCTTTGAATGGTTACATATGACTTCACAGTATGGATAAGTCATAACATACTCAGTCATTCTCCATTGACAGGCATATTTTGTCCTAGCTTCCTGCTGCTATAAATGATACAATTAACAACCTTGGGGGCAGGGAGTGGTGGCTCATGCCTGTAATCCCGGCAATTTGGGAGGCCGAGGCGGGTGGATCATGAGACCAGCCTGGCTAAGATGGTGAAACCCCGTCTCTACTAAAAATACAAATACAAAAATTAACTGGGCATGGTGGTGGGCACCTGTAATCCCAGCTACTCGGGAGGCTGAGGCAGAGAATTGCTTGAACCCGGGAGGCGGAGGTTGCACTGAGCCGAGATCTTGCCACTGCACTCTAGCCTGGGCCACAGAGCAAGACTCCATCTCAGAAAAATAAAAAAAAAAAAATCCTTGCATATTATACATGTGCTTTATTTCTAGTGGATAGATTCTTACTCCTAGGATAGAGAAGTGTATGTGTTTGCTACAATAACAATTAATATTAGTAATTCCTGCAGGGTTTTATGTATTTTCATTTTTGATAACTCCTGCTAGGTTTCTTTCCAAGTAAGACAGTATTTATTTGAATGGTAATTTTTATGGGTATTTACTTGCCTTTCACAATTTCTCATTATAAAAATTTATATTGATAAGTGAGGTGTAATTAGTTATATACATTTATATTATTGAATTTTAAATGTTCTTCATTTTACAAGTACCAATTTTTCCAAGTACCCTAGTAGTCTACCACCTGAGTTTCATTAAAATTGCACAAAACAGAAAAATACATATTAGTTCTGAGATGCTATAGGGGTATAAGCAAGAAAACAAAACACAAACAGGCTGCCTTCTATGAAACTATCTTCCAAATATTTTAGATCAGAAGATGGACAGGTAGATGGATAGACAGAGATATGAAAAAAAACCTCCAGTATTTGTTTTGACTTGCCAGCCACCAAATCTGGTAGGGTCAGTTTTTCTGTAATGTTAAATATGCAGGACTGGTCAAGGTCAAAGAACATTTTCTGGGAACAATAGCCATTCTCTTCATTGTTTTTTTAATGACATGGAGAAGGAAAAAAAAAAAAGGAGAGAGAGAGAGATGTGACCTTACTAGGTCCACTTCAACAAATCCTTGTTTGATTTTAACATCTCTAAGTGTCCAGCAAGGCATCAAAGGCACACAGGCAGTTTACCTTACAGCCAGTTCCAAAGTGCCATTTACAATTCAGGAGAAATGACAGGCTTCAAAAGGGGCAGTTTAAGGAAGACAAGAGCAGTAGAGAGGGGGATAGAAGAAGTGATGGAGAAGGAGGAGAGAAAGGATAAAGGATTAGGTCTGTGAGCTAACAGAGGAAAACAGCTTAATTATGGAAGAAAAGACACATGCATAGGATAGGTCGAACAGGCAGAGTTGCTGTGGAAGCACATTCCAGGAAAATCTTAAGAGATTACTTTAATAATAAACCATGCATTCTTCAGCAAGCCATCACGGGATTAACTACCCCTTTCCTAGGCTGGGAGCACAGTCATTTGTTTTATTTTATTTTTTCCTTCTCTCTCACAGGCAGGTTTTCTGCAACGGACAATTGCCATTCAAAGACTATTGTTTTTCAAACATTGAACTGACTTTTCCTCCCCTTAATTTTCTAAACATAAATTTCAGTGGTGATAAGAAAAGACCATTATTTAGGCAGGGTAAATATCTGGGTGGGCTTTGGCGTGATTCTCCAGAGGGAAAGATGTTCATTTTAGACTTGTTGAAAAGTGAACAACTTAGATGAGACAGAGACAATGTTTCACGAGGGATAAAAAGAGTTAAATTTCTTTTCTTTTTTTTTCTTAATGTGAGCAGGACATTGAATTACTGCCAGAAGCAATATCGGTGCCCTAGAGATATAAAAATACAGTTCAAACCAGAATTCTCCACTGTCGACTCTTCAGATTTCTGTGCAAAATAAGAGGTGTCTATTTTAAGTTGTAAGTGTGAGCCCACTGCTCTTAAATGAACTGTTTTCATCAAAGTCTTCTCTTGAAACTACAACTCATAGCAGATGAAATCATTTTCTTCCTCTGGCTTCTTAGACAAATCCCTTCCATTTGGTGGGGTAGAGCAAACATAAGTTAGTATTTCTTGGTAAGAGTCTTTCAAAAAAAAAAAAAATAGAATTGAGTGAGCACTTCTTAGTCTAGAAAATATTACATATTGAGGTTAAAAGAGACACCCATGTCTTTCTAATTATCAAAGTCTCTATTTGCCTGAAGTCAGCAGCCCTTTTTCCAGCTACCTAGCCAATAGAAATGAAACTGGACTTCTAGATTTTAGAAACAAAGCCTTGTGTTCTAAAATGTACTAGAATTACATTTCTCTGCATAAATGTTATAAATAGAATACTATCCTAGGACTAAAATTTGTATACTTCCTGTCATTCACACAAAGTCATTTTTTAAAATAGCAAATTACCTCTGAGGAATATTGAAAACTGCCAGCATGGCCCTCCCTGCCTCCACACCCCTAGGTGTGTCAGGGGATGAGAAATAGTAGAGGCTGGGGAAGTAGAATTCTGGGCCAGCTGTGCTGCTCTGCACCCCTCAGTCTCCCCGAACAACGGTTGTTTCAAGCCTGACCTACTTGAGAGCAGACATTGCCACTCACATTGAGCTACCCCAAATTACACAGTGGCTTTGCAGTCGAGGCTAGGCACGGACCACAAAATATATCCTTGATGTCCCACGAGCCCTATTTGAACCCTCAGTTTCCAGAGGTAAAATGCAAATCCACTGTGTTGCTTACTCGATAAAATCAATAACCCCCTCCCATCCGAGATACAATTTAGCATTTTCACATTTACTACGTGCTGCCTCTGACTTTAAACAATTAAATTTTTTTCTTAAAAAAAGGGAAAAGAGACACGTCTTTCACAAGAGTAATTTCAGAATTCTCCAAAAAGCAACAGAGCTTCTGTGGATGTTTTACAATAATTCTTGATTTTAAAATATGGAGAAAATGAATTCTCAGCTTGTTAACACTCATTAGGATTTGCTGCGGAGTACCTTCTACCGCTCAGCACTCTACGTTAACATTTTTAAATATTTTATTTCTTGCAGTTCATGTTTTTCCTAGAGTTATAGGAAGTGCTATGGAAATTCATGCAGATAAAGTCATGTTATGTGTCTACATATAGGTGTATATACACTGTAAGGGAAGCCTGTATAGAATCTCTGATTGTATCAGAATTATAACTTATTTGATAGGCTACATAGACGTGAACATGTTTTGCTCATATCGATTTCAGAGAGAATATTATTTTTATATCCATATATATGATTATATTTCATAGGTAAATACAGTATGTTTCACATATGCACACATAGATTTCCCACTAACTTAAGCGCATTTGCATCTGCAATGAGGGAGACACTAATTTCTTCTAAGGGGAGCAAATCCAATCGCGCGATCAACTTTAGAAACTGCAGATCTGCGCAGGAACCGTTGTCCCTTGTCAGAAAAGTCAGGAGTAAAGGCAGTCCTTTGTTCAAAGGGCCCCAACGGGTTGGTTAGGATGACTCCGTGTGCCACATCACTCGCAGTGGCAATCCAGGGAACGGATCTGTGAAACGAAGCTCGGTGGATCCCACCCCTTTCCTCCAGAGCTTCCCTTTCCTGTCCTTATTTGCACCCGCCCCCCGCCCGCGTCGGTCTGGGGCTTTTGACTTCTCCCCGAACACATTTCCCCTCCCGTCGCTGGGTCCCTGCGATCGCCCCCAGCTGGTGGGGCTCGCGGAGCTCAGGGGAGCGGGGTCCTCTGCGCCGCTGCAGCGCGAGTTAATAAACAGTTAAGTTTGGAAGACTCTGCAGACACGTTGAGGGGGAGTTACCAAGCCCAGGCAGCAAAAACATCCTGGCACATTCCTGGGGAGTCCTCAGCTGCCAGCATCTGATTAGAACCATATCTCTCGCCGGGAGTGGCCGCGCGGCTCCGAAGCTCCCGGCCGGCGGCTATTTAAGCGAGGCCCGCCGCATCCGCTGCGCTGTAGCCTGGAGGCTCCGGGCGCGGGGAAGTCATGCTCGCTTCACGGAGGCAATAGCTAGCCGGTGAGTAGCTTCGAAACCCTTCTTCCCTCTGGCTCCATTTTTTTTTTAAAGATCTCCTTCTCTCCTTTGCTCCCCCTCTCTCACCCCCCCGCCCCCCGCTACCCTTCTTTGAGTACAGACCTTGGGCTGTGGGGAATCTTAGAAATGAGACCCTGTGCTTGGGGAAACCAGCAGTTTTGTGGCCTGACATCTGAGGAATGCTTCCGCGGAATGTATTTACCTTTCGAATCCGACTCCAGATGCCCAGCTTGTGACATTTAACAAACGCCTCCTTTTGTGTCGTGTGTGTGTGTGTGTGTGTGTGTGTGTGTGTGTGTGTGTGTGTGTGTGTGTAAAAGGTCTGCGGGCAGCCCTCCTAGGACACTGAGGTGGCTGCTGACCGCCTAATTAACTCCTCGAAGGGTGTTTATTTTTGCTGTGTGACAAAGGCTGGGGACCTGGCTTGTGCCCATAAGGAGCTTTTTCCTGGTGACTGACAACATATGGCATTAAAATGTGAACTTTTGTCTTACACCGGCATTCCTAAGGAAGTATCTACCCAAGGGACTTAAGAAACTTGTTTTATATCCCCCGGCGCAGGGAGCATGGTTTATATGGTGCTTGCCTGCCTGTTGTAAGCTGGTTAAAAAGATTAAGTAAGAATTCTAAAAAAGGGGGGAAAAATGAATGGGTTAAAACCGTGGAGCCTCAGTCAACATAGCGGTTTTCATAGCATAGAGCTGACTCTGTTATTTGTTTCTGCTGTCTTTCCCTCTTGACTTAATTCTGAGCCTGGAATTCTGGTCCGCAGACAGTTTCAGCAGGGAGCTGAGTCCAAAGGGAAATTCAACTGGATTAAAAACACTTAAGGAATCTGGGTGTTATCTCCACCCCAACCACCCCCCACCTTTTCCCCTTTCTTTTTAGTTTTTGTTTGGAAGGAAGAGAGCCGCTCTGTAAACCGAGAAGAGCAGAAACAAGCTTCCAGACACATGGAAAGACTTAAAAATTATGGAGGGGCGACTTCACGAATAGTAAATGTTGCTATTGCTCTATAAAGTGACTTCATGAAAAAATTTCTGGCCTTAGTCAGGCAAAGCAGGGGCATGGGGGAGAAGGAGGTAAGATATAACTAATGCAAACAGAAGTAATGGGAGTGGAAAGCAGGCATCTACAAAAAATGCCTTTGAGATGTCTGATAAGCCTCTTGGAATGGCTTTGATGAGATGTATACTTGATTGTCCTTACAGTCTTGAGGTTGGCTTCTCACACAAAAGCACCTACTGGCTGTTGGGGAGGAGGGAGCTTGCAGCTACCAAATGGCTTGTCACCATGCTTCTTACCCCAGCAGCCAGACTTTGGGAGGCTACTTTTCTCTGAGCCAGGTGCCCCGCCCACTCCAGGTTCTGTGTCTCCCCTCTTGGAAGGGAGATGGCCCTCAGTGACACTGTAAGAAAGTTTATTGCCTTGAGAATTCGGGAGTATTTGAGTACAATGGGAAAGTCTTCTAGAGAAAGCATGAAGAAGACCTAGTGGTCTTTGCCAATGTGGATTTCTGGGACAGACCACTTCTTCCAAATCCTTAGTCAGTTTCCTCCTAAGGCCAACTAAATTCTTTTTCCTGTTGTTGGTGAATAACTTCCCCCTTCTTTTCCCACTCCCAGCTGGAAGGATCCCTTCTCATCCAAATGACTGACCTAGAAACCAGTCATTTTTCAGCTATGCCCTCCTATGCTTTAATGTATAACCAGAATAAGTAGATGGTAGAGGAATGTCTTCCAACTTTGAGCCCATACACGTATGTATTTGCCATTCTGGGGATCTTTGATCTTGATGGTTGATCTTTACCTGAGGATGTAAGTGAGGGAAGAAAGCACTTGTTACAAACCTTGTCTAATTTGTGAAGGGCAAACTCCAGAGTTTGTGTTTCTGCTAAAGACTTTTATAGTTTCAGATTAAACTGGAAGTCCAAATTCCTGTGCATTAGGCCTGTTTGTTGTCTTTCTCCAAAGGTTGAATGGATTTCACTGGCCTTGTTTGGGTTGAAGGGTACGGCTTTTAAGGCACTTGTTGGCATGAAGGTAGTACAGGGACCTCTGGCAGCTGCTGACCAGCTGTTTGGGGATGATATTTACTGGCCTGCTCAACCAGGCCTCGATTATCTGAAGGTTAAGGGAGCAGGAAGATATCTTCCTTGCTGAGTGCTCCTGGCCAAGCAGGAGGCTTTGCTGTGACATAGGCTCTTATGCTGCTTCATTTCTAACTCTACCCTCATATGTCCATAAACCTAAGTTTGCTACCACTGATATTTCATCTGGATAATTTTGAAGGCTCTGCGTGTTTCTCTTCCTCATTCTTTTGACCTGAGGATTTAATTATTGCTCTTCTTAAAGACAAAGCCAAGATGCTGAAATGCTTGGGAAAGCTGCTGAGAGTGAGCCCTCCTGGGGTTTGAAGTTGTCCTAATGCTCATCAGAACATACCTCCCCAGCTGGAAAGATTCGAAAGCTTACTGGCCAGGAAGGTTTAGGTAACTAACCAAACACATAAGGTTTTTTACCCTTTAGACAGAACCAGAATGGGAACCAGATTGGCAATATGAAACACCTGAGTAACAGGATGTGGTATTTTAAAATTCTCCCTGGCACTGCTATGTAATTCCAAAGTTGAAGCTGTGCCGCTGAATTGCACAAAGGTTGGCCAAAATCATATTTAGGTGAAACAGATTTTTGTTTTGTTTTGTTTTGTTTTGTTTGAGACAGAGTCTCCCTCTGTTGCCCATGCTGGAGTACACTGGCATGAACTTGACCCACTGCAGCCTCTGCCTCCTGGGTTCAAGAGATTCTGTGACCTCAGTCTCCTGATTAGTTGGGATTAGAGGTACCCGCCACCATACCTGGATAATATTTTTTTTTTTTTTTTGTAGTAGTAGTAGAGACGGGGTTTCACCATGTTGGCCAGGCTGGTCTCGAACTCCTGACCTCAAGTGATCCACCCACCTCGGCCTCCCAAAGTGCTGGAATTACAGGCATGAGCCCACCACACCCGGCCAGATGAATCAGATTTAACACCAGATATGTGTCTTTAAAGGAGACCCAACTCATAATATCAGCATATCCTGACTGGATTAACTGGTGGAAATCAGAAGGAAAGCAGACTCCTCAGTCTTTACTTAAAGACAGAAAACAAGCAAATTCCTGGTTAGGGGAACAAATGATGACTGGTACGGACACAGAGGGCTAACATTCAACACTGGCTGCCTCCAACAGGGCACAATTGGATAGTAGTTGAGAACTACCTTCTGAAGTACCATTTCCTGGGTTCAAATCTTAGCTACAGGGTTGCAGGTTACATGGCCTTGGGCACATTCCATAACCTCTCTGTACTTCAGCTTGCTTATCTGGGGAGAATAATAGTACCTACCCCAGGATTGCTGGGAAGACAGCTAATCTAATATACTTGGAATACTTTTTCCCATCTGATTTTGAAGGTTTTGTTTGTTTGTTATTACTCCCCCCTGAACAACTGAATTAAGTGTCTTTGTGAAAACTGAAAGCAAATGGAAAATTTCTTCATGAAAATTGAATACCCTTCACCTACTTGAAAAAGGTTAATTATTCAAGCACTTGATTTTAATAAAGCCAGTGCGTTTGCTTGTGCTCATGCTAGAACAGACAGGGAGTTACTCTCTGTTTTCGTCCTGGAAGCCTGCACTTTGGTTTGGTCAGGCTGACCTCGCTGGTCTCAATTAAGTCCTCCCCACACCCTCTCAGACTCCTGACAGAGAAGGAGCAATCCTTCCCCCTGAAGTCAGCATTGTCACAGAAGGAAGTGGGAAGGGAGGGACCACCCGGATTAAACTGAATGACTAGGCTAGAAATAAAAATTCTTCCGAGTGTGTGCAGGCCCCATACTATCCTTGCCCACATAGCTGGGCAGGTTGCCATGGTTACTCCCCTTCCCGCATCCTTCTACCCTGGAAGGAAGCCTGCCTCTCTAGGGGAAGTAGAATCTGAACAAATTGCTTCCTGGTCTAAAAATGGAAGTTACTAAGTGAAGTAGAATCTCCTCTCTACTTATATCACCCCCTCCAAACTTATTTTAATCCCAATACTTAATTTTCTAACCTTCCTAGTTCTTGCATCATCTAGATAGCAAAACATGAAAGCTTATGAAATTTCTGGAACCTAAAAGTTACTACCTCAATATAGAAGCAGCCTGGCAAGTTTTCCCTACTACATTTGTACTAGCTAGCTAGGGGCAAGTGATTTTTAACTAAGTCAACTGGTAAAAATTCTAAGTGAATGGGGCAGGCTGAGTGAGTGTTACGTTGAAGGTAAACAATGTATGAGGGCTGTCACTTAGATTTTCAGGTAACCATAGAGTAAAGGGAGCAGGTAAATAGGAAGTAACAATCCTAGAATGCTGGATTTGAAGCACCTTTCAACCTAGAAGAAATCTGGATGAGGGAAATATGGTTTAATGTTGTCTCTTGGTAAAAAACTACCCTATTGCTACCTAGCAATATGATGCAAAATGTTAGTCCCAAAAAGACTTTGATCTTTATATGAAAGATGAGCTGCCATACACAAGTTTGCATTTGACAAATTAATTCAGTCTTTCAAAATTGGACATTTAGCTTGATGTGTATTTCACAGCTTGAGGGAACTCATCTAAGACAATAGTTCTCAGAGCTGATTCCCAAACCAGCAGCATCAACATCAGCTGGGGACCTGTCAGAACTGCAAACTCTGGAAGTAGGGCCCATCCAGCTGTATCTAAACTAGCTCTCCACCACGTGATCCAAGAGTAACTTTCATAATTCAGTGGTTTTAGGATTCACTTCTTCAGTGGAAATCATAACAAAGTATTTGAATTCCTTCAGTCATGGAGATAATAAAGCAAAAGCCTTTAAACACAGTGCAGTTTAACTGAATCTTAGGATGCAGAAAGATTAAAAAGCATGGGATTTGGATATTTTTCCCATATACCAAGTATGACTTTCTTGATCCTAGGAAATCCAATATACTTTTGGTTTGATATTATCACCTCACTTCCAAATCTTTTCCCCTCTGCTGGGGTTTTTAAAGAGTATAATTAATCTTCATTTATTAGGAGACTGTCCCACTTACTTCTTTTAAAAAGGATTCCAGTAAACTAGATCATTACCCTTGAACCAGATGGTTTTCTCTAACCTATAAAACTTTTTATTTTGTTTTTATGCCATGTCTAGAAGTGCAGATGAAGTCCTCTCCATAAATGAGTCTACTTCATTTAGTTTTTGTAAAGTTTAATGGCTAACGAAGCACTGCTCCTTTCTCCCATTCGACTTTCACTTTAAGTAACTTGAAATAGAAAAGATATCTCTATTTATTGGCTCCAATATGATGAGTATCTTGCCCAAGGTGTTATCATTAAGTGGTAGAGCCAGGATTCAATTATGAATCTTTATGATTTGCACCTTGGCGTTTATCTGAATACTTAGCAATTACCTACTATGTGAAGTCTGATGCTAGGTTAGCAATGGAAAATCTCCCAGTGAGCAGAAATCAAAACAAAAGTCTTCCTCATGTGTGGCAAAGGACATAGGATAGAGAGTTAAACAGACTTACATGTGAATGGCAGTGCTACCATTTCTTGGGCATGCTATTCAATGTCTCTGGCCCTTAGTTGTCTCACTTACCTTGCAAAAACAGTCCTAAGAATGCCTGATGTCAAACAGAGATCACATCTCAAACTGAAAAATACAAGGGTGTGATGTACAAGTATATAATTGGAACTCTGATTTTGAAAAGCCAACATAGATTCATGGTTAAGAGCTTGGGTTCTAAGCTGCAAATGACTGTGCCCACAGCCTAGCTTTGCCATGTAAGACAAGCTATATAAGGCCTGAGCTTCATTTCTCCATCAGGAAAATGAGTTGCCTCGATTTTAAAATTAAAAACTCTTCAGAACTCCTGCGGCTGCTTCTGAAATTTACCTGTCCTAGAAATGCAATTCTCAATGCAATAACTAAGCTGATATTTTTTAAATGGTCTTGTTCTCATTGTTTTTGAGTATCAGGCAAGCTAAATTCTAGAGATGCACACATTCAGGCTGAAAATTAGAAGACTGTCTTTCCTATATATCTTTAAACTATTAAATGTGAATAATCAAGGAGGAGAATGTGGCAATGCTTCATAAATCAGTAGAGGCACACAAATACTAACTTTAAGGTACCACTTAAACCTCATCTGAGCAGGGCAGTTAAGTCCTCTTAAGGTCTATAGTTAATCCATACCCAAAGAACTGGAAAGTGAATAACTTCATCCCTAATTGTGTCCATATTGAACACAGCTGCCCTCTCGGTTCTAAATATTGCATCCAAATGATCTCACTTATTTTTTTATATTTTAAGTGTCCTATTAGGGGGCCAAGACCTGGTCTAGTTTTCTGTAATATGTAATACAGATGCTAACGTGCTTTTTGTTACCATTTAGTGCAACAGAAATAAACCAAATGTGTTTGAACATATGTCAGAGGGCTGACATAATCATATGAAGAATGCTATACCAGTTTGGCTTTGGGACGAAATGTGAATCTACTAGGGCAACATACAACTGCCCTCTGAGTCAGAAGATCAGAAGTTGCTGTGGCTACACATAGTAGGTGCTCAAATATCCATCCTTTAAAGGGAAGGGTCAGCTGTGCTTTAGTTATATCAGCATTAGGTTTTGTTGTTGTTGTTACTTGATTTTGTTTTGTGTTGCTCCCTGCCCCCTTTACCTCTAAAATTAAGCGACTTAAATGCAATTCATTTTTGAAGTAGAAAAAACAAGTATGTAGCTGATAGAACAGGCTTTTCCATCAATTGTTGGTTGCTAGTAAGGAGGGTCAATATTGATTTCTGCCTGGGCTAAGGTTCAACTATAGCTGAGGCTTTTCAGAGAGCATACATGTACTAGAATTGAAATGATAGACAGTTATATTTAATGTCCACGCTGTCTTCTAAAGGATAGCTTGATGCAGAAATGCTTGCTTAACTGCCTGAAAACCTGTTCTTTGTGATTTCTGATTTGTCTAACTGGTCTGAAGTTCCCAATGACTAAAAGTTGATAGTAATTGAAAGTTGGGTGCAAATATTTACCTTAGAGGGACACATATATGACAAGAGCTGCCTATAAGATAGTTAGAGAAAATAGTAACTACTCAACTAACATATGATTTTATTGTAGTTAAGTGGTACAGAGTGTTGTGTGGATCCAGAGGGAGAAAAAGGCCATTGGTGTTAATGGATTTGGCTTTTAAAGGAACAATGGAAGTCAAATAAGCAAAGGTAAGAAGAGAAAATGCATTTTAGGCAGCAGCGCATATGCAAATCATGCAGTTGGATGAACTTAGGATATGCCTAAAGAACTCTGACTGGTCAGTTTGGCCAAGAAACAGTACAGGTGGCATAGGGCTGAGAAGTGTCTGAGTTTGAAAAGTAGGGATGAATTATACTGAGCCATGGATGTCAGGATAAGAATTTTGATTTTTTTTTTTTATTTTTATACTTTAGATTCTGGGGTACATGTGGAGAACATGCAGTTTTGTTACATAGGTATACATGTGCCATGGTGGTTTGCTGCATCCATCAACCCATCACCTACATTAGGTATTTCTCCTAATGCTATCCCTCCCCTTACCCCCCAACCAGGCGCCGGTGTGTGATGTTCCCCTCCCTGTGTTGATGTGTTCTCATTATTCAACTCCCACTTACAAATGAGAATATGCGGTGTTTGCCAAGCAGATCCGTCATTAAAGCAGGAAAACCAAATGCTGATTGGGATAACTTAACCTGGCTCTATTGGCAGAATGTGTTTGAGTGGAGATTGCTTAGTAGTTGAAGAAAAGCCTATATTTCTTCAAAAATCATCAAAGTAGAGAAAAGGGTTGCTTAACCTAAGATTAAGGTGCAAAAAGAAATATTTATTACCCCTAATGTTTTAAGCGCACTGCTCATTAACAGACTGTGTCGAGCCTAGAAAAGTAGGGCAAATAATTTTCGGATCCCAAAAGCTTTATTGAATTGAGAGAAGAGCTCTACATGAATCAGAGGGCAATGATAGGTCATGGCAAATGTGAGGAAATGGCTGGTAAGAGGCCGGTAAAGACTTCCCTGAGACCACACATCTTGAGTGGCCTTGGAATGAAGGTTTTCACGAAATTCAAGAAGGTGAAGGCAGTACATATTACAGGCTAGCAGACCACATAAGAAGGTCTGGTGTGTCTATGTGTCTGTTTAGGGGAAACAGAAGACAACGGCCTCTTCAGAGAGCAGGTGGCCATGTATATGTATAGTCCACAGCCTGATTAGAAGGGCTTTGAATCTCAGCTTGAATGTGAATGGAGGAATTGAACACCGATACCTGATTAATTCAAAATCAGGAAAGCTAGGAGGCCAGTAAACACTCCTACAAAAATTTAGCCATAAAGGGAGATCAGTTACAACCAGAGTCTCTTACACCTTAGATTCTCACTGAAGCCCTTTGGAGAAAATGGAAGAAAGAGCTCATCCCATAAAGAGTTGTTTGTTTGTTTGTTTTTCACTTCAAGTGTTTTAAATATATTAAGGAGTACTTATGCTATGTGTGTAGAAAAGATCAACAAACACCATAATATAAGTCCGCTAATCATGAGGGACATGTATGATACAACGTGGTATAGCTTTTTAGGGAGGAGGAACTCAGGGTGGCGGTGAGGCAAGGTTGAGGAAAAATGCTGGAACTAAGTAAAAAAAAAAATATGATGGGGAGGGAGGAGAGGTGTGAAAATAAAGGGTAATTATGAAAAGTAGACTTTCAGAGGTTTGACTCATTCATTAAACATGAACAGTTTAGGATAAAATCTTAGCTTCATTCTAAGCTGCAGACAGTACTGTTGTGGATCTTTTAGGTATATCTGCATACGAAGTACATTCTGTAATGCTGTTCCCACTTAGTGTATAGTGATGCAAATGTTCAGTTTTCTGCACAAGAACTCTTTCATAGAAACAGTGGGCACAACCATGTTCTGTGTTAGGATCTGGACTCTTACACTTCATGCGGCCAACATTTGTGGAGGGCTCACTACTTGTATTGATCATGAAGTCCATTTCCTTGAAGACTGACATTGACCAAGTGCTGCCTGGTAGCCCCTTGATAATGCTCTTGTGACTTGGTAGTGCTCTTTAAATAACTAAAGCAAGCTGTAGGGACCCTTGGTTACATTTTCATAAGATTGTTTCACTGAAATCTGAGGTTCAATGTTTGGCCTGATCTGAAAGTGACACGTTGTATTCTTAGAAAATCTGGTAATTAAAAGTGCCACAGAACATGTCTGGTTCTAGAATACAGAAGTTCCCTGAATTGCTTGTACTTCTTAAGTGAATGCCAGACTGAATGCCAAATGAGCATAGTGTTTCCTTCTGGTGTTTATGAAGATAGTGTTGATTCAGAACTTTGGATCTTATGATAACTCTGAAGGAAACATCACTGAAATTCTTCAATACCCTCAGGTATAACAGAATTGCTTCCTTCTGTTACTGCCATACAGATGGTCCTTCAGATTGTAACGTGGTTATAGGAGACTCATAAATATTAAATGTAAATATCCCCTCAATTTGTGTCATAATTTAAAAATTGTTGAAGAGGGTTATTAACCCTTCAGACAACATTTGCATCTTTCCATAATTGATATCAATACAGCAATTTATATATAATTCCTTGATGTAATACTACTTTTTCTTCCTTTTATGAAGTATTATTAACAGCAATGAAGCTTTCTACCCTAATCAGAAACAATTCCTCCAAAACACATAGCATCAGTTATAACTGTGACCTGCTTGTTCTTTCTCCCCTACCTAACCTCTAAGCCCCTTTAGAGTAGAGACCATGTCTATTTTGTCACTCTATACATAGGATAATGCAGTGCTTGGCAAATAGTAGGTGTTTAATAAACAATAACCAGATGGCCAGGTGAGTGAGTAACTCAAGCCACTTTCATTTACAACATCAATTGCAATTTATTATAGAGTGAGCAAAATGGAAAACTTTAGCTTGCCTTATCATCTGTTGGTATAAGTAAAACAATTCTGACCACCCCCCCCCCTTTTTTTAACTTTAAGGTTATTTATAATGAGCAATATCCATATGTTCTTCTAGTTTATATCTGCTCAGGGCCTGAGGAAGGCAGACAAGCTGTTACTGAAATTCTCCAGATGGTGTGGTCTTTCCAAGTTGCTAGTTTAACTTCTACCAATGGAGTATTCATCATTGCTCATATATCTGTCTGACCTGATGGATGTAATCACCTGGCTAATAAGAATTGTGGTGAATAGATTTCAGCCTGATACTTTATCCACAAACAACTTCTTATTCTCCTTCTGTTTCTCCTTTTAAAAGTGTCCACCAAATTGTTTATAAAATTACTAATAAAATTTGAGAAAATAGGTAAGACCTTTGGCTTAGCACTGGATAATTAAGGCTATTGCTTTGACTTAACACAATTTCTGCCCAAATCAAAGAATCTTGTTTTGTTTTGTTTCTTATTTCCCTGTGCAGCTGTATTGTGAATTAAGATATCCATTAGGCTCTTTAAAATGCTAAAATTAGGTCACAAACTCATTACTGTCTGCACAGACCCCAGCATTTCCAAGAACCCCAGGCTGGAAACCAACTATAGGCCATCCACTGACCAACTTTGAAAATCCTAGCATAAGAGTTTTTTGACTTCTACTTATCATTTGACTGAAAACTTACTGTTGAATTTTTCATATGTCAGGAGCTTTCCCCAACAACTCTGCCTAGCTATCATTTAATGATGCCTAAGATGAAAGTGTTGACAGCTGACTATGGGCACTGTTCTATGTGATTTCAGATATGCTTATGTTCTATGTGTGGTTTCCCTTCACTTTTGAGTTTAATTGAAAGTGACTGAACCCTAGAGCATCTTCATGATTCTGTCTTTAGCCCAAGTTAGACTGTAGACTTATGCCTACATTTTAAGCTTTGCTGTCTACCAAATTAGCACATCTTTAAGGAATTTAATTTTTAAAATACAGAAAGCGCATCGCCCCAATATCACTTATTCTAAATGTATAAGAAGCAGAAATCTGTCTTTTCCTTTCCTACTGCCCTTCTTAATGAGCATTTTCTTGGCACTGGTCTTTCCAGACTTTCAACAGTTTTATGGAAAAACATATATAAATTGGGAAAAATCATGTTAATACATTCTGCTTCATACAAGAGGCTATAAATGCAGGACTATCTTAGTAAATAGCTGCCATTTACAAAAGATGCTCTTTTTTTGTTTTAAAGGAGCTCACATTTCAAAATGTCATTCCACTTCATATACATTTCTATAAAGCAGACATTAGGGGGGCCCTTTTGTATGATGAAATCGATCTTAGAATGTAGGGTGTAAGACATAATGGCCTTTGACTTTTTAAAAAGCCACCTTTAAGACATTATATTTATTTGAAGTTTGAGGGTCACTAAGCATCAGAGCTTGGCAAGATGGGATAACCTTGAATCTAATGTTTGAGATTGTTAGTCCTTAACCTTTCAATTAAAAGCCTTTGTTTCCAGAAGATTAGCCAAATATTTGAAAGAAACCGGCAATGTTGAATCACTCCAAAGGGCAAGTCTGTGCAACTGTCATACTGCAGAGCTCTCTGACTCTTTGATGCCATGTCCCTGTACTCGGATTTGTCACCACCCCAACCTCCACACCATCACTCAAAACCTGAAAGTCCTCCCAGTCCCATCTAGACAAAACAGAGTGCTATCGCCCACCCTAATCCAGTTTGACCCACCTTTTAACTTTTCCCCTGGTATAACCCAGCACAGGCCCTATATTATAGCCAAGCAGACATGAATATCTTTTACGCATTGCTATTAGTTCCTCTTTCCTGAAAGTACTTTCTGGCTATGCACGTTGCCCCAGTCTTTGAAGAACTAAATTAATTATCTCTTTTGTTGTAAAGCAAAGACATTAAAGCATATGTATTAGGCTGGTGTGACTTGCAGGTTGTTGCTTCACTCCTGTGCTTCAGCCTCCTCTCCTGTCAAATAGGGATGATACTGTCCAGGATTAAATGATAATGTCTTAGCATCACATCTGGTATACAATAAACATTAGGTAAATTTAACTTTTAAAAATCTAATATTCTGTGTTTCTAAGGAACATGTCCAGGACATTCTCAGTCCTGGATTCCCAAATCTATTTTCCTCTACTCTCCTTTCTCCCCAGAGCATTTTTCATCTTCTGAAAGTCTATACTCCACTTATGTTTTGCTCCCTGTTAGATAGTAAACCATATAAGGGAACAAATCTTTATTTTGCTCACTGGTATATCCCAAGCTCTAGAAGAATGCCTGGCACTTAGTAGGGATGCAGTTTTGATTACATGAATTAACTTGCTGGTAAAGATCACTGGAATTCAGGGGCAAACTTGGTTTCTAGTCTCTAAATTGCAATGGCTTTAAGTTGGGATCAATCACCAGACCCCCATGTGCTCTAAACAACAACAACAAAAAAGGCTGTCAGTGTCTGCAGGCTTTTCAAGTTTTGTCATAATCATGGTTTCACAGCAAAATCTAGGGTAGCTAGTGGCCTACCATTTGCGTCATCTCTCTGGCCATGCACAATATAAGGGAAATGACATACTCTTAAGAGTCAAAGACATTTGTTTTTTTCCCCCTTAAGGGAATGTTTTGGACCCAGGTGCAAATATAAAATAGCATTTAGGGTAGGAAACCGCCCCAGCTCTGAGAGCGAATGACAGACTCGGAGAAGGGAACTTTATTCACATCTCACCTCTGATAATTAACTCTAAAAGTAGAACTTTGCTTATTTTGGAGGTACTATGCAAACTTGGTAGTGTTGTTTCTCTCACTGTTTTCCTTGATGGAACTAATTGTTCATATGCTTCTGTAGTATGTTAATTAAGGAACACATTGCTAGTTAAAAAAACACTGCAACTGTAAATATTTTTCTGATTTCACATTTTGCTTTACTAAAAGGCTCCTGTGGAGAATGGAAGGGCTTGGTCATTACTTTTGGAGGATTTGTCTTAACTTCCTTGTCTGCAATATTGAGTCTTTTTAATAAAGATTGGATTAGGAACTTAATAGTGGCTTTCAAAGAAGACTTGTCTTTGCACAGGGCTATAGCGTTCAGCTAAGGAAACAAATGATCGAATTGCATTCTCTGATGCTAAAAATGCCTACATAGGAGGACTAGAAAATAGCACATGTTACCATGGAGTGGATCCTCCAAGGCTTCAAGGACCAAATCAAGTTACTTTTATTTAATGACCATAGTAAGAAGCATACAGAGAGGCTACAAATGGAGCCCCTATCTAATCACTTGTGTCCATCCCACATTTCCCTTAAGTATTGAAATGGCAATTGCTAATAGGTACAGAGTTTTGCAGCAGGTCATTAGTGGTTCAGAGAACAGAGGAGACTGCTCTGAAAGAAAATAAAAGCTAATGAAACATCTTGCTTAAGTATTATGTTTTTTATGAACCAAGGAAACTTCCTTTATTATGACTCATTGATGTTGACATTCCCGGGTAGACTAACCAGAAACCTTTTTTTAGTTCAATATAAATATGAGTATTTCATAAAGGGCCAAGAGGTCTCAGCTGACACTCAGCTAAGTGTCATTTGATAAAGAACCATTCCTATTAGTTCACCTCATGCTAGAACTATAAACCAGAGTGGTACCCCCATGATTAGTTAACTTAAAGACTGGTGTGCATTCAACAGGCCTGGAGAAAGAAGAACCCTTATCCCATCTGCTTACTCTGGGAAAGTCTCCCAGTGTTAAGTCAGATTTTTTAACCAACCTTTTGCCTAAAGTCAAACCTGGACCATTAATGTGATATGTGTGACACTGAGGGCTAGGCAGGTATGTAAATGATAAATTTTAGTGAAAAGGAAAAATACTCAATACAATTTCTAGCCAATACTCTGCAAACTAGAAAACAATATAATTCATAGTTTTTTTTTTAAGCAGGTTAGACAATACAGTAATCTCAACATTAACATAAACCAAACTCATTTAACATGGAAGGAGTAAAGAGCTGGCCAGTACTAGATGCACTGTAAAATTATCTACAGCTGGAGATGATTTTGAATAACACATATTAAAAGATACACACATAGATCTAATAAATGAGTCTTTACAGCTTAGAAAACCAGAAAAACTCAATTGTCCTAGTATATAAATTTTTCATGTCAAATAAGTTAAGCCCTTAGGGAAGTAGCAGTTTATTTGGTACCCTATGATTTAATGATTTGTTTAATTAATGCATTGCCTTTTAAAATATCCCAACAGAGTTGTTTATCAGGCTAGTAGTATAAGGTTTATAAGAAACAACATCTTGCATGGGCTATTACTTCATATTAATATAAAGTTAAGATACTAATTACTTCAATCTTACAGATTATGTCCAGATCAAAAGTAAAAAGAATATGATGTTGCCTTTGGGAAAGAAAACTAGATTTTTCTACGATCCTCAAAATTTGTTAATACCAAAATGGTTAATACCATCTCAAGAGCTTATCTTAAAAAATGTAAATGGAGTAGTCAAGACTTGAGCCTTTGAAACTGTTAGCTGATGACATAACCAGGTAGCTTTTCTAGGATATCTTGTTTTTATGCAACTCATACAAAGTTTATTTTTTCCCCTTCCCCAGCCCTGGATTAATTAGAGATGACTAAAATAGATGACCAAAGAAAACAATCCAGTGGAGTGTACATATTAGAAAATCTTCAAAGTCCCTCTATAAATCCTAGAATAAACTTTCTGAAATCTGTACAGATTAAGGTGAAACTTGAGATCTGTCCTTGTGTTCTTGGAGTATTACAACCAAGAAAGAAGATGTGTGAGCTATTTAATATATATTCCTTCCTAAGAAGTCTTAGTTCTCCGAAACACTATCATTCACTTTAATCTTATCTGTAGAGGTCATCTAAATGACTTGTGAAAAGTGGTATAGAAATTGAATTCCTGAGGTCTTCTCTGGATTAGGAACAATGTTTAATGGTTGGGGTCACCAAGGGGTGGTTCTTTTCTGAAATCTCTACTAGACACAAGGTTCCTTGAATTATGCTTCCAAACTTGCTGAGTGTGCTTCCTGATCCCAAAGATAGATGTCTAGCCATGTTTGTGAAAGGGTAGACCAGTCAATGGTGATTACTTACATGATACTAACAGGTGTGATTTTAGGTATGTAAACTTGGATTTATATAAAGAATTCATGAAACAAAACCTGTCTCACTTACAGACTTTATAAGCAAAATTCTGATATTAAGTCGGTGTTTTATTGTATTAATAAGTGAACCTTTCTATGCTCATCTATTTCTGCAGTTACTGAACTGTATACAGATATTTCAATACATTAGAACACTTTGTTGTTCAATGTAAATGCTCCAATTGTGCAACAACTAATCTGTTTACTTCAGTATAAAGTAGAATACTGTCATTTGGAATTTTTACATCCCTCAGTTTAAAAGTGCATTTATTTATTCCCACAAAACATATTTGTTCCAATACTATTTCCCAACAGATGAGAGAATAATGACAGATGTGAACTTTAGCTCAAGAATACTTGTGCATTTCTGCCAATTTTGTTCATCTTGTACTCAATCTGCAGCAGCTTTTTAGAGTTTTTTTTTTTTTAATAATCATAAGCACAATTTCAAGCAGGTAGGCTAACTATTGGGAGGCCTTCTTTTGGATCTGGAATTCGACTCATGTGGTATTATTATATGATCACAAAAAGCAAGACACCAATTTGACAGATTCACCTCTCTCCCTTGTATACAAAAAACGAAAATTACCCAGGGGTTTCTTATCCATTAACCTATCTAATTTGTCCAGTAACCAAGAAATAAGCAAATAAGGAATATATTCTTACTCGTAGAAGAACTCTCCTGGACTTTTAGGAAGCACAGTCTGATGTTGTATATTCTAGGAAACAAACTGCCAAGATTCTGACCTTCAGCCTGCTTGAACACTGGTATCAAGAGGAGAGATGGCTGGTTGTCAGGCTGCTGGTTCTCTGCAAACCTGAAATTTGACAAATAAATATCAAGTCACTTTTTGTTTTTAAATGACTCCTTTTTCCTTCATCTAATTTGAAAGCAACCATGTCTTGTCTAAAGGAAATTAACTAAATCATGAAGAACCATTTTTTAAATGATAATATTTTGAGCACACCAGATGACAGTAAATAGTAAGCAGTTTCAAATCAAAACAAACATAGCTATTCATAGCCACTGGGATTAGCAAGGCCACCAATATTCCTGGAGATGAAGCCTAACTGCCATGTTGGTTGTGGATGTCTTCCCCAACTCGAATAGATCATATCAGATGTGGAAATGTGACCCAGCGGCAAGTCTCTCATGGAAGGTTAATGCCAACTCTATGGGTAGGTTGAATATCAAAACAAAGGACATGCCACCTAGAACCTAGAGACAACATATTCGAATTAGATTAGTTAAACTGATCTTGTTTTGAGTCTGCATAACTGTAAGAAGTGTTTTCATGGTTTTGCTCTCTATACAGAAATGCAACAAAAAATACGTTCCACCTGTCTGTATACAATCACTATGTACACCCTAGTTTGCTCTGTGCTGATTTACAAGGCAGCTGGATTCTTCTTCCTTCAAACTCTTTAAACAGTGTGTCCTTGAAACATGAGTTGCAAGAAAGGGTACAGCAACACTCAAGCAATGGCTTTGAGGATTATATAAATATGGGGCTTTTCCTGGAAAGGGAAACCACATTGGGATTTTATATAATTTAGCCAGGCTATTAAAGAAGAAACCAAATATCAGGCAGTATTTCTTGCACTGGTTTTCGGAAGAGGAGAAGTTTAAGATTACCTGCTTGTTTTAAAGTGCCCTGGTGTGGTATATATCATAAAATAATTCTACTAGTGTACGTAGCCCTTCATTTATAGCTTAATGTTTATAGCACAGATGCTTCTAAATTACATGCTTTTTAAAAACTCTTCTAACATCCGCATAGAGTTTCAAGCTGACTACTGTCATGGCACTTGAATAGAAAGTGGGAAGTATTCAATAATTAGGATTTATATGCATATGCGTCATAGGTGAAGTCACAGAGGGACGTGGATGAAGAAATGATTGTATCCTGAAGTCCACGAGTGAGGTATGCTGCACATCTATGTTGACTTAATTCAGGATTATTTCATACGGGGATGAGAATGCACAACCTAATGTTGTATATTCTAGGAACAAACTGCCAAGATTATTTGTATCATTCATTTTAAAACTAGCATGGTGGGCCGGGCATGGTGGCTCACGCCTGTAATCCCAGCACTTTGGGAGGCTGAGGCAGGAGTTTGAGACCAGCCTGGCCAAAATGGTGAAACCCTGTCTCTACTAAAAATACAAAAATTAGCCAGGCAGTGTGGCAAGCACCTGTAGTCCCGACTTCTCAGGAGGCTGAGGCAGGAAAATCGCTTGAACCTGGGAGGCGGAGGTTGCAGTGAGCTGAGATCGCGCCTCTGCACTCCAGCGTGGGCAACAGAGCGAGACTCCGTCACAAACAGAACAAACAAACAAAAAACCTAGCATGGAAATAGGAAGAGGAGTTATTTTTGGTAGAAATATCTAACCTAGCTTAGAAAGGACAGACATGAAAACAGTAAAACATTTGCTGGGTCAGTTTGGGTCAGTATATGATGAGGGAGGATTGTAGTAAAAGCTATGAATGGTGTGAGTGCGTTGCCTCTGAGTCTTAACTTTTTGACTACCTTTTCCTGCCAGGATCAAGCATAATACATTGTATATTTAGATGCCAAATTTAAAGTAAAACTCATGCATTTACTGTGTTTTGTATCAGTTCCAGAGTGCTTCTCTTCAAGTCACTGCCCCAAAGACACTGCAATAGAAAAATTCTAGAGGTTTCTATGTCAGTAGTAGTTTTTTTTAATATTAAAACTCTAATATTTTTCATGTAAGTTGTTCGTTCTTTAGAAAATTGTATGCCCTTGGATTTAGGATGGGAGGGAAGCAGAATGAAATATAATATCCTACTTTACCATCTAATGATACAAAATAAAGTTCTTCTAAATTCAAATTTTAAAACGGGTTTATTCTATTGACCCATTCCAGTTGCCTATGAACACTTTAGCTTTCTAAAATCTTCTTCCAAAAGTGCTTTCTTGGTATATGTTCTGATTAATATCACTTCAAAACTAGAAATACCAAGCCTTCCTGGTCTTGGGGTCTCCTATGAGGGTCCCTTCCTGCTGTTGTCACCATGGTGTGAAGTCTTCAGCCTCATCACAGTCACCTAGTGCAAGTGACTGGGCTACCACCAAAACCTGGTGGGTTTTAGCCACTGAAGAAAGTGCTCTGGTGAGCGGGGCAGGTTTGGCCATCTCTGGTCCTGCAGTAGTGTCTCCAGGTATGGGAAGTGCTCAGTAGAGTTCCGCCATGTCCCTACAGGCCCTCTGGTCACACGGCTCTTTCAGTGTGATAATGCATGCCACCCACCAGCCACTGCACCAAGGCATGCCCATGCTGCCCGAGTCTGCTTGGCTGGGTCAGATTGGACACCTAATGCTTGTGCCAGGTCTTTAGTTAAGACTGCCTACCTTCCTGTTATGGGAATTCTTCCCTTGGGCCCTCTCCACTGTGTCAGACCACTTCAGCCCATTGATCATTTCCCAGAAGTGCCTCAGCTTACTCTATAGACTTGTTCACCAGCTTCCCAGATACCTTTGAGCTTTAAAGCCTAAAGTATATGGGAAAGAGTAGCCTTTGCCAAACTCTTCCAACCCCATAATAAAGCCATATTATCCTTTTTCCCAGAACAATGGTTTCATAATAGCTTTTCCTCAGAAGTAATGGGAATCACTCATGGCTTCTTCCATAGGTGACTTGATATTTCTCTAAGTAGAAAGAGAAGCAGCTAGTGAGGTGGTTCGAGATGACATTTAATATCACAACTCTGGGCTCAAGGTTGTAGTCATTACCTTGCCAATCTCTCTTCCCTACATCACTTCCCAGGGACAAGTACAAAATGGAGAACAGCACATAAGGAAAGACATACCATATAAGGAAAGAATTATGCATGGGCATAGGTGCCTAGCAACCTCCAAATACAGAGCTCTGCAAAAGCTACGTTGCAGCATGCTATGCGCTAGACTGTAATTCCCCATTGTCTTTTCCTTGTCAAGTTGTGCCCACAACATTGTCCTACCCAGCTTGCTTGAGATATATGAAACTCACGTACCAAATGGTCCCTGATGTAAAGCAGGTCATAGCCCAAATGATTCAGTGCCAGCAATGTAAGGCAATGACAGAAATGTGATTTTTAACCTCTGTAGTTTCCCTGAAGTTTCAATGTCACTTCCTTTCCTTTGTAGAAGTGAGTTAAAGGAGAAAGTTGGATTCCTGTTCTGTGTAGTCTAAGCCAGAGGAGGTTATACTTGAGAACTGGGGTGGAATATGTTTCTTCTCCCACATTAAAGCTGAAATGGGTGTATACTCTCTAATGCCAATTAATTCAACCTCAAGCCTCATATGTCCATATTCACAAAAATTCCACGTGATCAAAAGACCAAAAGGACATTCTGACACTGCTCTCTTTCTTAGAAGCTGAATAAGTGTAAAGAGGGATTCTAGAATCAATTGTCTCTGCATGTCTGTGTTCATACAAGCATATTAACTTACACCCAGCTTTGCCGAGAGGCCAGAACATGTTCTCACTGTGAAGACTACACTTTCTATTTTTTCCAACTTTAGTGCAGTTAAGTGTTCAAACTAATAGCCCTTGTGCTGAAACAACAAAGCAAAAATACAATTGCAAAATTGATCATAACCTTAATACTTCTGTTCAGCTTGTGAACACTTTCAGACACTTGCCGTGAATTGGGTGGCACTGCCCCGTCTAAAGGCCAAGTGCAGTGGCTCATGCCTGTAATCCCAGCACTTTGGGAGGCCGAGGCGGGTGGATTGCCTAAGGCCAGGAGTTCGAGACCAGCCTGGCCAACATAGTGAGACCCTGTCTCTACTAAAAACGCAAAAATTAGCTGGGCCTAGTGGTGGGCACCTGTAGTCCCAGCTACTTGGGAGGTTGAGGCAGGGGAATCGCTTGAACCCGGGAGGTGGAGGTTGCAGTGAGCTGAGATCATGCCACTGCACTCCATCCTGGGAGACAGAGCAAGACTCTGTCTCAAAAAAAAAACCCAAAAACCAAAATCCAAAAACAAAGAATGTGCCCTTATTTGGATGCATAAAGCTTCTTTGAAGTTTAAACTCTTCTAAACGTTCTTTATAGAGGGGACTGTTTCTTTCTTTTTTTTTTTTTTTTAGATAATAATACATGCATTTATTTTTTATTTATTTATTTTTTTAATTTTACTTTTTCTTTTTTTTTATTATACTTTAAGTTTTAGGGTACATGTGCACAATGTGCAGGTTAGTTACGTATGTATACATGTGCCATGTTGGTGTGCCGCACCCATCAACTCGTCATTTAACATTAGGTATATCTCCTAATGCTATCCCTCCCCCCTCCCCCCACCCCACAACAGACCCTGGTGTGTGATGTTCCCCTTCCTGTGTCCATGTGCTCTCATTGTTCAATTCGCACCTATGAGTGAGAACATTGACTCAGCAATCCCATTACTGGGTATATACCCAAAGGATTATAAATCATGCTGCTATAAAGACACATGCACACGTATGTTTATTGTGGCACTATTCACAATAGCAGAGACTTGGAACCAAGCCAAATGTCCAACAATGATAGACTGGATTAAGAAAATGTGGCACATACACCATGGAATACTATGCAGCCATAAAAAATGATGAGTTAATGTCCTTTGTACGGACATGGATGAAGCTAGCAACCATCATTCTCAGCAAACTATCGCAAGGAGAGGACTGTTTCTTATGCTCCAATAAGAGACATTCTTAATAACAAGTTATTAAAAAAAACAAAATGGGTAGAGGTGGGTACAAAATTAGGATGGGTTATAATGAGTCCAGAGTATTGAAAGTTGCCAATTCAAGAGCTTAGACTTCCTATCATGCTCAAAAAAAAAAAAAAAAATTCCAAAAAAACTAAAACTAAAAGGCCAAACACTGAATAGTAGAGAATGTACCGAAATAAATTTAAATGCTTTGATCTGCAAGTCTCAGACCTAGGCAAAGCAGCCAAATCAATATTAATGAGACAGTTTGACCAAGTAACTCCTGCTACCTAGGCAAAAAGGAATCTAGTGACAATGTATAATGAGACCATGTAAGATCCTTTTTCTATTTTGATTCAGAAAACATCTATAAAATACCATGTTCAAATTACCCTGCTAAGCTATCTTCTTGTTCTTTTGCTTGGTATATCTGCTAAATGGAAGGCATTCTTGGTTCAGTCCCCATGTAATGGGCTTTGTACATCCTGTTTTTAAAAAATGGTTTTTAAAAACAAACACAGGTAATCTCTAGGAATAAGGCATTACAGTCTCATGCTAGATCTTTCCTGGTGCCAGCTTTGTCCCCTCCAGCTATTTCACAATTAGACAAGTCAAACTCTCTTTCTTGCCCTCAGTTTTCTAATCATTATAATAAAATGATGTGGCCAAATTATTCTCTATTTTTCTTCCAGCTCAAGTCTAACCCACTTGGTATTTCTTTAAGCAGATAAAGCGTTGTTAAAGTAAACCATCGCACCTCACATAGGTCAGTATATTGAAATGATTTAGGAATCTTTAAAATATATTGATACCTGGGTCTCTATGCCCAGAGACTGTGATCTAATTTATCTGGGAATGCCATGAATATCAATGTTTTAAGAATTCCACAGTAAAATTTTCCCAGATGATGTGAAGCAGAGCTTCTAAACTGTCCGTGATAATGACGTAGGCATGAATTTTAACTCAGGATTCATTGGAACAGGCATCTCTGGGTAACTTAGAGTAGATTTTGTTCCCAGAGTCTGTTTCTATCAGAACCCAACTTTTGTAGGCTCAGAAGGCAGAGCTGAGCAGGAGGTGGCTCTTACACTGGCAAACCATCTCACTTTTCCACCTGGGCTTTACTAGTTAAAATACTAGGCTGGGTGCAGTGGGTCAAGCCTGTAATTACAACATTTTGAGAGGCCAAGGCAGATGGATCACCTGAGGTCAGGAGTTCAAGATCAGCCTGGACAACATGGTGAAACCCTGTCTCTACTAAAAATACAAAAAATTGGCCAGGTGTGGTGGCTGATGCCTGTAATCTCAGCTGTTTGGGAGGGTGAGGCAGGAGAATCACTTGAACCCAGGAGGTGGAGGTTTTAGTGAGCTGAGATTGCACCACTGCACTCCAGCCTGGGCAACAAGAGCAAAACTCTGTCTCAGAATAAATAAATAAATAAAGTATTACACCATTCCACCTTTCCACTTATTAGTCATTTGAGCATAGGTTCTTACTGTTCTAAAAGTGTTTAAACACTTACTGTGGAAATGCAATGTTGGAAAGAGCACAAGACTACACAACACATAGCTTCTGTGACCTAGCTTTGGTTTAATAGTAGCTACTGATATGGTTTGGCTTTGTCTCCACCCAAATCTTATCTTGAACTGTGGCTCCCATAATTCCCATGTATTGTGGGAGGGACCTGGTGGGAGGTAATTGAATCATGGGGGCAGTTTCCCCCATACTGTTCTCTTGGTAGTGAATAAGTCTCATGAGGTCTGATGGTTTTAAAAGGGGTTTCCCTTTTCGATTGGCTGTCTTTCTTGTCTGCCACCATGTAAGACGTGCCTTTCACCTTCCACCACGATTGTGAGGCCTCCCCAGCTACGTGGAACTGTGAGTCCGTTAAACCTCTTTTTCTTTATAAATTACCGAGTCTCAAAAATACAAAAAATTAGCCAGGCATGATGGCAGGCGCCTGTAGTCCCAGCTACTTGGGAGGCTGAGGCAGGGGAATGGCGTGAACCCGGCAGGCGGAGCTTGCAGTGAGCCGAGATCGCACCACTGCACTCCAGCCTGGGCGACAGAGCAAGACTCCGTCTCAAAAATAAATAAATAAATAAATAAATAAATAAATAAATAACCCAGTCTCAGGTATGTCTTTAACAGCAGTGTGAGAACAGACTAATACAGCTACCATTTGTTAAGCACTTTCTAAGCCAGGTGCAGCTGTCGCTATGTAAGTTCTTACTGATTTTTTTTCTAATAGCTCAGCAAACTATATTCTCATTTTACCAATGAAGAAATGAACATTAGATAAATTGTCTCAAGCCACAGAGCCAGGAAATGATGAATCCTGGGTGGGTGGGACTCACAAGCCTGAGCTATTAGCTGCTATGCTATCCCACCTCTACCCAAAGTTAACTGTTTGATAGAATCTTAACTCTGGTCTGACTTGGTTCCAAAAACAGGGAAAGCATCTTGGTTCAAGATTTACTAAGTCCTCTAAGTCCTGCCATATCATTTTCAAAGATTAAAGGCAATGATACCTCCTCGCTGTAAATGCATAACTTGTGGATAGCTCATTGACTCGGGCTTGTTTTGTTAGTGAGGCCCCTACAGTAGTGTCAGCATTTACAAGAAAATCTTCTAAGGACTCCTTTTCAGTATGCATTAGCATAGTCTCATTCCTCAGTGAAACAGGCTGTAAAAATCTTACTGTCTGCTCAGTTTGGTCTTTGCAGAGCAGAAGAGCCTTCCTAAAAGCATAAGAATCCAAAAAAGCAGTTAAAGGAAGGATTTGCATAAAGTATCAGAAACAGTCTAACTTTGCTACAGCATCGCTGGTAATGACCCCTATTCTTAAAGAGCTACTTTGAAGATAGCAGTGAAGGCTGTTTGCTGCCCTCTTGGACCCCGAGGTCTGTCTTAGAGGTTAATATTTCACATGTTGTCCTAATTCCGCACTTTAGCTGAGGCAGGCAGAAAGTTCAAAGAAACAAGGAAGCACATTCTCTGTCCAGTACAAAGTACTGGACATTCTAAACAAATATGTTTATGTTGCTTTCTTCTTGAGTCTCCTTAATTCCTTTCCCTGTGTCTATTATATGTGGCTTCTTGCTAAAAATTAATGGTGTGTTAATGTCAGTGGGATGATGACTTTTTGAAAGTAGCTTATAAAATCCAGGTTAAAATCAGTGGGATTCAAGAAAAGACAAGAGAGACAGTATATATAAGAGAAGAGAAAACACAGACTATGCTCACTTTGAGCCCAATGGCTTATGGCGGATTGATTTTCTGTTGCTGTGTCCATTTCATTATTCATAAAATAGAGACACATTCAGCCGGATGCGGTGGCTCACACCTATAATCCCAGCACTCTGGGAGGCCGAGGCAGGACCTGAGGGAGGTCAGGAGCTCGAGACCAGCCTGGCCAACATGGTGAAACCCTGTCTCTACTAAAAATACAAAAACTTAGCCAGGCATGGTGGTGGGTGGCTGTAATCCCAGCTACTCGGGAGGCTGAGGAAGGAGAATGGCTTGAACCTGGGAGGCAGAGGTTGCAGTAAGCCGAGATTGCGCCACTGCACTCCAGCCTGGGCAACAAGAGTGAAACTCTATCTCAAGAAAAAAAAAAAAAGAGAGACACATTCTGTTTCATAGGCCTTTCGGAATAAGTGTTCTTAGTGGTTGGTATACTAGGTGTTTGTCCCATTCCCCTTAATGTTAAAAATAAATTCCCTACCATCTGTTGAATGGGGCTACCACTAAGTCCTTAACTCAAGTTATTCCTTTTACCAGCATTTTGAGACTGGCAAAGCACTTTTCCTGCCTGCTCTGTATAATTAGGGTAAGAAGGTAGGCTTGGGAGTCACAGGGGAGGATGGTTGACACTTGTATTATGATATTGCTTCAAAACCTTGGAATCATTAAGTAGTACCATTGCTGATGCCAACACATTCCTACTGGTAGAAAGGATAAGGATATATAAGAAGTGCCAACCAACTTTACCCCTATAAAGCCTAGACTAATCATTGTCCACCATGCTGGCAATTGAAGGATTCAAAACACTAGACATTTTATATGAATCACTAAGGACTAAGCAACAGCTGATTTTTATTATTGCAAAGCCCATAGTCATTCTAAGATGACTCATGCAGTCTTCCAGAATAAATTTCTCAGAGCCTTCTCAGAAACCAGGAGAGATGTTGCAAGCTCCAGAATCTCTTGCAGTCATCTGATGCTAGTCCCACAGAAGGGGGAAGTCTCTGCATTCTTTCAGGGAGATTTGCATTAAGTCCAAAATCCAAGTTAGAGATCTTCACTTAAATGGAAGCTAATTTTATTCATATAGCAGAGTTTCCTTTACAGCTTTCTGTTCTATCTGAGGCCTTAAAAAGGAGTCAGGACTATAAGATAACTTTAGATCTTCCTTTGTTTTTACATGTGTCATCTTACTTCTCTTTTCAATCTTCTAATGAAGGAAACAGCCAGTCCCTGAGAACCAGGATAACAAACTAGCTATTTTTAGATGGGGAACTGTGCTTGTGAGCCTTTTTATATGTTTTTGAGCTTTCATTTGTAATCCTTGCCTTGTGATAACACCCCTTGGGTGTATTTCCTGACTAATTTTGCACTTTTTGAACTGAAGGGACCTGAGACTACACCCAACGAGTGAGAAAATTGTATACTTCCTCCTTGTGCTGCACTCACTTGCTTCCCTTTGTAAGAAATTTTTACCATCCTAGAGCTTTCAAACAGACCCCATTGCTTAACATAAGCTAGACACTTTCTTCAACAGAGCCCCAGTTTGGAAAGGTAATCAAAGGAATTAACTAGGGGACTTTTGGTCCTCAGATCCCTTTTCTAGGCCCAATCCCTTTTTTAAATTCAACTCATTAAAAACCCTGCTAAAAGTTTTATGGATGCAAGTGACAATATTCAAATGCATTACATTTGAATATTGACTATTAAGTTTAAACCAATTATTCTCTACAGATGGATCTAAGTCTGTAAGTGAGCTGCCTTCTACCCACTGCATGTTAAATGATAACTTGCCTATTTGACAAGTCTATGATGGGGACGTGCTCTTTAAACCTTGGGAGAAATGTGAATTATCACTCTGGTGTATGCATAACTGGATGTACACTTTTGTTAAAATCTTGCAATAAGTCTTGAACATTTTTTTTGTAAAGGGGTTTGTAGTCTTGGGGCCTGTAAGCAGAGTCTACCTTCTGATCATTTCAGGAAGTAGAGATAGATATATTTTCAATTGTATGGCCTACAATGGAGACTTACCCTTGGCTATTGCAACTCAACATACACATCCATTTTCTTCAGGGAATTTATATTACAGAAACTTTTCCTCCTTATTTTTTTCTTCCTTGTCCCTTGGAATTGCTCATACCCAAATGGCGAAAGGATATAGTCAAAGGAAATCAATTACCTTTAAAGCAATTCCAATGCTATGAAAAGCTGTATTTAAATATCTGAACAGAGAAATTTTTGCTATAAAAACTTACAGCAAGGTAATGCCACTCACCTTAGAATCCTTCCATTTGGCCCAGTCTGCCAACGCTAGATTCGATACCTGGTCTTCAGCTACGTCTTGTGTTACTTTTATGACTAAACCCAGATGCCACCGTTCCCTCCCCCAAAACCCCTCAAAGTGCTTTGTGGCACTTCTCAAATTCTTTTAAAATAGTCTCATGTAAGAATACAAATTGCCAAATTTAATGAGCTAAGTCTTTTCATGTCAGAAATAATACCTTGCAGTGAAGTATGATATCCGGCTTCAAAGATGGGCAACAGACTCTTAAGCCCAGGTCACTTTTTCAGCCAGTGATTCTAACCCAGTTCTGGGCCATCTTGCTGCTGCTATCAACACATGCATTGATGAACTCAACATAATACTGACCTAAGCAAGACAGATCTGAAGGTATAGTCACACACACTTCAATTGCCTCCCATGAAGAAAATAGAATGTATTCTGTTTTGGAATATATTGTTGCAGTTCTTGTTCTGGGCCTAGAAAGTTAAAAGTAGATATCGAAGTATATAAATATAGCCTTGAAAGCCAAAATAATATGGTTTTTAAAAGCATATAAGGATTAATATTCAAGTGAAACACTTGAATCTGCCACATTTAGGGTACCCTTAAAGAATAGTTTTTTGATCTGGAAAATCAAAACAGATTAGCCTTACCATTGTGTCAGTTGGAGTTCAGTCCACACCAGTTATTTTAAAAGATTTTAATGTTAAGCATTAATTCCCACTCGAATACTAACCAGGCCTGACCCTGCTTAGCTTCCAAAATCAGGCTTGTTCATGGTTGTATGGCCGCAGATATTAAGTGTTAACTAGGTATAAGTTGTTAGCTAGAAAACTGAGAGAGTAAGAAGAGAAGATCAAGTCATCACTGGGTAAGTAAACTACAGAAAGCAGCTACCACCTCTAGGGCTGAGGGGACAAAGTTAAGACATTGGAACCATCAAAGTTTATAAAGCTTGCAGGAGGGGGTCTCATGGTGCTGATACTGAGGCCTCTGAGAAGGGAGTACTGCTTAGCTAGTACTGGAGTCCCTGTGCTCTGAGGGCCTGGGACCTGTTGGCCTGGAGAGAGTATGCCAGAGGGCTGATGCTGATGTCTCCAGGACAGGCATGATGAGACTAGTTCTGCAAGTGTTAAAACTGGATTCAGGGGCTGTTTTAGGAAGAAACTCTTGCTGCTGGAGTGAAGAAGTTCTACTAGAGTCACACTCCCAGGAGTCTCAAGTCATAAGGAAGTCCATGTGGAGCAAGCAGACATGTCCGAGTCCCTTCACCAGCTTGGCAGTTTCCCTCCAGCGCACCTTACTGGCAGAGCCAACATGCAGCCAGCAGGCAAAGCAGGAATGTTTGCACAGTCTAGCTCTGGCTTCACTAACCGGAGATAGAGGTGGTTCTGAAGCTGAGACAACTTAAATGGCACAGATCACCCCTCCAGCTACTCAGCATCCACATACACCCTTCCACACCTTTCAACTTTTCCTCTGACAGCCACACAAGTGTTTCCATCTAAAAAGGTGCAACTGTCTTTCATTCAGAGAAAGATGTTCTCACCCTCTCCCCAAACTGGGAAGCTGCAAAGACCCCATAGGCATCACATTCATTTCTGGAAAACGGTTACTGTCTTTGGGCTACATTAACCACCCCTAGACTTCAGTTGCAGTCCCATCTGAATAATTCACTGCCTAAAGACAAAATTGTACATTTAACTTCAAAAATACTTGCATTAAAAGAGAAGATAGAGAGATAAGAAAATAGGTAATACATACCAGTGTATACACATAACAAGCAAGGAAGAAAATACGCATAGCTACAACTGCCCTCATTACCATCTGCATGAATGCCATCTATATCCCAGACATTGAGAAATGAGTCTCCTACATTCAAGGAGATTATAGTCCAGTGTGTGGGCAGACAAGCAAATAGACTTGTGTGTAAACCATGCAATGGACATGTGTATTTCAAGAGGACTACGTGAAGCTGTGCTGGAATACAGCTTCTCAGCTGAGATTTGTCACTGCAGTGTTGAGGAACTCTGGTTTGGGGCCAGACAGTCTGGGTTACAAACCTGGTTCTACCACTTAGCAGGTATGTCGTTTTAAATATCTTTGCCTTCACTTTGGGAGGCTGAGTCAGGCGGATCACAAGGTCAGGAGCTTGAGACCAGCCTGACCAACATGGTGAAACTCCGTCTCTACTGAAAATACAAAACTTAGCCGGGCGTAGTGCCCCTCACCTGTAATCCCAATCCCAGCTACTCAGGAAGCCGAGGCAGGAGAATCGCTTGAACCCGGGAGGTGGAGGTTGCAGTGGGCCGAAATCGTGCCACTGCACTCCAGCCTGGGCGACACAGCAAGACTCCGTCTCAAAAAAAAAAAAAAAAAAAAAAAGAATATCTGTGTCTTAGCCTTCCCTCTGGAAAATGAAATATGATACAGTAATACTCACAGGACTACTATGAATCTTTTAAAGTTATACAATTAAAAGGTTAATAGTGCCTGGTTCCCACCTAAGTCCTGAGTTAAGAATGGCTTTGAGTCTCCTACTGTGTAAGACTTTCATCTGTAAACAGACTGTCTCCCTGGTTGCCAACCAGCCAGGTGTCTTTGAGCAAAATTAACTACTAAATCTCCAAATGAAGCAATTCAGATAACATTACTCATACATAGATTGCATGAATGTATGTATTTAAAGACTGTTCAGATTATAAAGACTTTTAAAACTCACAGTGGGAGAAATTAAGTACTGACCCCTATGAAAACATGTTGACATCTGTAAACAAGCTAAGTGCAATTTAAATTGAGTAAAAACTTGAGACTTACTTTTTATTTAGATATTCTTTAAGTATCTAACAAACGACAGTTATTCCCATGTGGTGGGCTTGGTCCTTCAGTTACAATGTTCACTTAAATGGGTGGTATAGGCACGGAATGAAGAGGGCTTTTGTTGAAGGCAGGGTTGTGGAGGGGTTAGTGTGCCAGCCCACAGGTTGTCTTAACACGATTACAAAACAATGAATAGCTTTTCTTTGCCTTTGGTCATCAGTCAATGTAGAAAGTTAATCTACTCGCCCTAGCTCTCTCTACAGCATATAGAAACATTGGCTCCTGGGAAGTGAGAGAACCTTTTGGAAAGTTAGCTCACTTCTGCGTGGTTACAATGACTGCATTTTCCTGTTTCTCCTACTATGATACATTGTGGGTAGGGCAGAGGTTGTGAGAGCACATGACAGACTGTTTGGAGTATGGTGATGCTGAATAATAGCATAAAAATGTACTAGATTAATTGCACAATTGGAACCCCCTCAATCCATTATTTCCCTGATACAAATAAGTGTTAATGGCAAAAAAGGATGTGTTTTATAGTGCTTGGATAACCCTGGGGATCATATGCAGAATCCTAATACTTAAAACAAATTTATCAATGTGAATAAGATACAGGTCATAACTCTACTCTAGTCACTGCCTTTATAGTTAAGCAATTTTCCGAAGAACTGAAATTTATAATGCCCAATCTCAAATGGCATTTGCAGTCTTACCAGGCTTAACATTCAATTTATTTCTGTTTTGCAATAATGCCTAGCAAGTTTTCGATCCCTATCTTTAATACTTGCTTTTTATGTGAAAGTTCTAATAAAAACTGCTTAGCTAGATAATCATTAAATGTTACCAGATATCAAGTGCTTAAAGAAAAAACTAATAGGCACACATGTTCCATTTTGGAAACTACAAAGGAAACACTCCTACCCACTCCCCTGCTTTCAGTCTTCAGTCTAATACAGCAGGAGAAGGAACAAAATGAGTCCAAAGAACTACAAAAGAAAGTCACTAGTTGTAAGCCTATTCTGGCATAAAGTCTGGGTCTGCTGTGTTCTGATCTCAATATGCCTCTAAACTCTGCCTACAGGTGTCTGTGGGAGGTTATGTTTATTTGAGACTTCTCCATCGGGATCGCCTGGTGTCACCAAGTGTCCACTGGTACTGAGGTTTGCTGCCTGCCTTCTTGCCATGTCTAACGAAGTAGAAACAAGTGCAACCAATGGTCAGCCCGACCAACAGGCCGCACCAAAAGCACCCTCAAAGAAGGAAAAAAAGAAAGGTATGGAGAAATCCACTTGAAGCCAAGGAAGGGAGCTAGAGATGGTTACCCCTGGAGAAATGTGAGATTCAGAATAAAGTAAGGGCTGGCTCTGATCTTCCTTCAACCTCAGCTTAGTCTCATGTTCTCCTAATAGGAAAGTTGTACCTTGGGAGAAGAGACTGGTTCATCTCACGTGTAATAAGACATCTCTGGAAACCTGCGATTATACCCACTTAAGTCCAGTTGGGAAACAGTCATGGCATCTTGTTCAGTTAATAATGCAGTCGTTAATTATTATATGGTTATCATTCAGTTATTTATTTACCATTTGATTTTACTGAACTCATTGGGAATGGGACTACACAGACCTTGTAAAAGGAGCAAAAGACATTATAAAGATGGGATAATTATCTTAATAATTTTCAAGAGAACTTAGGCATAATTCCTTTCTGCCTTATTGATAATTTAAAATGTTGGTAAATTGCTTGGCAGCTTATTTTTCTTACATTAAAAATACATATATTATCATCCTTATATTCCTTTAAAGACTTAAAAAAAACTATGATGAAAAATGTCCCCAACTCCCACCTCCCATATTCCCATACGTTTCCCATAACGCTGTCAATTTTGTACTTCTAACAGTTTATTTTCTCCCCACCTCAACTCCATACACAGTTGATTGTGGAACATGATTTTGCTCAAAGGAAGTAAGAATAAGACAGGACAGAATATTACATACATGATCAGTTGTAGTATAATCAGGATTTATATTACTTAAATTTTGGAGAGTCTAGAGCATATTTGGTCATAATTAGAACTAGCATTCTTCATCCTGTATTCCTTTCTTTTCTCAGGCCCTGAAAAGACAGATGAATATCTCTTAGCAAGGTTCAAAGGCGATGGTGTAAAATATAAGGCCAAGCTGATTGGCATTGATGATGTGCCAGATGCAAGAGGGGATAAAATGAGCCAAGACTCTATGATGAAACTAAAGGTAAAAGGGAAATGAATGCTTTATCTGTATATTAAGCAAAAGTCCAAGAGAGGGAATTATATTAGAAGCTCTTGTTGACCTATTGTTCAATTACTTGAAAACTGCTTTTAATCACATTATCCATCAGTAGTGCCCCATTTTCTGAGAAACCGTGAGTGTTTGCATATTTGGAGGGATGTCCTAGATACCTAATTTTATCAAGTATAATAGGACTCTAGATGCCTTTTCCTTCTGGCAAGCTCAACATTAGGACGAACCAAGCGTATTCCTATTTCTATTCCTATAAAAGCTGTGTGCAAATATTTGCATTGCTTGTCTTACTATATGTGGAGAGCACGGAATATCCTGTTTTAGACCTGGGAATTGTTCTGATAAAATTGAGGATTCTACTTAGACATTGGTGTTCCTTAGCGCTAGCCTTTCTGTTTTTTGAATTTAAAAATTTAGTACTATGGCACTATGTGAAACTGACTGAATAAATAATACTTGTTCAATAGTTCAAGGCCTAGAAGAAACATCTCTAAAGATCTTCTAGTTGAGCTTTACCAGTGACTATTCTGAGGCCAAGAGAATTAGAGTGACTTGTCCGAGTTCGCACAGCTAACTAAGGGATGCCCTGGTTCAACGTCTTCTATGCCGTCTTGCTGTCCCGGATGAAAAGTGCCGAATCCTCTCATCGATGGCAGATCAAGTCGAAAACAAAGCTGACTGACTTTGAAAATTTTAATATTAAAACCATTGTAGGATGTTTTTAAAAATTCAACTTCTCTTGTTTTTCCACCCTCATCAGGGAATGGCGGCAGCTGGTCGGTCTCAGGGACAACACAAACAAAGGATCTGGGTCAACATTTCCCTTTCTGGGATAAAAATAATTGATGAGAAAACTGGGGTAAGAATTCACATTTGCTGATACCTCTCTGACCACCTGAGTCTGACCAACAATTTGCTACTTGAATTTCGGCTCCCCTTCTTCGTTCTCAAAGTTCTGTGGGGAACAAATATATCATATATTACATCTCCAGAAGTAACAGGCAGAAAACAGAATAGGAGGTAAAAGTCAAGATACTTGATTTTGAATTTGTGTTCTATAATAAATGTGAATCTAAGTCTGTTAAGTCTGTTAATAGGCTTAGATTCACATTATGTCTATAATATATAAATATATATATTTTTGAAATTAAATAAATATATATAATTTATATAATATACAAATATACATTAAAATATAAATACATATATAATTTATAAAGTAAAACTTCTATATATATATATTTTTTTTTTTTTTTTTGACCTCGGGTATACAGAACTAGATTAATTTTAACCCCTAGTTTGTGACACTTTTATGTATTGCTTACATGTGAACTTACCGGCTAACCTAAAGCTAGAACCTCACCCATAACACATCTACCTCTTTTTCATTTCTTTTTTCCCTGCCTTCTCACCTCACAGATGTAACCTTGTTTTTGTTGGTTCCTGTTGTTCTATTACTTGTGAACAGTCTTACTTATTTTGCCTTGTTTTTAAGCCTTATCAGAAAGCTATTTATCATACATCAAGTCTTCTGTGATTTTTTTTCTGTACTCAATGTAACATCATAAGACTCATGTTTTTTAAAATGTTGTGTGTGGCTCATTTTCATTGCTATAAAATACTCTCTCGCATCACGATACTGTGAGGAGACCTCCAGTTACTATTCATCCCTTTCTAGAGTGCCCATTATCTACCATGCAAACCTAGGGCCCTGGCACCCTAGTGGACCCCACTCAGCCTGCTAGTGCTGGGGTCCTCAGGCACCACTCTCTTTATCAGTCGCCTTTATCTGTCAACTCTTATTTTCCCAAGCCCATCAGAGAAAGGTGGCATGTTTCTCTCACCCTTCTGTGTCTCCTCAAACTTTCTAAGATACTCTAAGATATCTTAGACATTCAGGACAAAAAGCCAAGACACACTCTGCCACCTACAAATATCCCTAAAGAGTTCAACCTTGTTAACTGCTTGAAAGGATCAAGAAAAAGGAGGGAAAAATAGAAGAAAAGACACTAAGCCAATACAGTCCCCACCCCTTATAATTCCTGGTTACTGATGTAGTCATTATGTCATTAACATACTGTAGTTATTACTACATTATGTTACTATGTATTAGGCTGTCTAGGTGAGGCTGAGAAACACTTGATGACAGTATTTGGTATCCTCCAGAATATACTGGGAATACGGTTCCAATAACACATAGGATGGTTCCTCGGCCACTCTGAGCCATCGTCAATGAATCCCTGTGAACACTCCTCTAGCTTAGTTATGCTGTTCTTTTAAGTTTGTCTTTGAGTTGGGAAAGTAGACCTATTTGGCTTGGCTTAAGGGCTAAATGTCTCCTCTTCACTTGGTCTTCTAATCCTCAGTCCTTCCTGGCTATGTGGCATCATGTCTTTAAAGCAGGGAGAGTAAAGTATCAATATTTTAAGAAGGAACATTCTTCCCACTTACGTTTTCTATTCTTCTTTCTTTTGAGCCCTTTCTAGAAAGAGTAATGCTCTAGCCTTCAACCAGAAATGAAAAGTCTATCTTCAAATGGTTTAAACTTTTCATATATGCCTTCATATATGTGTCTGAGGCTTCGGTGTGCTAGCCTGCAAATAGATTCTAGTTTTCTTAATAAATTACTCTTTATGTTCTTTTTTAAGGTAATAGAGCATGAACATCCAGTAAATAAGATTTCTTTCATTGCCCGTGATGTGACAGACAACCGGGCATTTGGTTACGTGTGTGGAGGAGAAGGCCAGCATCAGTTTTTTGCCATAAAAACCGGGCAACAGGTGAGCTCTAAGTCTTGACATAGACCTGGGGACTTGTCCTCTGTGGACATTGGAGTGTCTGTCACTCAACTAAAAGATTTACTGGAAATAATTGGATGTAAGAGGGCTAAATAATAATTCCGAGAATGACTATTTTTATTGGCCTATGGAATCTTTTAAAAATGTCATTGATAGCTATGCACTGCTGTGTGCCACAGGATTGTGAGAATGGACCTTCTTATAAAGTGAATACTGACTTCACAACAGTGGTGAATTATTCTCAGGAACCTTAAAGGACTTCAAATATGATCATGATACCTCTTGTTTTGTCTAAATACTTATTAACCCTGCTGTCTTTTATATACCTAAGGGTGAGGATTGGGTTGGTGGTGATCCCCTATAAGCCAGCAGAGGGTAGTAAGGCGTTTTAAGATTAAAAAAAAAATCCCAGTATGAATTATAATTGATAGCAGACAAAGGAAATAAAATACTAAAATTAAAATACGGATAACAGTGCTTTCCCTTACTGCAGGCTGAACCATTAGTTGTTGATCTTAAAGACCTTTTTCAAGTTATCTATAATGTAAAGAAAAAGGAAGAAGAAAAGAAAAAGGCAAGTACTACCTGATTAAGGCTCTATTAAATTTAAAACTGGCTGGGCATGGTGGCTCACACCTATAATCCCAGCACTTCGGGAGGCAGAGGTGGGTGGATCACCTGAGGTCAGGAGTTCGAGACCAGCCTGGCCAACATGGCGAAACCTCATCACTACTAAAACTACAAAAATTAGCCAGGGGTGGTGGTGGGCACCTGTAATCCCAGCTACTTGGGCGTCTGAAGCAAGGAGAATCACTTGAACCCGGGAGGCAGAGGTTGCAGTCAGCCGAGATGGTGCCACTGCACTCCAGCCTGGGCGACAGAACGAGACTCTGTCTCAAACAAACAAACTTAAAACTGTACTCAGGACTATGTTTAATATTATATATAAATATGGTCTATCTGAAAATTTGGCTTCTATATGTATTGTCTATTCTTCCCAATAGGGCAATGGATACATTTTTATGGTTAGGCACTTCTAATCTGCACTCCCTGGCTTTTATTTTTTTTCTCTCTATGAGATTCATATTAATTCTAGGAAATATACAGGACAACCAAGTTTAAATCCAGTAACTCTACTCAAACCTTATATTGATATGAAAAGGGGAGGGGAACGGAGGGCAGAAATAATATACAAGACTTATTCTTGCCTTATGCCTGTGAACCATAGGCATACTTGTTTGTGTATTTAACTCCCTTTCACTATGAATATGAAGATCACTGAATATGTATCTTTCTTTTTAGATAGAGGAAGCCAGCAAAGCAGTTGAGGTAAAATTGCATCTTTACTTCTTGTTAATCATGTGTGTGACATGCGTAAGCCCCTGTTTTCTACCTGCCCAACCACTCTCGCCACCTCGCTTATTACTATGTGTTTATGACTTCTCTGATCATGAAAGATGTTTAGTTAAAAGATGATACCAAAACCATTGCTGCTTAGCAGACTAATAGAGTGGACAAATACATTTTATAGACAAAGCTCAACTAAATCCTTAAATATTTGCTATCTTTTCAGAATGGGAGTGAGGCCCTAATGATTCTAGATGACCAAACTAACAAACTGAAATCGGTATGTATTAATATGTGACGTTTGACAGTTCTTACTTATCTGAACATGGGTTCTACTTCCTGTAGATGTTGCTGATACCAAATCTGTATTGAATCTATATGAAAATCCAATTGAGACAACTGTTTTTCAAAATATTAGTGTAACATCTATGTCAATATACAAAAGTAGTCAAAAAAAGATTAGAAAAGTAATCTTTTTAGTAGCCACACCTGAATCTAATCTAATACTTTTTAAGGATGTGGACAAGATAGATTTGCTTTGAGACATGTCTACACTTCCTGACCTAAACAGCTTAATATGAAATCTATTAGTTAAATGGAAATTAAATTGTGACAGCTACTTTCCTAAACTTTAGGAAACAAATGATTACAATATACGAAGTAATCTTTTTTAGTAGACACATCTGAATCTAATCCAAATACTTTTTTAAGGGTGTTGACCAGATGGATTTGTTTGGGGACATGTCTACACCTCCTGACCTAAATAGTCCAACAGTAAGTGTTTGTTTTTAAATTTGCAATGTAATAAAATGACATCTATAACTCAAATTGGCAATAACCAGAAATCTTAAGCATCTCATTGAAACTTGGAAGGTGACTGTTGATTTTTGCAAATGAAGTGTCAATGGTTTTTAGAATAAATGTGAATCTTAAGTCACCATGGGAACCTATCCACACTAATTCAGTTATATTAATATTGCTTACAGATTAAACCTGAACAATAAGTCAGCAATGTAGTCCTTCTTGGTATCACTTAGGATTAGAAGGAGGAGGTGAATAATAGTCCTTGAATAAGCCTACTTGAAGAAAGTATGACTGTTAGATGGTTAATCATAAAGCCTCCTGGCCTCTTCATTTCTTTTGCATTCTGTCTGTTGCAATTTAGCAGCATAAATTTGGTGTGAAGTAAGATTTAAAACAAACAAGTGGCTCAGTTATATTCCACCAAAGCTTGTCCTTGTTAGAAAGCTGCCCATTCTCATAGGATTTTATACCATATCCAGTCTGCTCAATATTGAATGATCTGTAACAACCCTGTAAGAACAGAACAGTATTTTCCTTTATAAATTAAAAAAAAATGGTGGTTCAGGGAAAAAAAAGAAGAAAAAAAAATAAAAAGGAAAGAGGTCCAGATTCAAGACTTAGGCCCAAGTCTTCAGACCTTCCAAAACATACCTCTAATGAAAATGTCCATGACATTTTGAATGACTTCTTGCAACTTCTTTTATTTATGTAACAGTTTCCTGAGCACCTGCTATTTGCAAGGCATAGCAGTAAGATGCACAACATCAATGACATCATGGAATTTACTCTCCGGCAGGGAGACCAACATTAAAACTAATCACATCGTTAGTAATTGATGTTACTACAGGGTATTTATCTAGTTCAGATTCAGGTAATGCTTCTGCAGGAGTGAGTTTCTAGATTTGAACATAAAAGATGAGAAGGCAATAAACAGACAAAAAGAGAATTAGTCTAGAATAATGGGGGGAAATGTCTAGAAAGGACTCTCTTGTATCAGGAAATTATCATGGAAGCCTATGTGACCAAGGTTACAGGAGTTGAAGCAATGGATCAAAGATTGGATAAAATTCTCCCTTCAGACTTCTGCAGAGAATTTGAGGCCTGTGAATCCTTACTGCATAAAACTTTCAGGTCAAATGAGATGGAGAGGAGCAGGGACTTCATGCATTCTTCTCTGACCCTAACCATATGAGTATCACAATGCATGGTAGCATTCTAAAATGCCTTTAAGAGAGAAGCCTGTTTAATATTCATTTTAGCAGTGAGCCCTAACTCACTTGCCTATAGAACCTTTCATTCTTCATAATTTTTGTTATAGTTCTGAGGATAAACTTTTTAAAGTACTAGACTAGATTATCCTGACAGGTCCATCCTAACTCTGAGGTCCTTTTGATTTGTAGTCAACTTTGTGCTCTCCTCCATTAGTGATGTTTTCTCAAATAAATCAGTATCTGAACACTTACTTCCCAAGTATAAATGACATTCAAACAAGTAATATTCAAAGAGAGCAAAGCACTCAAGATATGAAGTGGAATTCCACTGGAATAGGCAAGGAAGTACTGCCTATATAATCTACTTCTGTAGACTTCTAGAATGTTCTAAAAAAGGAAATGGAAAACAACATGGATAATCTTCAGTCTCATTTTTATTAGACTTTATGAAGTCTAAGAATTTTTTATTTATAGGAATTCAAGTTTTAGTTAAACTAACAATAAAGTAATAAATACCATCAAAATATATACTCTCTGATAACCAAAAGAAGGCTAACAGATCTAATTATGTGCTGGTTAGGCTTTGACATGTTCTTATCTATTGACTCTATAGTCATAGGTCAAAAATAGATTTATCTCTACTTGGTAAAGCCAGCATGTTTAAAAATATTCAACTCTTTCAACAATTGCTCTGAAATATGTAAAGAGAGAAAGAAATCTAAATTACCTAGACTTTATTATTGGTCCTAGATGGTTGTCACTCCCCTCAAATTTATACAGAAAAGTTTTATGAGTTTCAAATAATGCTCATGTTGCAAACTATGTGGTATCCCCTAGAACAGAATTTTTATTGGCAAGCCCCTTGAGCATTATCCTTCCACACTGCATCTCAAAAAAGGAAAAGAAAGAAAAACATAAAAACCCATGTTCTGCAACTTTAACAACCACTTGAAAGCACAGTTACTATGGAAAGAATATAAGACATGATCTGTGATCAAGGAGATTAAATCTGGTACAAGGGATGGGATCAGGATACAAAGCAGGAGTGTCACTTATGTCCTTGTGTACATGCCATAAGATAACACGGGTGGGCACAGGGCAAGTGCAGACAGAAAAATCGATGCTAAAAGCTTTGTAAAGAATCTGAATTTGAGTTGGGTCTTTGAAGTGTGTAGGAAAATAGATCATAGTTGGGCTAGAAACAACGTGGGTCTTATTGTGGATCATTTGGAAATTTGGCCTAAGGAGGTTTATTTTAATATAGGGAGCCAGCAGTAAGCCACTTAAGGCTTTGAGTAGAGAAGTCCTCAGTCTGACAAACTGGAATGGTTAGGTGAGATTAGCCACCCAGAGAAGAGCTAGGCTATGGAACTCAGGATTTATGTCCGATTACTGGAGCTCCCTACGAGCAGGTTCTGTAACGCACTGCCGTGTCTCCAGTGCGTGCGGCTCAGGTGCTCAAACAGTGGCCAACTGGAGGCAGTGTTGACAGTTCGACAAAGAATGAATGAGGCGCTGACCAAGTGGGTGGATGAGGAGTCTTTGGGCTCTCAGTTGTAGTCTGTGAACTACACTTTTAATCTTGGATTAATAACAAACCCAGCCTGAGGAGAGCCTTATACATTTTACTTATAGGGTGACTATTCAGAAGTCTAACATTGTGGCTCCTGTTTGGTGTCCTAAGAACTTCTTCTGAAGTATTTGAAAACGAGAACTCTACCAGCTGTGAACACTCAACTGTTCTAACCCAGAGGTGGCTCAAAACAAATAAATAAATATTGAAATCACAAGCTTTTGTAATACATTTTATCCTACCTTTTGATTGTATAAAGATCCCTAGATTAATAGCTCTTCCAATCCATTTCTCTGATTAAATTTTTTTTTAATTATAAGCTCTTTCTTGTGACAAATTCTTCTTTTATAAAGAGAAAGCCTGGCTTTGGCTTATAAAAACTGTATTTTTATGCCTCACAGTAAAGGAATCCAAAAGATAGATTACCATTTAGGTCTGATTTTGCTGTCTCTTTTGTGGCCATGAAATAGGACTTAAACTTTCTAAACAATTGGGTATTTTTTTTTCTTTTAAAAGCCAAGGAGTTCTATTTGAACCCTTTTGTATTTACTAGTTTGCAAATTTTATATTCCCTTGAAGTTGTTTATTTTCCCCAATGATCAAAATATTTAGTATTCTGCTCAGGGTAATGCAAGATAACTACTATAACTTGCACTTCAGCAAGGCATTTTTTATCATTTATATTCTTCTCTGGGTAGCATAGTTAAGTATTTAATGGATCAAAGTCAAGCAGAAGGAAGTGATGTCAGTATGAAAGTTCTGTTCTAGGATGAGTTATAATTCTGTCTTTTACTGGAATAAAGACATGTCGGATTCATCAAATTTACTGCTTTTAAGCTGAGAATTTTTTATCAAACAGTTGAAAATCCAAAAAATTAACACACCAGAGAAATGATAGAGAGGGGATAGAATTAGTAGAGCTACATATTTGATATGTCTTTCAAATTAACTCTTAAACCCATGTCTCTACCTTGTACAATAGTCCCCCTTTATCTGCAGTTTCACTTTCTGAAATTAAGTCTGTGGTCAACCTTGGTCTGAAAATAAGTGAGTACGGTACAATATAATATTTTGAGAGAAGAGAGACAGAGAGACCACATTCAAATAACTTTTATTACAGCATATTGTTATAATCATTCTATTTTATTACTTGTTAATCTCTTATTGTGCCTAATTGATAAATTAAACTTTATCATGTGTATGTATATGAGAAAAATACTGTATATAGGTTTTGGCACTATGTGCCATTTCAGACATCCACTGTGGGCCTTGGAACATATTCCCTGAGGATAAGGAGGGACTACTGTATATAAATTAAAGATCAGTTGTTGGTTGACTTTAACCACTAAATAGATGAGATTACTGTCACAACACAGGCAACTCTAAGCAATGTTATGAAAAGATGTACAAATAGGAGATCTTAATGTGTGATTGACTAAATTAGATCAGTATTGAGTGTCTCTTTCAGAGGACATAGACAAAAAGGGTAAGCCCAGAGGAGAGACTGGGATGATGAGGATGAGATCCTACTTGACTATCAGCTTCAGCAAGAGCCTTAAATATTAAGAGACATACCTGAAGGCCGTGATATAAAAGAAAAGCCTCTCTCCCACCTCTAGAGGAAAGAACTGGACCGATTTTAGGGAAATGCATTTGATCTTAAATTTCATCACAGCCAGAACTATAAAATATGAATGTATTAGTCGATGAATTTTCTCATTTAGAGAGATGATCCTACATGACTCTGGGGGTACAATAGAGAGGACTGTATGTGTATAGGTAGGAAGCTGAGCTAAGCTTCTGAAATCACTTACTTTCAAGCTCAACATACTTTGATAATCATTTATAGTGACTCACAATCAATTCCCTTTAAGACTTTCAAAGTCACAAATTGAAACAATGCTCATAATGAATTAAGCCAGTCTGTATGTGTGAACCAGGGTGAGCAGAGACATGAAGTAAGCAACAGTAAGATTTCACCTAATGAGGTTGAGACTTAAATAAAAGGGCATGATATTGGGGAGGAATAGAAAGGACCTAGTCTATAGCTAGGGAGTAATGGACTACGGGGGTTGATGGAAGGAGGTAATGATCAACCGATTTATCAAGACCAAATTCAAATGGAAATTCTGATAATCCTAGTCATCTTATGTAATTTTCTCATTTGAAGTCACAACATGGACTAACACTTTCTTTTTTTTTCTTTCCAAATGTGATAGGAAAGCAAAGATATCCTGTTAGTGGATCTAAACTCTGAAATCGACACCAATCAGAATTCTTTAAGAGAAAATCCATTCTTAACAAACGGCATCACCTCCTGTTCTCTTCCTCGACCAACGCCTCAGGCATCCTTCTTGCCTGAAAATGCCTTTTCTGCCAATCTCAACTTCTTTCCCACCCCTAATCCTGATCCTTTCCGTGACGATCCTTTCACACAGCCAGACCAATCGACACCTTCTTCGTTTGATTCTCTCAAATCTCCAGATCAGAAGAAAGAGAATTCGAGTAGCTCGTCTACTCCGCTGAGTAATGGGCCCCTGAATGGTGATGTTGACTACTTTGGTCAGCAATTTGACCAGATCTCTAACCGGACTGGCAAACAGGAAGCTCAGGCAGGCCCATGGCCCTTTTCAAGTTCGCAAACCCAGCCAGCAGTGAGAACTCAAAATGGGGTATCTGAAAGAGAACAGAACGGCTTCTCTGTCAAATCCTCCCCGAACCCTTTTGTGGGAAGCCCTCCCAAAGGACTGTCCATACAGAATGGCGTAAAGCAGGACTTGGAAAGCTCTGTCCAGTCCTCACCACATGACTCCATAGCCATTATCCCACCTCCACAAAGTACCAAACCAGGAAGAGGCAGAAGGACTGCTAAGGTGAATTGTCTTCTCCACATATCCATTAGCAGAGTGCATGTTCGGTACCAAAGGGTGGTGTGATGCAAGCTCTCTTTCCTGCTGCTCTCGTAGTTTCCTGTGTTGCTGTGAAATAGAAGGTGGGATAAGGCACTTTGGTTCTCCAGGAGTACTTTCCTCTAACTGCCACCGTTTTTAAGCTTCTCAGCAGTGTTTTTCACACCCTGCTTTCCGTGTGCATGTCTTGTCACTTATGATTAAACTAAACACAAGTTTTTCCATTTTTAATGCTGCTATGCTTCTATACCTCTGGTAAGTTTGATCATCGTGTTCTGGGTTGGGAGGGTGAGAGTTCTTGTGATTCCCTTTGTACTTCCCTGACACTAACACATGCCCTGCACACCCATCATGTTGCATCAGTGTCCATGGTGGTGGTATAAAATTCTCGAGCTTATCTCCTCTTTTAAATACTGAGTAAATACATAAGCTTTTTCTAAGCTTATGTATTTACTATTACCACTATGATCTCAGCTTTATTTAAGAGCAATTTAAAATGCAGTTCCCATAGGTGTCTTTTTTTACCTCTCCTAAGAATATACAGGCTTGCCTGGATTAAGACCCTATGATCTCTATGTAGACTGACTTAAAATCCAATGGAATGAACAAAAATATTTAGGATGCTTATTGGTAGTTGCCCCTTTTACACACTTGCTCCCCCAACTTCAAGCATTTAGCGATGAGACCAGACCAATGTGAGTGTGTAAAGGAATATAGTAGATTTCACTTTGCAAGTCCTAGGTAGTGTCAGACACTAAGACTCAGTAGTCCGTCCGTTGTAGGAATCTGTGTCTTTTTTTGGAGGACTCTTTTTCTGTAGTAGTAGTTGTTGTTGTTCATCTGTCAAGAAAAAAGTTTTCCTTTTTGTGGCTCTCAAATTGGGGTATAGGGTAGGAGACAAAATGAGGCTGTATTTCACTGTTAGTGAGTAACTAAGGCTTCTCCCTCCCTCCCTGTCCTGTCAGTCTTCAGCCAATGACTTGCTTGCATCAGACATCTTTGCTCCTCCCGTCTCAGAACCTTCAGGCCAGGCGTCACCCACAGGACAACCTACAGCCCTGCAGCCCAACCCTCTGGATCTCTTCAAAACAAGTGCTCCTGCCCCAGTGGGGCCCCTGGTGGGTCTAGGTAGGTGCCTAGAGATAAAATTAAGTATGACTCTTTTGCTTTTGCTCATAAAATGATGATGCATCGGAAGAGATTTCATACTCCCAGAGGGTTTTACAGCATAAGATTTGAGCATCCCAGGGAGCCCTTCTCCCACTTCTACTATACAACCCCACATCCATTTGATATTCTTGACTTGTAACTCACATTTGGCTCCTCGAGGCAGCATGAGACAAGAAATTCATTTTCAGTATTGTACTTACTTGAACCAACTGGTCATGGTTTCCTGAAAGACAATTGTAAGGGATTCTAAACTCAGACCAGCTTCAGTAGCAAAACAGGGTTGACATAAGAGAGGCTTGTCTGTCAACATGCATGTCTTCCATGTCTTTTGCCATAATAGATCGAAGGCCTATGTCCTTTCAACACATAGCCCTCTTAGAAGGAATATATGCCCAAGAAGGATGTAAGTTAAGTCTGAAGCAAGAATAAGTCATAGAGTGAAAGTCCTAGGTTCTGGGCCCAGCTGTGTTCCTAGGTGTATGGTAAGGGTAGATCAGGCACACATCCTGATCAGTCTCTGAGCACTTCTGCCATAGGAGCTCCTTGCCAATATTTTGGCTAGCTTGAGTGTTTTACTGAAGCTAGAACATAAGTCCTAGAAAGCCAAAGTTGAAAAAAGAGAGAAATAAGGGAAGAGATGGAATTTTATCAGACAGCTAGTATGCATTGACGCTCTTAATTCCTAAATGTGTCATTAGCTTGTGTGAGCCGCTGATCACTCTGTGGTAGGACAGTGGGAAAGTCCACTTGACTGAGGGCTGGCCTTGCTATTCTTAGTCCATAGCCTATAGTTCTTTTCAGACTCCATGGTACAGTTTTCAGAAACCCTGACAATAGTTTTTGCTGTCCTGCTATGGACTCTATTTTTCTTCTCTTGGCACCTCTACAAACTCCAAATGGACTCTGGCTTGGGAGGTGGAGGACTGTAGACGAGGAAGGACTCTCCTCTCCTTCGGTAAAATCTGACCAGGGATCCTGGCTTTCTCTGCCTCCTGCAGTCAGTCATCAGGATCCTTGTTTTGTTTTCCTCTCTGTCTCTGTTGTTTTCCTACAAAGGAAAATAGTTTGGTTCTTTTACAAGAAATCTGTTTAATCATATCTAGAATAGGGTGGCCAGAGGAGGACTGTTACTCAACTGCTGAGTGGCAGAAATCCGTGAGGGTATGAAAAGCCAGCTTGTCCCAGGTCTCTGCTCGCATTTACCCCATCAAGAGGCTCTCTCTAAAGACTTCATGTCTCTTGGGGGCTTCCCCCTTTCTGCGTTGCTCTTTTCCTTGCACCCCCAAGTGGAGCTGGTTGGTACCCTTCCCTCACAGAAGACCAGAGTGCTTGCAATGCAATGTCTGCAGCGAGATCACATCACAGAGCTTTTTATCTGATATCAATGCCCTTAAGAATTTTTGCAGCCAATATTTAACAAGTCAGCCTGAAAATACAGCTGGACCCTATAACTGTTTATTTATTCAGACGAAGTGAAGCTTTTTGGCTAGGTGCCCCTGTTGAGGGCTTGGGGTATACAACTGCAGAATACTGATGATTGTTCCAAGTTTGGACATGGGACTCAAACTGAGCTCTACAGTATAGTCCCTGTCCACTAGCAGGGATCCTCAGCCAAACCATGGAAGGTTGTAGGTCTGGCTTCCGCTAGACCCAGCTGGGGGACTGTCTCCCCTGGAGAACTGGGGGGGTGGGGAGAGGGTATTGTAGAAAGCTGAGCCCTCAGATTCAACTTGCTTGTATTTTAATCTAGCCTCAGAAGGTAATAAAATTAATGTTCTATACCCATGTCCCCTTTTTCCTTATTCCTTGCCCCTACTTTGTCAATGTGTTCAATGTGTTCAATGTGTTAAAACACAATGTGGGGATTTGGTGGGTAGGAATGAAGACTGGTATAAGTATATACTGGGAAAGCCTTGAATTCCTGGCAAATGTAATATTTTTCTCTCCTTTTTTTTTTTTTTTTTTTTTGAGACAGAGTCTCACTCTGTCACCCAGGCTGGAGTGCAGTGGTGCTGTCTCAGCTCACTGCAACCTCTGCCTCCCAAGTTTAAGTGCCTCAGCCTCTCTAGTAGCTGGGATTACAGGCATGCGCCACCACACCCAGCTAATTTTTGTATGTTAGTAGAGACAGGGTTTCGCCACGTTGGCCAGGTTGGTTCTGAACTCCTGGCCTCAAGTGGTCCTCCCACTTTGGCTTCCCAAAGTGCTGGGATTACAGGTGTAAGCCACTGCGCCCAGCCCTAATATTTTTCTCTTTTACAAATACCATTCTCACTAATATGATATTTTCCTAAATGAAGACAAGTTGTCCAACATGAAAGATGATAAAATTCTACCCTCCTTTTTGCACAGCTAACTGGTGGAAATTATTAGCAAGTGATCTGGCTTCTGTTAATACAATTTAATTGAATGTGTTTTAAAATACAAGCAACAACTTTGTTCAAACTAAACCCATTTTTAGAGCCTGTATTGTAGAATATAACTTTTCTCTTGATTTGTTATGAAAGGAGTATATTCTTCAGTGAAAATGAAGTCTAATTTCTGTATCCGTGAAATAAGTATTTGAATTAACATAGCATTTGAAAATTAAAATTGCCCCATGCCTTGCTGCCAAGGAAGCAGAACAGGAGAATGGGGTGCCGGATTTAGAGCCAGTGTGCCTGATTTTCAGTTTCTACCATCCCAGACTATGACCTTCCCAATTTTAATGAATATTCTTGCACCCAGTTTCCTCACCTCCAAAAAGCATGCTGATTAAGTGAAATGGCCTGTTCTGAAACCCACCACTCTCTGTGAGTACACCATGTGTGCCCATGGCCAGATGGCCAGCATGCATGATGAGAATGGAGTCAGGTAATACCAATGTCTCAGACTAAGAAGCTCGAAGATATAATCTTGTGCTCCATCACTCCTAAATACCATTTTCAAAGTATTCCCTCTTGGAAACATAAACGTCCCTAACCCAGGTCTGAAGAAAACTTTCATAACTAAAGAATGCCATGCACCAAAGCTCAAAGCAAGTAGATTTCAAGAGCGAAGCATCACCCACTAATAGATATGAGGCTGAATTTAGGTTTCCTTCTTAGCGGTGAGTTTAACTGAATCATTAATGCACTTGGAAAGAGGCAGGAAAGACAGTGCCCTGTATATTAGAACAAGATGCAGGGAGCGAGCCTCTCAAGAATCAGAGGCCATCATTGGAGAGGCCTGGATTCTGGCGATTTAACGAATTCCTGATGACATAGCAAGGTCGTAGGAGATGGAGCCATTCACCACAAAGATCAGATGCCCCAACACAGGCCATTAGTTACCTTGAAAGATTTTTGTTTCCCATTGTCCTCTCTCCTCTTTTAAATTCTCTGTTCTAACTTCTGGCAAGGTTTAGCAAATGGCACATGGCAGGAAGCACTTTTATTTGAAACAGTCTTCCTAGGATAACATCCTTTCTTCCATTTTTATATATAAACGTCTAAAACTATCTTGGCATTGGCCAAACTTTATCTTCCCTTTATGTATATAGCTGTATCAGTCTTGGCAGCAATAAAAAGTGAAGAAACTTTGAAATGGTTTCTTCAGGATGCAAGCATGTTGAGGTCTTGTGCACATGTGTGATTGCTGGTTTCCATAAGACTCCAGACGTGAGCCAGTTGCCAAATGAAAAGATCAAATCTGTGACTCAGAGAGTCCAATGGATTATCTTAATTAACTACATCATAATCAGCATGGTTCATGCATAAAAATATATTCACTTAAATAAGTTCCTGCTATTAACAGGCTCTGTTCTAGTTGTTTGAGATGTATCAGACAACTAGTGTCTGTATGATAAGGGCTTATTTTTTTGATGAGTAGATACTTATGGACCGTACTACCCTTCTAATCAGGAAAGTTAAAAAGACATGGTAGGAAGAACATGGGCCTCAAAATGCAACCAGCATTTGAATGCTCACTATACAGTGTTAGCTGGCTAACTTTTACAGTGATTAATCTGTCATATTCTTCCCATATCAGCCTCAGGGCTCAATGGAGGTGTTAGCTGTGGAGAGGCTTTCCAGAGAGTTGTGCTCTCTGAAATTCAAGAATCTTCTTCAAGCTTGACTCCTGATAAGTATTTTTCTTCCTCTTACTTCAGGTGGTGTAACTGTCACACTCCCTCAGGCAGGACCATGGAACACAGCATCTTTGGTCTTCAATCAGTCCCCTTCAATGGCTCCGGGAGCCATGATGGGTGGTCAACCTTCAGGTTTTAGTCAGCCCGTCATTTTTGGTACAAGTCCAGCTGTTTCAGGTTGGAACCAGCCTTCACCCTTTGCAGCCTCAACTCCCCCTCCAGTGCCTGTTGTCTGGGGCCCTTCTGCATCTGTGGCACCCAATGCTTGGTCAACAACAAGCCCTTTGGGGAATCCTTTTCAGAGCAATATTTTTCCAGCTCCTGCTGTGTCCACTCAGCCCCCATCCATGCACTCCTCTCTCCTGGTCACTCCTCCTCAGCCACCTCCCAGAGCTGGCCCTCCCAAGGACATCTCCAGTGATGCCTTCACTGCCTTAGACCCACTTGGGGATAAAGAGATCAAGGATGTGAAAGAAATGTTTAAGGATTTCCAACTGCGGCAGCCACCTGCTGTGCCCGCGCGGAAGGGAGAGCAGACTTCTTCTGGGACTTTGAGTGCCTTTGCCAGTTATTTCAACAGCAAGGTTGGCATTCCTCAGGAGAATGCAGACCATGATGACTTTGATGCTAATCAACTATTGAACAAGATCAATGGTAAGCCACTCACCACTCTGCCTACTGTTCCAACAACTATCTCCACTGCCACATGGACCTAAATGAGTTCCCCAAATGAACCCTCTCCCACCCGCCAACAGCTTTGCTCTTGCTTCTGTTGGTAATCAAGGGTTACGGAGACAACTTAACCATTTACCTTTTGGTGATAACTATTTACCTTAGTCATTTCTGAGGACTGACCCAATGCTGCCCTCTAGTGATAAATCTTAAAAGGGCTGCCATGAGCTATTGAAATGTGATGACTGGTGACTCTTGGAGGGCTGTGTAATAAGGCGTCATCCATGTCCCATCAGCTTAAAATGAGGGGATTCTGAATCTCTTCCACTTCAGATAAATATGCATGGCTTTCTCTTCCGAGAAGGATAATAATTATTGGGGTACCTAGTATTTGGTGTTGATTTTTGTTCCACTGATGTAAATTTCAAAAGTATAGAACTAAACTTCAAAAATAAGCTGACTCGGGGACTGGCCTATATTTGGGGAAAGCTTGTCTACTGATTGCCTGGATTTTTTACCTTCTAGAACCACCAAAGCCAGCTCCCAGACAAGTTTCCCTGCCAGTTACCAAATCTACTGACAATGCATTTGAGAACCCTTTCTTTAAAGATTCTTTTGGTTCATCACAAGCCTCTGTAAGTATGAACTACTAGAAGCTCTTCTCCAAAGTACATGCCACATAGAGCTCCAGCCTCCTGAATTAACCTTGCTTTTATAATAGCTTTTATTTATTTATTTATTTTTTTAAGACAGAGTCTTGCTCTGTCGGCCAGGCTGGAGTGCAGTGGTGCAATCTCAGCTCACTGCAACCTCCACTTCCTGAGTTCAAAGGATTCTCCTGCCTCAGCCTCCTGAGTAGGTGGGACTATAGGCACGTGCCACCACACCTGGCTAATTTTTGTATTTTTTTGTAGAGATGGGGTCTCGCCATGTTGGCCAGACTGGTCTCAAACTCCTGACCTTAAGTGATCCATCTGCCTTGGCCTCCCTCAGTGCTGGGATTACAGTCATGAGCCACCGCACCTGGCTATAATAGCTTTTTGATGGTAAAACATGTTTAGCTAAGATTTGTCACCAAGAACCTTCACAGTATAAACATTCATTTAAACTGGAGAAAGATTATTTGCACAAGAACTATTATCTTCTGAATTTGAGAAATAATATCACATAGAAAACATCCTTCATATCTCACTTAACCTGACCCATGAAAGCATTTCGGGAGAAAATTGAGCCAAAATACTGTCTTGAAAACCTTTCAAAAATTTAAGTTCTTAATTTTCCAACAATATTTCTATAGCCTGTGAAAATAATACTTCCCATTTCGGGGAGGCAAATGAAATGCATCTGAACCTTGATTTTCACATAAATAATATACACTGCCATCTGCAAGCAGATGAAAACAAAACACTGTAAGCCCCATATAATGTTTGATTGGCTGATTGGCCTATGACCTAAGCGATTTTTAAAAGAATTTTGGAAGTCTTCATTGCGATTTTTTTCTTATGACTGTAACTGTATTTATTGACTAGATGATTTTATCTTCTTAGGTGGCTTCTTCTCAACCTGTATCTTCTGAGATGTATAGGGATCCATTTGGAAATCCTTTTGCCTAAATTCTGTAAGTAGAAGATCCTAATAAGCCTGTCTCAGGGGTTTTTGTGAGAAAGGGTGACATGGAATAAAGAGTGAAATTTTAATTTTAGAATTGGGAAGAGGGTAAATATCTATAATTTAGGAGTAATCGACAGGAAAATCTCTACTGAGATCATTCAATAATGACTAGGCTGGGCACTTAAGAATAGAATTCCTAAACACATCAAAAAATAGTAATATACCCTTGGGGATGTGGATTTTTATCTTATTCCATGTTCTTGGTTTTTCAGTTCTGTGTGGGAAGTAAAACTCAAAACAACACATCACAGGTTTCTAACCTTTTTACTTTCATATTGAAGTGGTTGCAAAACAACCTAGTAATAATTTGGTTTCCTATAAAGGGTTCAGATTCCATTGACTTTCTGAAGCCACCAAGTCAGCAAAACAGATTATGATCATTACTTCTCTACCATTTAACTGTGAGCAATCTCAAAGTTAGTCTGAAAGAGTCTGATGGTATTAAATCTGAAAGTTTTAACAACTATTAAAGATCTCCTTCATAGGCAGTAGGAGCTCAAAATGAGTCTGAAGGTTGATTCTTCTGTCTCATGAACTTTATCTTAGATAAGTGATTAGGTAGAATCACCCTCAGCTGAAATCCTGGGAGGGCTCAGTGTAACTCTTTCTCTACAGAAGGTGACAGCAACTTTATTCTGATCTCAAAAGACTGAATTTAGTAGGGAAAGGAACGCTCTCCCCATTTTAGAGCAGGTAGGCCAGCTGGTAGGGGTAGAACAATAGAAATAATGAAAAACAACAACAACAACAACAAAAACCAAGCCCATTTTTTTTCCAATCTTGTCTCATCCAAACAGGACTACTAAACTGTGATTTGGCTCATCTAGAATGTAATTATTTTTAATAGATAGATATCTTAAACGTGGCGAAAACAATAAGATTGAGCTTATAGGCATCTGGATCATTTTCCCTCAACTCCAGTTCTACAATGACTGTGTTTCCTGTAGTACCTTTCCATAAACTGCTTCAGAGAACTGGGTAAATCATTAAAAATGCAAATTCCTGGGTCCTACTGCAGCCCTAAGGAATTTCTCTTTGGTGCCAAGGAAATGCTTCCTTTTAACAAGAGTGCAGGTGATTCTAAAGGTAATAAAGCAGTAAGTAGATATTTAAGAGCTAGAAGTCTTACCAGAGATCATTCTCACCTTCCATTCAAGGGGAGATATACCCAAACCAATAGAAGGAGTAAACTACACTCAGAGTCAAGATGGATTGTATGGACTAAATTGAATGAACTAGACTTCTCTTTGGAGGTCCTTCCTTCTTTAGGTCATGAAGGAAGGATAGTTTAGGTCAACCTGCTACATCAATAGATTGGGTAAGGGGAACTCTCATGGGATAAAATAACTAACATTGTTGAGCACTTGCGCTAAGCATTTTATTAGATGCTCTACATTTATCATCTTCATCAATCCTCACATCAGCCCTAGGAGATACTATTACTGACATCTTTAATAATGACTTGATATTTAATACATTGATATTCAGTTCAAAAATTCTAACCACAAGTTTCTTTCTTCTCCATACCTCTCTAGGAACTTGGTCTGCAGACCATCCAGAGGAATAAAAAGGTTGGCCTTAGTAGTCAAAAACAAAGCTGATAGCCAGACACGTTCTGATTTCTGCCCTTGTTCCAGCTTTGACGTATTATCTGTTGCCTTATTTCTCATTGCCTCTTCTACTTGTAAAATGCTTTTCACTTTCTGTCTAGGTTAAAGCTAAACTGAATCTATGGCTTTAAATAAATTAAGATCCTAAACTCTCTAGCTTAAGTGTAAATGAAGTACAGTAGTTTCCCTACTGAACCCTGCCTCTTGTGTCCCTGGAACCTTCTAGAACACCTGCCTTCTACCCTCTGGTTGGGAGATGCAGCCACCACATCCCTTCATATCATACTGTTTTGAATAAATTTTCAAATCCTTATTGTTCAGAGTTGTTTGGGGGTTCTGTTTCAGAGCATAAAACCTAAAGGTTATAGTAGAACAAGGCACCTTCTTAAAAGAAATCTTGCTTCAGACCATCAGTTACAGAGAATTTCTAAAGTAAAATTGAAGCAACTACAACTTCTCCTTAGACACTTTGGAATCTAACCACTTAAGGACCTTTTTAAAGAGATAGCTTCTCTTCTTTCTGAAGATCAATTTCTCCCAAGGCCAAGATTGTCCTTTTCTCCCATTTCTTGCTAGCTATTGCAAATGAGGGAAGAACATTATTCATCTCTCCTCCCCTTTTTTTTCTGATTCTTTTTTCAGTCAGTTTTGCTCCTGGGTTCAAGTAGTATTACCACCCTTTCACAAGCAACAGACTCTCACAGGGCAAAAAAAAAAAAAAATCTAATGATTCACAGACAGATCTGGAGCCTCTCTTCATTCTCAGTAATTGCTAGTCCCAAGAACTAGAATTGCAAATGGGCACAACCTATATCCTTCCTGTGGAAGAGGAGGCCACTCTCTTGAGCTGAAGTTCCAGAAGAGCAGTTAATGTTCAAGAGAAATTGAACTCAACTCAGCAACAAAGGACTCTATTTTGAAGAGCAACATATCACAAAGCTAAATGTGATTGTGCCAAACACATTAGGTGCTTATTTGGGGTCATGCTAGGCCTTTATCAAGTAACTGGAAAACTTTTCTTGCAGCCACAATCTCAATGTCGTTAGTAGGAAGATAAGAGGGGAGAAAAAGCTGTAGAACAAATGTTTGGGGTTACCATTGAAAATCTAATGTCTGCAATATTTTTCTCCTCACAACTTGGAAACGTTCCCAGTTCATTTTCAGTCCTGTTGTGAGCACAGTTCTGAAGGGTTTATTATTGTCAAAATAAGTTTTGTTTTGTTTTGTTTATGTTGGGTTTTTAATGTTGTCTCTTGACCCTTAATGCTCAGGTTCTTGTGGGAGTTAATCAGCCACATCCAATGTTACCTTGAGGGGGAAGAAGAGGGTGATGCTCAGAAGCTAAACAAGACAGGGGCCACATGACCCTCTATTGATTAGCCCCAAGTAGAAAGTCCTGTGGTTTTATGTTTAATGGTAATAGTTGATCATATATGGCATAATTTTCTATCAGCTTCCTACTCAGTCACTATAAACACAGACTTGAAATAGTACTTTAAATGTCCAAATACCTAAATGTGCTAAACTGGAGGTAACTATTTCTAGGTAGTTGAATTTTTGAAAGTCATGATCAGCCACACAACTGTTTTGTACATACTTATTTTCTCATGCACTTTTCTGTATGCAAATAAAGCTATAAATTTACTCATTTCAATAAACTGGAGTGGCAGAATATCATGTGGTACCATCGGTTTATTCTACCTGCTTTGAGTTGACATTAGAGGCAAGCTATAAAACATACCAGTCTGAAGTGGAGAAAATGTTAGCTATAATAGATTCTGGATTGTCACAACAGTGAAGAGAAAGTGGAAATCCATGAAATAGGACCGTGAGTAAATTACCGTCTGATCTATTTCACACCTTCTTCTGTCTCAAACCCACACACACTCCCTTTCCGGGAGTGTAAGGAAGACTAGTAGATAAGACCTGTACCAGAACAACCTCAGCTGACATCCACTATAAAATCACTCATTAGTGCACTATTGGTTCATGCCTTTTACCCTTGGCTGCCTCTTGTTTTTTACTCAGTCATATTTGACCTCACCAAGACACGACTGTGTGGACTGCTCTAGGCTGGCACAGGCCCCTCTGGAGAGCTGTTGCATGAGGTGAGTGGGCTGATGAACAGATGTTTTTAGCATTAGGGCGCTCTTAAACTGTCTCACCTAGTATAAAAGTTCAAGGTTCTCATTCACTGCAAAAAGACCTGCAACTACAAGAAAGAGAATCCCAAGGTGGGCTTTGCATGGATATAGAAGTCTTGGTATTAAACCTAACTTTTCTAAGGAATAAGACATTTTGGGGTAGGATTATCTATTGGTGTATAATATTTTGGAATGTTCCTTATTACTGCCTTACCTTTCTCCTTGACTGAAACATTTGGTCTCTTTCTAACAATAGTGAGGTGGAATAGAAATACACTCCATACAAAAGCAGGTTCCAGGGGAATTGAAAGTAAGCCACAGATGAGCTAGAGAAGGCTGCTGATAAGAATATGTTGCACAAATTATCTGGCTTATCCAGGTGCTCTGCCGTGCGTCTAACCCGTTGAGCCTGTGTGTTATCTCCACGTGACTTAATCTGTGAGATCTTGCCACAGGTTAACTTGCTCGTGTGTACAAGAGGCGGACATTCCTTTCAGTGCAGTCGGAACTACTGTTGATCAAGCAGAGAGTGGCAGTTACTGAAGTGTCCCTGCAAAGTGGAAACACACCTGTTCCTTATACAGTTGGCTCTCCTAACCTCAGATTTCGCATCTGCAGATTCAACCAGCCACAGATGGAAAATATGTGAATAGAAAATAAAATAAAAATAATGCAGCAATTAAAATAATACAAATAAAAACAATACAGTATAACAACTATTTACACAGCATTTATATTATATTAGTTATTATAAGTAATCTGTAAATAATTTAAAGTGTATGAGAGAATGTACATAGGTTATATGCCATTTTATATAACGGACTTGAGTATCCGCAGATTTTGGTATCTGCAGGAATTAATCCTCCACAGATACCAAGGGACAACTGTAATTTCTTTAATAAGCAGTGGTATTCACACCTGTGTGCCAGAAGTTCAGCTTTTCATGGTAACCCTATTATCTTGGAAAGAGAGTTCCTTTACATATCAAATATATCTAAGCTAAAAGCTGAACTTTAACAGCCAGCATGCCCTTAAATTTCTCACATAAAAGGGAGAAGGTATAGACTTTCCCAAAATAACCTTGCATCTGTGAAGTACTTTACCATTTATGCAAAATAACTTTATTCCATTGATGCCATTCATAACCCTTTGAGGAGGGATCTGTTACTGTTGCAAGTCTTACTCAGGCAAGACTGGCATCCATGCTTTAAAAAAAGCTGCACTCTACCCCAACTCTTAAGGGAGTGTTTTTCATGGTATTTTATTACAAAACTGTGTGTTGAAGTAGAGAGATCCTTTCATCAATTGATCTCAGACTTTACCATCAAAATATTAACTGTGGTGTCTAGAGAGAGCCAAACAGAGGGTAATTTTGTGTCTTTCCTGAGGTGGAAGGAAAAGAAAAGGGGGGAAGGAACAGAGGATGTAGCTAACCCAGGAGTGTGGTTGACCGTGGAATAACCTGATGAGTGAGGACTCTGACCCATATTCCCGGAATACGTTTAATACAAAATCTGGGAAAAGATGGGAGCTGCCCCAAAGCCCCTGGTAAATATTTAAGCTATTACGATTTGAGGAGGTTGCTAAACAATAAAACAAATAATTATTGCTGGGAAATGGTATGTTTTGAACTAATTCCCTTCTGCTAAAAATAAAAACTCATGTTCTAGGCTGATATGTACAATATCAGCCTAGGGACATATACAAGGCTATGTACTGGCAGCAGCTCTGTTAACATGTTGTAATTACAGCAACGCTGATGGACAAGGGCCAGCCATTTGTCATCTCACCTGATGAGTGGCCAAGCCCCTCATTTGCCCTTGCTTGGAATTGTGTCCTGCATTTAATTACTAAACCTCTACCACATACTGAAATCATACAAGTGCTTGTCTCCAGCAAGACCATGGTGTGGGCTGCTCAGTGGCAAAGAAGCTGGCCTTCTGCAGAGATGAAAGATGAGGTTGTTAAAAATGGAAGGGAAAAAAAAACCCAACTCTGAAATTCTTTATGACTAATTTTTCCTTGTGATATTGGTTGTGGAGTTTTCTGTCAATTCTTTATTCACTTGGTTGATTTCAACCATTATTTTATCTTACTTACAAGAAAGCAGAATCATTGCTGCTCTAAAAGTTACAGGGTAACATGACTGGGCTGGAATTGAGTAGAGGATGCTTCTCGGGTGTGTCTGATGCTGCCTCCTTAGTGGAAGCTCTAAAATTTCACTGTGGCATTGCAAGACCTGTGGATCTTTGGACAGTCAGTAAGAAACAGCTATGGAATGGGGCAGGCATTCCTAATGAGATCCCTGGATACTAAGATCCCTTAACTTACTGCTAAGGGACTTTCAAGAAACTGTTTCCTTCACTATAAAAGAGTCAAATGGAAATGACCCTCAACATATTTATATCAAATCAGTAAAAATTAAGTGTTTCTGCCTGCTGGTCAAAGTTTTAATGTACATATGTCTATGTTTGCCTTAAAAACTGGGAAAAGTATTATTAAGCAAAAAACTTAGTTCACTATCACAAAGTTCCCAAGAAAATTGAAACTAAGAAGGGAACAAAGGGCAACTGAATGGCGAAAACCCTCAGCAGAGTGGAAAACCCTGGAATCAGAGTTTAAAGACATGGTTTGTTCAAATCTCACCCCTGCCTCTTCTGTGTAGCCTTGCAGGTATTTCTCTGAGCCTCATCTGTGAGACTAGAATAAAAGCTTACCTTCTATGGAGTTGACAGGACTCAGTAACGAATTTTATAGTAAAGTACCCTATAAGCAACATGACGTACTTAAAATAATAACAATAGTAGTAATAGCAAGGTAGGAAAAGCCTGAGATGTGGAGCCAGACATAGCAAGTACAAATGTGCAGTTACTCGTCCCTGGCTGACGCTGGACAAATGATGTAATCTCAATGTGTCTCCATTTCCTCAGCTGTAAAACAGATTATTTTCAGGATTAAATGAGATTGCATATATAAATATGGCCTGACACATATTAGAAGTTCAATAAACATTTATTTTGTTATTTGGAAGCCTTTAAGTGTTATACAAATGAAAATGTTACTATTTTCACTGCTCTAGTCTAATGCATGATGATGCTTTATTTCTCTGACATACACACAGAAACATAAGCCTCATTTCAAAACACCTCAGACACATGATAGATGTTAAGGACAAGAAAGAGTTAAAAGCATAAAAATGTGGAGCATATTATTCATATATTTTATATATTTATATAATATTTATGATTTTATATTATAATTATGCATTATATGTAATATATAATTACATATATTATAATTATATAATTATAATATGTAATATATAATATAATTTGGCTCTGTGTCCTCACTCAAATCTCATCTCGAATTGTAATCCCCACATGTTGAGGGAGGGACGTGCTAGGAGGTGATGGGATCATGGGGACGGTTTCCCCTGTACTGTTCTTGTGATAGTGAGTGAATTATGAGAGCTAATGGTTTGTTTGTTTGTTTTTGAAACAAAATCTCGCTCTTGTCCCCCAGGCTGGAGTGGGACAGAGCGATCTCAGCTCACTGCAACCTCTGCCTCCTGGGTTCAAGCAATTCTCCTGTCTCAGCCTCCCAAGTAGCTGAGATTACAGGCGCCTGCCACCACGCCCAGCTAATTTTTGTATTTTTAGTAGAGATGGGGGGTTTCACCATGTTGGCCAGGCTGGTCTCGAACTCCTGACCTCAGATGATTCGCCAGCCTCGGCCTCCCAAAGTGCTGGGATTACAGGCGTGAGCCACCACGCCCAGCCAGCTAATGGTTTTAAAGTGTGGCACTTCCTCACTCTTGCTCTCTCCTAATGCCATTTACGAAGTGCCTTGCTTTCCTTTCACCTTCCACCATGATTATAAGTTTCCTGAGGCATCCCTAGCCATGCAGAACTATGAGTCAATTCAACCACTTTTGTTTGTAAATTACCCAGTCTCAGGTGGTATCTTTTTTTTTTTTTTTGAGACGGAGTTCCACTCTATCGCCTGGGCTAGAGTACAGTGGTGCAATCACGGCTCACTGCAACCTCCGACTCTAGATTCAAGCAATTCTCTTGCCTCAGCCTCCCAAGCAGCTGGGATTAGAGTCACCCGCCACCATGCCTGGCTAATTTTTTTGTATTTTTATAGAGATGGGGTTTCACCATGTTGGCCAGGCTGGTCTTGAACACCTGACCTCAGGTGATCTGCCCTCCTGGGCCTCCCAAAGGGCTGGGATTACAGGGGTGAGCCACCGTGCCAGCCAGGTAGTATCTTTGTAGCAGTGTGAAAATGGACTAATACAATATATATTGCCAATATATAATTAATATGCTATTAGTATACTTTACTGCTGTCATTATTTTTCTACATTATATTTAACCTGAACTATGGTGATAAAATAAATACAACTGAGCAATTCAGAAAAGCCTCCTATTCAAACTAGTCAGCCAAAAATATCCCCTCACTCCCTCATCCCCCTTCCATTGATTTAGTCTCCAAAGAGACAGGTGATGTACAATCTCCAGTCACATCAACTTATCAAGTCTAATCATCACAACTTCTAATCAATTAGCATCAAATCTAGTTAGTATAAAGCATCCCATCCTGACTGCTTTTCAGTCTTTATTTCCATAAGTATCTTGATAGGGTCCAGAGAGGCCTCATAAGAGCCCTCAACATTGCTACAGCATTTTTCTTTTTGTGAGACAGAGTCTCACTCTGTTGTCCAGGCTGGAGTGCAGTGGTGCCATCTTGGCTTACTGCAAACTTTGCCTCCCAGGATCAAGCAATTTTCATGTTTCAGCCTCCCAAGTAGCTGGGATTACAGGCACACACCACCCCACCCACCTAATTTTTGTATTTTTAGTAGAGATGAAGTTTCACCATGTTGGCCAGGCTGGTCTCAAACTCCTGGCCTCAAGTGATCCACCCACCTCTGCCTCCCAAAGTGCTGGGATTATAGGCGTGCGCCACTGCACCTGCCCTGCTACAGCATATTTGACAGATTCATACTGTTTCCAAATGTAGCCCACCTGTTATTAGCCAAGACTCACAGGAAGTGTCTTTCAGGCATGGACTCATCCCATGACATAGTTACACGAGTTGTGGCATCCATTCGAATCATCTTATTACTTGGCAGTTCTGCATGGCCTACACTCCACAGCAAGCTCAGGAAAAGGTGAGATCAGTCCCATTGAAGACCTCAAGTTCTCTGCATAAAAAGGAGAGGGGCCAAGAAAGTGGGTGAGAGTAGATACCTTTTACCACAGGTAGGAATATCAGTAGAAAAGGTAAGGCAGTACTGGAGAAAATAGCTGTATATTCTGTCTTCCCTCAGCTCCACCCCTTGCTTTGCTGGTCTTTATATGTGCTAATGTTTGAAATTTGCCTATAAGTAATAATAATACTTATAAAGTCCCTTTAAGAACTATATCCAGAGATATCTGATGTCTTTCTTCTCAAGGTGGTCATCCTCAGTCTCAACCCTGGCTACACGTTAGAATGATCCGCAAAGCTTTTAAAAGCATGGATGCAGGGTCTCATCACAAGTCAATTAACTTAGAGCTGAGCAGACAGCGGGCAGCCATCACTACTGTTCTCAAGAGTCCCCAGGTCATTCTATTTTTGCAGTCAGTGCTTTAAGAGCAGTTGTGATGTCCACATTCTCTGGTGTTCCCAAAAAGGCACTGCTCTTCCCACAAGTGCTGGGAAGCATGAAATGTGAGGGGGAGACTATTTTTCATGGGTAGGAACAAGTTTTTCTGTCTCAGATTCTATCTTGTTGACATGTGTGATGCTGAGATAAGGAGACCACTCTTTCTGGTGGACGCCCTTAATGCCTTCGGGAGTTTACATCTCATTCTTCAAAATGTACCACTCGGCCTATAAGGAAAGCCAGGATTGTAAATGCATTTGCTCACGTGGAAATAACCTACCTAGCCCATTTGCAGATTAAAAAAAAAATGAAGCATCTACGTCTGTGCCATCCTTTCCACTAAGTGCAGTTCTTTACTAACTTTGACTTCATGCCTCCATGAGAAGCATCCACAGGCTTTTTTTTCCCCAAAATTGCATACTCCCTCATCTTCCACCCAACCCCTCGAGTCTTGCAAACTAAGAACTGCTGGGGGTCCTTCATTTTTGTTTCTATTTTTTTGTTTTTGTTTTTGTTTTTGTTTTGTTTTGCCGGAATTTTGCTCTTGTTGCCCAGGCTGGAGTTCAGTGGCCCCACCTCGGCTCACCGCAACCTCCGCCTCCCAGATTCAAGCAATTCTCCTGCCTCAGCCTCCAAAGTAGCTGGGATTACAGGCACCCACCACCATGCCTGGCTAATTTTTTGTATTTTTAGTAGAGATGGGGTTTCACCATGTTGGCCAGGCTGGTCTCGAACTCCTGACGTCAGGTAATCCACCCACCTCAGCCTCCCAACATGCTGTGATTACAGGCGTGAGCCACTGCGCCCGGCCTTTGTTTCCATTTTCACACAGCACTGCTGCCCATCTTAGGGACTTTAGCATTCACAGGCCCATTGCCCCATATCTACTTGTCAATATGAGAAAGCAGGAGGCCAAGAATTACAAAATGATTCTCCTTTGGTTGGACTTCAGTACCCAGGCCACCCAAATTGACAAAAACTCTGAATGCAGACAAACAATGCTTGTTCCCTGTCCTCTGGCCCTTTGCAAATAAATGCCTTACCAGACCTGCCCTGCCACCCCACTCGCAGCCACCCAGCAAGAGCAGCATGTCAGCCTGCCGGAGCTTTGCAGTTGCAATCTGCATTTTAGAAATAAGCATCCTCACAGCACAGTACACGACCAGGTGAGTCAGTTACTTTTCTGCTTGTCTCTGGAAGTTTCCTGTAGGATTAGCATCTCAAGGTCTTCTTAGCAGCAAAGTACATGACAATGTTAATCCACATGGCAATATACAGAGCCCTAGAATCTAAACTTCGAAAAGAGATAAGAAAATACATAGGGTGCATCTTTATGAGTTTTCTGTGGAAATGTGCTGCTGTTTCTGGGGATTTATTTTCAACAAGGCACTCAAATGTTAAGATTGAGGTATTCTTTAAATATCTGGAATTATAAAATAAAGCTTGTTTTCACCAGTGTATGATGAACCTGGGTTTATTAGTGCCTGATGTCTGAGAAGTTTAAAATTAAGGAAATTAATCTTTCCCTCACTCTGCTTCAATGCCTGACACCTTTAACATTTGGATACATCACCCTTTTGCCTCCACATTAGGCAAAGGTTAACTATTTTGTTTCTTTCCCTTGACATCCTGAGTTGTGTTCAGAGGCATGCATTTTGTTTAGGGCCATTTGGGATTTAGGTCATATTTCTTCCATTCCAGAATTGCAGTGATGCAGACCTGTCACTCATGCTTCTACCAAAGATACTTTTTCTCCTTTTTCTCTGATCCTAATCGGAATTGCAAAGCCCATGGCAAGTCATCCAGGAAACAAATCACCCATATAATAAGTTTTTATTGAACAGCTACACTGTACCTAGAAATGGTGGAGGTTAGGGTCACATGAGGCATCCTTCCTTCCATCCTGGAGTCATCAGAGTAGACATCGACCTGTATAATTCAATACAGGATGATCCGTTCTGGGGAGAGTACTGAAATATTCCTCACTTCAACAGTGTGGCTGGGGGGAAATGTCTGCCCAAGCCCTGTTCCTCTGCTCAGACATAACCATAACCTGCTTCCAATTCCTCATTAGTCATTTGACTCTTGGTTTACCCAAATGCTGTTTTGAACTTTGATGCCCGTCTCCAGTACATATTTGCCTGCCTCTTGGCTGCAGTTGGAGGCCGCCATTCAGCCTGGGCTCCACTCAACAAGTGGGTTATTCACAGGGCTGTATCTTTCAGGAGGGGGCACCCAGAGGTGCTACACAGATGAACATGGGCCCTGGATCCAGTGCTCGACCAGACCTTTCCTTCATCCCTCCTCTTTCCATATTATCTGTAAAGCATTGTACCATTCAGGAAATATTTTTGTTTAGTGGGCATCTGGGCACAAAAGGGATTTGGAAAGGCAGTTCCTCCAAGTTGCTTTAGCTCCCTTGAACTTCACCTGACCCTTTCTTAAGCTAAAAAATAATAATAATAATTCAAACAACCCACATTCCTAGATTGCAGCTCCTGCTGATCAAAAATGAGAGGCTGTGGGGAAGCTTTGATTGCTTTGAAGTGCGTACCCCCTGGGTCCTGGCCACACTCAGCTGTTTCAGGGAGGACCGGAAAGCCCCATTAGCTGGACCCCAGCTCCAGCAGCTGCACGGCTGAGTTTGGTTTGGTTTCGTGGGCTCCCATTGCTATGCCCTCTTGAGTTTGCCCCGGTTGCCCTGCTCTGAATGCTCTGTGCTTTGCCCTTTGACGGGGGTTGAGGTCAAAACAGAGTGTTCAGAGCCCTCAGTCATGAAGTGAGACGATTTGTTTGAATAATAGCTAACTGAAATTTGCAAAATAACTTTTAAAATCCTCTGAAGCTAGACTTCCCAGGCTCAGGTCAAGGTGCCTTTACTTACCAACAGTGTCATTTTGGGCGGGTTGCTTGGCCTCTCTGTACCTCGCTTCCCTCGTCTGTAAGATGTGGTTTTATTTATGTCCTGGGACTACCATAACAAAGCACCACAAGCTGGATGGCTTCAAACAAAAGAAATGTATTGTCTCACAGTTCTGGAGGTTAGAAGTCTGAAATCAAGGTGTTGGCAGGGCCGTGCTCCCTCCGATACTCTGGGAAGGGTCCCTCCTAGTTTCTGGTGGTGGCCAGCACTCCCTTGTATTTTATTTTTTGGTTTCAGATCATTTCAGTCTATGTGTCTATCATCACATGGCCATCTTCACATCATCTTCCCATTGTGTATGTCTTTATAAAAATGTCCCCTTTTTAAAAGGACACCAGTCATATTGGATTAGGGCCCACCCTAACGATGTCATTTTAACTTGATTACCTCTGTAAAGACCCTATTTCCAAATAAGGTCCCAGTCTTATTTGACACTTAGGACCAAATAATTATCTGGGGTTAGGACTTCAACATACCTTTCAGGGTTGGCGGGCAGGCACAATTCAACTCATCACAATGGTAATGATAGCATCTGTCTAATAAGGTTTTCGTTGTGAACATTAAACAGGTATACATGTAATGTCCTTATGACATCTGTGCCTGGCGCATGGTAAGAACTTAATAAATGCCAGGTATTTAAAAAAAATAATAACCTTCCTGTGCTTTCACTTTGCTATCTTTCTTGTTTAGGACGGAAGGGTTGGAATTACAGCTAGCCTTCAGGGCTCTCCCATGGCTTGAAGACATCTCATGCCACAGCTACAGTGACCTATTATTACTGGAGAACTGTCAGGGATTTCTAACTATTGTTTTTTTCTTTTTTCTTTTATTTTTTTACAAAGATTAATGTGCCCATGAGAACTGGCCATGAGGGGGACATCATCTCTTATGTTTCTCAAGGTAGAGCATCAATGTTTAAAACCACCATGAGAGTAGAATAGTAGCTCAGAGCGTTGCTTCTGGAGCCAGGTGGCCTGGGTTCGATCCCAGCTCCACAATTTACTGGCTCTGCGCCTTAAGTAAATTCCTTAACTTCTCTAAACCTGTACCTCACCTGCTAAATGGGAATAATAATGTGTCCTGCTGTGAGGAATACCTGAGATAACAAAGACAACATGCTTAGCACAGTGCCAGGCAAACAGGAAGTGCTCTGTGAGTGTAGCTATCATTACCTTTTCTCTCTAACTTGTAAATAACAAAATATGCACATGGTTCAAAGATCAAAAATAAAACAAGGTATACATTGAGTATCTTACTTTCCCTACTCATAACTTTCCGTGAGATTTGTGTTATTATATGTAAAGTATATATAAAGAGTTTAAAAACACTTCTTCGCTCCCACCTCATCCTACCTCTACAGGTTGTCACATATATAAGTTTCTGAGTATTCTTCCAGTACTTATTTTGTAGGTTAAACCATAGACTCATACGTAATCTTATTCTCTCCCAGTCTTTTGCAAATGATATCATATTATATATACTATTTTTTACTTTCTTTTACTTTCCTTTTTTTTTTTATTTACTTCATGGCATGTCCTGGATAACTTTCTGAGTCAATATGTGGGAACTTCCTCATTGTCATAGCTGATTAATTCTTACTGATGAACATTTGGGTGTTTCCAATCTTTCGCACTAGAAATAATGTTGCAATGAATATCCTTGTTTATATATCATTTTGTAAGTGGTTAGGTGTACCTGAGGATTAATTCCCAGAGTGATCTGAGTCAAAAGATAATCACTTTGTGACAGTGCTAAAATTGCCCTATTTGTATTATTTTGCACTTTCACCAGCAGAGTAAGAGTACTTGTTTCTCACAGCCTTGCGACAGGAACCACAGGCCAACCTTTTGATATTTGTCAACTTCATAGGTTAAAAAAAAAATAGGTATTTTGGCACGGTTTTAATTTGCCTTTCTCTTATTGAGTCAGATTGCACATTTTTTTCATACATTGAAAGGCCATATATATGTTTTTCTTCGCGAACTATTCATTTCCTTTGTCCATTGTTCTATTGAGTCTCCTGTCTTTCTCTTACATATTTCTATGATCACTTCATAAATTAGTCTTTGTCTCTGATATGAATTACACATATTTTTCCCAGTTTGTCATTCTTCCTTTGACTTTATGTGGTATGTTTTAGTGGAGTTACTTTCATATTTAATTTATTCTTCACTTTTTAAATAACTAAGGAGTACTAGATTGGGGTTTAGAAGACCTGAAAGTGACTAGTTACCTGGGCTCTGGAGAGAAGTTGTCCGGGTTTCAATTCCAACTCTGCCACCAAGTAGCTGCTGTCTAATCTGAGGGCAATTCCTTACCATCTCTGTGGCTCAGGTCCTCATCTTTAAAGTATAATAATAATAATAATAGTAGTAGATATCTAAGGGATGATATAAGAATTAAGTGAGATGATAAATACAAAGGCTTAAGGGAAGAATTCGTGACACATATAAGCACTCACAAATGTTAGCAACTATTATTTAATTTATTTTAATTCAATTTATCTCAACAATCTGGAAAAATATCCAAACATTCATTAATAGAAAAGTTTTGGATATCTAACAAACCAAAGATATTTAAAATGTCACTTTTTCCTCCTACTTTGGTTATATTTGCCTAAGTTTTTCATTTTTATATTCCATGCAAGTGAACAGATATTTATTTATGAACTACATTTGGCCAAATAGGATAATTTGTGTATTTGTCCATTTAATACAGCAAACAGTTATCAACTTTGTCGAATGAGCCAGACGTTGTGTCAGGAATTGCAGTATAATGTTGAACACATTACGGAGGGTCCCTGCCCTCACTGGGCTTACAATCTAGTGAGGAATGCTAACAAGGAAATGGCAATTACAACTCAGTCAAGTTCCCTTGTTGCACCTCAGCCAAGTGAGGCCTGTGATGCTCCTGTGAAGCTTCACCAGTCCACTTGCATACCAGCTTCCTCTGCTCTAGCCTAATCGAGCACTTTGCTCCAATAATGCTGCCACTTTTCTCCTGCAGCATCAATACCTCCCTTTTACTGAATCAATCTCAATGACATACAAACATATTTTAACTTAAAAAAAAATGGCACATTTCTCCACTTTACTCTAGACCCACTCCCTTGCATCCGGTCTCGTGGTATGAAATACCCTCTTATATTCTGACAACATCACATCTATATCTATGGTGAAACGCCACTTATACGCCGACATCCCCACATCTATACCTATGATGAAATACCACTTAGACTCTGACAACTCTCACATCTGTATCTCCAGTGCAATTGTTTCCCTGAGCCCAGTGACCAATTGCTTAGTCAACATCTCTTCTTGAAAAATCTAGTAGGCATCCCAAACATAACATGTCTGGAGAATACCTATTGATTTCTGTACTCGTCTCTACCCACCCTGCACCACCATTCTCCAAGTTACTTAGATTAAAACCTGGGAATCATACCTGAGACCTCTACGTGTGTCATTCCCACTTGCAACTTAACAGTGAGTCCTATTGGTACTACATATATATATATATATATATATACACACACACACACATATATATATACACACACATATATATATACACATATATATACACACACACACATATATATATATATATATATTTTTTATTTATTTATTTATTTATTTATTTTTTTGAGATGGAGTCTCGCTCTGCCACCCAGGCTGGAGTGCAGTGGCGCGATCTCGGCTCCCTGTAAGCTCCGCCTCCCGGGTTCACGCCATTCTCCTGTCTCAGCCTCCCTAGTAGCTGGGACTACAGGCGCCCGCCACCACGCCCGGCTAATTTTTTGTATTTTTAGTAGAGACAGGGTTTCACCGTTTTAGCCAGGGTGGTCTCGATCTCCTTACCTCATGATCCACCCGCCTTGGCCTCCCAAAGTGCTGGGATTACAGACGTGAGCCACCGCGCCCGGCCCGGTACTATCTTTAAACATATCCCAAACCTGATTGCTTTTCGCTATCTCCATGGGCACGACTCACTCCAGCCCAAATCACTATTATTTCTTGCCTGCCTCCATTTTTGTCCACTCCCCAGTAGTCAATTCTCCATCCAGCAACCACAGAAATCATTGGAAAACACAAACTTGTGTTACTTCTGCTCTCCAACTCTTCTAAGTATTCCTAGCAAGCTCAGAATCAAATCCAAACACCTGTCCATGGCCTACAAGGTGGAGCTGCACCCTTCCCTGTTCCCCAGGGCATTTGCACTCTCTTTTTGGCTCACTCTGCTCTAACACCATGCTTGCTGTGCCTCCAACATGCCACATCAGGGCCTTTGCACTTATTTTTCCCTTAGCTTGGAAAACTTTATCCAGACCCTCACAGAGCTTCCTCTCTAAATTCATTGAGGACCTTAATGGACTATCACCTTCTACTCTCTTTTTGTTTTGCTTTTTTGCTGTGTAACAACTCATTCCAAAATAGTATCTTAAAAGAATAGCAATTATTTCTTTTGCTCATAAATCCAGGGGTTGCCTGGGCTCAGCTGAGCGGTTCTCATGGACCTCCCACATAGGTGTAGTCAGATGGTGGCTGCAGCTGGGGTCATCTTGATGGCTTATTCACTCACATGTCTGTCACTTGGGCTGGGAAGACTCAATCAGCTGGGGAGCTGAACAACTGGGTGTCTTTAGGAATATCTCTCTCTCTCTCTCTCCACCCCATGCTCGTAGGTGGCTTCGTACACAGTGGTGAAAGGCTTTCAAGCAAATATCTTTAGATAAACCAGCAGAATTTGCATGGCCTTTTGTAACCCAGCCTTAAAATTCATACAGTGTTACTTCCTCTGCCTTCTACTCATCAAGGCTGTCACAAAGGCCCAGCCAACTTCAATAGAAGCACACATAAACCCTACTTTTGATGGGAAGAGTGTCAAAGAATTTCTGGACATATTTTAAAAGCACCACACCACCTGCGAGAGGATTCTTTCACTGCCCTCCCTCCCAACTCCAGTCCTAGGGCAGTCTCTATCCTCTTACCCGGTCTGCTTTGTTTTCCTTCATAACTCACATGTCTTAAGAAATATTGCATGTTGTATTTTCTAGCATACTTGCTTATTATATCTCACCCACTAGAGTGTAGGCCTCATGATGACAAGGACATTTTCTGTCTTGCAACCTTAGCCACTAGAACAATTTCCGACATGTACCAGTTCCTCAGTAAAGGTTGGTGACCCTTGGCTCATTTAAAGCACATGAGAGAAGCTCTGAAATAAGACTTGAGAAATCAGGAAAGGTTCGTTAAAAACTTAAGTGTTTGACACTGCTGTTATATTATCTTTTCATCTTGACGAGTTGCATGAACTAAAGAAACTGTGCCAAATCCATTGGTTAAAAATGTAGTCCTAATTGGCTTATATTTCTCCCCTCAAAGAAGCCACATTATCATATTTATTGACCAAAAGATTCCTTCATAAAGTAAGTGCTTTCCTGTCTGGGCCTACCACAAAGTATCCTGGAATTTGAGGTGCTACTGAGGCTTTCTTTTTCTAAAACTGGAAACTTTTCTTCATGGCAGGATAATAGGACCAGGCGTATATCAATGACTCTTCATTTGATGCATTTCTGGCCCAGAGGTAGATCTCCTGCCATGTTGATGTACATCACTTTGATCTAGGAAGTGACTTTCAAGCTGAGATTGAAACACTTGGAGATACGTTTTATTTGATAAACACATTTCATCTAAGAATCCAGAAAGTGCTTTACAAATACTTCTCCACTCAGCCTAATAGCACAGCAGGGTAATAGGCAGGTGGTAAGTGTTGTACATATGCAGTCCTTGAACTACAAAAGATGATCTGCTGAGTGAGTTAAGTGGGCTGAGGAGGGGGTGTTGGGCTCAAAGGATGAAAGACAGAAGAAGCTATTCAAGATCACCTATGTTCTTTCTTAGTATTTATGCAGCATATTCTTTCAATAATATATTCTTTTTGCATGACTTGTTATTCTCTGCTAAAAATTCCCATGAGTTCTGCCTTCACTGTGCTTCCAGTGAGCCAGGTAGCTGGCACAGTGAAGGCAAAACAACCAGGTGTTAAAACAATTTTCAATTTATTTTTGCCTAATTTGACATCATTTAGGTGTAAGCTTAAAGTAGGTCCAGGCAAGCGTCAGGCTGTCCCACTGACGTGCTTTGCCTGGGGCTGCTATATGTTTAAAAATACTTGCATTCTTGTCCACTTGCTGTATCTCAAGATGTCTAAAAGGCATGAGGCTATTAGATGCAGAAGTTACTAAATATGCTATGACCACTCAGCTTATTTCAAAGAGGATTTAGGTTTGGGGGAAAAAGCCAGCACAGGAGACAGGGAAACATTGCACTGAACTAAGAGCTAAGAGTTGTCGAGTCTAGACCCAGTTTTCTACTAACTGTTCAACTTTGGATAAGTAGTGTAATTCTCCATTTTTAGTTTCCCATCTATAAAAAAGAACTAGTAATGCTTACAAAGTTTACCAAGAAAAGGTAGAGTAAAGGTTAATGAGAAAATGAGCTTTGAAAATTGTCTAGTAAAATGAATAGACAAATATAAGGGTTTACTTAATCAAAATCATTTATGAGTGTTATGGGCTGATCTCCCCCCATCCTCTGCCACTACTACCACCATTTCATATGTTGAAGTTCTAACCCCCAATACCTATTAATGTGACTGTATATTCAGTTAAGGCCTTTAAAAAGGTAATTAAGTTAAAATGAGGTCATTAGGGTGGGCCTTAATCCAATACGACTGGTGTCCTTATAAGAAGAGGAAATTTGAACACAGACACCAGGGAAGGCCATGTGAAGACACAGGGAGAAGATGGCCATCTACAAGCCAAGGAGTGGGACCTCAGAAGGAGTCAACACAACCATATCTTGATTTCAGACTTCTAGCCTCTAGAATTGCAAAAAAATAAATTTCTGTTGTTTAAGGCACCCAGTCTGTGGTACTTTGTTATGGTGGCCCTAGAAAACTCATACACTGAGCTTAACATCCAGAGAATGTAAGTCCTAGTCCCAGGGCAAGAGAGTGATATGTAAGAACCTTCCTATGGTGATAGATTGAATCATTCAAAGAATGAATTCAAGTCACAGTCCGGGAGAGCAATAAAAGATAAAAGGCAAAGATCTGGTGCTTTCTATTAAGTCCCAAGCGTGAGTCATACTTTTAATAAAAAAAAACAAAAAGGAGTCCTTGGGTTAGAAGCTAAGAAGGAAGTAAATAAGTGTACACATAGTCAACGAGGTCCTATTATTATTGCAAATCATGTTAGAGAACTGTCTAGAGGTAATGCCAGTATCATTGGAGCAGGGTCTAGTCACTTACGTGTGGGAAAGATGAATAGCCCTGGTTGGGTTCTAGATTTATCCAGTAATGGACTGTAACTCACTCTGGAGTATTTGCAGTGAGTTTTACCTTCCATGCATGATTCTCCAGTCTGTACAGTATCCTCTGAACCAGCATTCACTGAGGCTTGTCTGAGTGGCAGGTGAGAAAGATGAGGTTTCTGGAACCAAGGAAGTAATCTATCTTGGGGAAATGTTGAAACAAAATGTTAACATATTCATCTAAGTAAACGACAAATACAAAAGTAATAGACAAAAACAGATAATCCAGTTCAAGGCAACAACAGCACTAACACTGGAGAAATCAGACATTAAAAAGATTCATAGAAATGTTAATAGAGCCTAGAGCAATTCCTGAAACCAATGATGTTCCAATGAGATTCCTTTACCTCCTAGTGTAATTTAGTTTTCTATGTACATAGCATCTTGTCTCATATTTCATTTAATTAAGTATTTACTCACTTATTCACTCATTTATTCATTCATCAAATATTTATTAATTTCCTATTATTAGCTATGCAGGGGGTTACAATGGTATTCAAAATAACAAAACAAAACAAAAACCATGATCCTCAAACTAACTAGCTAGAGTTTACATTCTAGCTAAAAATATCAGTGAGCTTGGGGACATTTCTGTTTTGTTCAGCTTGAATATCAAATACCTGGAACATAGTAGGTACTCAGAAAGGATACCAGCTCAGTGACAATTTTAGGTCTATGGTGGTTTCAATCTTGGGTAATGATATAATGAGTACTCCTACACCTACTTGAGGTCCACCCTTCAGATATCATGGATTTCCACCAGATGTTGCTAAGCAGTGTTTCTCAACATTGTTTGAACATGAGAATCACCTGGGTAACTTTTTAAAAACATTGATGCCTAGAGCCAATCCTCAGAGAGCTTGATTTAATCAGTATAGAATGGGGATCACAATTTTACAATTCCTATTTTTAATATCTAAGGATTATGATATGTACTTGGTATTGAGACCCACTGCTATAGGGCATTAAGGTGTATGTGCTATTGCCTCTTGATGTGGCCTGTCAGTTCCAGATGAGGCTGTAGTTTTATGGAAACATTCCAGCAGAGAATTTCTTAGTCATGTGGTTTCAGATATGCACTAGTACTCAGACTTCCAAGAAAGCAGGTTCTTCTAGACGTTTTGGCATCCCATGTAATACATTTTTAGCCTGCAATTTTAGAAGATGAAGCTCATCACACCTCCAGATATTCTGGAAGGTGTAGGCAAGGGCCAGGCTTACAAAAATGCCACCTCCAGCCAGGAAGCCTGCCTTGCAATCCTTGCTCAAAAACCATGTGGATGATTCCCCAGGAGATCACACCCTAGAGAGATACAGGCCTAGATTTGGCCAAAACCCCATGACTAAGGACTTCCTTCCTCCTCTTTCAATTATTCAATTATTCATTTAAAAAAAAACCCTTCCTGAGTACCTATTATGTTTCAGGTATTTGATATTCAAGCTGAACAAAACAGGAAAGTCCCCAAGCTCACTGGTATTTTTAGCTAAAATGTAAACTCTTACTTTGGGGATCATGTTTTTTGTTTTGTTTTGTTTTGAACACCATTATAACTCCCATGCTTAGCCAATAATAGGAAATTAATATATATTTGATGAATAGATAAATGATGAGTGAATAATTAATTCAATGAAATATGAGAACAAGATGCTATAAGAATATGTATATAGAAAACTAAATTACACGGGGAGGTTAAGGTGGATTCCCAGAAAAATATAATGTGTGTCCAAGATGAGATCAATGTAGTGAATAGTGAATAGCATGGTTAAAAGCCTGAAGACATGAGAAAAAGTGGCTTGTCTTGAAATTTTAATGTTCAGTGTAGCTGGAGCTTAAGTGGAGTAAAGTAAAGTTGGAGAATTAGGAAAGGGATAGGCCATGTAGAGCTCTCAAGGCATTGTGCTTTTGTTTCCTATCACAGCTGTAACAAATTACTACAAACTTAGTGGCTTAAAACACAAATTTATTATTTAACAGATCTAGAAGTCAGAAAATTGAATTAGGTTTCACTAGGCTAAAATCAAGGTGTTGGCAGGGCCAGATTCCTTTCTGGAGGCTCTAAAGAAAAATCATGTCCTTGCTATTCCCAGATTCTACAGCTGCCTGTGCTTCTTGGCTCATTGCCCTCTTCTTCCATCTTCAGAGCCAGCAACAGCAGGTGGAATCCCTTTTCATGCTTTGAATTTCTCCTGCCTTTTCTGTCTTCACATCTCTCTCACCCACTCTTCTCCTTTAAAGAGCCCGTGTAATCAGAGTGGGCCCAACAAAATAATACAGGATGATCTCCCCATAATCACATTTCCAAAGCCCCCTTTGCTGTGTAAGGCAACATATTCACAGGTACCAGCAATTGGAACAGGGATATCTTTGAGAGTCGTTATTCTGCCTATTGCATTATGTTAAAAAAAAAAAAAAAAAAAAACTTAGACTTCATCACAAGAGTGGTGGGAAGCTACTGAAGGTTTCTCGTAACTGAATGATAAGATCAAATTTGCATTTTTAAAAGACCCCTCTGGATGCCTTCTGGAAACTGAATTAGAGAGTAATTTTTGTAGTCATCTAGGAGATATATAATGTTGGTGTAGACAAGAAAAACATCTGAAAGAGATGAAGAGAATGGATGGGTTTGAGAATCATTTACAAGACTGTAACAGCAAATTTTTGTGGTTGACTAGATGGCATAGATGAGGATTGGAGTGCAGGATGAGACAAGTAGCACCAGGTCTCTGATTAGAATGACTGCATAAATGGAAGTGCCATTTGCCAAGACAATAAATACAAGGGAGAAGCATATTTGAGAGGGGAGAAAAATTAACGCACTCATTTGGGAATGCATTGAGTTCAGTAAGTCATGAAGACCTTCAAGTGCAAGGTCCAATTGGAAGTTGTATTCAAAAGTTTAAAGTTCAGGAGAGATGTCTGGGCTGCTGACTTATCTCTGGGTGTCTGATATGGTTTGGCTCTGTGTCCCTACCCAAATCTCATGTCAAATTGTAATTCCCATGTGTTGAAGGACAGGCATAGTGAAAGGTGATTTAATTATGGGAGTGGACTTCCCCCTTGCTGTTCTTGTGATGGAGTTCTCGTGAGAGCTGGTTGTTTAGAAGTATGTAGTACTTCTCCCTTCACTCTCTGTCTCCTGCCACTATGTGAAGATGTGCTTGCTTCCCCTTCACCCTTCCACCATGATTGGGTTTCCTGAGGCCTCCCCAGCCATGCCTCCTATACAATCTGTGGAACTCTGTGTCAATTCAACCTTTTTTCTTTAGAAGTTACCCAGTCTCAGGTAGTTCTTTATAGCCATGTGAGAACAGACTAATACAGAAAATTGGTAACAAGAGCGGGACATTCTTTAAAGATACCTGAAAATGTGGAATTGACTTTGGAACTGGGTAACAGGCAGAGGTTGGAAGAGTTTGGAGGTCTCAGAAGAAGACAGGAAGGGAAAATGAGAGAAAATTTGGAACTTCCTAGAGACTTGTTGAGTGATTTGGGCCAAAATGCTGATAGTGATATGGACAATGAAATCCAGGCTGAGATGGTCTCAGATGGAGATGAGGAACTTATTGGGAACTAGATCAAAGGTCCTCTTGCTATATTTTATCAAAGAGACTGGTGGTATTGTGCCCATGCTCTAGGAATCTGTGGAACTTTGGACTTGAGAGAGATGACTTAAGGTATCTGGTAGAAGAAATTTCTAAGCAACAAAGTGTTCAGAATATGGCCTGGCTGCTTCTAAAATCCTATGCTCATTCGCATAAGCAAAGAGAACTTATATTTAAATGGGAAGGAATGTGTAAAAGTTTGGGAAATTTGCAGCCTGACCATAAGGTAGAAAAGAGAAACTCATTTTCTGGGGAGAAATTCCAGCCAGCTGCAGATATTTGCAAAAATAAAGAGGAGCCAAATGTTAATAGCCAAGACAAAGGGGAAAATGCCTCCAGGGCATTTCAGAGACCTTTGTGGTAGCCCCTTCCATCACAGGCTTGGATATCTAGGAGGTAAAAATGATTTCATGGACTAGGCCCAGGGCCCCACTGCTCTGTGCAGCCTTGGGACATGACACCCTGCATCACAGCTGCTCCAACTCCAACTGTGCCTAAAAGGGGCCAAGTACAGCTCAGGCCATTGCTTCAGAGGGTACAAACCCAAGCCTTGGTGGCTTCCACATGGTGTTGGGCCTGCAGGTGCACAGAAGGGAAGAGTTGAGGTTGGGGACCTCAACCTAGATTTCAGAGAATGTATAGAAATGCCTGGATGTCCAGGCAGAAGTTTGCTATAGGGACGGTGCCCTTGTGGAGAACCTCTACTTGGGCAATGTGGAGGAAAAGTGTCAGGTTTGAGCCCCTGCACAGAGTCCCTACTGGGGCACTGCCTAGTAGAACTGTGAGAAAAGGGCCACCATCCTCCAGACCCCAGATTGGTAGATCCACCAACTTGCCCTGTGTACCTGGAAAAGCTGCAGGCACTCAATGTCAGCCCATGAAAGCAGCTGCAGGGTCTATACAGGCAGCGGCACAGAAGCAGAGCTGCTCCTTGCATCAGCATTCCCTGAACATGATTAGTGGAGTCAAAAGAGATCATTTTGGAGCTTTAAGATTTAATGACTGTCCAACTGGGTTTTGGACTTGCATGGTGCCTGTAGCCCCTATCTCTTGGCTGATTTCTCTTTTTTGGAAAGGGAGCATTTACCCTATGCCTGTACCTTGGGAGTAATTAACTTGTTTTTGATTTTACAGGCTCATAGGCAGAAGGGACTTGCCTTGTCTCAGATGAAACTTTCAACTTGGACTTTTTAGTTAATGCTGGAATAAGTTAAGACTCTAGGGGACTGTTGGGAAGGCATCACTGTGTTTTCAAATGTGAGAAGAACATGAGATTTTGGACAAGCCAGGGTGGAATGATATGGTTTGGCACTGTGTCCCCACTCATCTCCCACGTTGAATTGTAATCCCCACATGTTCAAGGAGGAGCCTGTCGGAAAGTGATTAAATCGTGGGGCTGGACTTCCTTTTTGCTGTTCTCATGATGGAGTTCTCATGAGACCTGGTTGTTAAAAACTGTGTAGTACTTCCCCCGTCACTCTCTCTCTCCTGATGTTATGTGAAGATGTACTTGCTTACCCTTCACCCTTCTGACATGATTGTAAGTTTCTGAGACCTTCCCAGTCATGCCTCCCATACAGCCTGTGGAACTGTGAGTCAATCAACCTCTTTTCTTTATAAGTTACCTTGTCTCAGGTAGTCCTTTATAGCCATGTGAGAACAGATTAATACAGTGTCATTAGCATAAACATGAAAACCAAAGTTCTGGTGAAAATATAGAGAAAAATAAGAGAGAGAGAGAGACATCCAAGGAAAGGATCTCGAGGGAAAATTAGTATTTCAAGGACTATCAGAAGAAGAGGCGCCTGCATAAAAGAGTAGGAGTACCAGGCAGAGAAGAAAAAAGAAATGAAAGAAAGACCCTATAATCCAAGAGAAGAGAGTGTCCTGAAGAGCAACAGTGGTGAATACATTGAATGCCATGAAGCAGTCAGTAAGATAAGGACTGAAAGGAACAGTGAGGCACATGGCAGTCATCACGGAGTTGGGCAAGAGCAGCGTTCACAGGGCAGGAGGGTTGAGAAGTGTTGGGATGTAGGAAACAAGAGACGAGGGTGCTCACTACTTTCTCAAGAAACTTGGCTAAAAGAAAAGAGAATTTAGAAGTAACTAAAAGGGCATGTAGAGTTTGAAGGAGATAAGACTTGTTCTTTGGATGTCAGAAAGACATAAATGTGCTTCCAGCATTTATTCTAAGAAGTGTTATTGTGAAGGGCAGGAGGGAGATGGTAGTGGTTGGAAGAAAATGTGTAATCAGGGATGGTGCATGATTTGTTCATTCCTTGGCTTTTTATGTTTAATATCACAAGCTTGAACACTTTATATTACAAATGGAAAGGAGATAGTAGAGAGGGAGAGTTTAAAAGGAAGGAGATATTCAATGAATCAGAGTCTCTAAGGGGAGCTGGGATCTAGAGAATTTGAGGAGAGATTGGCATCACCTAGTCTTTTCTGTGTTTTTTTTTTTTCCTTTTTTGTTTATTATACTTTAAGTTCTAGGGCATATGTGCACAACGTGCACGTTGGTTACATATGTATACATGTGTCATGTTGGTGTGTTGCACCCATTAACTCGTCATTTACATTGGGTATATCTCCTAATGCGTTCCTTCCCCCCTCCCCCCCACCCCACAACATGCCCCAGTGTGTGATGTTCCCCACCCTGTGTCCAAGTGTTCTCATTGCTCAATCCCTACCTATGAGTGAGAACATGCAATGTTTGGTTTTTCGTCCTTGCAATAGTTTGCTGAGAATGATGGTTTCCAGCTTTATCCATGTCCCTACAAAGGACATGAACTCATCCTTTTTTATGGCTGCATAGTATTCTATGGTGTATATGTGCCATATATTCTTAATCCAGTCTATCATTGATGGACATTTGGGTTGGTTCGAAGTCTTTGCTATTGTGAATAGTGCCACAATAAACATACGTGTGCATGTGCCTTTATAGCAGCATGACTTATAATCCTTTGGGTATATACCCAGTAATGGGATGGCTGGGTCAAATGGTATTTCTAGTTCTAGATCCCTGAGGAATCGCCACACTGACTTCCACAATGGTTGAACTAGTTTACAGTCCCACCAACAGTGTAAAAGTGTTCCTATTTCTCCACATCCTCTCCAGCACCAGTTGTTTCCTGACTTTTTAATGATTGCCATTCTAACTGGTGTGAGATGGTATCTCGTTGTGGTTTTGATTTGCGTTTCTCTGATGGCTAGTGATGATGAGCATTTTTTCATGTGTCTGTTGGTTGCATAAATGTCTTCTTTTGAGAAGTGTCTGTTCATATCCTTTGCCCACTTTTTGATGGGGTTGTTTGCTTTTTTCTTGTAAATTTATTTGAGTTCTTTGTAGATTCTGGATATTAGCCCTTTGTCAGATGAGTAGATTGCAAAAATTTTCTCCCATTCTGTAGGTTGCCTGTTCGCTCTGATGGTAGTTTCTTTTGCTGTGCAGATGCTCTTTAGTTTAATTAGATCCCATTTGTCAATTTTGGCTTTTGTTGCCATTGCTTTTGGTGTTTTAGACATGAAGTCCTTGCCCATGCCTATGTCCTGAATGGTATTGCCTGGGTTTTCTTCTAAGGTTTTTATGGTTTTAGGTCTAACATGTAAGCCTTTAATCCATCTTGAATTAATTTTTGTATAAGATATAAGGAAGGGATCCAGTTTCAGCTTTCTACATAAGGCTAGCCAGTTTTCCCAGCACCATTTATTAAATAGGGAATCCTTTCCCCATTTCTTGTTTTTCTCAGGTTTGTCAAAGATCAGATAGTTGTAGATGTGTGGTATTATTTCTGAGGGCTCCATTCTGTTCCATTGGTCTATATCTCTGTTTTGGTACCAGTACCATGCTGTTTTGGTTACTGTAGCCTTGTAGTACAGTTTGAAGTCAGGTAGCATGATGTCTCCAGCTTTGTTCTTTTGGCTTAGGATTATCTTGGTAATGAGGGCTCTTTTGTGGTTCCATATGAACTTTAAAGTAGTTTTTCCAATTCTATGAAGAAAGTCATTGGTAGCTTGATAGGGATGGCATTGAATCTATAAATTACCTTGGGCAGTACGGCCATTTTCACGATATTGATTCTTCCTATCCATGAGCATGGAATGTTCTTCCATTTGTTTGCATCCTCTTATTTTGCTGAGCAGTGGTTTGTAGTTCTCTTTGAAGAGGTCCTCCACATCCTTTGTAAGTTGGATTCCTGGGTATTTTATTCTCTTTGAAGCAATTGTGAATGGGAGTTCACTCATGATTTGGCTCTCTGTTTGTCTGTTATTGGTGTGTAAGAATGCTTGGGATTTTTGCACATTGATTTTGTATCCTGAGACTTTGCTGAAGTTGCTTATCAGCTTAAGGAGATTTGGGGCTGAGACAAGGGAGTTTTCTCAATATACAGTCGTGTCATCTGCAAACAGGGACAATTTGACTTCCTCTTTTCCTAATTGAATACCCTTTATTTCTTTCTCCTGCCTTATTGCCCTGGCCAGAACTTCCAACACTATGTTGAATAGGGGTGGTGAGAGAGGGCATCCCTGTCTTTTGCCAGTTTTCAAAGGGAATGCTTCCAGTTTTTGCCCATTCAGTATGATATTGGCTGTGGGTTTGTCATAAATAGCTCTTATTATTTTTAGATACGTCCCATCAATACCTAATTTATAGAGAGTTTTTAGCATGAAGGGCTGTTGAATTTTGTCAAAGGCCTTTTCTGCATCTATTGAGATAATCATGTGGTTTTTGTCTTTGTTTCTGTTTATATGCTGGATTACGTTTATTGATTTGCATATGTTGAACCAGCCTTGCATCCCAGGGATGAAGCCCACTTGATCATGGTGGATAAGCTTTTTGATGTGTTGCTGGATTCGGTTTGCCAGTATTTTATTGAGGATTTTTGCATCAATGTTCATCAGAGATATTGGTCTAAAATTCTCTTTTTTTGTTGTGTCTTTGCCAGACTTTGGTATCAGGATGATGCTGGCCTCATAAAATGAGTTAGGGAGGATTCCCTCTTTTTCTATTGATTGGAATAGTTTCAGAAAGAGTGGTAGCAGCTCCTCCTTGTACCTCTGGTAGAATTCAGCTGTGAATCCATCTGGTCCTGGACTTTTTTTGGTTGGTAGGCTATTAATTATTGTCTCAATTTCAGAGCCTGTTATTGGTCTATTCAGGGATTCAACTTCTTCCTGGTTTAGTCTTGGGAGAGTGTATGTGTCCAAGAATTTATCCATTTCTTCTAGATTTTCTAGTTTATTTGTGTAGTGGTATTTATAGTATTCTCTGATGGTAGTTTGTATTTCTGTGGGATCAGTGGTGATATCCCCTTTGTCATTTTTTGTTGCATCTATTTGATTCTTCTCTCTTTTCTTCTTTATTAGTCTTGCTAGTGGTCTATCAATTTTGTTGATCTTTTCAGAAAACCAGCTCCTGGATTCATTAATTTTTTGAAGGGTTTTTTGTGTCTCTATGTCCTTCAGTTCTGCTCTGATCTTAGTTATTTCTTGCCTTCTGCTAGCTTTTGAATGTGTTTGCTCTTGCTTCTCTAGTTCTTTTAATTGTGATGTTAGGGTGTCAATTTTAGATCTTTCCTGCTTTCTCTTGTGGGCATTTAGTGCTATAAATTTCCCTCTACACACTCCTTTGAATGTGTCCCAGACATTCTGGTATGTTGTGTCTTTGTTCTCATTGGTTTCAAAGAACATCTTTATTTCTGGCTTCATTTCGTTATGTACCCAGTAGTCATTCAGAAGCAGGTTGTTCAGTTTCCATGTAGTTGAGTGGTTTTGAATGAGCTTCTTATTCCTGAGTTCTAGTTGGATTGCACTGTGGTCTGAGAGACAGTTTGTTATAATTTCTGTTCTTTTACATTTTCTGAGGAGTGCTTTACTTCCAACTGTGTCGTCAAATTTGAGATAAGTGCGATGTGGTGCTGAGAATGTATATTCTGTTGATTTGGGGTGGAAAGTTCTGTAGATGTCTATTAGGTCCACTTGGTGCAGAGCTGAGTTAAATTCCTGGATATCCTTGTTAACTTTCTGTCTCACTGATCTGTCTAATGTTGACAGTGGGGTGTTAAAATCTCCCATTATTATTGTGTGGGAGTCTAAGTCTCTTTGTAGATCTCTAAGGACTTGCCTTATGAATCTGGGTGCTCCTGTATTGGGTGCATATGTATTTAGGATAGTTAGCTCTTCTTGTTGAATTGCTCCCTTTACCGTTATGTAATGGCCTTCTTTGTCTCTTTTGATCTTTTTTGGTTTAAAGTCTGTTTTATCAGAGACTACGATTACAACCCCTGCCTTTTTTTGTTTTTCATTTGCTTGGTAGATCTTCCTCCATCCCTTTACTTTGAGCCTATGTGTGTCTCTGCACATAAGATGGGTCTCCTGAATACAGCACACTGATGGGTCTTTACTCTTTATCCAATTTGCCAGTCTGTGTCTTTTAATTGGCGCATTTAGCCCATTTTGCATTTAAGGTTAATATTGTTATGTGTGAATTTGATCCTGTCATTATGATGATAGCTGGTTATTTTGCTCATTAGTTGATGCAGTTTCTTCCTGGCATTGATGATCTTTACAATTTGCCATGTTTTTGCAGTGGCTGGTACTGGTTGTTTCTTTTCATGTTTGGTGCTTCCTTCAGGAGCTCCTGTAGGGCAGGGCTGGTGGTGACAAAATCTCTCTGCATTTGCTTGTCTGTAAAGTATTATATTTCTCCTTCACTTGTGAAGCTTAGTTTGGCTGGATATGAAATTCTGGGTTGAAAATTCTTTTCTTTAAGAATGTTGAATATTGCCCCCACTCTCTTCTGGCTTGTAGAGTTTCTGCCGAGAGATCTGCTGTTAGTCTGATGGGTTTCCCTTTATGGGTAAGCTGACCTTTCTCTCTGACTGCCCTTAACATTTTTTCCTTCATTTCAGCTTTGGTAAATCTGACAATTATGTGTCTTGGAGTTGCTCTTCTCGAGGAGTATCTTTGTGGCATTCTCTGTATTTCCTGAACTTGAATGTTGGCCTGCTGTGCTAGGTTGGGGAAGTTCTCCTGGATAATATCCTGCAGAGTGTTTTCCAACTTGGTTCCATTCTCCCTGTCACTTTCAGGTACACCAATCAGACATAGATTTGATCTTTTCACATAGTCCCATATTTCTTGGAGGCTTTGTTCATTTCTTTTTATCCTTTTGTCTCTAAACTTCTCTTCTCACTTCATTTCATTCATTTGATCTTCAATCACTGATACCCTTTCTTCCAGTTGATCGAATCAGCTACTGAAGCTTGTGCATTCATCACGTAGTTCTCGTGCCATGGTTTTCAGCTCCATCAGGTCATTTAAGGACTTCTCTACAGTGGTTATTCTAGTTAGCCATTTGTCTAATCTTTTTTCAATGTTTTAGCTTCTTTGCATTGGGTTCGAACTTCCTCCTTTAGCTCAGATAAGTCTGATCGTCTGTAGCCTTCTTCTCTCATCTCATCAAAGTCATTCTCCATCCAGCTTTGTTCCATTGCTGGTGAGGAGCTGTGTTCCTTTGGAGGGGGAGAGGTGCTCTGATTTTTAGAATTTTCAGCTTTTCTGCTCTGTTTTTCCCCCATCTTTGTGGTTTTATCTACCTTTGGTCTTTGATGATGGTGACGTACAGATGGGGTTCTGGTGTGGATGTCCTTTCTGTTTGTTAGTTTTCCTTCTAGCAGTCATGATCCTCAGCTGCAGGTGTGTTGGAGTTTGCCAGAGGTCCACTCCAGACCGTGTTTGCTGGGTATCAGTGGCGGAGGCTGCAGAACAGTGAATTTTGCTGAACAGCAAATGTTGCTGCTTGATCGTTCCTCTGGAAGCTTCATATCAGAGGGGTACCCAGCCATGTGAGGTGTCAGTCTGCCCCTACTGGGGGGTGCCTCCCAGTTAGGCTACTTGGGGATCAGGGTCCCACTTGAGGAGGCAGTCTGTCCATTCTCAGATCTCAAACTCCATGCTGGGAGAACCACTACTCTCTTCAAAGCTGTCAGGCAGGGACATTTAAGTCTGCAGAGGTTTCTGCTGCCTTTTATTTGGCTATGCCCTACCCCCAGAGGTGGACTCTACAGAGGCAGGCAGGCCTCCTTGAGCTGTGGTGGGCTCCACCCAGTTCGAGCTTCCTGGCTGCTTTGTTTACATATTCAAGCCTCAGCAATGGCGGGCGCCCCTCCCCAGCCTCGCTGCCCTTGCAGTTTGATCTCAGACTGCTATGCTAGCAATGAGCAAGTCTCCATGGGCCTGGGACCCTCTGAGCCAGGTGCAGGATATAATCTCCTAGTGTGCTGTTTGCTAAGACCGTTGGAAAAGCACAGTATTGGGGTGGAAGTGACCCGATTTTCCAGGTGCTGTCTGTCACCCCTTCCCTTTGGTAGGAAAGGGAATTCCCTGACCCCTTGCACTTCCCGGGTGAGGCGATGCCTTGCCCTGCTTCAGCACACACTCAGTGGGCTGCACCCACTGTCCTGCCCCCACTGTCTGATGAGCCCCAGTGAGATGAACCCGGTACCTCAGTTGGAAATGCAGAAATCACCTGACTTCTCCGTCACTCACGCTGGGAGCTGTAAACGAGCTGTTCCTGTTCAGCTAGCCTTTTCTGTGGTTTAAGAGGCCTAACTATAGGAAGGATCAGTGTCAGGTCAGGCAAGTAGAGGTAGGGAATTTGTAGGATTCTTGTTGGGTGGTTTCTGGTTCTGATGTGTTTTCTTTTTTTTGTAATTATCCTGGGTGATATTTCAACCAGAAGAGACTCAAATGGTGAACCAACGGAGAAAGGAAAGTTCAAAGCCAGAAAAGCCTTGCTGAGCAGTGGGCCTAGGGGTGGAAAGGGAGGCATAAGTGCCAAAATATATGATGTTAAAACTCAGAAAGATCAGGAATAAGTCCTGAAGTGAAGTGTGAAGTGGCAAGGCATCCAGTTTAGGGCATACAGAATACCAGAGAGGGGAAACCTGATTTATGAGGTGCCCGCTACAGGAATGGCTGGGCCTGGGCTGGCTGGCTTAAATTTGCAAGAGAATGAGGTAACTTAGCCTCACCAGATTCTTGGGAGGGGTGGGGTATGGTGGATGGGAAGGAAGACACACAAAAAAATAAAATCAGATTTCTGGCTTCATTATGTTCATAATCTAGTTGGAAATATAAGATTAATCTATGTAAAACACCTGGAAAGATGCTTTGCTAGTTTTCCTCATTGCCGTTGTTTTGTTGTTTCAAATATTTGCATTCCTGGGAAGTTAAAAGTTAACTTACAATACAGACAAGAATTAACAAAAAGATGAGTTGAAAATACAAAACAGCATGCAATTGAGGGTGAAATGAGAGATATAGTAAAAAGATAAGTGGTATAATTTGAGAGGGGATAAAGTACAAAATGAACTGTGTTTATGAAGACTTCTTGGAAACAGATATACACAATGGTCATTATAAACTGGGATGTTCTGTTATCTTAGTTATGACCCAGAGCTAACAGAAAGCAGTGGCTCTGCATCACACATAGACTGCAGAATGAGCCCCTGGAGTGAATGGTCACAATGCGATCCTTGTCTCAGACAAATGGTAAGTGTTCATCTCCCTTCCCCACTGACCTCCCCAAATGGAAACTGTATTGCTAGCCTCTCCAGAAAAATGATTATGAGGCAGGGAGCCCCACAACTGAGTTCCAAACCCAGAAAGAGAGATAAACATTTAAATGTATGTTGCTAACTTTTCCAGGAAATCTTTATGTTGTACAGAATACTAAATGAGTGTCCAGAGGAATCATCTGTATAAGAGGCTGCCAAACCTAGAATGCAGAGTGTTACCCTAAATAACATCAGTGACTTCTTCCACCACTTCTATCTTAAAACCATTGACTCATTGCAGGGATATAGTTGTATGGATGCACCTTTAGACCATACCCTTTTTTTGGCATTAGAAATTCTAATCATTCCAACTGATATTGTGCAGTTTCGTTCAAGAAGCATTGAGGTCTTTGGACAATTTAATGGGAAAAGATGCACCGACGCTGTGGGAGACAGACGACAGTGTGTGCCCACAGAGCCCTGTGAGGATGCTGAGGATGACTGCGGAAATGACTTTCAATGCAGTACAGGTAATCTTTGTGCTTGAATTGCTCATTGTGGCTTTCTGTGTGCCTTCCTGAATGAAAAGAAAAAAAAAAGCATATGCTTCTGGACACTTGGATTTCCAAGCGTGAAAGGCCCCAAAAGAGGCCATCTATATATTCTGTACAAAGAACTCAAATGTGTTTTTCTGATACCTCACCTCCAGGGTTAAAATGCATTTGATAACTTCAGAAAGAAAGAGAAAATTTGACATTAGATACATTGAGTCTCTCCTGATTTTGATTGCAGGCAGATGCATAAAGATGCGACTTCGGTGTAATGGTGACAATGACTGCGGAGACTTTTCAGATGAGGATGATTGTGAAAGTGAGCCCCGTCCCCCCTGCAGAGACAGAGTGGTAGAAGAGTCTGAGCTGGCACGAACAGCAGGCTATGGGTGTGTATTTTACTTGTACTTTTTCAGATGAAAATGAGTGAAAATGATCTCCATCTCTCTCATTGTGATAGACTGGTAGAAGCATTTGTGCGAGGGACATAGGTGATACAGCTGATGGGTCTGTATTATTTTTGAACTACCTTTAAGCTTAAAGGAAGTGCTAAATAAGCATCTCAGGATAATTTGGACAAATTGCCTGCCCTCAGTAGGGGTCTGTAGAGTGGACTAGATGATCAAGATGTTAGATAATTGTCTCTCAGTGGAGCAAGAGATGAAATCTCTCATTTAGGAACCTCTGGGAGACCACAGCAACATTGACATGATATGTTAACATTTGGAATGAATTTCCAATACGAGATCTAGCAATTCAATTCAAATATTTGCATTGCTGGGAAGGCTGTCTTCCATTGGAACTTCTCCTGGATCTTGGGAGTTTCCAGCATTCTGGAGCTGACCCAGGAGGAATGTGATCAGAGGAAGTAGTTTTGATGCCAGAGGATGATTATGTTGAGGTTCTGGTTCTCATTATAGAGAGCTGACATTTCACTCATTTTCCATACAAAACCTAGGGGCTCTGGACAGATGGCTGTAAGCTCAGATGGGATGTCTTGGAGTTTAGAACTCAGGATTATACAGAATAGAGACTATATGCAGAGAGATTCGGTTCTATTCTGTTCTGTTCCATACATAGTCAGAGGGCATCCTAGGAATATCTACTACACAGCCTCTCTTACTCACTCTGAGCTGTTTTTGGTAAAGGTGGATTTGTTGCTATTTTTGGTAAAGGTGGATTTGTTGGAAAATTGTCCCCAACAAAGACATGGTCATTCTTCCACCCAGTAGTATATTGAAAGAGATGGTATATGGCTTTATTTCCTCACCTATAATGTAATGTGTCTCTTTATGCTCATAATTCCTGTGCCTGGGTCATAGTAGGTGCTCAGTAAATACTTGGTAGGTGGATACATTGGCTAATTATTAATTAATGAATATCCTTTAACTACTTTCTAAAATATTGTCAATTGGCATCATGTAAGACTGAATTTCTTTTCCCGGATAGGACTCCAGTCCCGGGTATGGAGATGAGGAGAGGAAAAAAGACAGGGGTGATGGTAAGAGCAAGGCTGGTAGAAGGGTAAGGCAGTGGTTCTCAATCAGTGGTAATTTTTCCCCCAGCAGACATTTGACGATATCTGCGGCGGGTCACGCCTGTAATCTCAGCAATTTGGGAGGCCGAGGCGGGCGGATCACGAAGTCAGGAGATCGAGACCATCCTGGCTAACACGGTGAAAACCCATCTCTACTAAAAATACAAAAAATCAGCAGGGCATGGTGGTGGGTGCCTGTAGTCCCAGCTACTTGGGAGGCTGAGGCAGGAGAATGGTGTGAACCCAGGAGGCACAGCTTGCAGTGAGCCGAGATCATGCCACTGCACTCCAGCCTGGGCGACAGAGCAAGACTCCATCTCAAAAAAAAAAAAAAAAAAAAAAAAAAGAGAGAAAAGACAGTATCTGGAGACCATTGTAGCTGTGACATCTTGGAGGGGGTGAGAATGGGGAGTGCTATTGGCATGTAGTGGGTGGAGGCCAGAGATGATGCTAAGCATAGGACAGCCTGACCCAAAGCGTCAGTGCCGAGGTTGAGAAACCCTACACAAAGTTACTAGGCAGTTCCTATGATAAGACCTCTATAAAGTTTAGCTAATGAAGGAGATGTCTCCTCTCTCTAAGCCAAATGAAACTTCTACTTCTTAAATCTAGGTAAGAAAAATATCCCAGGATACCAAGAGTCAGGCACCAGATAAAGCATTTCACGTGCCCTTCATGCACTTTATAAAATCTTGTTCAAGCAGCATTCAAAATTACTTACAGTGCCTTTGGCCCTTAGCCTAAAGGTGGGAATCTCAAATCAAATGGATGGTCTTAGGCCCCTAAGTTCTGCAGGCCCTCTTAGTAAATTTTAGGCAGTAAATGGCATGGGAGTTTTCCCAAATCTTATAACTAGATCATGGTGTGCTCAAATGGTCCTGATTCTTTTTATTTATTTCCTCAGGGAAAGATTGTGAGTCCATGGTGAAAGCCCATTACTACTTTATTTTGCTTTAATTGGGATCCAAGAAACAACTTTCTTTTTAATCTAAATAAAACAGCTTAACATATGTTATTTATTCTCATTCAATGCAAATTTATAGTTTGTCTTATAGGAAAAGAATATAGAAATATTGGCCCATTTAGCTGAAAAACAATCATTCATAATCTATTGGTTTCCTTTGTTCAGGGAAAAGAAAAATTTGTTGCATAGCATTTGTCAGAGAGTTTCATAATGAAGCAGGGCTAGCTAGGAATTCTTAAATACCTCACGCTTTACCACAGTCAGGGTTGGTGTTAGGAACCATCCCACAGCTGAGTCTTCAAGGCTGTGTAAGAAGGTGGTGCCCTAGCTATGGGGAAAGGTCAGCTGCAGAAATGGAAAATGAAGTAGGTCTTGATAGAATCAGTCCATCAACATTTTTTAATTAAATTCCCCATTACCATGAGTAATAACCTATGTTAAATTTAGTCTTCATGAAACCTATTGTTCTATGACGACTTTCATTTGCATAATACTTTAAACTTTTCAAAATATTTTTCCACACTGTATCTCCATAGATTTTCCAAATAATACTGGGAGATTGTTAGAGGAGGTATTATATTCATTTTATAGATAAGAACTGAGTGAAATAAATAAGGCCATTTGACTGATTAGTTCTAGTAGAGCTGAAACAAGTTTCTCTGAGTCTCATAAAACTATATTTTTCTACCATACCACCTTACCCTCTCCTCCTTAAAACCCCAACCAACACCCACAGCGGTTCCCTCACATCACTACAAAATCCGTAAGTCTTAACTTCGACACCTTAACTTCAAAGCAAAACTAACCTTAAAAAATGAAACTCCTTAAGTAGCTACTTATCACACAAATATTTGAATTAAGGAATATAGGAGAGTGGTATAAATCAGTAATTAATATTTAGGAAGAGGTTTCAAAACAACATATATTGTTATATTTGTAATATTCTTTCATACCATTAATGTTGCATGTTTACTCACTACAAACCTCCAGTATTCTTATATGGAGCTGTGGATTCTTTGTGAAATAGAGGTAATAGGAGTACACTCCCTAATCATAGCAACATGCTTATAAACTACATCTACCCAATTCATTCTGGACAACCTCAAAAAGTCCTATCAATAGTCACATACAGTTAGATTCTTCTACATGTGAAAGTCACAAGCACTCATGGTAATTAATTTATACTGTTTTCATTTGAAGGCCTCTCACATCTATGTTCTTATGCCAGGAGAATTGAGTTGTATCACAAATGTTTCAGCCTCTTATTTGTAGGCATCTGAGATTCTCCAGAAGTGTTTGGGGAAATCCCCCAACCCATCTTGCATTCATTGAAAAGGCATACATCCAGCCAGCTGTAAGTGATATGCAAGGAATTATTTTTTGTGATCTAAGCATAACACCACTTCTGTGAAGGGAGCTTTCTCTTCAGTTCACCTGGTAAATTGGAACTGCCCGTGGTTCTAGATGCAGGTGTGAAAGCAGGCATCTATAAGCACTGCCAAAGAACATATTCTTTTTTTATTTCCCAGGTGATGACTTTCCATCCATGAGAAGTGTTCATGTTTCTTGGCAGAAAAAATTGGCTTATTCTGGACTAGACTGGCTGTCTCTGTAGTAGTGGAACCAAGTCCAAAGCTTTTGAAACATTTCTTCCTTTGTTGTGCTTTAGACTGTGGATCAACTTCATTTTAACTTTCCAGATGGGTCCAGCCAACTGGCCAATTTGATGATCTATAAAACAATAACCTTCAAACTAGGATATGCAAACCATGGGGTGCACAAAAACTTTCCAAGGGCAGACAAATAAGTCTTAAGGTAATAGTTTCCTCAACTATTAATTATGTAGCTAAGCTAATAGTAAATCCTCAACTTCCATACGTACATGTTTTTCACAAAATTAATAAGCATGACAATTCAGCTGCATTCAAGCTGTCAGGCCCATTCTCCTTTCTTGCTTTTTTAAACAATCACTTACTTCTTACTTTTTAAGAGCAGAGTATACTCCTCACCCATCTCACACTCACATTTTACTATAGAGAGGAAAAAAAAAACAAGACACAACTCCAAATGTTAGCACTCAACTGGACTCTGACACCTTGAAGTTTTGTGATCTCTAATTCTTTTTATCAACACTGAAAGATTACCTAATCAACTTTTAGATAATGGAGCATAAAAATAATTTTTGATGAAAGATCACTAACTATGGGATCTCTTTTTGGTATATAACTCAGAAAAAGGGATTAAAATTGTGTGACATTGTTATAATAAAATTTCTTTTATTCTTATCTACTTATTTATGTGAGTAAAACTTCTCAGCACTTACAACTATAAAAATGAAAAGTAGGACTCAAATTGATACTGAACACTGTCTCTTCCTAGCACCATGAATGAATGAATGAAGTAATATTCATTCATGGATGTGGGAACCAACATATTAATTTAAAAAGAAGACTCATTCATTTCATTAAGATAGCTTTCCAATAAAATTTTACTTACAGTAATGATTTTTAAAAATTTAAGATACCTATATATGGCACTATTAATAAAGAATTTTTAATACTTAGACCCTATGGTCAAAGAGTATTTAATATTTTTAAATTTCAATTAATATCTTTTTGGTACAGAAAAGTATGACAAGACAATCAATAAAAACTTTAAAAAATAAACTATATTACATTAGGTTAAAATTCTGTGAGGGAAATGGAATAGAAATGTGGATTCAAGAATAAAAAGGGGCATAGAGTATATAGGAAGTCTGTGTGCCTTCTGTTCACTTTTGCTGTGAACCTAAAGCTGCTCTAAAAAGTAAAGCCTATTAAAAAAATAAATAAAAAGGAATAAAAATAACTAAAAAATTTCCAACTGTTAGAAAAATATCAATGCTGTGTGACCCAGCATCACTACAGCATTTATATTTATTGATTTTATCTTTAAAGTGGTAAAATAATTATATGTTAAAGTACAAATAATGACAACATTATTAGGAATTATATTCTTTGCATCTACTTAATCTTAAGATGAAAAATATTAGATGTCACGCTAAAAATGTGCAGGAAAGTATAATTTATCAAAATTCCTTTATAGCGGAGACAAACAGAGTATCTGAAGACCATTACCCTCATAACATGCCATTTCCGTCTCTGAGCTCTTACCCACACATTTCTCCTGCACTAGCCCCATCCCAATTTACCCACCCCTCAAAACCCATATCAAATCTTTCTTCTAAAACTCTTTTAATGACCCTCCCATGGTGATTTCCTCCTCCAGAAGACTCAATGTGTAAAGCACTCACATGTACCCCTCATTTGGCACAAGTACAATCCTCCCTTTCTACCCATCAGGGATCGGTTCCAGGACCTCCCACATGTACAAAACTTTCAGGATGCTCAAGTCCCTGATATAAAATGACATAGTATTCGCACATACCTATGTACATCCTCCTGTACTCTTTAAATCATCTCTGGGTTATTTATAACACCTGATACAGTGTAAATGCCATATAAATTGTTGCTATACTACAAGAGAAAAAAAGTTTGTACGTGCTTATCATGTACATTTTTTTCCAAATGTTTTTAATCCATGATTGGTTGAATCCACAGGCACAGAGCCCACAGATATGGAGGGCTGATTGTGTATTCTTCCTTGGCCTAGTTTTTGAAATTGGTGATTTTATGTTCTACTCCTTAATTTGAACACAATTTGCATGGAAGCAGAGAGTGAATATAAACTGTCTTAATATTCCCCCCTGCTAATTGCAAACACTGTACAACACATAGATATAGTAGTCACCTAAGAGCTAATCATCAATATAAACAAAAGTTGATTTCATTGTTCACTGAAAATAAAGAGGTACAATGTCTCTGTTAAAGTAGCCACACCAGATATGTAGTTCACTATCATATAAAGAAAATGTAGCTGAGATCTTGTTTAAGAAACAACCCAGGTCATTTGCTTCCAGTATTTTATGTCTTACTGGTGGAGAGCTTGTGTCAAAACCTTAGTGATACAAAAATAAGTGTTTATTTCTTTTTTTTTTTTTCCCAAGGCAGAAGAATTTTTCTTAGTACAGAACAAAATGAAAAGTCTCCCATGTCTACTTCTTTCTACACAGACAGAGCAACCATCTGATTTCTCAATCTTTTCCCCACCTTTCCCCTTTTTCTATTCCACAAAACTGCCATTGCCATCATGGCCCGTTCTCAATGAGCTGCTGGGCACACCTCCCAGATGGGGTGGCGGCCGGGCAGAGGGGCTCCTCACTTCCCAGTAGGGGCGGCCGGGCAGAGGCGCCCCTCACCTCCCGGACGGGGTGGCTGGCCAGGCGGGGGGCTGACCGCCCCACCTCCCTCCCGGACTGGGCGGCTGGCCGGGCAGAGGGGCTCCTCACTTCCCAGTAGGGGTGGCCAGGCAGAGGCGCCCCTCACCTCCCAGACGGGGCAGCTGGCCGGGCGGGGGGCTGACCCCCCCACCTCCCTCCCGGACGGGGCGGCTGGCCTGGCGGGGGCTGACCCCCACCTCCCTCCCGGACGGGGTGGCTGCCTGGCAGAGACGCTCCTCACTTCCCAGATGGGGTGTCAGCCAGGCGGAGGGGCTCCTCACTTCTCAGACGGGGCGGCTGCCGGGCGGAGGGGCTCCTCACTTCTCAGACGGGGCGGTTGCCAGGCAGAGGGTCTCCTCACTTCTCAGATGGGGCGGCCGGGCAGAGACGCTCCTCTCCTCCCAGACGGGGTTGCGGCCGGGCAGAGGCGCTTCTCACATCCCAGACGGGGCGGCAGGGCTGAGGCGCTCCCCACATCTCAGATGATGGGCCGCCGGGCAGAGACGCTCCTCACTTCCTAGATGGGATGGCGGCCGGGAAGAGGCGCTCCTCACTTCCTAGGTGGGATGGCGGCCGGGCAGAGAGGCTCCTCACTTTCCAGACTGGGCAGCCAGGCAGAGGGGCTCCTCACATCTCAGACGATGGGCGGCCAGGCAGAGACGCTCCTCACTTCCCAGACGGGGTGGCGGCCGGGCAGAGGCTGCAATCTCGGCACTTTGGGGGGCCAAGGCAGGCGGCTGGGAGGTGGAGGCTGCAGCGAGCCGAGATCACGCCACTGCACTCCAGCCTGGGCACCATTGAGCACTGAGTTAACGAGACTCTGTCTGCAATCCCGGCAACTCAGGAGGCCAAGGCTGGCGGATCACTCGCGGTTAGGAGCTGGAGACCAGCCCGGCCAACACAGCGAAACCCCGTCTCCACCAAAAAAATACGAAAACCAGTCAGGCGTGGCGGTGCGCGCCTGCAATCGCAGGCACTCGGCAGGCTGAGGCAGGAGAATCAGGCAGGGAGGCTGCAGTGAGCCAAGATGGCGGCAGTACAGTCCAGCTGCCGCTCGGCATGAGAGGGAGACCGTGGAAAGAGAGGGAGAGGGGAGACCATGGAAAGGGGAGAGGGAGACGGAGAGGGAGACGGAGAGGGAGAGGGAGAGGGAGAGGGAGATATAAGTGTTTATTTCTCACAAGGCTGGGCTTCACTGGGAGCTTCACCTCAAGCTGCAACAGCTGGGTGGTTCTGCTTTTCACTGGGATCACTGGGATAGCCAGGTTGAAGGGGCAGCAGCTACCCATTAGAAGCCCTTTTCAAGGCAATGGCACAAATACAGGAAAGCAAAAGCAATGAATGAGGCCTCTTCATTCCCATGCTTTGAACTGGCCCACTGTCACTCTCAACTACATGCCATTGGCTTAAAGTAAGTCACATGGCCAAGCACAAAGCCACTAGGGAGGGAAGTATACTTTGCCGGTGATGAGGTCATGGCAAGGGTGTACATGCAGAGATGGGTAAAGGATTGGGACAAAATTTTAATTTATCATGAGGAATAAGGTGTTTAAAAAAATAAATCAAATATATAATGTTTTTTTATTTTTTCTCATATTCAAATTAATAGGTCTAATTTTTGACCCTATATTAGAACTTTAAGGCCATAGCATTTTTCATGAAAGGTATTTTGGTGGGACAGGCAGTGGGAGGTGGTCAATTTTATCTATATGTCAGCCTTGAGGAAGATATTCATGCATCAGTTTCTTAACTTGCCTTCCATTAAAGTTGAACCATTTTAGATTCACTTTGGAACTTCGTAGATTCAAAGTTTATGTAAAATGTGCTATTTATATAAAGATGTTGTTTTTAACTAACCCACTACCAGTAGGAAACCCTTTCAATTATTTCTCTTGCATAAGCCATGGGTTTACAGTAAACTACCCACTCTTTGACAAATTGGTCTTAAAACCAACATCCAGATTTGTAATCCAGTTCATTGGAGTTAGGAATGTGGCCTAGGGCAATGGAAGAGTTTGTGTTTTTGTTTTTGTACCAAGGTAAGTTATAGATTTGATCCTCAAACCTATTGGCCTCCCTGGCTTGGGGCCGTTTATTCCAGATACAGCCTAGACAGCAATGACTGTGTTCCTCCAATGAACAGAGGTATATTTCACAAGGAAATAACTGCTTCTAGTTCATATATTGTTTCTAAGCCTACAAGTAAAATTAAACTTTTTTAAAAGCTAAATAAAATTTATATTTATGAATGAAAGCTTGCCAAATAAAAATATTTTGCTATGGGAAAAAATAGAACTTTTGAGAATGCCTTGCCAGGATGCTAAAATTTTTGTGTTCATCTTGGAGAGCATAACGGGAATAATATAAGCCTGGAGGGAATGAGGTTCTTGACAAGCAATGAGACAGCTGGAGGAAAAGGCTTAAGTTTAAAGAGAATGGGGTGAGTGAGAGAAAGCCCCAATGTTGATTCATAGATGAAAAATTACATGCACATGTTATATTGGCCCCCTGAGATGCTCTGTTCTCAAATAATTTAAATAGTTGGTATTACAGCATCAGTTATTGGTTCACTAAGGGAGGTTAGGTAAGAGTTACAGCAGTGAAGTTAAAACTCCAGGAACCAGATGGTCCCATGTGCCTTACTTATTGCATTTCTTTCATTGCACTCTAAACAGTGCCTTAGTTGCCTAAAAGAGTTCATAAGCCTCTCCTAAGGTATGCTTTCTGCCAGAGACACTGAGCCAAGGTGAACAGGCTCTTGCTTCTGTTCCTGATTATAGCACACACATATTGGGTGACGGTGACATGAACTGAAGCTGTCTCACTTTTTCCAGCTACAGAGGGCTGCCTTGCATTGTGTTGTGGTATTTCCACTTCTGATACTACTCTGTTCATTCTCAGGATCAACATTTTAGGGATGGATCCCCTAAGCACACCTTTTGACAATGAGTTCTACAATGGACTCTGTAACCGGGATCGGGATGGAAACACTCTGACATACTACCGAAGACCTTGGAACGTGGCTTCTTTGATCTATGAAGTAAGTCTCCTCGGAGGAAAACACATTGTTCAACTTTTGGCTGAAAAATTGCTTAAATAAGTTTAGTACCAAACAATGTGAAAAACTCAGTAGAATAATAATTTCACATGAACACAAGACTTAAAGAAGAGGCGATGTAGTTTGGATCTCTTTAGAAACATACAATTGTGTCTTCTCAATCCTCAGTAACATGCACCTAGTGATAAAGATGTGGCAAATACCTAGACTCCATAAAAAGAATTATCTCAGGATCTAACATAACTAAAAATTAAATCAGTGCTGATTTAAGTAGTGATAACACTGCTTACGTGCTACTTGAGTTTTGCTGTTATTGTTTGCTAGCCTCCTGATGAAAACTCATCTTTGCGTTGGTTTTCCTTCAGCATCCGCCTATGAAGAGCCTGCTTGACTAATGTGAGTGGCTATTTTCACTCACCTTAAACTCCTCTACCTCTTGAAAATGATTTATAAAAATGATTTTTACTCTACACAACACTATTCCAAACTTAGCTATCTTTCTTAAAGTCACCTAATTCTCTAGAACAATGACAGACTGTAGCCCTCCACCATTAAAAGGATTAATATTTATCACCTTTAGAAATTCTTTCTTTGTTCCAAGCAAAATATAATGAAGAATAATAATAAGCTTGCTCTGACCCAGGAGCTACAAGAGTCTGTTTCTTAAAGTGGTCCCATTGGTAAAGAAGAGCCACAAGGTCTGCCTTATTCAGTTATTACAGGGCTCTTATTGTTATCAGTCCCACCAGTTTGAAAAATGTGTATGCTTTTAAATAAGCATTACTTTCTGAAAATATCATAAATCAGTCTCTACATATTGCAGCCAGAAGCAATCATGTTTTCTCATGAATGCTAAAGACTGTCATATCTTGACCATTTGACTGGCATGTTTTTTTTCACATGTAGTCATGTTTCTTATACCTATAAGTCAGAATATGTCAGTTGCCAAAAAATCTGAGGAAATCTTTTGGGCTGTTGGTTTTCCCCAATAATGCCAGGTTAAACTTCTTTAAGCACAGATTTTTGTGATGGAAAGATGACAATTATTTTTAAAAAGTATTACATACATTCTCCTTTCTTAAATAGAAAATACCAAACATGGTCACCTTGGTCATTGCTGATGGGAGAAGGGCTATTGTTGTGTTGATTTAGTTTGTTTGGAGTTTAGTCTGCATTTTACGGTTTTCCTGTCTTCACCACTGTGATCAGCTCTTAGCTTCTCCAGAGGGGTAATAACTTGTACGACATAGAATAGTGACGGCTAGGGGCTGCCCAGGACTGATCTTGAAGCCACGTTTGGAAAGGAAGCACTGCTTTCCCTTATCCATAACCCTGGAAACACATGTGTTTCAGCATTTCAGAATGTTTGGTATTTTAGAAAGGTGATGTGGTGTGATATAAATCACAATGGAGTTTGGAGCAGCATCACATAATCTAACACATCAATATTTCTGTAGCAAAACTAATCTATGTTCATATATGGTGGGAAAAATGAAGACTATAGATACCTTTTACTAGTTCAGGTGAGATTAATACCCCCAAAAGAGTTTGATGTCAAGCTTATTAGAAAGAAGATAGGAATTGTGGACTTGAATATTTATTTGATGCCAACTGGGGCAGTGGGAGTTGAATAGGGGTTGGCTAAGGCCTCCACATCACTCCGTTGCTGCTCCCACTGCTGATAATCCCCTTATTCAAATCTGTTATGGTCTTGGAAAATAAGTAGCCAAACTCATTATTATTATACATAAAAGAACACAAACTTACATGAGGGGAAATATCTACTTTAACTCCTTAGAGATGATTTTTTTCTTTAATTCCTACTACTTAATGAAATATGTCATTTACTTTCTCATGTGTATCAGTAGTACCTGAAGGCAAATTATACATATTATACTTCTTTATAGCTTATTACCAATACCAACTCCATATAATCCTCACCAGTTTTTGTTGGATGAAATAATTTTTTAACTCTTGCCTTAGTTACTTATTGGCAATAATTTATTGGCTTTCATTTTTGACAGAATTATACTGGTCCATCATAACATGGGAATGCACCTAAATAATGACATCTTATTCTCATCCATTCATACTCTCTCATTTAGGGTCTTTTGTCTCTAATGGGCTGTGGTTCTAGAGCCACTCTGCTTAGGTTGAAATCCCACCTCTGCCCCTTAGTGCTGTAAAATCTCAGGCAAATTACTTATCATCATTGTGCCTCAGTTTCTTTATCTATAAAATAGAAATAATAATGCCTACCTCATGGAGATAAATGGGTCTAAATATGTGAAACACTCAGAAAGTCACTGGCATATAGCAAGCCCTCAGTAAATATTAGCTATTATTCATTTTAGAGTATAATTAGTTAAAGACTTAGCCAAAGCTAGGTACATAATTAGTGGTCACACAGCAGGTCAAGACTTACTGACCACTTTATAAATTAGCAGTAATGACCAAGAACAACTGTAGAAGTAAAAAGGGGAGGGGGGAGTGATGATTGCGTTTATAACTTAGGTCCTTTTCTACTTACTTTTCTTTGGTTGTTTCTTCACTTTTGTTGTTGAATAACAATTTGTAAGCCTAAATCAGGTTTCAGGTGTTCATTATAATTCTTCTTAAATCTGAGTCTCCATGAAAATGTAAGATTTGGGAGATGAACAAAAATTTGCAAAATGCACACAGATTATAAGCATAGTTTTCGCCCCAATCCTGCCAAAATCCTGGGTGACTTCAATATCATGTGGACTGCCAAGTATTTCTTGTTGCCTCATAACTTCCTATACCATTTCACTACAGCCACTCTCATTTCTAGCCACCTAACCCTTGGCTTTGTCTTTACCAGAACTTTGCTGTCTCTGAAATTTGAAAATCCAACTTTTAACCCTCTCATCTTATCACAGTTGTCTAACCTCTCAGCTCTCACCCTCATTTATGCCCACAAACCTCTTCTTGGCCTCATCTAGACCTTCAGTCTTTTTGGAATCTTTTTTTCTCCTGGTATATCTTGCTCTTCCTACTTTAAATTATTTTGTTCATCCAAGCTAGATCCATTTTGACTACATTTGCCAATATTAGCAATGTCCTTGTTTCCATTCCTCCTACAATCCAGAAAAACTCTGATTTGGCATGAACCTTATTGTTTTCTGCCCTACTTGTAAACTTACACTGCTGAACACTAAAGAGAATATTATGCTCACACAAAAACAGCTAGCATTATAATTTCAACTGAGTCCTCCACATTGTTCAGTAGGTCTGTAACACCTTCTCAGGCTTTCCTCATTCTCGTTCTTCACATGAGCAGGCTCAATCTTTCAGCAACACCCTCAAGCCTCTTACTCTTACTCACCATTTTGATCCTGGGTTCAGCAGATGACATTAGCTCCAACTTGACAGAGAATACCCAAGTCATAGGCAGGAGCTTTCACAGTTGTTTCTTCAAAGTTATTCTGTGTACTTACTTTGCTACTCAGTCCCTCTTTACATCCTATTCTCTCAGTAGGAAGTTATTCTTTCTCTTCCCTAGCCTGGATCCCACTCCAAGTACATTGCTAGACATTCTGCTAAGCCTCCACTCAACCTTTCCCTCTTTTTCCTTCCACTCTGGCCTTCATATATAAATCTTTTTCAAGGGTCTCATCTATAAAGAAACAAATGAAGAAACCTCTGCCATCTCTATATACCCATGTTGTCTACACTTGCTATCTCAACATATGTGCATTGCATTTATTCCCCACTCTCTGTTATCTTGTGTCTATGCATTTTTCAACCCTCTTCAAGTCTATCTCAAGCTTATTTTGAGCTCCCTTTTGGAGAATCCTTAAATAGTATTGAACTCTTTCCAGAGTTCCTACATTGCTTCACTGATTTCTCTCTATATATTCTTCTTAAGTGATTTCCTTTTCCTCTTCTCCTATGGCTTCAGTTTTCACTCTATTCTGATTGCATGCAAATCCTATATTTCCAGCCCACATCTCTCTCTGAACTAGATGCTTGTATATCCAGTTGTCTGCCATTGTCACAGAGTCAACATACCTACAGCTGATAACCAATCTTACTCCCAATTTCCTGCTTCTTGCTCTTGAATTCTCTGTCTTGGTAAGTGGAAATAATATCAACCTAGTCATCAAACTCAAAACCTGAAATCCCTCCTTAAGACATTCTTTACAGACTCATTTCCCTCAAAACCCACAATATCCAATCAATCTTCAAGTTCTATTATTATAATCTCCTTTAAATCTGTTTCTTATTCCCCATTCCCACTGCCACTGCCTTAAGCTCCCATCACTTCTCATGTAGGAATGACTCAAAATAGTGTTCTTAGTTTACAGCCTCTAGCTTTTCTCAACTTCAATTCATTCCCCACATTTCAGTGTAAAAATAATAAATCTGATCATTCTCCTTGAAGCTTAAATTTGGTGAGTGTCTATCTATAGCCTGCAGTGTAGTAGTCAATCTCCTTGGCAAGGAGTACAAAGTGATCCCTGATCTGATTTTTGATTGCCACTCCACCCTCAGCTTTCTCCTCTGAATCCTCCATCTTCTAAAATGCTTCTCCTACAAATAAATGCAATATGCTTTGATTTTTTCTCTATTTGGTATATATTTTGCTGTATAATACGTGCTTTTTGGTTGCTATCTCACCCTTTTATTTACCACAGAATACTGAAAAACTATATTGTATACTATGCTAGATAAATGCCTATTGAATGAATAAAAAATTCATGCCAGCATATTAACACTGTAAGTTAATATTTCTAATGATGGCAAAAAACAAATATTTAATTGGAATTGCCATTAAAGTTGACAGCAAAATTGCAAGCAGAGGCTTAATACACATTCCAACTATTCTTTCTACTGACAACTTAAGCCCATTTAGAAAATCTAGCAGCAGATAAAGCTTATTACATACCTGGTTATTTGTCCTATGTTGATGTTTCTCAAGTGGAAAATATGTAGTCTTTCCCTATAGAAACTGCTATCTTGAAAGGGACTCTGTTCTACAAATAAACTCATGCATTCAGGGTTGAAGTCATAGGCAGGGGTTAAATCATGAAGGCACTCATGTGCCATAATAAATACACTGAGCATAGTCCTGAGCATAATGAGGGAGCCACTCCGGAGAGCAAAACCCTGAGAGTTTCATTTTAGAACTTTGTGTTTTGTGGAAATAAATTTTAAGGGAACAAGACCAGAGGTAATGAGAACAGAAGGAGGCTATTTTATGGTCCAAGAAGCAGATGACAAAAGGCTAATCTGGGTCTGTAATAGTAGAGATGAAGAAGAAGAGATAAAATCCAGCATATTTAAGAATTAAGAAATTATTAATAAATTGGAGACAGTATAGCATATGATCAATCACAAGGTTCTGAATTAAGATTCTCTGGGTTTAAATTTTGGTAACTTCCTCCACTTACCACCTATGTGAATTTAGGCAACTTAGTTACATTTCCTGGATCTCAATTTCCATGATAAAATCATATGATAATAGTATACACTTCACAGGGTTTCAGAAAGATTAAATGTGTTAATAACTGTGAAGTGATTAGAATAGTGCCTATCACAAACTAAATTTTCTATAGATGGACCCTATAAAAATGGAAAGAAAAAAAACCCCACACAAACAACCAGTGAATTATAGGCCATCAAAAGAGATGTGGGAAGTTGGATGTGCAGGAAATCTACCAAAGAAGGAGTGGGTTCTAAGAAGATAATGATTCGAATGCTGGTAATTTTGAGTTTGAGGGTCTATATGAAATTAGATGGAGTTATCCTACAACAAGGAGATTATTTGAATCAAAATGGAGAGAATGATCTAAATTGTAAAAAGAGATCTAGGTGTTAATTAACATACACATGATCATTGCATCTTTTTTTTTTTTTTTTTTTGAGATGGAGTCTCGCTCTGTTGCCCAGGCTGGAGTGCAGTGGCGCAATCTCAGCTCACTGCAATCACTGCCTCCAGGGTTTAAACGATTCTCCTGCCTCAGCCTCCTGAGTAGCTGGGATTTGAGGCGTGCGCCACCGTGCTCAGCTAATTTTTGTATTTTAGTAGAGATGGGATTTCACCATGTTGGTCAGGCTGGTCTCTAACTCCTGACATCATGATCCGCCTGCCTCGGCCTCCCAAAGTGCTAGGATTACAGGCGTGAGCAACCGCGCCTGGCGATCATTGCATTCTTGAGGGTGCCTGAGATTACCAAAGAAGTGTACAATGAGGGAGAAGAGAAGAACATAGAGACTGAAGTCCTAGAGCACACAAACGTTTAAGATTTAGGCACAGAAAAAATATTCTATAGATAATAGAGATGGATTGTACTTGTTATCCTTTACTGTCATATTACCCCAAAACTTAATGGCTAAAGGGTTAAGAATGTGACAGTAGCTTGGCTAGATGGTTCTGGCAGAGGGGTGCCTCAAAAGGTTACAATGAATCTGTTGTTCATAGGTTTCTTCTCTCAATTAGTGAGAGATGGCTTTGATAATAATAACTAATATGTGGTTTATGGTTTTATTATCCATTTGTACAAATAAAATTTTAATGACATCTTCAACAGTTTTCTCTACTTACTCTCTATTTACAACTGCTCTCCAAACCTCCACAACTTGAACTCTGAAATATTTCTTGATCGTGTCTATCTCTTCCATTTTTAGTGCCATAAGCAATGTTTATTTCTTTTCAAGGAGTATTATATGAACAAATTCTTAAACAGGATAACTTCAACTGACCCTTATAATATGTCTGGCCTCCTAGAACATGCAAGCCCCTTGATCTTCTCTCTCTGAATCTAGCTTCTCCAACATCTGTTTATTCAGTACTCATAAAGAAACTTGCTTCCATCTTTGTGTTTTTCTGCTTTCTGTAATCTTGCCCCTTGGTCTCTCGTCCAAGACTTTTGCTTTTCTCTCTATGATGGTTACAAGTATTGGTCTATTTCTGAATGCTTAACATTGAGCCTAGACTTCTTTTCGCATGGATGGATTTTTCCATTTCCCAATTCAGCTTTCATTCCTATGCTTTCTGGGATGACTCCATCCTCAGAGTTTCAGGCTGTACTCGCCACTACCATTCTGGCATAGTGAGAAAAGCTACCTTTTCTTGAGCCATTCAACAACATCCTAATTGATACCCTGACCAACAATCTGTTATATCTGAAAGTGGCCCTCTACGCTGCTGAGTTGATAATTGCCTTATGCCATTTCCTTTCTAGTCATTTCACATACAAGTGCAGGTGCCTACAAATTACACCCCCTCTATCAGAAAGCATGGTGCCACCAGTATTGTTCTTTTTTCTCAAGATTGCTTTGGCCATTCGAGATTTTCTGTGGTTCCATACAAAATTTAGGATTGTTCTTTTTATTTCTGTGGAAAATGACATAAAATTATGATAGGGATTGCATTGAGTCTGCAGATCATATTGGGCAGTGTTGCTATTTTAACAATATTAATTCTTCCAATCCATGAATATTGGATATCTTTCCATTGATTTGTATATTTTCCATTTCTTTCATCAATGTTTTATGAATTTCATCATACAGCTCTTTCACCTCCTTGGTTAAATTTATTCCTAAGTGTTTTATTCTTTTTAATTCTGTAGTAAATGGTATTTTTAAAAGTTTCTTTTTTAGATGGTTTGTAGCTAGTGAGTAGAAATGCAACAGACTTTTGCATGTTGATTTTGTATCCTGCAACTTTACTGAATTTGTTAGTTCTAACATTTTTTGTCTTGTTTTGTTTTTTGGGTGGTGTCTTTAGGGTTTTTTACATAAAAGAATATCATCTGCAGACAATTTTACTTCTTCCTTTCTGAGTTAAATGCCTTTTATCTCTTTCTTTTGCATAATTGCTCTAAGACTTCTAGTACTATTTTGAACAGAGATACAATGGGCATCCTTGTCTTGTTCCTGACGTCTGATAAAAAGTTTCAGTTTTAACCACTGAGTATAATGGTCAATGTGGGCTTGTTGTATATGGCCTTTATTATGTCGAGATACATTCCTTCTATACCTAATTTGTTGAGAGTTTTTCTAATCTTTAAATGACGTTGAATTTTATTGACTGCTTTTTCTACATCTATTGAGATGATCATATAATTTTTATCCTTCATTCCATTAATGTGGTGTATCACAATTATTGATTTGCATATGTTAAACTATCTTTGCATCCTAGATATAAATCTCACTTGATCATTGTGTATGATCATTTTAATATATTTCTGAATTTAGTTTGTTTATATTTTATTGAAGATATATATACATATATGTTCATCAGGGATATTGGCTTGTAATTTTCTTTTCTTGCAGTGTTCTTGTCTGGCTTTGATATCAGGGTAATGCTGGTCTTATAAAATGAATTTGGAAATATTCCCTCTTCTTCAATTCTTTGGAATATTTTAAGAAAGTCTAGGATTAGTTCTTCTTTAAATATCTGGTAGACTTCATCACTGATGCCTTCAGATTCTGGGCTTTTCTTTCATGGGAGACTTTTTGTAGTACTGATTCAATCTTTTTAATCATTATTGGTCTGCATTTTCTATTTCTTCATAATTCAGTCTTGATAGATTGTATGTTTCTAGGAATGTATCCATCTCTTCCAGGTTATTCAATTTCTTTGTGCATAATTTTTCACAGTAATATCTTATGTTTATTTATATTTCTGTGGTATCAGTTGTACAGCTGTCCCTCAGTATCTATGAGGAATTGGTCCCAGGACCACTCACAAATAGCTAAATCCTTAGATGCTCATATAACATGGTGTGGTATTTGCATATACCCTATGCTCAGCCTCCAGTATAATTTAAATCATCTCTAGATTACTTAGAATACCTAAGTGATGTAAGTGCTATTTATATAGTTGTTATACTGTAATGTTTAGAAGATAATGACAAGGGAAATAGTTTGTACATGTTCAGTACAAATGCAACCATTGCAGGCCCAACTACATTTGTGATCCAATGATGGTTGAATCCACGGATGCAAAACCTGCAGATATGAAGAGCCAACAGTAATGTCTCCTCTTTCATTTCTGATTTTATTTGAGTTTTCTCATTTCTTCCTGAGTTAGCCTAGCTAAAGGTTTGTTCATTTTGTTTCTTTTTTAAAAAACAAACTCTTGGTTTTGTTGGCCTTTTCTGTTGTTTTTCTACTACCTATTTTATTTATTTCTGCTCTGATCTTTATTATTCTCTTACTTCAATTGACTTTAGTTTAGTAAGCTTAGTTTGCCCTTCAGTTTTTAGTTCCTTAAGATGTAACAATAGATTATTTGAGAAATTCTTTTTTGATGTAAGCATTTATTACTGTAAACTTTTCTGTTAGAACTGCTTATGCTGCATTCCATAAGTTCTGGAATGTTTTCATTTTTATTTATTTTAAGATATTTTTAAACTTTTAATCTCTTCATTGACTTATTTATTGTTCAGGAACATGTTAATTTTTCCATATTTGTGAATTTCCCAAAATTTCTCCTGTTATTGATTTCTAGCTTCATACCATTGTGATCAAAAGAGATCCTTAATATTATTTTAATATTCTTAAAATGTTTAAGACTTGTTTTATGGCCTAATATACGATCTGTCCACGAGAATGTTCCATGTGTGCTTGATAAAAACATGTATTATGTTACTTTGGATGGAATGTTCTGTGTATATTTGTTAGGTCCATTTGGACTAAAGAGTAGTTCAGTTCCAATGTTTCCTTAATAATTTTCTCTCCAGATGACCTGCCTATTGTTGAACGTGGAGTATTAAGAAGTCCCCTACTATTTTATTGCAGTTTGTCTCTCCTTTCAGATCTATTAACATTTACTTTATACATTTAGGTGCTCTGATGTTGGGTGTCTAGAAATTTAAATATCCTCTGACAAAATTGACCCCTTCATTATTATATAGTGATTTTCTTTGTCCCTTCTTGCAGTTTTTAACAAGTCAAAATTTTATCTGGTATGTTTAGCTATCCCTGCTCTATTTTGGCACTTAAAGGTGAAGTGAGTCTCATAGGCAGCATATATAATAGTTGGGACCTGCTTTTTAATCCATTTAGCTACTCTGCATCTCTTGATTGAGTACATTTAAGATAATTATCGGTAGGTAAGGACTTACCACTGCCATTTTTTTCATTGTTTTCTGGTTGTTTTGTATGTTCTTTCTGGCTATTTCTTTCTCTCTTGCTATCTTCCTTTGTGATTAGATAATTTTCTGTACTGATATGCTTTAATTCTTTGCTTTTATGTTTTCTGTGTCTATTATAGGTGTTTGCTTTGTGGTTTTCATGAGTTACCATGCAGCTTACATAAAATATCTATAGTTATAATAGGCTATTTTAAACTGTTAGCAACATAAATTCAATCACATTTTTAAAACTTCTACACTTTTCCTCCCCACATTTTGTTTTTGATGTCACAATTAACATCTTTTTATATTGTGTATTCCTTAACTATTATAGCTATTATTATATCTAATAGTGTGGTCTTTTAATTTTCATACTACAGATATACTTGATTTGTACATCATCAATATGGTGTGAGAGTATTCTGAATTTGACTATGTACTTAATTTTACCAGTGAATTTTATAATTTCATAAATTTTTTATGTTATGAATTATCATTCTTTTCTTTCAACTTGAAGAACTCCCTTTAGCATTTCTTATAGGAAGGTCTAGAGGTAATGAACTTCCACAGCTTTTGTGTCTCTGGGAAATTTTTTATTCCTTCATCATTTATGAAGGTCAGAATTGCCAAGTATACTATTCTTGATTGGCAGTTTATTTTTCTTTCAATACTCTTGAATATATCATCTCACTCTCTCCTGGATTCAAGGCTTTTGCTGAAACATCTGCTAGTAATCTTATGTGAGCTCCCTCATATGTGACGAGTTGTTCTTCTCTTGTTTTCAAAATTCTCCTTATTGTATGACTTTTGAGTTTGATTATAATATGTCTAAGTGAAGATCTCTTCATATATAGTCTATTTGGGGTTCTTTGGGATTCATGGACCTGGGTGCTCCTTTTTTTTCTCCACATTGGGGAAACTTGCTGTCATTATTTCTTTAAATAAGTTTTCTACACTTTTGTGTTTCTCTCTTCCTTCTGGGGCACCATAATACATATACTGGTTCACTTGATGGTGCCCCATAGTTCCCACAGGACTTCTTCACTATTTCTTTTTTATTTTTTGTTTTTCTGATTGGTAATTTCAAATGAACTGTCTTTGAGCTCATGATTCTTTCTTCTGTGTGATAGAATCTGCTATTGAATCTCACTATGAAATTTTTCAGCTCTGTTCTTTAACTCCCTAATTATGTTCTTTAACTCCCTAAATTTGGTTGTTTGTGTTTTTTTATGCTTTCTTTCTCTCTATTGAACTTCTAATTTTGTTCATGTATTTTTTTCCTGATTTCATCTAGTCTTCTGTCTGTATTCTCATGTAGCTCACTGAGCTTCTTTAAGCTGATTATTTTGAATTCATTATCAGGCAGTTTGTAAATTTCCACTTCTTTAGGGTCAGTTACCAGTGCTTTATTTTGTTCCTTTGGTGATGCCATGTTTCCCTGATTATGTGTGATCTTTGTGACCATGCATATCTATGCCTTTGAAGAAGTAAGCACTTATTCCATTCCTTAAAGACTAACTGCAGCAGGGATAACCCTTCATTAATCAGTGTGTCCAGAGATTCTGGGCAAGTCATCTGGCATGGTCCACAAGCAGGCTTGATGCTGGAGTCCTTGGGTAGACGTGATTGGTTCCTTGGTTCACTGGGGAAGGCCTGGAGCTTGGGTCTGCTGGAATGAGCCTGGTGCCTGTATCCATAGAGGTCAACCTAGCACTGGAGTCTACAGAAGTGGGCCTGGATCCTGGGTCCAGTGGGTCCACTGGATCTTGAGGCTGTAAGGACCATCCTGGAGGCTGAACTCATGAAGGCTGGCCTGGAGCCTGGGGCCAATAGGGCTGGCTTTGCACTGGGATGGCCCTAGAGGCTGGATCCCTGGTCTCGCGCCTGATTTTGGGATTTGCAGTGGCCATTCTGGCACTGGGTGAAACTGGAGCCTGAGTCTGTAGTGACCAGCCTTTGAGACTGAGTCCCAGGTGCTGGCCTGGTGCTTGAGGTCATGGAAGCTGGCCTGAAGCTGAGGTGTACGGGTGCTGACCTGGCATTGGGTTATAGCTGGAGTCTTAGTCTGCAAGTAAAATCCTGAGTCTAGGGCTACAGAGACCAGCCTCATTCTGGGCCTGTCTAAAGCCTGAGTTGAGGCTGGAAACTTTGTCTGTGAAACTGGCCTCGGGCCTGAGGCCATGGAGGCTGGCCTGGCACTGGTTAAGCCTGGACCCTATATCTATAGGGTGCTGGGATGTAACTAGAGTCAAAGGCTGAAGTTTTATTTAATAAGTAATTATAAAAGAAGTGGTTTTCATTTTATTTTGTTTTAAAAGAGGAGCCAGAAAAGCTTGTAGCAAAAATATTTGTTAGTCTGTTATATCAGGAGGGGCTTTCCTAAAGAAGTGATGTTTCAGGTAAGACTTGAAATAGGAGTGGGAATTAATCAACCTGAGGCCTATGTTTTGTGTGTATGTGTGAAAGGGAGTGTGTGTGATGTCTGTGCTATGGGAGGGTTGGGGGGAAAGAGTAAGAGAACATTCTAGAAAGAAAAAGCAGCATAAAAGGGACTTATGGTAAGAACAGCATGGGTTGTGGAACAGCTGGATGGCTGACACACAGTTAGGGAGAGATTGACTAGAAATAAATCTAGTTTAGACTATATTAAAGTCATTAGAAATACATTAGAAAGATCTAAGTAGGGAAGTGGCAATGGTTAGTTTGCTTTTCCCTGTTATGCTAGGCAGTTTCTTCAACATGTCTTGTTTTAAAGATAACTATATACATTTCAGTCTTTTCATGAGACAGTAATAACTTTAGGTTTCTCATGCAGAACAACCACTCAATACTAAATCCAGTCCATGACACTGTCTGAAGATACAGGTGTCCCCTTCCCAGACAAGAGTTATACCTAATTCAGAAGATTTCTGAAAAGGGAACTGAACCACTTATATAACAAGTCTCTCACTGACAACAACCTGACAATAGCCAAGTTGGCAAAAAAAAAAAAAAGTTCTAATTGAAATTTTAGTGTTGAAGGAATATACCTCAAAATAGTAAGAGCTATATATGAAAAACCCACAGCCAATATCACCCTGAATGGGCAAAAGTTGGAAGCATTCTCCTTGAAAACCAGCACAAGACAAGGATGCTCTCTCTGATGACTCCTATTCAACATAGTATTGGAAATTCTGGCCAGTGCAATCAGGCAGGGGAAAGAAATAAAGGGTATTCAAATACGAAGAGAGAAAGTCAAATTATCTTTGTTTGCAGATGACCAGATGACATGATCCTATATTTAGAAAACCCCGTTGTCTCAGCCCAGAGGCTTCTTAAGCTTATAAGCTACTTCAGCAAAGTCTCAGGATGCAAAATTAATGGGCAAAAATTGCTACCATTCCTATATACCAACAACAGGCAAGCAGAGAACCAAATCATAAATTAACTCCCATTCACGATTGCTAAAAAAAAAACCCATAAAATACCTAGGAATACAGCTAACAAAGCAAGTGAAGGACCTCTTCAAGAACTACAAACTACTGCTCAAGGAAATCAGAGAGGACATAAGCAAATGGAAAAACATTTCATGCTCACAGACAGGAAGAATCAATATTGTGAAAATGGCCATACTGCCCAAAGTAATTTATAGATTCAATGCTATTACCATTAAACTACCACTGACATTGTTCATGGAATTAGAAAAAAAAAAACCATTTTAAAATTCATGTGGAAACAAAAAAGAGCCTATATAGCCAAGATAATTCTAAGCAAAAAGAACAGAGCTGGAGGTGTCACACTGCCTGACTTCGAACTATAGTACAAGGCTACGGTAATCAAAATAGCATGGTACTGGTGCAAAAACAGACACATAGACCAATGGAACACAATAGAGAACTCAGAAATAAGACTGCACACCTACAACCATCTAATCTTCAACAACTCTGACCAAAACAAGCAATGGGAAAAGGATTCCCTATTTAATAAATAGTGCTGGGAGAACTGGCTAGCCATATGCAGACAATTGAAACTGGACCCCTTCGTTACATGTTATACAAAAATTAACTCAAGATGGACTAAAGACTTATATGTAAAACCAAAAGCTATAGAAATCCTAGAAGAAAATCTGGGCAATACCATTCAGGACACAGGCATGGGCAAAGATTTCATAAAATGCCAAAGCAATTGCAACAAAAACAAAAATTGACAAACGGGATCCAGTTAAACTAAAGAGCTTCTGCACGGCAAAAGAAACTAACATCAGAGTGAACAGGCAACCTATATAATAGGTGAAAATTTTTGCAATCTATCCATCTGACAAAGATCCAATATCCAGAGTCTATGAGGAACTTAAACAAATTTACAGGAAAAAAACAAACGACCCCATTAAAAAGTGGGCAAAGGATATGAACAGACACTTCTCAAAAGAAGACATTCATGTGGCCAACAAACATATGAAAAAAAGCTTAACATCACTGATCATTAGAGAAATGCAAATCAAAACCACAATGAGATACCATCTCAAACCAGTCAGAATGACAATTATTAAAAAGTCAAAAACAACAGATGTTGGCAAGGTTATAGAGGAAAAGGAACGCTTTTACAGTGTTGGTGGGTGTGTAAATTGGTTCAACTATTGTGGAAGACAGTGTGCCAATTCTTCAAAGATCTAGAAGCAGAAATACCATTTGATCCAGCAATCCCAATACTGAGTATATATCCAAAAGAATAGAAATCATTCTATTATAAAGATACATGCATGCATATGTTCATTGCAGCACTATCCACAATAGCAAAGACTTGGAATCAACCCAAACGCCCATCAATGATAGAGTGGATAAAGAAAATGTGGTACATATACACCATGGAATACTATGCAGCCATAAAAAGGAACAAGATCACGTCCTTTGCAGGGACTTGGATGGAGCTGGAAGCCATTATCATCAGCACATTAACATAGGAACAGAAAACCAAACACCTCATGTTCTCACTTGTAAGTGGGAGCTGAATGATCAGAACACATGGACACGTTAGGGAAAAAACACTCACTGGGGCCTGTTGGGGGTAGGGGTGACAGAGCATCAGGAGGAATAGCTAATGGATGTTGGGCTTAATACCTGGGTGATGGGTTGATCTGTGCAGCAAACCACCATAGCACATGTTTACCTATGTAGCAAACCTGCACATCCTGCACATGTACCCCAGAACTTAAAGTAAGTTGAAAAAAAAGTTTGCTATACTATAAGTCCTTCGTATGCATTATCTCACTGAATTTTTATAAGAACCTTTGTGCTAGGTATGATGAATATCCCTGTTTTATAGACTAAGAATCATACTAAGCACATAGAGATTATTGCATAATCACTTCAAAGTGACAGAGTCTGTATTTGAACCCCAGGAATCTGACTCCATCACTTTTGCTCTTAACTCCTTTGTTCTACTGCCTTTCAAAGAATTGTTTGACTTCTCTTTGGTTCTGTTCTGCTTGTTTTTCCTTTTGTTTCGTATCTTGTTTTTAACAACACTTTTTTATTCTCTTTTAGACCAAAGGCGAGAAAAATTTCAGAACCGAACATTACGAAGAACAAATTGAAGCATTTAAAAGTATCATCCAAGAGAAGACATCAAATTTTAATGCAGCTATATCTCTAAAATTTACACCCACTGAAACAAATAAAGCTGAACAATGTTGTGAGGAAACAGCCTCCTCAATTTCTTTACATGGCAAGGGTAGTTTTCGGTTTTCATATTCCAAAAATGAAACTTACCAACTATTTTTGTCATATTCTTCAAAGAAGGTAAGACAAAACAGTTAATATAGGAATATAGAAAGGTTCCAAACTACCCAGACTCTTTAAGTATTTTGAGCAAATAGAAATCATAAAAAGGAAAAGAAACATGGATCAAATTCTCAAATATGTAGCTAGCACGTCAGAAAGAATACTAACTGGAGAAAAGTCTGATAGAATCTTTGGCAGTGGTAAATGAATAATATGTTTGGTGGTAGTGAGCAGAAAATGCGTATTAAGAATTTAGAGCATTTTTTGACTGAGATTGTGGTAATATACCATTCAATTTATATGATCATCAGAATTTTAATGAAGAATTATACTGAAGAATTCTGGTAATTCATTGCAATGCCTTACCTAGAATGATCACTGTTTATTAACTACAAACTGTGTCTCTAAAGAAATGATGCTATGAAATTATACACATGCACATAAAATTGGTCTGATTATTTTGTAATCATACGTTTGAGACTTTGAAAATGTGATTTTTAAAATATTTGAACCAGATTTTGAAGTTTGTTCTACCACTCTTGGAATAAATATAAAATATACTCTCTGTAATCAGCATGACGCCAGTAAAATGCTCATTCTTCCTTTTCTGATACCACAGTCACTTATTTAGACAAGCTTCTCCCACATTAACAATAATAATTCACTCTTAGTACTTATATGATGCCTAACTATGTAATTGTTTTGTATGGGTCTGTACATTACCTCTCTATTTACATGCATACCCACTCAAGTGTACAGGTGGAAAATTCTTTAAATCATTCAACAAATATTTAATTGTGACCTATCTGGCCTAGGTACTTAGAATATATTTGTGAACCAAGCTGATGAAAATTTGTGTCCTCATGGAGTTGAAAACTCCACAGAAAGAGACAGCCAAAAATAATACATATAATAGCAAAAAAGAAGTAATATGGTATTTAGAAAGTATTAAGTTCTGTGGGATACAAGGAAAATTAGAGTAACATGAAGGAAAGCAGGGATGCCTGTAGGTGGCATGATTAAAAAGGAAGCTCAGGCTTAGCTTCATGGAGATGAGAAGTAACCAAAGCTTTGGAGGAGAGGAGATAGCCAAAGAGTAAGATTTCAGATTATTTATCTGACGGAAGGAACTGTTAGAGAAGTCTCTAATGTAGGAAAAACCTGGTGTGATAAAAGTTAGTCAAATTGAATCAGAAGGATAAAAAGTTAGAAAAGTTACCTTGAATCAGATCATGAAGAACTTAAAAGTCCACTCAGTGTGGCTTTTTTTCTGAGTGACATGGGAGGTCACTTGAGGGTTTTTAATTTTAATTTAATTTAATTTAATTTAATTTATTTATTTTGAGATAGATTTTTGCTCTTGTTGCCCAGGCTGCAGTACAATGGTGTGATCTTGGCCCACCACAACTTCCGCCTCCCAGGTACAAGCAATTCTCCTGCCTCAGCCTCCCGAGTAGCTGGGATTACAGGCATGCACCACCACGCCTGGCTAATTTTGTATTTTTAGTAGAAATGGGGTTTCTCCATGTTTGTCAGGCTGGTCTCGAACTACCAACCTCAGGTGATCCACCCGTCTCGGCCTCCCAAAGTGCTGGGATTACAGGTGTGAGCCACCGCGCCCAGCCTACTTGAGGGTTTTTAATAGAAGATTGACATTCTCTATTATATTTTAAATGATTACTCAAGGTATTTTGTCAAGAAGAGATCATAGGTGCTAAGAGCCAAAGCAAGGAGTCTTGCTAAAAATTACTGAAGGAATCCAGGTGAGACATGATGGTAGTTCAGATAGGACAATTATAGAGTCAAACATAAGTCCAAGGTTTTTGGCCTGAGCAACTAGAAAAATGGAGTTGCTGATGGAGAAAGCTTCAGATAGAGCAGATTTGGAGAGGGAGACCAGTAATTAAATTTTAGTTAGGTTAAGTTTGAGGTGTTTATTAGACATCCAATTGACAATGCCAAGTAGGAGTTGGTGTTTTGAGGCTGGAGTTTGGGAAAAAGACCTGGAATTGAGCTATACATTGACTTGTTGACTTCGTCATGGGGTCACTAACAGAGTTAGTGTACATAGAAAATAGAATACAATCAAATACCAAACTTCCTGAATTTCAATAGAAAACAAGTAAAAGAAACCAAAAAGTGCCCAAGAACTTTGCTACTTAGAGTGTGGTCTATGGAACAGCAGCATCAGCATCGCTGGGAGGCTAGAATCTTAGACTGTGCTCCAGAATTGCATTTTACCTGACTCAGTGTTGCATTTTAACAAGATTCTCTAGGTGGTTTGTTCACATTTTATAGTTTGAGAAGCACTGGCCTAGAAGACAAGAAAATAATCTCTATTAAGAAGAAGAGAGTGATGAACTGTGTCAATTGTGCTAACATGTCAAAGAAGATGAGGGCTAAGAAGATGAGGGCTAAGAAGTGATCATAGGCTTTAGGATTATGAAAGTCATTGGAGACCTTGATAAGAGACATTTTGTTGGAGTAGTGAGGTCAGAAGCATGAATAATTTAGATTTAAGAAAAACAGGGAAGGGGAGAATTCAAAATATACAGTATAGAAAACTGAATAAATTTTGCTTCTAGTGAGGGCAAAGAAATGGGTAGTGGCTGGTCAGGCAAGCGAGGCCAAGGGAAACTTTTTGTTGCTTTAAGATAGAAGAAACAACTGCATATTTGGATGATAATGAGCTAAGAGCTACCTTTGAAGTAAATTGACCCAAAGAACATCACATGTCTTTCTTACCCCAAATCCCAAGATATACCTCCCAGTTTTAGCAAAACTGAAAAGAAATCCAAATATGCTTTGAATAAGGCATATTTGAGAATTCTTGTGCAAGTCAGGAGATGAAGAGCTCATATGACCTATAACATACAGGCTAAGATTTTTATTAAAGACTGGATCACCCACTGTCACCTAAAGTTAAATCATGATGACAACAATGTGCTTTAAGAAGACAGACAGTTTGGTATGATATTCATATACTGCAAGATATACCTTTAAAAAGAAATAAAATATTTTAAACTCCCACATAATCATCATATGTTAACCACAGCTGTTAGGAGACCCTCAAAAGATCCATTTGCAAAATTGTGGGTGTCAATTGTAGTTTAGTTTTCATCAGGACAAGCTATGGCATTGAATCACACAGTTCACTGCCCTAGTTTTCTCCGGGAAAGGTAAGCCATCAGCCCTGGCCCTGGAAACATTTAACTGTTGAGTTGCTTAGGCTGACTTGAGTTCCACGTCTCAAAATATTGTCTGTCCTGTCTCTGTCATTAAAAATTGAGAGGGTGGACTGAAAGGGACAAGGAGACCTGAGATCTAGGTTTTTAGTACCAATGCTGTCAAGTATTATTCATATGTTTTGGGACAAATAACTTGATATCTTTAAATTAGTTTTCTCATCTGCATAATAGCAAGATTGGGCTTTATTGATAATGTCTCCATTTCCTTCCACTGTTGTTTTTAAAACAACTTAGTGAGGTATAATTTCATAAAATAAAATGCAAAGATTTTAAGTGTATAGTTTCATGAGTTTTGATAATTATGTACATTAGAGTAGCCATCTCCTTTAGCAAGAGAATATTTTAAATGTTTTAACATAGAAGACACAGCAGCATATTTAGATGGAAATTATTTAAGATCTATGTTTAAAATACATTGAGTTAAAGAACATCACACCAAGAAAATTCCATCATGAAGAGACACTCAGGCTTCTTACCCCAAGAAAAATTCCTTATGCCCTTTTCCGTTCCCTACCACCTAAGAGGTGACCACTGACCAGATTTATCTGACCACAGCTTAGTTTTGCCTAGTCTAGAACTTCATATAAATGGAATTATATAGGATATACTCCTCTATGTCTGACTTCTTTTACTCAGTATAATATTTTTGAGATTTATTTATGTTGTTACATGTATCAGTAGTTTTATTTTCCTTTTTATTGATGATTAGTATTCCATTGTATTAATATGCTATGGTTGTTTATTGATTTCTCTCTTGATGGACATTTGAGATGTTTTCAATTTTAAGCTATTCTGACTAATGCTGCCATGAAATTCTTATACAGATACTTTTGTGAACAAAATTTTTATTAGGTAAATATGTAGGAGTGGAATTGCTGGCTGGTCATAAGCAAATGTGTGCTTAACACTATGGGAAAGTGCCACACAGTTCTTCAAAGTGGCTGTCTAATTTTACCAGTAATGTAGGAGAGTTTTAGTCACTGCACATTCTCATCAGTAGTTGGTGTTGATAGTATTTTACATTTAGCCCTTCTGGTGGATTAGAGTGGTATCTCATGGTCACTGCTAAAACATTTAGTGCCTATGGAAGTTCTAAATTTCATAAATTTTCATTTGAAATGGTGGATAAAACACATGTTTCTCTTCTTCATCTGCTCTACAACACAGGAAAAAATGTTTCTGCATGTGAAAGGAGAAATTCATCTGGGAAGATTTGTAATGAGAAATCGCGATGTTGTGCTCACAACAACTTTTGTGGATGATATAAAAGCTTTGCCAACTACCTATGAAAAGGGAGAATATTTTGCCTTTTTGGAAACCTATGGAACTCACTACAGTAGCTCTGGGTCTCTAGGAGGACTCTATGAACTAATATATGTTTTGGATAAAGCTTCCATGAAGCGGAAAGGTATGCCTAGAAATAGAGCTCTGACTTCAAATACTGTTTTGACCAAACATTATTTTGTTCACCAACCTGTTTCAATGGTTAAAGTCTTAAGAATACAAAGCCCTGTAACCTGCTCCTTTGAGAGGACTCTCTTCCTGCCCTTTGGCACCTAAAACCCTGTTAAATAGCAAATTGACTTCCATCTCAAACAAGCTGACTTGGTCATACTCTACTCAACAGTAGCACTGAGAGATGGATCCATTGTATTGCAGCTTCACATCTATTAGAAGGTGGTACTTTTAGTGAAATACTAAACAAAAGGTGAAAGAAAGTACAGACATAATTTGTATAACCTACTTCTTAATCAATAGACTAGTTCAATTTCTATATCACAGTTATCTTCCAGAGTATACTTCAATATTGGAGGGAAAATATTGTTCTAAATTTTCTTTTAGAGGGAAAAGAAGAAGCAGTGTTATCATATAAATCTAACATCTTAAAGCAAGGGTGGAAAATTAGTTTTACCTCATGTGATGACACTTCTCATTATATGGTGGTGGTTGAATTGGGCTCATGTTAAGTAGGTTTCTGGTCATGGGGAAATCATGGGGAAAAGGGCCATGGTTAATTATCAATGTCTGTCATGGGTAGAAGATAGGCCTACTGATACATAGTTATCAGCCTGGCCTAAAGGGTTCGTCTAAGTCTTTTAAGAAAAAAGTAAATGCAAAGTGACTATATTAATAAGTTGTAATCATTCATGTTGTGAGTAATTATGGCTAGTTATAATATTCCTTAAGGAGGTGATGGATGCCAGGATGCTTCCTCTCTGCCCTTGTAACTATAGGTGTGTCTCTTAGGGAGGAAAGCGTTGCTAAAAACCACTTTAATGGCTTTTACGGGGTCAGTGTCAAGGTATCAGGTGTTAAGTGAAGGGTGGAATGTAACTGTGACGTAAAAGCCTGATATTCTCCCCAAGGTCAGCAAATACTTTATGGATAACAAAACATGACATAGCCAGAACCAGCTGGTCTTGATGCCTCAGTCTTGTTTTGGGCAGAGAGAAGCTTTCCCGGGGGGGAGTGGAATGTAATGTTACTTAGCTTACACTTTCACAGGGCTATATCCACAGCATAGTGAAGTTGCTGTGAGCTCCACCTGGAAGCTATATTGATGGAGATATCACGTAAGGGAAGGGTACAAGAGGACACAGGTCTTGAGTAACTTGAAAATGAGAAGAGAAAGGCTTATGAGTGGTGATCAAAACACAAAGAAATCTTCAGACTAGGAGTTGTTTTGATGAAAAAGCTCCATAGGAAGAGATCTTTAATCCTGAATAACTCAGAAGCTACTTACCTTCTGGCCTTAATAGACAAGGATCATCAGGTCAATTCTAGTGACTTTGAAGAGGAAGTGCTCTTTCTCACTTCTCCAGTGCCAATATCTGAGAACCAAGCCATGTCCTCCACCTCAATTTAAGATGTCTGGACATGAGTGTCCACTGCTAAGGCAGAGAATCTGAGCCCTTTAGGGTCACCCAGGTTATCTTTCACCCTCATCTTCAGAAGCAGAGTCCTCACACTTCTTAAGGATAAGGTTAGAAATCTAGAATTACGGATTTCTAGTATTGTCTTCGATTTTTATCCTCTCTCTTCCCTTCCCATGGGAAATGCCACCTGATAATTTCTAAGTTCTCACTAATTGTGGGTGCATGAGAAATATTTGATAGGTGAATAAACGCCTAAATGCCCCCAGATGTCTACCCCTGATACTCCTTGTAGAACCCCATGATTAACCTCATTTCATTTTTTTCTTTCCTTTTTCATAAAGCATTTTGACTCCCAGAACAAATAATCACAAATTCGTGTGTATGTGTGTGTGTGTGTGTTTGCATGTATGAAATAAATGATAAATAACGGCAAAAACTGACATTGTCAGTGAACTGTGGTCTGGGATGTTTACCCTTAAAATAGAGGAATAATTATTTTTTTTATGAATTGCAAAAACAGATAATAACTGATAGACTTTGAAAATATTAGGATTTTTCTTTCTAGTAACTGTTTGGGCATCTACACACCATAATGAGTCAGCTTCCAAGACTGATATCTACCAAGTAGCATTCATAGGATGAAAACAAAGTGACCACATACATCAGCCATCTGTCCAAAGCGATGAACCAGCTACATTAAGGATGAACTGAGTCTTCCAAAGAGGATCAGGAGATGTTGATGTATCTCATCCAAATTATGAAGTTGATACAGAGAAGTGCTTAGTAGCTAGACAACTCTGGGTTCAAATCCAAACTTACTAGCTGAGTAATGAGCCATTAGTAGGTTATTCAACTGCTCTGCAATTCCATATTTTCATCTGTACAATGAGGACAATATGGACTTACTTCATAAGGCCAGTGTGAGGATTAAATTAGTTAAAGCACACAAAATGCTTAGAAGGATGCCAGACACATGATAAGCATTCAATATATGTTAGACATTGTTGTCCCTTTTCTATGATATTACAGATAAAAGACTTTACTATAACCACCATAGTCTGACCTATATCCCTTTAAACCATGTGGTAGACTTAATGTGTCCTTTGCCATTAAGTTGACAAGCAAAGTCAAAAGGAGGTCACTATAATCTAATATGAGGACAAAGCAGGACAGACATGATGGCACATTTGAATTTAGTCATGGTGTATAGGAACCTAAGTAAGGATGTTGCTTGAAAATAGCAAAATTGGAATTTATTTGTGATGTTGGTAGACATTATCTAATAATTTTCAAATAAATTCATTAAACAGGTGTTGAACTAAAAGACATAAAGAGATGCCTTGGGTATCATCTGGATGTATCTCTGGCTTTCTCTGAAATCTCTGTTGGAGCTGAATTTAATAAAGATGATTGTGTAAAGAGGGGAGAGGGTAGAGCTGGTAAGTGTGGCCTCACTTGTTAGATTTTATAAAGCCTGAGGGTAGATGTCAATGAGCACTGCCCTCTTGCAATGAGCCCTCTTAATTGTCTGTCCTCTTTGTGCTTAAAAACTATCTTACATTTAAAGCGGTTTTCAAACCACTATAAACACCGATAGCGCATGGACATGTATTCACCAGTATCACTATTGTGCCAGTTGTACAGTACACAACTCAAGGGGGTGTGATTCACACGGTAGTCATTTTAGACTTGTATATTTATTATGGCAATAGTAAAAAAGTATCTTCATAAAAAGTTTCCTTTCTTCACCCTAATTTTAACAAAGCTTCCAAATAAGCAAGCGACAATGTTCGTGCATCCATTAACAAAGGACAAGGCCAAAACCATTTCCCCAACTCCACCTTCCATCTAAATTGAAATCCCTAATTCATCCTTAACTTTAAATTGGTGCCTAACCTTTTCAAAAATACAAATATGTTTGGTATAAATATTACTTCCTACTGTTAATCTTTAGCAGATTTACAAGCATGAATTAGTGCTAGAGTTCTCAACTTTTCCTCTAATCAGAAATACCTGAGAACATTTTTAAAATACAAATGCTTAAAGCTCACCTTTAAAGGAAGAGTCAACTGGTAGTGGGGAGGCAAAAGTGAGGAAAAACCTGATATATTTAAAAGCATACCAACCAATAATATGTGTCCATGATTGAAAAACCAATGATGAAGTAGTGGAAAAAAGCTGAATTTGCCATTATACGGTATAATTTCTATATTTGGTCCTTAAGCTAACTGTGTGATCTCTGACTAGTCACTCCACCTCTCTAAGTTTCCAATTTCTCTTCTATAAAAATGAAGAGGGGATGACAAAAATTATCTTGAAATTCCTTTCCAGTTTTAAAAATTCACAGCTGTAAAAGACTTACAAAGTTTTGTTAAAAGTGGCTTCATCTACAGAGAGACACTGAGGGAAACGATGGGTAGGATTTGGGAGTGGAAAGAAATGTTACTTTTCACTTTATTCTTTTTTGAACTCTTCTTTTTGTAATATTAAAACATATCAAAGCAAATGTACACAATATAATTATGAAGGTAAGTTTGCAAAAGAAAATATATATTACACCCAAAGTCATATTTAGTTCCCGTGAGTACATGTTTGTATGTGAGGAGCTGTGAATTTATCAGTGTATCTAGACCATGGGTATCATTTTTATTTTTTAAAAGAGATGACAGAAATCTACAACTGGTTACTAATGTAAATTTCCATTGTAGATTTGAGGTGAAAAAATGCATAAGCAATATTTACAATTAAAATTTAATAAATACATTAGGCTGTATTTTACTAAAAGGACTCAATAAATGTTTATCATATGTCCTTTTGATAACTGGCTTCTCTTTAAACTTCTTCTGCTTCTCTTTAAATCTTCCTTCTCTCCTCAGTAAACATCACCAGTGAAAACCTCATAGATGATGTTGTTTCACTCATAAGAGGTGGAACCAGAAAATATGCATTTGAACTGAAAGAAAAGCTTCTCCGAGGAACCGTGATTGATGTGACTGACTTTGTCAACTGGGCCTCTTCCATAAATGATGCTCCTGTTCTCATTAGTCAAAAAGTAAGAAACGTGTTTATTTTCAAACAGAAGACTGTGTCATTTTTTTATTAAATGTCACATTGTTTCAGGTGAACTGTTAGCTTCATCTGAAAGAGACGTGAACATTCAGATACACTCCCATTTCTTCCCCAAAAGGAGGCATGGCATAGAGAAAAGGCATGGTGTAGAGTCAGACCATCCTGGCTGACTTCCTGTCTCTGTCTCTCACTATGTGTGGGATGTTTTCTGACCTCTACAACACTGAATTCTCTAGGACTCCATCTTTGTTCTGAGAATTTAACGAAATTGCTTATATAGAGCATACAGCACACACTGTAACAAGATAGGTACTCACATATGATTAGTTCCCTCCCGTCGGCCCCTGGCTGTTCTTGCCTTCCCGTGGTGTTCCACTATCACGTCTAACACAGGAGAATTGTATTTACTAAGTGTCTTTTTTTTTTTTTTTTTTTTTGAGACAGAGTCTCACTGTGTCACCCAGGCTGGAGTGCAGTGGTGCAATCTCAGCTCACTGCAACCTCCGCCTTCCGAGTTCAAGTGATTCTCATGCCTCAGCCTCCTCAGTAGCTGGGATTACAGATGCGCACCACCACATCGAGCTAATTTTCTTGTATTTTTAGTAGAGACAGGGTTTCGCCATGTTGGCCAGGCTGGTCTCAAACTCCTGGCCTCAAGTGATCTGCCTGCCTCAGCCTTCCAAAGTCCTGGGATTACAGACGTGAGCCCCCATGCCTGGCCTAAGGGTCTTTATGAAAGAAATGTTCATAAAGTCTACAAGAAAATAAGACTAACGGTGAACAATTCTTATGGTCAGTAGATTTTTTTCCTTTTTCTATCTTGATTATAATAGTTTTCAGCTTACAAACCCTTTGGGAGTTCATAGTCAAGTTCTTATTCCTAGACAAAAAAAAATGTGTTATCATTGTAAAGATATAAATGACAATGTTATTTAGCCTCATCTTTCTTTCCCCAAGCTGCCTAAAACTAGTATGCATTTTTCTTTACTTCTTTTACTGGTACTATTAGTAAGTGCTTTTTTTCTACTTACCTTTATAACTTTCAATTTTCGCCGTATGTTTTACAATTTGCTTTCCTCAGGTCACATTTATTTTTGACTGCTCCCTACTCCAGTTTGATTAACTTGAGTTACAGAAATTTTAACATTTTCATAGGACTAGTTATTGGAGAATTTTATTCCTTTATTCTATTTTATTGTCTTTAAAGAATGAGTGAAACCACTATCTCCTTTATGTGAAGAAGGAACTCAGAAACTGAAAATTTTTATAATCTATTCTCCCTTTATGTTATAGAAATACAGCCGTTCATAGATATGCAATGTATTTATGAGTTAAAATATTTTGTCCCAAAGTAGGACAAAAAGGGGGAAAAAAGCTGGTGAAATTCCATGTATGAAATTAAAATCAGAGGATGCCTCTTTGATCTTATTAAATTTAAATCTAACACAAATTCATTATCTTGAACTCAGTAAAATAAGTTTATGTTGGAAGATCTTAAATAAGAAAAAAAATGGGTGATTTAGGTGAATATTTACATCGAGGTGAACATCCCAGGAGGCTTATTTTCTCATCTCTACAAAGCAAATTCAACTGTCTTTCTACAAATTCAAGAGTGTTCTCTGAAGAGGTCTTAATAATAGTTCAGCACGTTCTAGAGATAATTTTTTAAATCTCAAGTAAATAAGGCAGCTGCTGAAGATTTACTACTAGATTTATTAAAACTATTCAAAGACCCTCATCAACTTTGTTGGTGCAGTCCTGCTGTATGGATGCACAATATAGTTTATCCCATTTTTAGGGACAACCATTTACTTCCCCAAATTTTCAGGTTGGTAGGCATTCCATTTAGACTATCTGTATAAGTTTCTTTCTTGATAAACTGGAAGGCTGGCCTTTTCATATCAACATTCTACCTAAGGAAATGGTAGCTATAGTTAGTTCACTATGGACCACTTTTTAAATTTATCTTCTTGTAGAAAGAGTTGAGGAAAAGCAAAATTATGGGTTTTGTTGACTTTGTATGACTTTTAAGTCTCTGAAGAAACATGAGATATAGTTAAATTTGATCTTGAATTAGATTCCAAGTTATTTTACTCTCATAATTCAGGTAGAAGTGGACCTCTGGTTAACTTGTAGCTATTTCCAGGAGACAATTACACAATCTATGATCACTAATTCATTTTCAGGAATTTGAAGCATTATGTTGTCTGCAGATGACATGTTCAAACATAGGGGATAGTCTTTTGAAGAATTACTAGAACCTCTCCCCACCCACCCTAAACTATAAACTGGTCAATATTAAATCTTCTGTAGCAAATTAAAGCAATTATCTAGGTATTTATGTTGCAAACTGATTATCTTGGAGGAAAGACCAGAAAGGTGACTGTAAGCTCTCACTTAATATTATCAATAGGTTCTTGGAAACTGTGACCTTAACCAAAATGACCTGTAACAAAACCAATTTTACCATACGCTAATGAATGGGTTAAGTTCCTGTAGTGTATTTCTGGTCACAAAAACATCACCAAACTTCTAAATAAAAACTGAAACACTTCTAATATTAAATTTTGAAATATATGTAAGCTATTCACACATTTTAAAAAGATTAATAAAAACAAGTAAGATAATGATTTACCTGTTTATTCTAGTTCAGGGTAGTCTATCCCAGCAGCTCAGGGTGCAAAGCAGGAATCAGCCATGGACAGAGCACCGTCTCAACACAAGGCAAACTCCACACACCCACACTCACTGAGACTAGGACCATATAGACACACTGATTTGTCTAGCATGACTATCTTTGGGATGCGGGAGGAAACAAGCAGAACCAGAGAAAGCCCACACAAACATGGGGAGAATGTCAAAATCCCTATGCAGACAGTGACCCCAGCTGAGAATTGATTTTTTTCTCAATATTACAAAGAAATGACCTTGAATGAAATAACATTCTGGGACCTGCTGTTTTACTCTAAGTGGAATGCTGTATGAATATGTTACTGAGATTTTCTAAGTAAACTATGTGGTAAAATATATATGTTATAAATATATAGTATATATAATTATAAATATAATTTATAAAATACTATAAAATAATATAGTTTATAAAATCTATAAATACAGTTATATATTTTTCCGTACTAAAGTAACTATAGCCATGCTCTGTTAGGTAGAACCTGTGGTTTTGAGGCCCCATTTGTCTGCTTTGTCAAACCCAAAACCACTTCTTGAGGAATGTCTTGGCCCAGCCCAAAAATCTCTCCTTGGCCTTTCTCCATGCAGAGGACATAGGCTGGCCCTCTCTTTCAGTACTTACTTTTGTCATGGTCTTCAGCTTCCATGAAAGTATATTAATTCTATTGCCAACTTGCCTGAATGTTAACACAAGTGGTTCTACAGTTTAACTCAACAGAATAGCTGCACTTTGTTTTCCTCTTAAACCTACTGCTACAAATTAGTTATTAAAATGTCAGCTAAGAGAAATTACATTTATTATAGATTGCCTGGAAGATATAAAGATTATTATTTCTTCTAGAGCAATAGCAGCAAGATGAGTACAGCTACAATATTGGCTTCCTGTAAAGTTTTGTTTTTCCATTATTAGAAACAAAGTTATGTAATCTACTGTTTTATTTACTAAAAGGTTGTTATGTAATGCTGTGTCCTCTTTATGAGACTCATAAGAAATATTACTCTTTAATCTCATTTTGTTTCTCTTGGGAATCAGGTGAGTTCTTCTACCTGATTGGTAAGAAATGCATGAGATCAGTAAATTCAACTGTGTCTTACTCAATGCACTAGAAAATGAAGCTAAATTTGTGACCTACTTCATGCAAATGGATGGGTCCTCCTGGCATGAATGTAGTTCATTTTTGTTGCTTTTGCCTCCATCTTGCTTTTTCTGTTCTCAGTTCTCCTTTCCCATTTCCCTCAACCACTCATATGTCTATATGTTAAGCTGTATTAGTTCTTCCAGAGTTACATGATGTAGTAATTCATGAATTAATTAACCCGTCATTTTTGCTCTATTGTGTAACTGTTAGCAGTTATGAACCAGATGTTAAAGAGCATCAATATTTTAAAGGGTTGTAGTACCAGTGAAAATCATTTCTAACTCTCTTGTTTAGGGATAAAAAACAACACTCATTCTATCAACAAACTACAGTTGGTATACATAGTTTATTTTGGATGTCTGAAGGAAATCTCCACCTATTTATTATTAAACTATATTATCAACTTATTTATACTTTACCACTTTTATGGTAGATTATATCCTACCATAAATATATCAACACATGGTAGAAAGATAGAGTTATGTAGTATAGGAGAAAAAGTAAAATCATTTTCTTACTTAATAGAAGATAAAAGTTCATCAGAAAAAGATGGAACCCTTCAGGAAAACTTCAAAAAGTACATTTTAATTTTCCTTTGTCCTCCTGTGGAATTTTTAACTCCAGGATTTGAAGCTCCTCTGAAACTATTGCCATTGCATGTCCTTCATCTTTAACTCTTCCAACACTGTTTATACATTTAATCCAAATTGTATTTCCTTCATGACCCTCTATTCCTGTATCTTAGACTGTCTGGCCTTGACTTTCCTTTGAAGGGTATAACAAGATGAATTTCTTTAAAAAAAAATCAAAATAATTCTACCACATGCCTATGTTGTTTGTGCCAATGTGACAATGTTGGTGAGAGGTTTCCTTCTTTCAAATAAATATGACATGGTTGAAATCTGAATCCTATATACTATATACTAATTCATAAAAGACTACACTGGTGAACAGTTATGCTGACTTTGTAGAAGTTCTTGATATATTCCATATATGAGCATATTCACAACTAAAGTTTTGCAAATATCTTCTCCCACTAAAGAATTTCATCTTTAATGGTGTTTTTGATACAGATGTCCTCTTATGTACTTTTTATTTTGAACTAATTTTAGACACAGCAAAATTACACAAATAGTGCAGATAGTAATATTGCAGAAGTAGTATTGCAGAAGTAATATTGCAGAATAGTACAGAGAGTAATATTGCAGAAATAGTAGAGAGAATTCACTTATAAGCTTCATCTCCCAGCTCCTAATGTTAGTAATTTACATAAGCATAGTAAAATTATCAAAATCAGAAAATTCACACTGAGTAATTAGCTAAAGCACAGGTTTTGTACAAATTTCACAAGTTTTTCCCTTAACCTTTTTTTTTTCCTGTTTCAGGATCCAATCTAGGGTCCCACATTGCATTTAGTTGTCACATCTCTTTACTGTCTCCCAATCTGTTATAGGTCTTCAGACTTTCCTAGTCTTTCTCAACCTTGACACTTTTTATGAGGACTGGTCAGTTATCACGTCAAATGTCTCCCAATTTAGCATTCAAGTAGGTTAAGGTTATGCATATTTGGCAAGAATACTACAGAAGTAATGTTCTGTTATTCTCAGTGCATCATATTATGGGTTATGATGTTGATGATTTTTTTATTTTGACTTAGTTAAATGTATCTTTCTATTCACTATAGTTAGTGCTTTTAATGTTTGAATTAAAGTTGTTTCCTACCTCAAGGCCTTGATACTTTCCTATGTATTATCCTTCAACAGCTTTATTATTTTGCTTTTATATTTAGATCTACAATATTAAACTTGGTCTCACTAAAATAAGGAATACACGAAAAATATTAACTCTCATCATTTTTATTTCATATTACACTGAGTCCTAGCCAGTGAAATAAAGCAAGAAAAATAAATAAAATACCTAAGGACTGCAAGGAAGAAGTTAAACTGTCTTTCTATACATGGTATGTTGTTTAAATAGAAAATTCTAAGAAATCTATAACTCTACACTACATTTGTGTATTTATTTCTCCTTGTACTTGGATCAATTTTTATTTTATATATTTTAAGGCATATTACCAAAGGCATACAAATTTAGAATTATTACATTTTCTTGGTCAATTAAAATGTCTTCCTTTATTTCTAGTAAATGTTTTCTGCCTCAATTTTTTTTTTTAAATTACCTATGTTTGCCAGACGTCTCTGTTGGTATGCACATAGCACACATTCTCCAGTCTTTTTTTCTCAATTTGTTTGTGTCCTCAAGTTTTGTTTGGATTAGTTGGACTTTTTAAATCAAATGTGATGATCTTTGTTCTTTTCTTTTTCTTTTCTTTTTGCTTCTTTTCTTTTTGTTTTTGTTTTAAAGATCGAGTCTCACTCTGTCACCCAGGCAGGAGTGCAGTGGTGCAGTCTTGTCTAACAGCAACCTCCACCTCCTGGCTTCAAAGGATTCTTCTGCCTCAGCCTCTCAAGTAGCTGGAATTACAGGTGCTTGCCACCATGCACAGCTAATTTTTGTATTTTTAGTAGAAACAGGTTTCACCATGCTGGCCAGGCTGTTTTCAAACTCCTGACCTCAAATGATCCACCTGCCTTGGCCTCCCAAAGTGCTGGGATTGCAGCCAGGAGCCACTGCACCCAGCCTATTTTCATCTTTGACAAATACTTCTTAGGCACCTGCAGTGTACCAGGCTCTATTGTGGCATTGAGTCTAAAGCAGTGAATAAAAGAGATAAAAATCTCTAACCTAACAAACCTTTTCTAATATAATCCAAAAACACAAGTGAAATAGATATCATAATGTTAATATTTTAGTGTACATTTTCCAGTCATCAGAGTCTTTATCAGAGGTATAGTTAGCCAATTTGAATTCATATAATATAATTTTATATCTTGGTTTTTAGTGAGTAGTATATAGATACATTTTAATGTAATTAGATTTTTAAAAATAGACATTACTTATGTAAAGTAAAATTTATTTTTTTTAGTGTAAAGGGCCCTAGGTTTCCACAAACACTTACAATCATGAAACCACCATGAAAACCAATACATAAAACATTTCTACCACACAGTTCTATCATGTCCATTTTCAATCAACTCCTCTTTCCTGCCCCACTTCTACATAACCACTGATCTATTTACTGCCATATAAATGTAATCACGTAACTTTTTGAATTTGGCTTCTTTCACTTAGTGTTACACATTTGAGATCCATCCACATTCACACATCGACATTCTTGTATGTATGAGTAGTTCCTTTCATTTTCATTGCTCAGTAGTATTCCATTATATGTAGTTCCATGATATAGATTAAACAGTTTGTTTATCTAGTCATCTGTTGAAGGACATTTATTTGTTCCCAGACGGGGATATTTTTTGGTGATTATGAATAAAGCCATTATAAATATTTGAATACAGAATTTTGCATGAACATATTTTTCTTTTCTCTAGGAGAGAGATTGCTTGGTCATATGATATGTGTGTTTATACAAAATTACATAAGAAATAGCCAAATTTTTTTCCAAAGTAGTTGCATTACCACCAGAAATATATGAGAGTTTCAATTCCTTAGATAATCATGTCATCTGAAATAGAGATTTCTTTATTTTCTCAATCTCTATGTATTTTATTTCTTTTTCTTGCATTATTGCATTGTCTAATGCATCTAATATAATATTGCACCATTAAGTATGATGTTAGCTGTAGGTTTTACATAGATTATCTCTATCAGGTTGAGGAAGTTCCCTTTAATTCCTAGTTTGCTCAGAATTTTTGTCATAAATAGATGTTGAATTTTGTCCAAGAATTTTTCTTTATTGAGATGATCATATGGTTTTTCACTTTTAATAAGTTGTTATGGTGAATGATATTGATTATTTAAATTTTGAGCAAACCTGGTGCTTAAAAACTATTGTATTTGGTTTGCTATTGTCTTGGGATATTTTGCAAATATGTTCATGAGTGATATTGATTTGTAATTTTCTTCTCCTAACTATTTTTATTTGGTTTTGGTATCAAAGTAATGCTAACTGTAAAATAAGTGAGAAGTAAATTCTTCTCTATTTTATGAAAAAGTTTTTGTAGAATTGATATGTCTTTTTTAAATGTTTGTAGAATTCACCAATAATGCCATCTAGGCCTTCTTTGTTAGAAAAAAATTTAACTCTAAATTCAATTATTTAAATAGATATTAGAAGTCCAATTATGCATTTTTTCTGATTCAGTTTTTATCAATTGTCTTTCAAGGAATTTTTCCATTTTATTAAGCAGCTGATGTCTGTAGATTCTATAGTGATATCCTGTCTTGGATTCCTGGTATTGTTAATTTAAAGTTTTTCCCTTTTGTCTTATCTTGTTTGATTTTTAATTAATCTGGTAGAGGTTTATCATTTTTTGTAATCTCAAAAAAGCAGCTTTAAAAAAATTTTCTCTATTTTTTTCCCATTTCAATTTCTATTTCAATTCTCATTATTTCCTTCCTTATGCTTTGTACTTAAATTTTTCTTCTGTTTCTAGTTTCTTAAGCTGGGTGCTGTTATTATTGATTTTAGATATTTTTTTCTTGTCTAATATAGGTATTTTGTGCTGTAAATTGACCTTTAAGCATTTCTTTAACTGTGTCCCACAAGTTTTGATGTGTTTTCATTTTCATTCAATTTAAAATATTTTCTAATTTTTTGTGACTTTCTCTTCTACACATGGGTTATTCAGAAATGTGGTAATTAATGGGGTAAATATTTGGGGATTTTTCAGATAGCTTTCTGTTACTTATTTCAACTTTCATTTTGTTTGGTCTGAGGACATACTTTGTATTATTTTCATTATTCTCAATATATTGAGTATTTTTAAGGCATAGATATGCCTATGTGCACTTGAAAAGAATATGTATTCTGCTGTTGTTGGGTAGAATGCTCTGTAAATGTCAGTTAGGTCAATTAGTTGATAGCACAGCCCAGGACTTCTTTTCCTGTGCCCTTACTCTTTCAATTATAGAGAGCAGAACTTTGAAATGTCTAGGTATATTTATTATTTCTCTTTTCAGTTCTATCAGTTTGAGCTTTATGTATTTTAAAGTTCTGTCATTGGGTGCATACACATTTAGATTATATATCTTCTTTGTATATTGAAAACTTCATCTTTTTATTCCTAACAATATTATTTGTTAAGAATTTTTTGTATGGTAATATAGCCAAGGAGGTTCCATTTAATTAATGTTGTATGGGATAACTTTTTCCATCCTTTTACTTTGAAACTATCTACAGCTTTGTATTTAAAGTGAGTTTCTTGTAGACAGTATATAGTTGGGTCTTGCTATTTTTATCTAAAGTAACTATCTGTATTTTAATTAGTGTATTAAATCCATTTGCATTTAATGTAATTAATGAAACAGTTAAATTAAAATCTGTACTTGCTAGTTGTTTTTATTTGTTCTGTATATTCTTTGTCTCCTTTTTGCTCATTTCCGACATTTCTTTTTTAAACTGACATATAAGAATTGTACATACTTATGGGGTACATAGTGATATTTTGATAATGATAATGTATAGTTATCGGATCAGGGTAATTAGTGTATCCATCATCTAAAACATTTGTCATTTATTTGTGTTGGGAACATTCAATATTCTTCTTCTAGATACCTGAAACTATGTATAATAACACATAATTATTAACTATAGTAATCCTACAATGTTATAGAGCACTAGAACTTATTCCTCCTATGTAGTTGTAATGTTGTATCTTTTAACAAATATCCCTTTCAGTATGCTCTTTCCCATTCAGTATGATGTTGGCTGTGGTTTTGTCATATATGGCCTTTATTGTATTGTCTTTCCCCTACCCTTCCCAACCTCTAGTATCCTCTGTTCTACTTTTTACATCTATGAGATCAGTTTTTTTTTTAGCTTCCACATATAAGAGAAAACATGCGGTGTTTAGCTTTCTCTTTCTGGCTTATTTCACTTAACATAATATCCTCCAGTTCCATCTATGTGGCCACAAATGACAAGATTTTGTTCTTTTTTATGGCTTAATAGTATTCCATTGTGTACATACATTATTTTCTTTAAAAAGAAAAAATACATTATTTATTTATCCATGTGGCTACTGTGAATAATGCTGCAATAAACAGAAGGGTGCGGATGTCTCTTTTATATACTTATTTTCTTTCCTTTGGATAAATGCCAGTATTGGAATTGCTGGATCATGTGATAATTGTGTTTATAGTTTTCAAAAGAACCTTCATATAGTTCTACATAGTGACTATACTAGTTTACATTCCCACCAACAGTGTTATGAGTTCCTTTTTTTTCCACATCCTTGCCAGCATTGTTTATTTTTATCCGTTTGATATTGAACATTTTTAAATATACTTTTTGGCCTTTTATGTGTGTTCTTTTGCAAAATGGCTCTTCAGATCATTTGTTTATTTTTCAATCAGATTATTTATTTTGTTGTTGTTAGTTGTTTGAGTTCCTTCTAAATTCTGGATATTAGTCTCCTGTCAGATGCATAGTTTGAAAATATTTTTCCCCATTCTGCAGGTCACGTGTTGATTGTTTTATTTGCTGTACAGAAGCTTTTCAATTGGATATAAACCATTTGTGTATTTTTGCTTCTGTTCCCTGTGCATTTGAGATCCTATTCAGAAAATTTTTTCCCTGACCAATGTCCTGAAGCATTTCCCTTATGTTTTCTTCCAGTAGTTTTATAGTTTTAGGTCTTACAATAAAGTATTCTATATTGGGTTGATTTTTTATAGGACAAAAAGTGGGGGGTTAATTTTATTCTTCTGCATATGGACAATCAGTTTTTCCTAGCACAATTTATTGAAAAGATTGAAAAGAAACCAGTTATTTTTCTTGGTACTTTTGTCAAAAATTAGTTGACTGTAGATAGATATATTAATTTCCGGTTCTCTGTTCTGTTCCATTTGCTTATGTGCCTGTTTTTATGGCAGTACAATGCTGATTTGGTTACTACAGCTTTGTAATATATTTCGAGATCCGATAATGCGATACTCCTAGCTTTGTTTTTGTTGTTGTTGTTGTTTGTTTAAGATTGCTTTGGCTATTTGAGGTCTTTGTGGTTCTACACAAATTTTAAGATTTTTTTTTCAATTTCTGTGAGGAATGTCATTGTCATTTTGATAGAGATTGCACTGAATCTGTAGATTGTTTTTGGTAGTAAGGCCGAAGCCTGGAGCATGGGATTTCTTTCCATTTGTTTGTATCCTCTTCCATTTCTTTCAATAGTGTTTCATAGTTTTTCTTTTACATCTTTGGTTAAATTTATTCCTCAGTATCTTCTTTTGTAGCTATTGTAAATGGTATTGACTTTTTGCATTCTTTTTTGGCCTAGTTTGTTGTTCTTTAATAGAAATGTTACTGATTCTTGCATGTTGATTTTATATTCTGCAGATTTACTAAAGTCGATTGTCAGTTCTAAGTGTATTTTGGTAAAGTCTTTAGGATTTTCTACATATAAGATCATGTCTTCTGCAAACAGGGACAATTTAACTTCCTCTTTTCCAATTTAGGTGTCCTTTATTTCTTTCTCTTGCCTAAGTGCTCTGGCTCGGATTTCCAGTACTATGTTAAATAAGAGTGGTGAGAGTGGGCATCTTTGTTTCAGTTCTTAGAGGGAGAGCTTTCTGCTTTTTCTCATTCAGTATTATGTTGGCTGTGGGTTTGTCATATATGGCCTTTATTGTGTTTAATTACTTTTATTCTATACCTAATTTATCGAGAATTTGTATCACAAAGAGAAGTTAAATTTTATCCAATGGTTTTTCTGCATCTATTGAGATGATCACATGGTTTCTGTTCATAATTTTGCTGATGTGATGTTTCTCATTTATTGATTTCCATATGTTGAACTATTTCTCGGATAATTCATGCCCACTTGATCATGCTGTATTATCTTTTTGATGTATTGTTGCCATCAGTTTGCTAATATTTTGTAGAGGACTTCTGCATCTATGTTCATTGGGGATATTGGTCTATGGGTTTTTTTGTGTGTTGTGTCCTTGTCTGGTTTTGATATCAGGGTTATGCTGGTCTCATAAAATGAGTTAGGAAGAGTTCCCTTCATTTCAGTCTTTAAAAAAATTTTTGAGAAGAATTAGTGTTAATTCTTGTTTAAAGATTTGGTAGAATGCAACATTGAAGCCATCTGGTCCTGGACCTTTCTTTGTTGAAAGACTTTTTATTACAACTTCAATCTCTTTACTTATTATTAGGCTATTCAGGTATTCTATTTATTCTTGGTTCAAACTCGAGAGGTTGTATGTGTCTAGAAATTTATCCATTTTCTCTAAGTTTTTACATTTATTGGTTTATAGTTGTTCATAGCAGTATCTAATGACCCTTTGTGTTTCTGTGGTATCTGTTGTGATATCTCTATTTTTGTATCTGATTTTATTTATTTGGGGCTTCTTTTTTCTTTTTCTTAGTCTAGCTATTGTTTGTTTATTTTGTCTTTCTTTTAAAATAAAAACCTTTAATCAACTTTTTGTTTCATTAATCCTTTGTATATGTTTTCAGTCTCAATTTCGTTTATTTCTGCTCCGATCATTATTATCTCTTTCCTTCTACTATTTTGGGGTTTGGGTTGTTCTTGCTTTTCTAGCTCCTTGAAATGTATCATTAAGATGTTTATTTGAAAATTTTCTAGATTTTTGAAGTAGACATTGGTTTCTATAAACTTCCCTCTTACTACTGCCTTTTCTGTGTATCGTCAGTTTTGGTATGTTCTGTTTCTATTTTCATTTATTTCAAGAAATTTAAAACATTTCCTTCTTAATCTCTTAATTGATTTAATGGTCATTCAGGAGCATATTGTTTAATTTCCATGTATTTGTACAGTTTCCAAAGTTTCCCTGATTATTGACTTCTGGTTTTATTCCATGTGGTCTTAGAAGGTATTTAATATAATTTCAATTTGTAAAATTTTTTCGAGACTTGTTATGTTTTCTAACATATGATTAATCTTGGAAAATGTTCCACGCACTGATTAAAAGAATGTGCCCTCTGCAGCTCTTGGGCAAAAAGTTCTGTAAATGTCTGTTAGGTTCATTTGGTCTATGGTGCAGCTTAAATCCTGTGTTCTTGGATTTTTGATTTTTCTGTTTAGATAATCTCTCCAACGCTGACAGTGAAATGTTGAAGTACCCAAATATTATTTTGTTGTTTCACTTTAGATCTAATATTTGCTTTATGTATCTGGGTGCTCCAGTGTTGGTTGCATATATATTTAAAATTGTTATATTTTCTTGCTGAATTGATCCCTTTATTATTATATAATGTTATTATTTTTCTCCTTTTTACAGTTTTTGACTTGAAGTCTGCTTTGTCTGATATAAGCATAGCTACTCTTGCTTGCTTTTGGTTTACCTTTGCATGAAATATCTTTTTCCATCCTTCACATCCCATCTATGTATGTCTTTACAGGTGAAGTGAGTTTCTTATAGGGAACATATAGTTGGCTATTATTTCTTTTTGTCCATTTAGGCTATCTATATCTCTTAAATGGGGAATTTAATGTATTTACCTTCAAGGTTATTATTGATAGGTGAGGACTTATTCCTGTCTTTTTATTGATTGTTTTCTGGTTATTCTGAATATCTTTTGTTTCTTTTTTCCTTCCTAGTTGTTTATCTTTGCAGTTGAATGGCTTTCTGTAGTAATCTGGGCATGTAAGACCCCCTGGCCTTCCAACCACCAGAGATGCCTTTCTGCTTCCCCCTGAACTCCAGCACTCTCCCTTTAACATTTCAGTTAAATCTTGTTTATTCATTACATTGTTCCTTTCTTGTCCTGACTATTCTTTTTTATTCAGTATGTTATATGATTCCATTTTATTTCCAGTATTGATATATTACTCATGTCTCTTTTAAAAAATATTTTTTACTCTATAACATATGATTCACAATATACATCCTTAATTTATCATAGTCTGCCTTCAAATGATATTATGCTGCCTTATGTATAGTGTAAAACAAATACACTATATTTCCAAATCCTCCCTCCCATTTTTAATGCTATTTTTATCATATTGTATCATGAGTTTATAGTGTATGTATATTTTACATACATATTTTTAAATTTTTACATACACTATAAACTCATACTACAATGCGACAACATTTGCTGTAGATAATATATGTTAGAGCAATTAAAACTAGAAAGGTATATTTTTGCCTTCATTTTAGTTATGCTCAGAGCTCATGATTACTTTATGTAGGTCCAAATTTTAGTTCTTTGTGGTAATTCTTCTGCCTGAAAAATTTCCTTTGGCATTTCTTTTAGTGTGCATTAGCTAGTATCAAACTCTCTTGGCTTTTTCTTCTCTGAAAAAAAAAGTATTTTTTTCAATGACATTTCATTAGGTATAAAATTCTATGTTTACAGTTTGTGTGGATTTTTTTTTGTTTTGTTTTGTTTTTGTCTTTCAGTACTTAAAGATATTACCCCTTTGTCTTCTGGCTTGCATAGTTTTTAAATAAGCAGTATGCTGTAACTCTTATCTTTGACCTTCTGCTTGTAGCATTTCCCTTTGTTGTCATCGCCTTGAAGATTTCATTTTAATCTTTGGTTTTCCACAGTTTGAATGAGATGTATATTTATTCTGCTTGAAGTTCCCTAAATTTCTGGAGTCTATGGTTTGATTATTTAATTACTTTTGAAAAATTCTTGGTCATTATATCTTCAAATATTTCTTCTGCCACAATCACATTCTCTTTCTCTCCCCCTCTCAACCCCTTCTTATAACCTCTTCACTTTTTTCAAGGATTCCAGTAACACATGTGCTAGTCTCTTTCATATTGCCCCACACTCTTGGATGCTTAGTTCTGGGTTCCCTCCCTTCAATTCTTTTATCTCTTTGCACTTTAATTTGGCTAATTTCTACCACCCTTTTATCAAGTTTACTGATTCTTTCTTTTGCTGTGTCAAATCTACTGACAAACTCATCAAAGATATTTTTCATCTCTTTTATCATGCTTTTTATTTTTTACATTTCCATTTGACTCTTTATAATATTATTGATTGTATCTAGTAAAGTCAAATTTAGTCTACTTTCAAAATACTAAGGCTTTTTACTAAACTGTTTTTAAGATTTTCTCCATTGTCTTTGGGTTTTGTTTTTTTAGCAATTTTTCTCTGATAATACCTAGCTGCAAAATTATTTTTCACCGTAGTTTTTATTCATAAGATATCTTGTTGTTTTTCACCAGGTCTGGAATATTCTCAGTCATTAGTTTTTCAAATATTGCTTCTTATTTATTCTGTCCTTTGTTCTCCTTCTGGGGCTCAAAATATATGGATCTTTTCCCTTCCCACACTATCACTTATGTTTCCTTCCCTCTTTCTGTATATCCTATCCTTTTGTCTCTTCATGCTTTATTGTCAATATTTTCTTCTTACCTATATTGCAATTCATTAAATTGCTTCAGTTTTATCACATTTGCTATTTAACTAATTCACTAATTTGTATTCTAATATTTGTTTCTTTTTTTCAAATCTATTTTTAATAACTTCCAGTTCTTTGCTAAAATTTTCAGACTTGTCTCTTATCTCCCTGTTTATGCAAACAGTTGGTTTAAAGTCTGATAATTGTTTGAAGTCTGATAGCACAAACATTGGCAGCCACCATAGCTGTTTCTATTTTCCATAATTTCCACTGGTCTCATTCATGTTGTGTTATTTCCTTGTGTGCCTAGTTATTTTTACTGTGGGCTAAATACTGTACGTAAAATTATTATAGGAGTAGCCTGATGCCTGGGGTAATTTTGTATATTTCAAACATATATATTTATATTTGAAAAGCTTCCAGCATCCCCACTAATGATCCAAGATTATTTTAATCCAAACTGGGCTGCAGTTTCTGCCAGAGCTATCCTACTTCCACTTCCCTCTTAGTCCCCAAATCAAAGGATAGCATGTCTACCTTGGTTGATCTGAATTCCAGTGTTTTTTCCTCAGCTCAGTAATGTGTTGCTCTACCTCCTAGTCTCTCTACTAACTCTTGCTGAATTAGGAAATGTGTCAAGAGGACTAGTAGCCCTAGAATACTGGGCCCACCTCTTGGATTTCCACCTCCTCCCAGATCTTAGATCAGTGATTTTTTATTTTCTTATTAGTTGTCCAGGGCATTTTAGCAGTTTTAAAAAAAAATGTTTGGTTTTATTTTGTTTAGCTTTCCTCATTGTCCTTAGGGAAAAGATGAGTCCACATTATTTAATCCATCATTATTCTTCTGCAGGAATTTGTGGGGTTTTTTTGGTTTGTTTTTTGTTTTTGTTTGTTTGTTTGTTTGTTTGTTTTAGCTCTGGGCTCTATAGATTCTCATTTCTTTTAAGTTTTGTGGTCTCTTGTTTTAAAGTGCTCTGCCACCAAAGTGCCTCTATTTCTAACAGTTTATTCACTCAAACAGCTCTTGCTAGTTACACAATTGAATTTGCTTAAATTAAGTGAACATATAAATTTCCCTGTATATGTTATGATATCTCCATTATAAGAACTTTTTAATTTTTTTCTATGATCATCAAGCTGCACAATAGATCTTCTGAACTTACCCCTTCTATCTAACTACAATTTTGTATCTTTGGAACAACATCTTCCCAACTTCCTCCTCCATTTAAAAACTTTCAAAATTCTTTACTGTATGCCTGAAATAGTCTTCTCTCTGCCTTGACACCTTCAAATCTCAGCTCAGTATTTATTGTCAAAGCTTTCCAAACTTCCTTGATTTCAGTGTAGCAACTGTGTATCTTACTGCAGGAATTTGAGTGTGCCAAATAAATACTTTTACTTCATTTTCTTTACATCTAATTAAATGTGATTTTGAGATCATGTCCCTCCATGTTGCTAGAAAATTCACCTTTCATTTACTTGTTGGATGGGGCTCAGGAAATTTTTTCCCTGCTGTCTAAATTGGTATAAGAATCCTAACACTTCCATCTGGGAAATGGAGATATAATTTACATATGCCTTTAGTTCATCGTAGTTACCTCAATAACCTTATTGTTCAGGCTCACATGTTCACTAGAAGTCAAATATTTCCAAGCCCTCCATGCCAGGCTTGCAAATGGAAATCACTGACAAGACTGGATTCCTGATACTTCATATGCAGCTTCCTCAAGGCACCCCATAGGTCCTTCTATCTCCCAAAATAGCTGCTAAATATCTAGCTATGGTTTCCTGTTACTTGAGGTATATACTAACTTCTATCCCCTTTCTATTCTGGAGGAATCTCTTTCCTTGGTGGCATTCTTCTATATTCCTTCCCTCTACAAAAATTTCTCAATGAATTTAGACTTTTAGAGGAAAAAAAAAACAAGAAAGAAATTAGAAAAAGGTTGCCTTCAGGGGCATTCTGGACTTGGCCTTGCACACAAACCTCCTCTTAGGCAAGAGATAGCAAGCATCTGGTTACCTTCTGGAAGAGAAGGAAGAAGGCAGCAAAAACAATTCACAAAATATGTCAATAAATTATCAAGCCAGAAGTTTAAGTCCCTCAGTTGTTCATTTTTAAAGCACATATACCTGTTTTTTTTTTGTAGCACCTATCACACTTTCTATTTGAAATTTATGCATCATTATTTTATTAATATCAGCCTCCTTAACTCCGTAATATGACCTCCCTGATAGCAGTCATCTTGACTAGTTTTGATTGTTTAAAAGCTAACATCACATCTGGCAATACTATACATTCAATAAGTCTTTGTTGAATTAATGAATCAGTGAATGAATAATTAAGTAAAGTGTATTCTACAAGTTCTCTCAGTTAAAAAGGACCTAAAATTAAATGTTTTGCTTCCTTTCAGCTGTCTCCTATATATAATCTGGTTCCAGTGAAAATGAAAAATGCACACCTAAAGAAACAAAACTTGGAAAGAGCCATTGAAGACTATATCAATGAATTTAGTGTAAGAAAATGCCACACATGCCAAAATGGAGGTACAGTGATTCTAATGGATGGAAAGTGTTTGTGTGCCTGCCCATTCAAATTTGAGGGAATTGCCTGTGAAATCAGTAAACAAAAAATTTCTGAAGGTGAGGACAATTTATTTGATGTGATTAAAGACAAAAATATGCACTTTGGGGTTATCTAATTTGAAAACTAGCTCTTGAATTAATTTGTACTAAATCTCTAGATTATTTATATAAACAGAAGATAAAGATTGAGTGAATAGTGAAAATGGGTAAATCAGCCTTTATGTGTCATTCTGACATATTCTACTTGTATATATTAAGATAGAATTATAAATAAATAAATTATAATTATTGTATTACTCTTTATAAAAATATTCTTATAGAAGGTTTACAGAAATACAACAAACATCAGGTATTCACTATATAGAATTGATGAATGTTAATACATATATATCATATACACTTTGCATATATATGTGTTTATGTGTATAGACGTAGACATATATACTTTAAAACCCTTTTTTAAGAAGCAACAATAATACATCCAATTAATTACTTTGTACCACATCCCCGCCCCCCAAAAAAATTCTATTGCCTTTTCTCTCTTCTACTACTCAGATACAGTCACTTTCATTAAGTTGGTATGTATCTTTCCAGTTCATATTTTTGTGCTTGTACTAAATATGTATGTACCAATGAAAAATATGTGATATTGTTTTGTATGTTTTTAAATTTTATATAAATGATATTCACTAGATTTTTATTTTGCATTTTTAACTGTATTTGTGTTTTTGAAAGCTGAGATTCTGTATTGTATTTTTAAGTTAATCATAAGGAAACATTATTTTACATTAAAAATATTTTTATTATGAATTTAAAGGGTACATGTGAAGGTTTGTTACAAGGATATATTGCATAATGATAAGCTTTGGGCCTCTGGTGTACGCATCACCCAAATAGTGAACATTGTACCCAACAGGTAATTTTTCAACCCTCATCCCCCTCCCATCCTCGCCATTTTTGGAGTCCCCACTGTCTATTATTTCCTTCTTTATGTCCATACATACCCATTGTTCAGCTCCCACTTATAAGCGAGAACATGTGGTATTTGATTTTCTATTTCTGGGTTATTTCACTTAGGATAATGACCTCCAGCTCCAACCATGTTGCTCCAAAAGACATGATTTCATTCTCTTTCATGGTTGAATAATATTCTATGGTACATATGTACCACATTTTCTTTATCCAATCATCCATTGATGGACATGAAAGTTGATTCCATGACTTTGCTATTGTAAATATGTATTGTAAATATGTGCTATTGCACATCAAAATATGTGCTGCAGTAAACATATGTGTGCAGGCATCTTTTTCATATAAAGATTATTTTCCTCTCGGTAGATACCCAGTAGTGGGACTGTTGAGTGGTAGTCCTATTTTTAATTTTTTGAGAAATCATCTCTATTCTCTTACCATATACAAAAATTAACTTGAGATAGATTAAAGACTTACATGTAAGATCTGAAACTATAAAAATCCTAGAGGAAAATCTAGGAAAAACTCTCCTGGACATTGGCCTAGACAAATAATTTATAACTAAAACCTCAAAAGCAAATGCAATAAAAACAAAAATAGACAAATAGGACTCAATTAAACTATTTTACTTCCTACAAGTAAACATGACTTTAGTCATGTTTCTAATCCTAAGAGTTTATGCTTAGTATTTCATTCTGGTAGAATTATTCAGACTCCTAATAGATTAGTGAGATCTTAGTCCAAGTGTTAATATCACAAGATTAGCTATTAAGATTAACTTTCTATGGCAATCATTGTTTGAACAAATACAGTTTCCTGAAACAAAATTCTAAAACAATTATGTAGCCAAAGTTCACAGCCTCGTTTATCATTCAACCATATTTTCATCTCTTACAATATAAATTTTTAATATTTTATGAATTTTTTACACTTCTCAGCAAATGGCTTAGAAACTCAATCATGTGGTGACAAAATATGTAAGTTAGAATTTAATTTAAATTTTAGAATGATTGATTTATAAATGTATGCTAACTCTGTCTCTCATCGGTCTAAAGTCTCAATCTAGTGCTTTGCGTTCCAAAAAAAACTCTCACTCTCCAAAAATGTATACTACTTGGTACTTGGAACGTCTATTTTCTACCTATTTCTCTCTATGTAGAATATTCTGCTGATTTCTCTGTGATTTCTTTAGTTCTAGCTTTTAATTTTCCAATTATTTTATTCAACTTTGTATAGTCGATCCATTTGCTGACCTATTGAGATTATTTTAAAAGTATTTTTCTAAAATTTTGATTTGGTTCTTTTTCAATTTTCTTTTGTCTAGTTTTTTCTGTTGTCTAGTCTACTGGATTATTTTCCTACCTTTATAGCTTTCAACATGTTAAATATATCTTCACGGAATTCTTTCAAATTGTTCCAGTATATATTGTTTCTGCAGTGCAATTCTCTGCTAAGTCTACCAATTCATTCTCATGGCATATTATGCTTTCTTCAGTACTTAGTGATTTTTTATTACAGGCTTAGTTTTTGGTGGGAATTATTTCCTGTGGAAACCCGTCTTCCCTGGATAATGAACATATTCTTAGGGTTAGTTTGTTTCTTAGGAGGTCCTATCATTTTCATCAGTCTTGCACTAGATTTTTATGTAAAGTTCTTGGTTCGGGTTCCATATGTTGTGTTTCATAGATAATGAATATCAAGGTCCCTTCCCCAATATAAAATTATCTTTGATCACTAGGCATTGTTTGGTTGACCTTTCAAACCTGACCCAGGATGGCCCACAGCTTCTTGCTGAGACATTAGACATTTTCTTGTTGAATTTTTCCCTCAAGGTAGATCTTCCAAGCATCCATGTTGACATAGAATGTTCTAGTTTCCAATTTACACTAGCTTACACCCATGATGAGATTGAAAACCGTAACACATCATCTTTCTTTTTCTATACCATTTACTTAGCTTGAAATGCTTCCAACTTTCTCTCCCTCAACTAACCGAACCTCCTTCTCCCTTATTCCTTGTGTGCGTTTCTACTCCTAGACCAATGGCTCTCAACCAGGTTGGTCATTGGATTCATCTGGCTCACTTCCTTAAAGGAAAAAAAAAAAAAGAAACAAAACAAAACAGATGTCTATCCTAAGCCAATTAAACAAAAGCAGCCATGGTAGATCCTGCCTGGGCATGGGTTTTTTGTTTTTTGAATTTTTAAAAAATCTACTGGTTATTCTAATCTTTAGCCAGGGTTAAAAACCTCTATTTTGAACCCAGTCCAATTAGCATATCTTTGATGAAACCTTCTCCAATTTCTCCAGGAATCAGTTCTCTATCTATGCTGCCTGAGAACTTTCCCTCTGTTTTTCCAGCACTAATCACATTGACTCTCTGTATACAAGACAAATAGCCCTTTCTGGTATGAAAATGTGCCTTGTACCTTACACCACATTCTATTCCCAGTACCTAGACAGTATGGCACAACGTGGTGCAAGAGGATAAGAAGGTGAAAAAGCGGATGGGTGGATGGACCCAAAGTAAAATCCTATTGATGATTAAGATTTGATACTTATTTGTTTTCTCTAGGATTGCCAGCCCTAGAGTTCCCCAATGAAAAATAGAGCTGTTGGCTTCTCTGAGCTCCAGTGGAAGAAGAAAACACTAGTACCTTCAGATCCTACCCCTGAAGATAATCTTAGCTGCCAAGTAAATAGCAACATGCTTCATGAAAATCCTACCAACCTCTGAAGTCTCTTCTCTCTTAGGTCTATAATTTTTTTTTAAATTTTTCTTCCTTAAACTCCTGTGATGTTTCCATTTTTTGTTCCCTAATGAGAAGTCAACAGTGAAATACGCCAGAACTGCTTTATCCCACGGAAAATGCCAATCTCTTCTAAAAAAAAACAAAATTAAATTAAAAACAGAATGTTGGTTTAAAAAACTTCAAAGTAATTTTCAAACGGCTTTGTATGGTTAACATATTCTGCCAGGTCCATGACCACACGTCTGTACCATGCAATTTAACTCTTATTTACATTGTTATGTTTAGTTTGGTTATTTGCTTAGGTGTGCATACATTCATTCAGCAAATGCTGAGCACCAGCCACGTGCACAGCAGTTGCTTTTACTAGTCTTAGCTCTACGATTTAAATCCATGTGTCCAAGGGGGAAAACATATTATATTTGTAACCAAAAACTACTAGTTTACCAGAGGACTGAAGGGAGATAAAGAGGAGTTGGTTAATGGGTACAAAAATCCAGTTAGATGAAAGGAATAATATAGATAGTGTTCAGTAGCAGAATAGAATGAACATAAACTATTAGTTTAAATTATGTGAAATTCCTTCTATTTGATCATATTTTACAAGAAAAAACATCAATTTTATATAGTCCAACTTAATACCTAGCCTTATGAGTTGTATAAGGTAAGGTTACCTACCTGAGAAGCTGATTAACATTGGTTGTACAATCTTATTCATTAGAGAACATGGTGCTTAGGGTCTGAGACCTTTTGAAAGGTCTGAGAACTCTTTAAAAAAAGGAAAGAAAGAAAGAAAAGAGGAAAAATATATCAAAATAAAAAAATGCAAAATGAGAATTAATAAATGCTTAAACATCAGTATGTATCATGTTAACTTTATTGTTACTATTAATAAACATTTCACACATTTATAAATAAATTATGTTACTTTCTCTCACTTGGCAGAAATTCACAAGAATGCATTTGATTGCTGGGAGATAACAGTAACTAAATTACCTACATGAAAATAATTTCAAAAGCAAAATTTTTAAAAATAATTTTCAAAATTGTTTTTAAATAGCAAATAAAAAGATTACTGGATGTGGGATGTATTTTAATATGTTAGGTATGATATGGAGATCATACTAATAAATGTGCCCTGGCCCTTAAGAGTCTTGCATTTGCCCTGGGAGCTCCAGAGAAGTTCTGTCCCCTGCCCTTCAAAACACTGTGTGAATTAGAGAGGAGTAAGATTTGTTAAATGTGTATAAATACTGAACTCTGTTCTTGAACAATCCACTATTGAGAGAGTTTTTGATGGAGAGCATCTGGCTCAAGGCTGTTATTAGAGTAACACCTGAGAATTCCTTCCACCCTTAGGAATTACAAATGTCAAACAATAAAAGAGCTGAGCCTTGACCAGACCCCCTAGGGCTAGCTTAATGATTTATCAGAGTCCTTTCTAGGGTAATGAATAGCAGGAACAGCCCAGGTTCACACTTGATGGAGAGTCCTCCGACTTCTTGCCAAAGGTGGTATATCTGATGATAGAGCATCTCCAGCAGGGAGCACTATTGAGACACCAGAAACTGCTCAACAGTAATCAACACAGAGCAGAAAGTCTCCAGGCCTAAACTAAAGGAGAATCTCTAGAAACCGGGAAAGATGAGGACCCACTAGGCCTAGCATGTGTCAGCGTGGACTGTTGTTTGGAGAGAGCAGATGTAGCTTAGTTTGCCCAAATGGAGTGCATTATAGGTGCCCCCTACTCCACATGCTCTCTGAGGGGGTGCACCACCAATTCAAGGAAAAGGACAGGTGAAAACAACAGCCCTGTGAAGCCCAGTCCAGAAAGTTGGATCGTTATACTAAATCACTATCGAAAGAAGCCAGTATCAAAAGAAGTTAGAGAAGTGGGATGGGTATTTATGTTCACTAGGACCTGATGGATAAAGGAAGCTCAGAGTTTTGCTACATTTTTACACTTTTCCCTTTTTATACTCAAAATTCAGGTCACTTATTTATTCTAGTGATCACAGAGTAGACAGTCAACATACACCTGTTGTCTAGTGTTCGACGTGTGGGTCAGCATTCTCACCCTGGCTTTACACAATTGTCTCCCCTGCAAGCCCTTTTAATTGTTTAATGGGACCCAACAATAGCATCTCCTAAATTAGTCTCCCAATATTTACTTATGAAAACAGCCCAAAATGGTAAATGATATGGTCTGGCTCTGTGTTGCCACCAAAATCTCATCTCAAATTGTAATCTCCATGTGTCAAAGGAAGGACCTGGTGGGAGGTGATTGGATCATAGGGGCAGTTTCCCCCATGCTTTCCTTGTGATAAGTGAGTCAATTCTCACGAGAGCTGATCAAAGGCTAGTTCAGTTTTTTTCCTTAATGAAACAATTTTTATATACACATGTAATTCACAGGACAGTCAAATATCTGTCCTATGACAGATATTTGGCCCCCACTCTTTGCTCTTCCACCCCCACCTCATGCCCATTACCTACCATTATGCTAAGAGCAGCAAAATGGCCCAAGAAAAGGGGATGGCATGGCTATTTAACAATGGGCAAGTTACTAAACCCTTAAGCCCTAAAATATGCTCAGGGAAAATAATATCTCTTTCCTAGAACTGTTAGGTTGATTTACTGAGATCATTTATACTGTAACCGACTGGAAAAGCAATAAATAGTAATAGTGGCTATTACTATTATTAGAACACATGACTATTAGTCAAAAATCTTCAAAGTATAACTAACATTTGTGACATTAGATACATCAGTGTATTTTGCAACTTTTTTGGCCTAATCTTCTTTTGGGATAAAAACTGGGAATGAAGAAAGGAAGGAAGGAAAGAAAGGCAGAGACAGAGACAGACAGAAGAGTAGAAAGAAAGAAAGAAAGAAAGAAAGAAAGAAAGAAAGAAAGAAAAAGAAAGAAAGAAAGAAAAAGAAAGAAAGAAAAGAAAGAAAGGAAGGAAGGAGGGGGGGAGGGAGGGAGGAAGGAAGGAAGGAAGAAGAAAGAGAGAGAGAAGGAAGGAAGGAAGAAGGAAAGAAGGATGGAAGGAAGGGAAGGAAAGAAAGAAAGGAAGAAAAAAGAAAGGAAAGAAAGAAGAAAGAAAGAAAGAGAGAGAGAAAAAAGAAAGAAAAAAAAGAAAGAAAGAGAAAGAAAGAAAGAAAGAAAGAGGTGGAGCCAAGATGGCTGAATAGGAACAGCTCCAGTCTACAGCTCCCAACATGAGCGACGCAAAAGACAAATGATTTCTGCATTTCCAACTGAGTTACCGTGTTCATCTCACTGGGGCTAGTCAGACAGTGGGTACAGGAGAGTGGGTGCAGCGCACCAAGTGTGAGCCGAAGCAGGGCAAGGCATCGCCTCACCCAGGAAGTGCAAGGGGTCAGAAAATTCCCTTTGTTAGCCAAGGAAAGAGGTGAAAGAGGGCACCTGGAAAATCGGGTCACTCCCACCCTAATACTGCACTTTTCCAACAGTCTTAGCAAACGGCACACCAGGAGATTGTATCCTGTGCCTGGCTCAGAGGGTCCCACACCCACAGAGCCTCGCTCATTGTTAGCACAGCAGTCTGAGATCAAACTGCAAGGCGGCAGCGAGGCTGGGGGAGGGGCGCCTGCCATTGCTGAGGCTTGAGTAGGTAAACAAAGCTGCCTGGAAGCTCAAACTGGGTGGAGCCCACCGCAGCTCAAGGAGGCCTGCCTGCTTCTGTAGACTCCACCTCTGGGGGCAGGGCATAGCCAAACAAAAGGCAGCAGAAACCTCTGCAGACTTAAATGTCCCTGTCTGACAGCTTTCAAAAGGGTAGTGGTTCTCCCACCATGCAGCTGGAGATCTGAGAACGGACAGACTGCCTCCTCAAGTGGGTCCCTGACCCCTGAGTAGCCTAACTGGGAGGCACCCCCCAGTAGGGGCAGACAGACACCTCACACGGCCGGGTACTCCTCTGAGACAAAACTTCCAGAGGAATGATCAGGCAGCAAAATTTGCTGTTCACAAATATCTGCTGTTCTGCAGCCTCTGCTGCTGATACCCAGGCAAACAGGGTCTGGAGTGGACCTCCAGCAAACTCCAACAGACCTGCAGCTGAGGGTCCTGACTGTTAGAAGGAAAACTAACAAACAGAAAGGACATCTGAACCAAAACCCCATCTGTACGTCACCATCGTCAAAGACCAAAGGTAGATAAAACCACAAAGATGGGGAAAAAACAGAGCAGAAAAACTGAAAATTCTAAAAATCAGAGGGCCTCTCCTCCTCCAAAGGAACGCAGCTCCTCACAAGCAACAGAACAAAGCTGGTTGGAGAATGACTTTGACGAGTTGAGAGAAGAAGGCTTCAGAAGATCAAACTACTCCGAGCTAAAGGAGGAAGTTAGAACCCATGGCAAAGAAGTTAAAAACCCTGAAAAAAGATTAGACGGATGGCTAACTAGAAAAATTGATGCAGAGAGGTCCTTAAAGGATCTGTTGGAGCTGAAAACCATGGCACAAGAACTACATGATGAATGCACAAGCATCAGTAGCCGATTCAATCAACTGGAAGAAAGGGTATCAGTGACGGAAGATCAAATGAATGAAATGAAGCGAGAAGAGAAGTTTAGAGAAAAAAGAATAAAGAGAAACGAACAAAGCCTCCAAGAAATATGGGACTATGTGAAAAGACCAAATCTATGTCTGATTGGTGCACCTGAAAGTGACGGGGAGAACGGAACCAAGTTGGAAAACACTCTGCAGGATATTATCCAGGAGAACTTCCCCAATCTAGCAAGGCAGGCCAACATTCAGATTCAGGAAATAAAGAGAACGCCACAAAGATACTTCTCGAGAAGAGCAACTCCAAGACACATAATTGTCAGATTCACCAAAGTTGAAATGAAGGAAAAAATGTTAAGGGCAGCCAGAGAGAAAGGTCTGGTTACCCACAAAGGGAAGCCCATCAGACTAACAGCTGATCTCTCAGCAGAAACTCTACAAGCCAGAAGAGAGTGGGGGCCAATATTCAACATTCTTAAAGAAAAGAATTTTCAATGCAGAATTTCATATCCAGCTAAACTAAGCTTCATAAGTGAAGGAGACATAAAATACTTTACAGACAAGCAAATGCTGAGAGATTATGTCACTACCAGGACTGCCCTAAAAGAGCTCCTGAAGGAAGCACCAAACATGGAAAGGAACAACCGGTACCAGCCACTGCAAAAACATGCCAAATTGTAAAGACCATCAAGGCTAGGAAGAAACTGCATCAACTAACGAGCAAAATAACCAGCTAACATCATAATGACAGGAACAAATTCATACATAACAATACTAACCTTAAATGTCAATGGGCTAAATGCTCCAATTAAAAGACACAGACTGGCAAATTGGATAAAGAGTCAAGACCCATCAGTGTGCTGTATTCAGGAGACCCATCTCATGTGCAGAGACACACATAGGCTCAAAGTAAAGGGATGGAGGAAGATCTACCAAGAAAATGGAAAACAAAAAAAGGCAGGGGTTGCAATCCTAGTCTCTGATAAAACAGACTTTAAACCAACAAAGATCAAAAGAGACAAAGAAGGTAATTACATAATGGTAAAGGGATCAATTCAACAAGAGGAGCTAACTATCCTAAATATATATGCACCCAATACAGGAGCACCCAGATTCATAAAGCAAGTCCTTAGAGACCTACAAGGAGACTTAGACTCCCACACAATAATAATGGGAGACTTTAATACCCCACTGTCAACATTAGAGAGATCAACAAGACAGAAAGTTAACAAGGATATCCAGGAATTGAACTCAGCTCTGCACCAAGCAGTCCTAATAGACATCTACAGACTCTCCACCCCAAATCAACAGAATATACATTCTTTTCAGCACCACACCACACCTATTCCAAAATTGACCACATAGTTGGAAGTAAAGCACTCCTCAGCAAATGTAAAAGAACGGAAATTATAACAAACTGTCTCTCAGACCATAGTGCAATCAATCTAGAACTCAGGATTAAGAAACTTACTCAAAACTGCTCAACTGCATAGAAACTGAACAACCTGCTCCTGAATGACTACTGGGTAAATAATGAAATGAAGGCAGAAATAAAGATGTTCTTTGAAACCAACGAGAACAAATACACAACACACAAGAAGCTCTGGGACACATTCAAAGCAGCGTGTAGAAGGAAATTTACAGCACTAAATGCCCACAAGAGAATGCAGGAAAGATCTAAAATTGACACCCTAACATCACAATTAAAAGAACTAGAGAAGCAAGAGCAAACACATTCAAAAGCTAGCAGAAGGCATGAAATAACTAAGATCAGAGCAGAACTGCAGGAAATAGCGACACAAAAAACCCTTCAAAAAATCAATGAATCCAGGAGCTGGTTTTTTGAAAAGATCAACAAAATTGATAGACCACTAGCAAGACTAATAAAGAAGAAAAGAGAGAAGAATCAAATAGACGCAATAAAAAATGACAAAGGGGATATCACCACCAATTCCACAGAAATACAAACTACCATCAGAGAATACTATAAACACCTCTATGCAAATAAACTAGAAAATCTAGAAGAAATGGGTAAATTCTTGGACACATACACTCTCCCAAGACTAAACCAGGAAGAAGTTGAATCCCTGAATAGACCAATAACAGGCTCCGAAATTGAGGCAGTAATTAATAGCCTACCAACCAAAAAAAGTCCAGGACCAGAAGGACTCACAGCCAAATTCTACCAGAGGTACAAGGAGGAACTGGTACCATTCCTTCTGAAACTATTCCAATCAATAGAAAGAGAGGGAATCCTCCCTAAATCATTTTATGAGACCAACATCATCCTGATACCAAAGCCTGGCAGAGACACAACAAAAAAAAGAGAATTTTAGACCAATATCCCTGATGAACATCGATGCAAAAATCCTCAATAAAATACTGGCAAACCGAATCCAGCAACATATCAAAAAGCTTATCCACCATGATCAAGTGGGCTTCATCCCTGGGATGCAAGGCTGGTTCAAGATATGCAAATCAATAAACGTAATCCAGCATATAAACAGAATCAATGGCAAAAACCACATGATTATCTCAGTAGATGCAGAGAAGGCCTTTGACAAAATTCAACAGCCCTTCATGCTAAAAAACTCTCAATAAATTAGGTATTGATGGGATGTATCTAAAAATAATAAGAGCTATCTATGACAAACCCACAGTCAATATCATACTGAATGGGCAAAAACTGGAAGCATTCCCTTTGAAAACTGGCACAAGACAGGGATGCCCTCTCTCACCATTCCTATTCAACATAGTGTTGGAAGTTCTGGCCAGAGCAATCAGGCAGGAGAAAGAAATAAAGGGTATTCAATTAGGAAAAGAGGAAGTCAAATTGTCCCTGTTTGCAGACGACATGATTGTATATCTAGAAAACCCCATCATCTTAACCCAAAATCTCCTTAAGCTGATAAGCAACTTCAGCAAAATCTCAGGATACAAAATCAACGTGCAAAAATCACAAGCATTCTTATACACCAATAACAGACAAACAGAGAGCCAAATCATGAGTGAACTCCCATTCACAATTGCTTCAAAGAGAATAAAATACCTAGGAATCCAACTTACAAGGATATGAAGGACCTCTTCAAGGAGAACTGCAAACCACTGCTCAATGAAATAAAAGAGGACACAAACAAATGGAAGAACATTCCATGCTCATGGGTAGGAAGCATCAGTATCGTGAAAATGGCCATACTGCCCAAGGTAATTTATATTCAATGCCATCCCCATCCAGCTACCAATGACTTTCTTCACAGAACTGGAAAAAACTACTTTAAAGTTCATATGGAACCAAAAAAGAGCCCGCATTGCCAAGTCAATCCTAAACCAAAAGAACAAAGCTGGAGGCATCACGCTACCTGACTTCAAACTATACTACAAGGCTACAGTCACCAAAACAGCATGGTACTGGTACCAAAACAGAGATATAGACCAATAGAACAGAACAAAGCCCTCAGAAATAATGCCACATATAAACAACTATCTGATCTTTGACAAACCTGACAAAAACAAGAAATGGTGAAAGGATTCCCTATTTAATAAATGGTGTTGGGAAAACTGGCTAGCCATATGTACAAAGCTAAATCTGGATCCCTTCCTTACACCTTATACAAAAATTAATTCAAGATGGATTAAAGACTTAAGTGTTAGACCTAAAACCATAAAAGCCCTAGAAGAAAACCTAGGCAATACCATTCAGGACATAGGCATGGGCAAGGACTTCATGTCTAAAACACCAAAAGCAATGGTAACAAAAGCCAGAATTGACAAATGGGATCTAATTAAACTAAAGAGCTTCTGCACAGCAAAAGAAACTGCCATCAGAGTGAACAGGCAACCTACAGAATGGGAGAACATTTTTGCAATCTACTCATCTGACAAAGGGCTAATATCCAGAATCTACAAAGAACTCAAACAAATTTACAAGAAAAAAACAACCCCATCAAAAAGTGGGCAAAGGATATGGACAGACACTTCTCAAAAGAAGACATTTATGCAGCCAACAGACACATGAAAAAATGCTCATCATCACTGGCCATCAGAGAAATGCAAATCAAAACCACAATGAGATACCATCTCACACCAGTTCAAATGGTGATCATTAAAAAGTCAGGAAACAACAGGTGCTGGAGAGGATGTGGAGAAATAGGAACACTTTTACACTGTTGGTGGGACTGTAAACTAGTTCAACCACTCTGGAAGACAGTGTGGCGATTCCTCAGGGATCTAGAACTAGAAATACCATTTGACCCAGCCATCCCATTACTGGGTATATACCCAAAGGATTATAAATCATGCTGCTATAAAGACACATGCACACATATGTTTATTGTGGCACTATTCACAATAGCAAAGACTTGGAACCAACCCAAATGTCCATCAATGATAGACTGGATTAAGAAAATGTGGCACATATATACCATGGAATACTATGCAGCCATAAAAAATGATGAGTTCATTTCATTTGTAGAGACACGAATGAAGCTGGAAACCATCATTCTCAGCAAGCTATCACAAGGACAAAAAAGCAAACACCGCATGTTCTCACTCATAGGTGGGAATTGAACAATGAGAACACATGGTCACAGGAAGGGTAACATCACACACCGGGGCATGTCGTGGGGTGGGGGTAGGGGGCAGGGATAGCATTAGGAGATATACCTAATGTAAATGACGAGTTACTGGGTGCAGCACACCAACATGGCACATGTATACATATGTAACAAACCTGCACATTGTGCACATATACCGTAAAATTTAAAGTATAATTAAAAAAAAGTAGGAAAGAAAAAAGGAAGGAAGGAAGGAAGGAGAAAAAATGAGAAATAGATCCCTTTTGATGTGGGACCTTTTCTTTATTTTATTCATTAAAGATCAAATTATCATTAAACAAATGGCAAAAGCAATAAGCAACCCCATGAGAGTGTGTGTCAGTTAAATCTTGTCTTGGAGACTCACTGAAGCAAAGGGATTATGACTTAGAATTCTGCTTCTGTGAAACAAATGCAAGGACAAATGATGTGAGAAATCACGAGAAGAAAACAGCAGGACCCAATAGACCCATGGAGTTCATGCATCCCCAAAGACCCAAAGAGAGGGTGTGATACAAATAATGGACAAAATTACAAAAAACAAAGCAAGGTAATATATAACCTAGAATTCTTCTATAAGCTTTGTTGTCTCTTTGCTCTCCAGGTTAACTGGTTTGATAAAAACTCCTTAAGTGAAGTCTAGATTAATTTTTTCATTGTCCTATTTTAGCAGATTGTTTTTACTGTAGTAAATATTCACCTGGGATTGGGTTTAAATTGTAAAGACAAATGCTCCCTTCTTTTCTTGAGTTTCAATACAATCTACTCGTTCCATTAAAATGTGGTGGAAACTCTCTTTTTAATCAAAAGTAAGTTGATTAATAAGCTATTTCTTCCAGAACACTGATGTTCTGAAGAGTTAAGGCCCTCTTTCATTAAAAGTAGAAAGTACAAGAGTGAAAAAGTTCACTGTGTTTTTAAAACAAAAAGTGAAAGAGAAATAACCCAAATCAAGGAAGTCCCCACTTCCTCCTGCACAGCCTTCTTAAGCATGCCTGTTCTTATTCTGCTTTTTCCTGCTACTTCCCATTTGCTATTTCATATCTAGCCAAACAGGGAGACTGAATTTCCTTGAATTTTTATGAATCTGCTTGTAAGTTTCCTTTAATTTCATGATCAAAGAGCAGCTCTGTAGTGACTATCTCTTAGTATTTGGCGATATTTTAGCCAAAGGTTCTCTTATAGCTTCCCATAAATGATGGGCTTCAAGGAAGGTTGTAGATGCAGAATCAGTGTACAAAACAAACATTGCTTTCATCTGAGGAACTCACGAGGCAAAAAAAAAAGAAAAAGTGTTTTAAAAAAAGCTGACCTAGGACCTTAGAGTGAGAAAAGGAAGTATGAAAATTAATTCTCATTGGAGCAGTTTCCAATCTAGTTGAGGAGCCAAACCTAATACACCCAATACAATTAGAGAACCATAAAGGGCAAACATATTAAAAGAGCTTAATTTTGTAGTGTGGCCTGCAGGCTTCCAGAAAAAAACAGGAGATCAGTGAGCTAGCAGCAGAGAAGCCTTCCTGGAAAAGGTGAGATTCGACATCCCTCTGTTCTATCTCAGGGGTCTTAGCCAGGCACATTAATGTTGGGCACGTAGAGTAGATGGCTACTTGTTTCTTGTATAAAATGTTAGACATTCGGGTTATAAAAAAGAAAATGTATCGGAGTTTATAACTATTTCTAACCTTCTATGCTAACAGTTTTAACCATGCTTCTTTTAAAACCTAATACCTGTAATCCCAGCACTTTGGGAGGCCAAGGTGGGTGGATCATAAGGTAAGGAGTTCAAGACCAGCCTGGGCAAGATGGTGAAACCCCATCTCTACTGAAAATACAAAAATTAGCCAGGTGTGGTGGCACATGCCTGTAATCTCAGTTACTTGGGAGGCTGAGGCAGGAGAATTGCTTGAACCTGGGAGGCGGAGGTTGCAGTGAGCTGAGATCGTGCCACTGTACTCTAGCCTGGGGGACAGAGCAAGACTCTGTCTCAAAAAGAAAAAAAAAAAGCATAATAGATAAAACACTGACGATGCTTCTCAGTAATGATCATTAATATTACTCAAATTTTATTAGTGTTCTTTCCTTTATCTACTTGCAAGATGAGTTTAAAAAATGAAGTTGGTTTTCCCTAGCCACCCCATTCTTCTAGACCTCACAGTCTCCACCTAGCCACCACCTTCAGTGAGTACTGAAGGGGCAGACTCATTCATTGCACCATTGACTGAACAAAAACTGTTTTCTAAAATAAAAATGTATGAAAAGAGAGTGCATGCCCCAGTATTTAAAGAATTATAACTTATTTTGCATTCTGTAAGCTACTTCTCCCTTCTATTAGCAGGACTAATTGCAGTGCCCATACTGCGAAAACATAGGTTTATCATTTTCAGATGGTATCACTATGCTCTCTGTCATCTTTGTTGCATTTCCTGTTTCATCTTCCTGCTCAGGAACTTATGTACTGAGCTCTGGCTTCACAGGAGATATACTCACATATGTGATGTTTGACATATATTTTTCAAATAACATGATTATGCCTTAAAAACTAAATATGAAAATATACTTGTGGACTACAAGTTATAGTTGGGAGTTTCAACTCAACTTTTCTTTTTTTTTCCAAGGCAGAAGAATTTTTCTTAGTACAGAACAAAATGAAAAGTCTCCCATGTCCACTTCTTTCTACACAGACACAGCAACCATCCGATTTCTCAATCTTTTCCCCACCTTTTCCCCTTTTCTATTCCACAAAACCGCCATTGTCATCATGGCCCGTTCTCAATGAGCTGTTGGGTACACCTCCCAGACGGGGTGGTGGCCGGGCAGAGGGGCTCCTCACTTCCCAGAAGGGGCGGCCGGGCAGAAGCGCCCCCCACCTCCCGGACGGGGTGGCTGGCCGGGCGGAGGCGCCCCCCACCTCCCTCCTGGACAGGGCAGCCGGCCGGGTGGGGAACTTCTTTTTTTTTCTTAGCCAAAAATACTTTTCTTAAATATATGTGTTTGAAAGACCACTAAATTTATTTCAATAACAACTAAAAATTACCTTAATCTGCATTTGGAAATAAGCACAACTTGAAATGGAATTTAGATGGATGAATTGAAATTCAAAGTTCTCTTAACCAGAGACTTACCCAATAAATTACACTGTTAACTGAATAATTGCTAGATTCCTGTTTATCATGTAATTTGTGTCCAACTTACTGGTATAGAGAGGAAATTGTAGCATGACTAAGATTAAGTAATTCTTTTTTTTTTTTTTTTTTTTTTGAGATGAGTCTGGTTCTGTCCCCCAAACTGGAGTGCAGTGGCGCAATCTCGGCTCACTGCAAGCTCCGCCTCCCGGGTTCATGCCATTCTCCTGCCTCAGCCTCCCGACTAGCTGGGACTACAGGCGCCCGCCACTAGGCCCAGCTAATTTTTTGTATTTTTTTTTTTTTAGTAGAGACGGGATTTCACCGTGTTAGCCAGGATGGTTTCGATCTCCTGACCCCATGATCCGCCTGCCTCGGCCTCCCAAAGTGCAGGGATTACAGGCATGAGCCACCGCGCCCGGGCTGATTAAGTAATTTTTATGTAGTACATGGGGTAAACATGTTGATTAACTTAGTAGAGAACAGTGTCAGAGTGTCACGATTATTTCTACCCACAAGGCTGGCCTGGTGATCTGTTCACTATCTTGCTAGTATGAGTCACCTGCTCCTTCTTTTAAGGCAAAGGCTCTCAAATATGCACATACCTTGGAATCACATGGTGAGCTTTGAAATACACTGATGCCTGAGTTTCAACCCCAGATTTTCATATAATAACCTGGGGTGAAGCCTGGGAGCTGAGACTTAAAACATCCCAGGTGATTTTAATGTGCAGCCAGGTTGAGAACCACTGCTTTAGAGTGATTCTCTTTACCCTAAGCTGTATCTGCACTTTGATGATCTCTATTCTAACAGACAGTAGATAAGAGGCTTTCTAGTGAAAGTAAAGAATGTCTCCATTTCAAAGCATTCTGGAAAATGTGTTATACTTAAAAGTATGCCTGGGTCCCATACCTCGCTCTTGCTTTGCTCTTCCTCCTCTATTCATTCATTAAGCATGTATTATGTGTAAGATAATGTGCAATTTCAGATTCCTGACCATCCACCAGATTCTGACCATGCCTCACATCCCTCTTTATAATATGTAAAGTTTTCAGGACAATCTCAGTTTCTACTTCTGGAACTCAACCCCTACCCTGGCTTTTTGCCTGTCCTATTAATTTCTAATTATGTCTTAATTTTGAAAACATTTTTATTTTAAGGAATAAATAACAGGTAACATCTTTTTTGAAAAAGGATTTTGTATGGATATAGGATTAATTAGTGTTTGGTCAGCATCATGTATAGAAATTTGGTGACCTTACACTAAATAAGCACTGTAATACTTACAACAAGATCTGGAAATTTGCAACCACCAAAAAAGGAATCATGCCTTTCCTCTGCCATGGAAAACAAAGATGACCTTCTACCCTTGAACTTACTTTAGTAGAAGGCTAAATATTCCAATTAAAGGGGCCAAATCTGTATATCAGAATGTGTTCAGAGAGGTACATGGATGATTGGAAAGTCTGACTACTTGGGATCAAATACTATGCCCTTAACATCTGATGCTAACAAATATTACCCCAAAATTAATACATGAACCTAGACTGAGCTGTACTTTTTTTTTAGGGAAATGAATGGCATTCTATGATAAGCTTATGAGTGTTTCCTTCATTTAAATACTGGTAATATGAATTTAAATATAATTGGAGTTGCTTATTAAAATTTTCATATACTTTTGCTCTTTTTAATAATGATTATAGTTATGTTTTTACACAAGTGCTATATACCCAAGATAGAAAACTTGAAAAACTCCAAAAAGTACAAAAAAAGAATTATTTATAATAATATATCCACTCAAGTCAAATGCTATTCACATTTTGGTGTGAGTCTTTCATAGATAAGAGAGAGATGGAGACACACACACACACACACACACATATGTATCCAAAAATATAGAAGTTATATAAAACATTAATAATGTATAGCAAAATTTAATATCTAGGTACTTCTAAAAAATTTTGTGTCAATTTTTCAGTCTTCAAAGCTACATCTATACCTGTTCCTGTATTATTGAAAAATAATAACAAGATAAACCTGGCCAGCTATACAAATGCTCTGAGGGTTGAGATAACATGCAAATGTAGCCTCACATATCAATGTGTGAAAGCTGGACAGACCACACAGCTCAGAAAAGGAAGTACACTCTGCATAGCTAACTTGCACATTCACTATCCAAGCTGCACCATCTTCGGGGTCATTGTGTGCCAGGCATATCAACTCTTTTCAATAAAAATGGTAAGTAATAGATTTTATAACTCTCCTTGGTCTCCTGGCAAATGTGCTACTCTTCTCTGCATAGAACAGTCAGAGTTGAGGGTGCTTCACAGTCAGGTCCTCTGAGCCTTTGGGATTTTGCTTGGCCACTTTTTCCTTGTGCTGATGAAGCTGCTGAGTCTTGTTCATGCCAGTTGAGAGACATGGCTTCAAGAGTTCCCTTTTTTTGATTCTAGCCTTCAGAATAGGGGAAGAGCACTGTCTTGCAGAAAGAAAATATGCATTCTTTGTCTTTGCCTCATAGGATAGCTTGGTGCCAGCCCCAGTAATTTAGTCGAGTTTCCTGTTATGAGCAGTTTGGATCCCAGGAAAGGACTCCAGTGGCGAATGTTGGGAAACATTAATGATGGTGATTGCCATTTTGATAACACAGTAGATTTTACAAAGGGACCTCTTTTGTTTGAAAATGTATTTTTTTATTTTAATTAAGAGACGCAAAAAAAGCCCAAACAGTCTTAACCTTAAGGACAGATTGTCTTCTCAAAATTAATGGGAAGTCATTATTTGGAGCATACTTAAAATGGTGAGTGGGTTCCCAGCACTACTTTAACCCATAACATAGCTGAACTACAGCAGTAATATTCTGCTTCATAATTTTCCATTATTTCTTTGGGAAAAAAAAAGGAGGGCTCCCAAAATATATGTGGTGTTCATATGCTCTCAGAGTATAGAAGAGAGCTAATTTTCTGTCTTTGTCTGCTATTCCCCAGCCCCCAGAAGACTGGAAACTGGTTATTCCTTCTCTTATTACGGAGAGGATACCTGCCTTTTGTCAGCCCCCAGTGAGAAGACAGGAGTTGAGACGATGACTCCTGTGCTTGCTCAATTGGAGATTGTGCATTGCAGACATTGGAACAGGGAGAATAAAGGGATCATTCAATGATGTGTGATGTGACTGTGTATTGTCTGAAAGCACCTTGAGTTAGGATAGGGAAAGAGTAGAGGTGAGAGAGGGTAATCTTCCCATGGGGGAGAGAGGAAGAAGGAAGAGTGATAGCGTGCAAGTCACTGAGTCTTGAGAAGGGGAGTACACGGTAGAGGAAATGTTAGTGCATGACCCTGCCTGCGGCAACACCTGTAGAAGACAGTCTCAGGCTCAGGTGGGAGTGAGACTTATAAATCCCTCTACGTTTCCAAGTTTGGTCTTTAGGTCCGGGATTCCTAGAAAACAGCTTGACCTTGGCCAGATGTGGTGGCTCACGCCTGTAATCCCAGAACTTTGGGAGGCCGAGGCAGGCGGATCACGAGGTCAGGAGATCGAGACCATCCTGGCTAACACGGTGAAACCCCGCTTCTACTAAAAATCCAAAAAATTAGCTGGGCATCGTGGTGGGTGCCTGTAGTCCCAGCCACTCGGGAGGCCGAGGCAGGAGAATGGTGTGAATCCGGGAGGCAGAGCTTGCAGTGAGCCGAGATCACGCCACTGCGCTCTAGCCTGGGCCACAGAGCAAGACTCCATCTCAAAAAAGAAAAAAAGAAAAGAAAAGAAAACAGCTTGACCTTAAACAGGAGCACTGTGGTTTATAAAGTGCTATTTGGATTTTCTTAGGCAAAACAAGATAACAGCAGGAAAAAAGGAAGTTTAACTGGATAGCATGTATTTGGTATAATATATGAGTAACGATGTTTTTAAAGATTATTGTTTTCTTATAATAAAAGTAACATGGCTGGGCGTGGTGGCTCCTACCTGTAATCCCAGCACTTTGGGAGGCCGAGGCAGGCAGATCACCTGAGGTTAGGAGTTTGAGACCTGCCTGACCAACATGATGAAACCCCGTCTCTACTAAAAACACAAAATTAGCTGGGCATGGTGGCGCATGCCTGTAACCCCAGCTACTTGGGAGGCTAGGGAGCAGAATCGCTTGAACCTGGGAGACGGAGGTTGCAGTGGGCCGAGATCGCGCCATTGCACTCCAGCCTGGGCAACAAGAGCAAAATTCCGTCTCAAAAAGAAAAAAAAAATAACACATATTTCTCAAAAAAAACTTCTTAGAAATATAGATAATGGTCAGGCTCATGCCTGTAATCCCAATTTTTTGGGAGGTCAAAGTGGGAGGATTACTTAAGGAGTTCAAGACCAGCCGGGGCAACAAAGCAAGATGTCATCTCTATAAAAAATAAAGTAAAAAAATAAATCAGCCAGGCCTAGTGGTGCATGCCTGTTGTCCCACCTACTAGGGAGGCTGATGCAGGAGGATTATTTGAGCTCAGGAGTTCAAGGCGGCAGTGATGAATGATCATGTCACCACACTCCAACCCAGGCAACCCTGTATTCAAAAAAAAAAAAAAGAAAAAAAGAAATATAAATATACAGAAATGAAACATTAAGCGTGTTCTATAATTCTGTCAACTAAGGGACAATCACCAGGTTAGTACAGATCCTTCGAGAATGTCATCATTTTAAATGCATATTTTATAAATGTAATTTTATAAGTGTTATATACTTTATGAACTATTTCCTCACATTTTATTTAAAATATCTTTAATAATATTGGAGTTACAATGTAGTTTTTAATGATAAATCATTTTTAATAATTGTGTAGTAGCCCACAATTTGTTTTAATCAGTTCCATAGAGTTGGACATTTCAGTTGTCTCTTTTTCTTTCCTTATGGTGATATAGACAAGACTGTCACAAGCATTTTTTATATACTTTGTCTGATTATTTTGCATTGACAGAATTCCTAGCAAAGTAGCCAGGTGAAAACCTACATATATTTAAAACTTCTAACACAAGTTACCTTGTTGTTAAGCAGCATACTTTAAGTTTCTTACTATATAATGGCATAGTAAGTGAATTTCTCAGTGCAATTATGGCATATACATGCTTATCTTTGTATTCCCATGCCTATTTTTGTAGCATGAAAAGGTTATACTTCAAAATTAAGTTACTTCCCCTTAATTTCTTTCTCCCTAACATTGCTGCTGACATTCTTCAACAAGTGGCAGAAAGCCATGTAGCATATTAAAGAAAGGAAAAAACTCCATTTTTTCTCCTTGAAAGAGATCAGATACAGTCAACAGGCTATATCCCTGGCTTCTTGTTGACTTGTTTTGCTTACTACTTGTTTTCCATAAGTCACTTAAGCTTTGGGTTTGTTTCCTCATCCAATGATGGTGATGACGTGATGATGATGATGATGATGATGATGATGATGATGATGATGATGATAGCTATCCCACAGGATTGTTGTGGAGAGTAAGATTGCAATTATAAAGCCCCTGTGATAATACAGGCACATGCCGGGCACTGGATGGATGTTGGATTCCTGTATTTCAGCCCCAAATAAATAGTTTCCAAAGTATGCATAGAAACTCCTAGTGATTGCAGGAGAGTAATACTGGCAGTTAGCATTGCTAAGCCCTGACATACACTATCTCATTAAATTCCTCTAACAATTCCTGCAAATAGTTATTCCTATTCCCCCTGTTTTCTAGTTGAGTAAACTGAGTCTTGTAGAGAGTAAGTAATTTTCTAACAGCCACACAGCTACTGAATATTGGGCCTGGAATTTGAGGACGATTTTATCTGTTCTCAGAGCCGGAGCTCCTCTACATTTTGTTACGTCTCAGAAAAAGTAGATACCTAGGAAGACAAGCTGGTAGTCAAAGAAAAGCCCAGGACTGGCCTTTAGGGGTGTGCCAGGTCCATTCTCAGGCTGGTGACCATGTCTGGTAGGCTTGAGGATCAGCTGTCATGTCTGCTTCTGCTATGGTCACTATGAGTTTTCCTACTTTCAGAAAGTGCACTTTATTGAAATGTTGCAGAGGCCACTGGGATGAGAGACTGAAGGAATGCCTGGCTTTGTGGTTCTTTATCCCAGGATCCAGAAAGCGGGGCTTAATGACTACATAACTCCCTTCTCCACCCCAAGCTCATCTGCTGTGTCACCACTGTGACCAATCCCCACCTCCCCCACTTCCTGAACTGTCCAGGAAGGGAGCAAGCCAAAAGGGGACCAAGTGGTTATAAGGAAATTCACGTTTTATTGCCCTTTCCCTGTAACTTATTGGTAAGGAAACTGTGGAAATGTGTGAGAATGAAGCACAAAGGCACTTGGTGTTTTATGAAGATAGATACATTAGATATTTAGATTGATGGGCATTGGACACACGACACTGGGCTCATCTTCCAACCTAGCAAGGGGTGCTGGGTTCCAGCTCAACCTTCCCATTTCTCCCTGTGGAATCTTGACCCTATCTCTTCAGCCCTCTTTCAAGAGGCTCAGTCAAGATACAGAGTTGGCTTAGGTGTTCCCCTACATCCTTATTCATAGTGTGATTCTAGATTTTAGAAGTGGGAGAAGAGGCAGTAGAATTCTACTTTATCTGCCCCTGTGGAAATTGACTTAATCTATATCCTTAGATCAGCTCACTTTACAGTCCTAAAATGAAAACAATAGAATAATACTTGTTTACTTGGCAAGTAATTTTAGGTACATTTTAAATTGTAGAATTTTCTGGAAGAAATGAAGAAATAGATGTTCTAGTCATGTACAATTTTTTTTTGTATTTTATGCATAAACCTTAGGTCAGTAAAAAAAAAAAAAAACAGTAAAAATTGTGTTTGGGGTTTCTGGTTTGTTTTGTTCCTTTCATCCAGTTTTTAAGCTACATGGGAGCTCCTGAAAGGAGTGTAGTCAAATTGCACTGTCACTCATTCATTCAACAAAGGTTATTTGAGCTCCTACTTCAAGTCTGCACTCTGCTAGTCATTGGAATGCAGGGTGAACAACACATGGTGTCCAGGCTTCCCACGGGTTACACTTAGGGTAGTGGTTCTCAAACTTTAGCATGCATGAGAATCACTGGGAGGGTCAAGGATGGGGCCTGGAAATGTGCATTTCTTTTATTCATTTATTTATTTATTTTTGAGACAGAGTTTTGCTCTTGTTGCCCAGGCTGGAGTGCAATGGCGTGATCTTGGTTCACTGCAGCCTCCGCCTCCCAGGTTCAAGCCATACTCCTGCCTCAGCCTCCTAAGTAGCTGGGATTACAGGTGCCCACCACCATCCCCAGCTAATTTTTTTTTCTTTTTTTTTTTTTTGAGACAGAGTCTTGCTCTGTCGCCCAGGCTGGAGTGCAGTGGCGTGAACTCAGCTCACTGAAAGCTCCGCCTCCCGGGTTCACGCCATTCTCCTGCCTCAGCCTCCTGAGTAGCTGGGACTGTAAGCGCCCGCCATCACAACTGGCTAATTTTTTTTTTATTTTTTAGTAGAGATGGGGTTTCACCATGTTAGCCAGGTTGGTCTCGATCTCCTGACCTCATGATCCACCTGCCTCGGCCTCCCAGAATGCTGGGATTACAGGCGTGAGCCACCACACCTGGCCAGGCCCAGCTAATTTTTTGTATTTTTGGTAGAGATGGGGTTTCTCCATGTTGGCCAGGCTGGTCTTGAACTCCTGACCTCAGGCGATCCACCCACCTCGGCCTCCCAAAGTGCTGGGATTACGGGTGTGAGCCACCGAACCCGGCCAAAAATGTGCATTTCTAATAAGTTCTCAGATGAGGCTGACGCTGCTGGTCCAGGGCCCACGCTTGGAGAACCACTTTTCCTGGGAAGTAATAGATCAAAAACATCAAAGTGAACAAATAAATAAAATACCTTGCACTGAGCTCTGAAGGAGGCAAATGAGGAGCTGAGATAGAAAATGGAGGGGAGAAATCCTCTTGAGAGAGGTGTCTGGTCTCTGATGAGGGGATGTTCAGGCTGAAGCAGTAGTTCTCTACTCTGGCTGCACATGGGAATCACTACAGCAGCTTATAAAACATCCCTCTTCTCAGGCCCCGAAACCAATGAAACTGAAACTTGAGGTGGGGCTCAGTGAGGGTTGAGCATTGCTACACCAAAAAGTGAGAATGAGTTGGGCATGGGGTAAATGGGGGTAGAAAGCATTTCAAGCTGAGGAAGTGGCAGGTGCAAAAGAGGTGAGGCAGGAGAGAGCTTGGAGCTGTAAAAAGACCAGGATGGCTGGAGAATAGGCAAGAGAAGAAGAGAGTGACAAGAGATGGCTTTATGGAACAGGCAGTGGCCACATGAATGCTGGGTCTTAAGGCTGCCTTAGTCCATTTGGGCTGCCATAGCAAAACACCTTAGACTGGGTAGCTCGTAAACAACAGAAATTTATTTTTTACAGTTTTGCGGGCTACAAAGTCCAAGATCAGAATGCCAGATTGGTCATAGTCTTGTAAGGGCCCTCTTGCAGATTGCAGACTGCCAACTTCTTGCTGTGTCCTCACATACCAGAAGGAACAAATAAGCTCTTTTGGCTTCTCCTATAAGGATTATTATTATCCCATATGCATTAAGTGTGGATGGCAGCTCTATGCAAAAGAATGTTCATCTACCACTGCTTGAAATTGAAAATAATGGCAACAAGTCAAATGTTGGATTGAACTGCATGTGTCCAAAGGGATATGTCTTGAAAATATCCGAATGTAGAGTGAAAGAAGGCACAGAGTGAGGGCTCTGTCCTTACATCCAAGCACCTCCCCAAAGGCCTCACCTTCTAATACCATCATCTTGGAGGATAGGATTTTGACACATGAATTTTGGAGGGACACAAACATTCAGACCTGGAATTTGATCATACTGTTCACCAGAGCAGCCACTGGAGACACCTGAGCTGAGGAGTGGGTGCCATTACCTGCTTCATATTTTGAGGGTAGGGCTACTTCTGAAGTGACGTGCATCCTCTCCAGATAGCCTTGATCCTGGCTTGGGCCTTAAATATTGGCTTTGTTCCTGTTCTCCCTCAAAAGTGTGGCCCCAAATTTGACTACATCCAAGTTAGAAAGTAAGTACAGAATTTCTGAGGGGAACAGGTCCTAAGATGTGAAAATAAATAAACTGTAGGCCATGATGGAAGCCCCAGTTGAGAACTGGTGTCCCAGGGAAATCTGAGAGTATGGAAACGGAGCTAGAAGGTTCCCTGTGAGGGCTGGAGTTCTGATCCACTTCCTTCAATTAGAGAGGTGATTTTTTTTTCTTTTAGGTAAGCTGTGGAGGCCAATCATAGTCCTGAGTGATAGGCTAATATCACTCCACACACTTCCCTGTTGCCATCCCTGGCCTATTCATATCCTCTCCTTCTGCAAAAGAGGACACCTACCTTCTGCAGCAAGATCTATCCCACTGTGTTAAAAAAAAAAAATCCTGTACTATGACAAGTTAGTTTTAAGCCAAGGATAAGAGGCTCAAATTCTAGCTGATATCTTGCACTCATATAACACATCAGTGCATCTAGGAGGAGATGTGAGACACTTCTTAGAGCATGTGTTAGAATACACTAAATTTGTGGCACCCTTGCTCTTGAAGTGGGTAGGCATGGGGCTCCAGTTCTTGATTCGGCAACTTCAATATCACTTCCCCAATTCTAGCACTCCATTCCATCCGCCCTTTCTTTTCTCTCATGTCCTTCTCTTTTTAAATTATTATGAAACACATAATACAACAAATGCTCATATACTCACAACCTACAATTAATGCATATTACTGTTCTGGCATCTATTTTAAAACTAAAAAAGAGAAAATTAAAGTCCCTTTCTGCCCTTTTCCAGTTCTATGTCCCTCCTTCCCACAGCACAGAAACAACTATTTTTAAAGTGCCTTTCAGAATAGCCTTCCCAGCCATGGTTTTATGCTTTGATTTTATCTGTGTGTATCCATAAAACTTATAATATCTCCAAACATATAGTATTGTTTTGCCCAGATTTTTTTTCATGATTTCTGCACTTTGCCTTCTTTCACTCTACATTGGGTTTTTTTCAAGAATATCCCTTTGGACACATTCAATCTATTGAATTGCTGTGTAATTCTATTGTAATTTATTCATGTATTCTCCAACATTTGATTTGTTGCCATTATTTTCAATTTCAAACAGTGGTAGATGAACATCCTTTGGCATAGAGGGTATGAGAACCTTCAAGTTTATCTAACATTAGCAACTTGTTCTTTAAGGTCATTGTAATGATTTACCTCCCATCAGCCTTCTACAAAAGTTGCCATTTCTCTACATCATCCCTAAAACTTGACATTGTCATATTTATTGATAGAGTTTTGACAATTTGTTACACGTAAAACTGTACTTCATTATTGTTTTAGTTTTAATTTTTCTGATTATAACTGAGATGAAACATGTTTTCACAAGTTTATTAGCCATTCCAATAAACTCTTCTGTAAATTATCTCTCATGTGTTTCATCCATTTTTTATAGATTTTTTTTTCGTGTTGATTTAGAGGAATTTCTTATATATTCTAGGCATTAATCCTGTGTCAATTACAAGCATTGCAAATTTTGCTCTCCCAGTCTATGGCTTCTTTTTAACTTTACTTTTGGTGTCTCTTTTTTATACAGAAGTTTTAAATCTTAATGTTGTCAAATTTTAAAATAAGTCTTTATCATTTCTGCTTTTGATGTCCTTTTAAGAAATTAATCCCTACCCCTTAAATATTAAAGTCATTTTTCTAATTTTTCCTTGAAGTGTTCTTGTTTTTAAGACTCCATTTTCATGTTTAGGTCTTTAATCATAAGGATACCATTTATATTTGTGATGCAAGGCAGGCATCTAATATTAGCTGATATGGATAACCACTGGTTGCAGTATTATTTACGTTAGCTTGTTCTTTTCCCCCATCACTTTCTAATGCCTCCTCTGCCACATATTCATTTCCCATCTTTGTGGGACTCTGCTTCTGGGCTTCCAACTCTGTTACACTGATCAATATAGTTCATAAAATTCCATGTTCATCATTATTTCTTTTCTTTTCTTTTCTTTTTTTTGAGACAGAGTCTCGCCTTGTTGCCCAGGCTGGAGGGCAGTAGCACGATCTCTGCTCACTGCAATCTCCGCCTCCTGGGTTCAAGTGGCTCTCCTACCTCAGCCTCCCTAGTAGCTGGGATTACAGGCACGCACCACCACACTTGGCTAATCTTTGTCCTTTTAGTAGAAATGGGGTTTCACCACGTTAGCCAGGTTGGTCTTGAACTCCTGACCTCAAGTGATCCACCTGCCTTGGCCTCCCAAAGTGCTGGGAGTACAGGCGTGAGCCACTGCACCCAGCCTCATTGTTTCTTAATTATGCTCTTTTGCTCTGGATTCATATATCTTCTTGCACGGGTACACATAACTCTTGCCTGCTGTCTAACAATTTCTTTGTGTGTGTGTGTGTGTGTGTGTGTGTGTGTGTGTCTTAATCTACACACGTTCTTTTTTTTTTTTTTAATTCTACTTTAAGTTCGGAGATACATGTGCAGAACGTGCAGGTTTGTCACATAGGTACATGTGTGCCATGGTGGTTTGCTGCACCTATTGACCCATCCTCTATGTTCCCTCCCCTCGCTCCCCATCCCCCAACAGGCCCTGGTGTGTGTTGTTCCCCTCCCTGTGTCCATATGTTCTCATTGTTCAACTCCCACTCATGTGTGAGAACATGCAGTGTTTGGTTTTCTGTTCCTGTGATTGCTGTCTAACAATCTCTAAGATTATTCAATATTTCTACTATTATTACACAAACACAACCAGGATCTTAATACAGGGTAATTGCCCATTTAATACAATCCTTCAACCCTATTTCTGGTTCTTAAAACTTCTGCTTGGAGGAAATGAACATCACTGTCATTTACACTTAATTGGCCAAAGTAAGTCATATGGACATATCTCAGTTAAACAGGGCAGAATTTATGAGGATGTATAATCCCCACGCATTCAGGGTCATGTCAAAGAACATCAACAATTTGGAAGAATAGGAATATTATACACTACGATGTATACAGTATAGGTCTTCAAATGACTGAGAACTTCATTTTGACATCACTCTTAAATGATAGTTGAGCTGACTATAAATATTCTAAATATATAGTTACTTTTCCTCACCACTTTACAGACTTACTTGATTGGCTTCTCACTTCCTTTGTTGCCAGTGGAAGTGTGCTTTCAAATCTAATTGTCATTCCTTGTATTTAAAATTGTCACCTCCTTTAAAATCTTTATGTTCTGAGCTTTTACTATGCTTCACAGAGACGTGAATTTATTTTTACTTATCCTGCTTGGTACTCCTAGTATCAATTTAAAACAGGAGGCTAAGAATATTTTATCTAAAGAGACCAGTAGTCAATGTTTTAGGCTTTGCAGGCCCTCTCACATCTGTCACAGCTATTGAACTCTACTGTTGTAACAAGAAAGTAGCCATAGACAATGCATAATAAATGGGTGTGGCTGTGCTCCAATAAAACTTTATTTATAAAAATGGATGTCAGTCTGGATTTACCCAACAAGCTATAGTTGCCAATCTCTGATCTAAAGCCTAATGACTTTCTTCAATTCTTTAGAATTCTCAGCCATTATCTTTTCAAAGCCATTACTCTATCATTTCCTCCTTCCTATGCTTTTTGTCTAAAGCTCCTATTAAAGCTAGTCTCTGATCACCTATCCTCCATGATTTTAATTGCTCTTCCAAACTTTTTATCTCTGTGTCTCTCTTTGATGAATCTTAAATCCATTTATCAGCTTCATCTTTCCATTCACAACTTTTTTTCGTATGTGTTGAGTCACCAACTGTCCTAGTGTGTCCAGCACTCTCCCAGTTTTAGCACTAACATCCCATGTCCTAGAAACCTTTCAATTCCAGACAGACCAGGAAAGTTGCTCACCCTATCTAGAGTGTCCAATGCAGATTTTATCCTATTTCTTGAGTTTTTGTTTTAATGATAAAGTTTGTATTTCCAATTTTTGGAATTGTTTCTCTTATCCCCCACGTTCCTGCCTAATATGTGCATGTTTTTGTTTTAAATATTCTTATATTCTGTTTTGGATAGTATTCTATTATTTCTTAATGAATCCTAAATTCTTAAAGTCCTTTTCAGATTATTCTATTGTTTTAATTTAATTGATATAACTGTATATTTCATGGATGATTTTGTTGAGTTCACTTTGTCATTAATAGTTTTCTTCCTGTGTTATGGAATTTCATGTTGTAGACAAATTTCAAGGAGGCTTTGTTGATCGGTTGGTTAGTTTTCTTTCTACCTGCCTTCACTCCACATTCTCTCATGCTGTACTTACCTGTACCACTTCTTCCTGAGGCCTCCAGCCCAGAGCCAGATCTACATGAACATCTGGATGATTCAGGCCCACAGTAATTCTGGACATTTCGCATACTCGTTACTAAATCAACCAGCCTACTGGCCTAGCTCCTGGTGCTGTGCTGTACTTAGTCCAGGGTTTCTTGTTCTGGAACTGGGTTTCCTGCAGTTTTGTGCATTGGAGAATGATTATCAGCATCTCTGGTCTCTACCAGCTAGATACAGTTGGACTTCAGCACTTTTGTGCATTGTTAGATGTTTAGTAGCATCTCTGGTCTCTACCAACTAGACAGCAGTAGCACCTCCACACCCTCCCATGTGACAACTCAAAGCATTTTCAGATGTGATAGAATGGCCCATGGTGGTGTGAGGGGGCAAAATCCCCAACCCCCCAGTTGAGAATCACTGGTTTATACCAACACAATCTCAGCAACATACGATTTAGTCCCCTTTCATGTTGCTGAGGAGGGAAAAGCATGTCTCTTACTGCCCTTGGTTTCACAGAGTGACCCTACACTATAAAAGCTAGATTAACAAACCCTTCCATACCCTGAACCAACAGCCGCCTATTCAGTCTTCCAGTCTCACTCATTGCCTTGTGCCTCTGTTCTCTTTCCAAAACAGAAAGATTTATCTTCTTTTTAAGTGTTGCTATCTTTACATTTTTTTTCATTTTATATTTAATCTATCACTGACATGTGCTAAGTCAGTGAGAGAGCCAAAAGCTTTCATTTACTAACCAGAAGTTGATTGCTCTCCTCCATCTCTTTTCCTGCATTTCCCTTTAGCTCCATATCTTCTGGGTTTTTGTTGTTGTTGTTCTTATTGTTGTTTTGTTTTGTTTTTGACACAGGGTCTTGCTCTGTCACCCAGGCTGGAATGCAGTGGCACGATCTCAGCTCACTGCAACCTCTGCCTCCTGGGTTCAAGTGATTCTCCTGCCTCAGCCTCCCAGGTAGCTGGAATCACAGACATGCACCACCACACCCACATAATTTTTGTATTTTTATTAGAGATGGGGTTTCACCATGTTGGCCAGGCTGGTCTCAAACTCCTGACCTCAGGTGATCTGCCTACCTCAGCCTTCCAAAGTGCTGAGATTACAGGTGTGAGCCACCACGCCCGGCTAGCTTCATATCTTTCGTTTCTCTTTTCCCCCTTCATCCCTGATTAATGGTATTGAGTAAATCAACAAAGGAGAGGAAATGTTTCAGCATCAGGGTAGATGAGACACTAGGAGAATTAATCAAGTTACTTCCAGGTCTCCATTACCACACTTCACCCCTACTCCAACCTATTAAGACGGTGGTTCTCAAAGTGTGCTCCCAAACCAGCACATCAATATCACCTGGGAACTTAATAGAACTTCTTGGGCCGCACCCAATACCTGCTAAATAAGAAAGGAGGTGGGGCCCAGCCACCTGTGTATTAACAAAGCCTTCCCAGTGATTCTGATGCACGCTCAAGTTTGAGATCTCCCAAACCCAGACACAGCTAAAGACGCTTTGGATCAGTGGTCCTCAACCTGGCTGCCCATTTTAACTGCCTGTTGAATTTTAAAGTATGCAGCTGTTTGAGTGCCAAGCCCAGAGATTTTGATTTGGCTGGCCTGGTGGCTCAGGTACTTTTTTTTTTTTTTAGTCTCCAAATGATTGAAACATCCAGTCAAAGTCTGCTTTAGTTATTCATTTACTGTTTAGCCCATTCTGATCATCACTTATGCTGGTGTTTTGGAATTCTAAGCGAAAATTGGTAAACTTCTAGTGAACAAAGTTTAAAGTGATCTCTTCTGGAGCTTGACTCCCTTGATTTCTATTTCAGTTCTTCTCATTACAATTTACCTTCTCTGTGCCTCAATTTCTCCATATGTAAAAAGCGATAAGTCACTATACCTACTTGTTAAGTTTATTTTAAGAGTTGCATGGGTTTATGTGTGAATATCTTCAGCATAATGCCTGTCACACAGCAAAATCTACACAAAATATTTCTAAAAGATTTTGTAAGTTCTACATGCAAAAAAAAAAAAAAATTCTGCAAGACGAACCTAAGTCAAAATAAGTATCTTGGGAAGAGAGACTTTTTAAAAAGTATTTAAAGGGTATTTCTCTTTTTTTCATATTAGGACCTTTGCTTTATAAGTCCTACTTTTTCCCAAAAACTGTTATATGCTGTTTAAAAACATTGGTAAAAATTAACTTTTCTCATAAAAAATTTTAGAGTTTTACTATATGCCTTTTAAAACTAGCTAATGGAATTTTAAACCAGAGTTCAGAATATTCTATACTCAGATTTGAGCTACAGAAACTGATAAGCCAACAATAAATTCAGCCCTTATGCAAGTTCTGGCAGAAGTGAAAAGACATGGAGATGAAATTAACATCTGCTGAATCTGATCTATAACAGATATTTAGATGAAATTATTTCTGTGAAATCTAGTGAAAACAGTGAAAACACTTTCACAGATGTTTGGGAGGCTGAACTTACATGAAAATGTTTGACTTTTCAAGGTATGGACATAGTCCAAAAGAACTACCATCACTTTTACTCATTGCAACTTTGAAATAAAAGTAGTTACATTCACTTTATCACAAGAGGACATTCATCCGAGAGAAATTAATTTTATCACATGTACCCACAACTACATGAGACAGCATTTCAGGCTGGGTGGACTTTTTTCAATAGCAGAACATAGCCACCCAACACAATACAGCTGCAATAAACACTGCTCAAATTAGTCATCTAGGAGGCAGAGAAGGGGAAGACAGGGAATTTCCAAACTATGTCTTAATCATCAAGCAAACCAACAAAAAAGACTGTGAGGGTGAAATCGTCGTAGCTTCCGATTTCTAAGCAAAGTCCACCTGTAGCTACCAACCATGCCTACTGCAGATGGTTGTAAAACCTAGCCACCCTGAGCTAATTTGATAAGCAGGGCAAGGAGAGAGGTAGGGCATTCCCATAAAACAGCCAGGATAACCATGTCTTGATGGCTAATTCGGCATGAAAACCCGTACGTAATATTCTAGACTCCTTGACTCTTCAATATTCTCATTTTTCTCACTATTCTACCCTTCCACACGGTAAGTCCTTCTTTTTAATTTGTAAGCCACATACACCAAAAAAAGGTGGGGAGGGCTGCAAACACATTCCTGGGAAATGATGCTAGGTCTCCCTTTTGATCACTGTGAATACTGGTTTCTCCTTTGGGTTCATTGCAGACAGGTAGTCAATCTATAGGTGAGGAAAAAATGCCTTCTTGGGCAGGTAATTTGCACAAACTAGAAACACACCATATTTTTGCATTTGTAATATCTGTGTTACCTTTCCATTGCTAAGATCTGTATTTAACTGAATGGCTATAAATACTGCCCCCATAAATACTTGTAATTAAAGAAAGATTCTATTTAACGGAGCACTTACTATGTTAACTGTTCTAATACATTTGGACCTTTAAGTGACCTAGATCATCAGTGGAAACAAAGGAGAGATACTGATTAAAATTCAAGGCTCCTTGAAGCTAGCTGGTTGAGTGTGGAAGCCTTACCTTGACAGTAAATTCTGTTTTCTCAAGTTCTCTGAGTAGCTCTTTTCTTCTTGTTGCATCCTCCACACTGAGACTGGATTGGTCTTCATTAATAGACCCACTGGATTTATCTTCCACAAGCCTGCTTTTTATGTTACCTACTTTGTTCCTGAAAACATTGGAGTTGGTGATGCAGTTCAGATAGTTTCCCTTTGGCTTTAAAGTATACAGTTCTGGGTATGTAGAAAGAGTCAGGATAAGGTTTGGTAAAGTTTGTCCTCTGCGTAGGCAGCTGATTTTGGACATGTTTGGACTGGAAGCAGTATCTAGGTGTGGAAAATGGGGTCATATTTAAATGAATAACATCCTGCTTGGAGGTTATGGACAAGTCTTGAGTGTGCGTGTGTGGAAGGAATTTAGGGGTGGTTAAAATTTGGTATAAAAAAAGGTACTGAAGTCTGCAACTTTGAAACTCATCCAAAAAAAAAAAAACAGGTGAATGGATAAATGGAGAGATGTGATAAAGCAAGGATGCAAAATGCTAACCATTAGAGAATGTAGGTGGCAGTACGTTGGTGTTAACTTCCAACTTTAATTTCAACTTTTGCAAATGCTTAAAATTTTTTTAAAAAGCGTGGAAGGGAAAGTTTAAATGTCACATAGACTGGGCAAGTAGAGCTGGGAAATATGGAACTCCATTTTCTATATTCTTAACCCATGTGTTTATACCTCCATTTATCCACCAAATGAAATATCCACAATAAACCTTTTCCCCCAAATGTAAATAGCTCCATGATTTTCTCCTCTTGTAAAAATGAGATGCATGTGATGATAAATTGTTCCGAAAATATAAGAAAATGTAGAAAAGGTAAAAATCTTACTATCTAAAGAAAACCACTATTAACACTTCAATAAATATTTTTCTAGACATATCCCTACACAAAGTATAAGGCCTTTCCATTTCTGCCTTTTACAGCTGTGCTTTTGCTGCTTCTCCTTCACTTTCCCCTCTGCCAGATCAGGTCTGGCACTTCCTTTAATGTTTGGTTCCAACTTTCTTTTTTCATGAAAACTTCCACTTTGCACTCTCTCCAGCACTAATCCCTCTTGATTTGGTGTGTCCTGTCTTCAGCATTTCTCTTGTCAATGCCTTGAAATTCTCATCAAGCACCTTTAGTTTTCAGATGCATTTTCTTCCCAATTATTTTGCATTCCACCATATTATTTTGCATGCCTCAAGTTGCCAATATGTTTTCCACAAGGCTTGCAATTTTACAAAAACCTGTTCTGATTAAGGCAAAACCATGCTTCTAACTTAATAAGTAACTACACAGTTTAAAACAAAATCCTCCTTCTAGATAGAAATGAGGATATTCATGCCAACCAATATATGCTAATTTAGGGAAACACTGAGATTGTAATTGTAAAATAGAATTTTATTTCAGAAAATATAAGCCAGATTCAGCTCCTGCTGTTTTTGCTTAGATTTTGTCATTGTCCAAAACCACAGTAAGATATCATCTCACACCAGTCAGAATGGCTATTATTAAAAAGTCAAAAAATAACAGATGCTGGCTAGGTTGTGGAGAAAAAAGAACGCTTATACACCTTTGATGGGAGTGTAAATTACTTCAACCATCGTAGAAGACAGTATGGCGATTCCTCAAAGACCTAAAGACAGAAATACCATTCAACTCAGCAATCCCATTACTGAGTATAGAGCCAAAGGAATATAAATTGTTCTATTATAAAGATACATGCACGTGTGTGTTCTTTGCAGAACTATTCACAATAGCAAAGACATGGAATCCACCTAAATGCCCATCAGTGGTAGGCTGGATAAAGAAAACGTGGTACATATACACCATAGAACTACTACGGAGCCATAAAAAATAATGAGATCATGTCCTCATTCATGGATGGGACGTGGATGGAACTGGAGGCAATTATCCTTAGCAAATTAACACAGGAACAGAAAACCAAATACCACATGTTCTCATTTATAAGTGCAAGCTAAATGATAAGAACACATGGACTCATAGAGGGCAACAACACACACTGGGGCATATCAGAGGGTGGAGGATGGAAGGAAGAAGAGGATCAGGAAAAATATTGGGTACTAGGCTTACACCTGGGTGATGAAATAATCTGTTCAACAAACCCTTACAACACACATTTACCTATGTAACAATCCTATACATTACAACACACATTTACCTATGTAACAATCCTATGCCTTACAACACACATTTACCTATGTAACAATCCTATACCTTACAACACACATTTACCTATGTAACAATCCTATACCTTACAACACACATTTACCTGTGTAACAATCCTATACCTTACAACACACATTTACCTGTGTAACAATCCTATGCCTTACAACACACATTTACCTATGTAACAATCCTATATATGAACCCCTGAACCTAAAATATTTTTTTTAAAAAAAAGATTTTGTTGTTGTCATTTCCCAAGGATTCATGATGAGTCATAGGTTCAGTCTCTGAAGAGCAGGAGAGGTTCTGGACTCCCCAGATGGCTTTTGGCAGTGTTTATAGACATTTTTATTTCATGGGAATAAAACTAGGCTTTGGGTCTTTAAAATGTGAAAATAAGTACTCACTTATATTTGAGAGTTATCTTTAATATATCTACTTCAAGGAGTTTCCATCAGTTCACATTCTTGCATTGTAAATTTTAAACATGGTTTCCTAATTTTATGGAAGTATCTTATTTATTACCACTGCAATGTCATCTCAGTGAATCTCAAAGAATTAGCTTAATAGACTAGATAATGTGAGCAGTAAAACGTGTACTTTTCTTTAGGAATAGAAAAAATCGGATTGTTTCTGTCTACCCCTTGTAAGCATAGCATTGTCCTGAGCTATATCAAGGTTCAAATCACTTTTTAAACTTTGTATTTTAGGAAATAAGAAATATAATATGAATAACAATTGCTAACATTTTACTAAGTGCTTCCCCTATGCCAGACACAGTTGTAAGTATTTTTAAAATGTCAAATCATTGAATTCTTGCAGCAACCCTGGATGAGGTACTACTTTTACTCCATTTCATGAATCTGGAAACCAGTGGGGAGAGAAGTTAAGTGATTAGCAGCCAGAAAGATCCAATCCTAGACTGTCTGGCCCTAGAACCTATGTCTAAACTATTCCACTCTCCTAGTTCTCTAGGGTAAAAAGAAAGGCACCAACCCAGTCTAGCGGTAGAATACAAAGAGAACTTGCTGTTTCATAAACTTAGTATGAGTTTGCATGTCTCTCTCTGTATGTGTGTTACTAGGTTGGTACCAGATTGTTAGTTAACTGTGCTAATGATACTGTGAGCCCTTCTCTTAAGACATATGCTTTGACCTTTTTAAAAAGAATTGGGAAGAATTTATACCAATTGATTTCTCCTTCCTTGCATAACAGATTGTTTGTGTGTTTGTGTGTGTGATCAAAAATATATTAAAGAAAATTTTAAAAAATTCCACAGCCATAGCTATTTCCCTTATATTATGTGACCATTCAGTCTTTATCTACAAGTATATGCATTTTGCATAATTATCATATTATTTTTTCACTTAAGTTTAATTCATAAACATTAGCTCACATTCTTACACACTCTTCATAATCCTTTTAATTATTGCAACACATGCCCTGTTTTTGTTATCTTTAGAATTATTACACATTATGACTCTGTTTTGAGCCATCTATATTTTATTTTATTTCTTTATTTTTTTATTTTTTATTTATTTATTTACTTTTTTGAGACGGAGTCTCGCTCTGTCGCTCAGGCTGGAGTCCAGTGGCGCGATCTTGGCTCACTGCAAGCTCCGCCTCCCGTGTTCACGCCATTCTCCTGCCTCAGCCACCTGAGTAGCTGGGACTACAGGCGCCCGCCACCACTCCAGGCTAAATTTTTTTATATTTTAGTAGAGATGGGGTTTCACCGTGTTAGCCAGGATGGTCTTGATCTCCTGACCTCGTGATCCACCCGCCTCGGCCTCCCAAAGTGCTGGGATTACAGGTGTGAGCCGCTGCACCCGGCCCTATATTTTATTTTTGTACCTTTATCATACCTTTTAAATTACTACTTTACATTATATTACCCAATAGAACTAGTGTCCCTCATTCCTTCCCTCATTGCTTCTATTTTCACAACATTTACTGATGTCCTTATCCATGTATAAATAAGTAAACTTTATAATAATTTTACTTAGTTCTTAAATCCTAGCTCTGATTCTAATTGTATTTTTCTGTTTCAAAAAAAAAGGATTAGTATACAGGGTCTAGCTTTCTTTCTTAGCATTCCTATGTATAGGGTGCACCTTACTTTTCACACTTTGCTCTTTAGAGATTTTTTCCAACTACTCAAGTAGCCCTACCTATTCTCAGGATGGCTTTAAGGTCAAGGCAGGATCTGGCCAGGGAGTAGAGAGCAGCCCATATGGAGCATCAGCCAATCCCACAGTAAATACAGTTCCAGTTCAAATGATTCCCCTCTAACTGAGTGAGCTAAGTGGTCTCTGGCAATGAAGGGCTACTTATTATATTTTTGTTGTTACCATTGTTGTAATTCAATTTAATTTTCCCCTAGTGTGGTCTATAGGGTATTTATATTAACTTATAAAGTGTTGGGCTATGTATCATTCTCATAATTTCATGGTCTAAATTAATTCCTTCAGGATTAAACACTACTTCTTATTATCTCAAGAAACACTGTTGCAGATCACAGGCCTCTATTTTCCGTTTTTCCAGGTTCTAAAATTTAAAACTTTAAACAACAAATCACTCAAGGTTTGAGTGAGATACATTCACCCACAAGACATGTAAAATATTCTCCTAATATAATCATCCTCAAAGGTTGCTATAAATCATCATTTGAAATCCTTTCATCTTTTGACCATTAAATTGCCAAATAAAACACTCAAAAATGACATGATTCCATCTTAAAGATGTTAATATTTGGTTTCTTTATTAAGGTGACTTCAGGGTAAAACATTTGTATGTATGAAGAATGGTTATTGCATAAAATCTCAGCTTAAGACGTCATCCATTTTTGTTTTTCCTTATCCTGAAATCAGAATATCATATCATTTTGAAAGTTTTTCTAGCCACTTCCCAGCACTCGCAGCATGAAGCTCACACCAGAAGTTTCCAGAGATCACCCCAGAGGTGATAAGATCTCGCCCGCCCTTCCGTCCCAGGATAGTGTGATTGCGGGACCATGGAATTTACAAGGTGAGATTCAAAGGACCCTAATTGTCTCTCTGCTTTCAAGTAATCCTGCCATTTAACACCAAAAGAAGAAAAAGAACCAAGAACATGAAAAGTCCTACTATCGCTCCACTTAATACTACTCAAAAAAGGAGGTTCCAGACACTTTGATGGTGATATTTTTGTTTTATTTTGTTTGACAAAATCTATTCTGGATAATGTTCCCAAAATGCTTCCTAATCATCAAACCTAGTGGAATCTTGTTAAACATGTTGATGGCATTTGATAGTCTTTCCTCGATTTCTGCAATACAATTCTTCCCTGATTCTCCTCCCTCTGTCTCTAACAAGTCCTTTTCAGTATCCTTTGAATCACACTTTGTATTTTGGTAACACACAAGGCACCATCTTTGCCCCTCTCTCACTCTGCCTGCCCTCCCTCAGCATTCTCTGCTTCTCTCAAGACTTTAGCTCCTGTATTAGTCCATTCTCACACTGCCATAAAGAACTGCCGAGACTGGCTAGTTTATAAAGAGAAGAGGTTTAATTGACTCACAGTTCCACATGGCTGGAGAGGCCTCAGGAAATTTACAATCATGGTAAAAGGGGAAGCAGGCATGTCTTACATGGCAGCAGGGGAGAGAAAGAGAGAGAGAGTGCAAAGGGAGAAGAGCCCCTTATAAAACCATCAGATCTCATGAGAACTCATTCATTATCATGAAAACAGCATGGGGGAAACCACCCCCATGATCCAATCATCTCCCACCAGGTCCTTTCCTCAACACATGGGGGTTATAGGGATTACAATTTGAGATGAGATTTGGGTGGGGACACAGAGCTAAACCATATTAGCTACTAACTCTTTGCTGATGGCTCACATGATGAAGTCACCATCTTTCACCAGATCTGTTCCTCCTCTTGTATTCTGTAACTTGCTGAGTGCATCCCTCACCTTCTGAGTCATTTTATATTTCTCCATTTCCACCAGTGCACTGACACCAAACTTACAAACACATACACATCATTTTCTCTCCAACTATGTTCAATAGGCTTTTTTCAGAATTTAGGCTCTTGTCCTCTTTGACTCACTATTATAGTTTTGCATCTCTCACCCCTTAAGTCCATCCCTCTCTGCTACTAGAATGGTCTTTCTAATTATGTAAATTTCTGGCTCCAACCCTCCATATAGCTCCTAAAGGCCAAGTGCAGGGGTCAGCAAACTATGGCTGTGAACAAATCCAGCCCATTGTCAGTTTTTACAAAGAATGTGTTATTGGAACATAGCCATGTTCACACATTAACATACTGTATATGGCTGCCCTCATACTACAAGAGCAGAGCTGCGTCATTTCAGCAAAGACCATGTGGTCTCAAGAGCCAAAAATATTTACTATCAGGCCCCTTACAGAAAATGTTTGCTGACATCTGGCCTAGTGGATAAAGTCAGAACTTCATGATATCACATGTAAGGCTGGCATTCTTTGGCCACAACCTCTATCCCCAGGTTTGGCTCTTGCTATAGCCCCCTTAAACCTTACACTCCAGCAGTGCTTGGCTGCTTACTGTTCCCTACACTGGCCAAGAGAAATTTCAGTGATGAAGGAGAAGTCATGTGTGTCTGCACTGCCCAGTGCCATAACCACTGGCCACATTTCACTGTTGAGCATTTAAATTGTGGCTAGTGCAACTGAGGAATTAAATTGTTTATTTTATTTAATTTTAATTAACAAAAATTTAAACTTAAATAGCTACATGTGGCTAATGGCTACCACATTGGACAGTGTTGTGCTAGACTGTCACCAATGGTATCTTTGTCCATTCTAAGGGGAATATTTAAGATATTTAGGCTACCCTACCTGGAGACAGAGTCTCACTTCATCATCCAGGCTGGAGTTCAGTGGCATGATCTCGGCTCGCTGCAAAAACCACCTCCCTGGTTCAAGCGATTCTCCTGTCTCAGACTCCTGAGTAGCTGGGATTAGAGGGGTGCACCATCATGCCCAGCTAATTTTTGTATTTTTAGTAGAGACGGGGTTTCGCCATGTTGGCCAGGCTGGTCTCGAACTCCTGACCTCAAGTGATCCCCACCTCAGCCGCCCAAAGTGCTGGGATTACAGTATTGAACCACAGCACCCGGCCAATACTTGCTGTTTTGTGATTGGCTTATTTCACTTAGCATTACGTCTTCGAGGTTTCTCCATGTTATAGCATATGTCATAATTTCTGACCCCCAAAGTGCTGGCACCACCAAGCCCAGCCTAAGTGTCACTTTTTCTAAGAAGCCTGTTGTCCCAGTCAAGCCCTGCCTCTCCCCACCTCAAAGAACTGGATATTCTCCATTTGTGTCCTCAGTGTGCCATCATATTACCAGGAAAACTTTTTCCACTCTTATCTGTCTCCACCAACCAGTCCCTAAAAGCATCCTTGTCTGCATTTGTCTTTGCTTAAAAAGCTCCTTATCCAGTGCCTGGCTGGTGTCAGAAGCTTAATTTATATGGTTATCAGTCAATTAGAGTAATTAATGTTATATTCAAACTTATTTTCAACATGTAAGTCCCTTTTCTTTATTTATAGTTCTTTGACAAATGAAGTCTGCTGTGGAGTGCTTCCACCTGACTCTCTCCACCCACCCAGAAAGTGGTCAAGAGTAGGGACTCCTTTAAATAGAAATAACTTTCTTCTTATTACACTTGAGTAACCAATGTGCTTGCTTTGACTCTTTCTAAACTGCTGGAGCAAATTCCTAAGACCTCAAAGAAGAGAAAGCAGATTGTCTGAAAACAAAACAAAACAAAACAAAACAAAAACAAGAAAGTAAGCCCAAAGCCAAGAAAAAAAGTTATTGCCAATGCATCAAACTTTCAATGTTTATTAGTACAAACTTTTCTAAAAGCACACTATGGTGCTGGCATATACTAGATGCTCAACAAATGTTTTGTAAGTGAAATTTGCTGAAATTAACCCTGGAATGTTTACTTCACCATGTAATATATTCAAAAATGGTGAAATGTCACAATTGACATATAAAGAAAAATGGCTATAAATATATGTATGGGGTAAAAAATATCCAATATAAATAATATTTTCTAGAAGTTGCACTTGTATTCCTTTATTTGGTGAGATTTTTCTTTTTAAATTATAGTCCTTATCATTTTAGGATGTTAATCTGTTGACATGAACCCAGTTTTCTGAACTGTGCCAAAACTATGAATTTTTATTCTTCTTATGTCTAACAACCTTTGAATAAGAGCTGAAGGTAAATGGTATATTGGACTCTATTTGTGCATACGTACTAAAGATTTTATCATGTGTCAAATTATGTAGGAATAAGCTTTCCATATATACCCCGTATGTTACAATTTAAAATACTATTCATCATGCAAAGCCAAGTAAAGATATACAAAATAGAAAATCTTTGAAACATTTCAAAACTTAGTATCTGGGAACTATAATCCATTAGGCAAGAAAATGACCTACTTTGCCAGTCACCCTTCTGAGGACTATTTAAATTTTAAGGCTTATTTTGCTCAGTTGAAAGGAGAGAAAGAAAAGCTATTCATTTGACAAATGGTATATAGTCATATATATATATATATATATATATATATATATATATATATATATGAACACGCATTTTGTGTGTGCACCATTATCTTATGGGCTTTACACATATTAACATAATCCTACAAGATAGGTACTATTGTCAACATTATTCCCATTTTCAGATGACATAATTGAGGCACAAAGAAGTAACTTGCTTGAGGTCTCACAGTAAGGGCAGAGTTGAAGTCCAAACCCAGGCAGCCTGGCTCCAAAGCCCAGGCTCTAACCCTCTGTATTATTCTGCCTTGAGTAGATGATGCTGTTTCCATTCTGCTCCTCACCATGTCTTTGTCATGTGACTCTGTAACATAAACATCTTTTCCTTTCAGTTTACATGGATCTATCACATCTTTTTAATAGCCAAATAAGATTCCCTTATCTAGGTATACTACACATTGTCTAACCTGGACTTGTTCTCTACCTGTGGACTTTTAATTTTCACTCTTCCACTATAAAAGTCACTTTCAACTCTCAGAACTATTACCTGTGAGACATAAGAGAGGGAACCCTGTGAAACCAGTGTATGGACAGTATTAACTTGGAGCTTTCATGGCAGGAAATATTTTCACTTTGCCTGGGAAAAAGTTGTGATAGAAGCTAAGAACATTTAGGATGCTGTTAAGGGAAAATTAACTAATCATGCCAAATTATCCTTATGACAGGAGCAGAATTGGTTGGCAATAACTCCAAGCTGAATTGACACCATACAGTATTATATTCATTATATAATATATGCCCATCATGTTTGTTGGTTAGCATACAAGAGAAAACATAGATCTTACACTTGAGCTTTAAACATCTACAATTTTATGGGTTAGTGGACAGATGGATGAAGTCATAGAACAACTCTGAGGTTAGGGTCTCTCTTTGCCACAGGGTCCCCTATCTGGTGGGCTCTAAGCTTCCCCTACTTCCTTAGGGTTTTCTCACTTTTCATCCTCATGCCACTGGTCCACCCCAAACAGAGGTACCTACTTCACTTATTCTCTCTAGATTAGGCATGGACAAAACAAAGCAGAAAGAAAAAAGCAGACTTTCTTTTTCCTCTTGGAACAACAGAGTTGCTGCAAAATTTCTAAATAAAAACAAAGTAGAAGTAGACATCCCTTCTGTCTTATAATGAAGACTGCTTTAAAGAAAGATCTATAATGGACAATAATACTGCTCACCAAGCTGTACAAAAGCCTGTTCCAGGCCAGACGCAGTGGCTCATGCCTGTAATCCCACCACTTTGGGAGACCAAGGCAGGTGAATCACCTGAAGTCAGGAGTTCGAGACCAGCCTGGCCGACATGGCGAAACCCGCGTCTCTACTAAAAATACAAAAACTAGCTGGTTGTAGTGGCGGGCACCTGTAATCCCAGCTACTCAGGAGGCTGAGGCAGTAGAATCACTTGAACCCGGGAGGTGGAGGTTGCAGTGAGCAGAGATCATATCACTGCACTCCAGCCTGGGCAACAAGAATGACATTCCGTCTCAAAAAAAAAAAAAGCCTCTTCCTCTTCCTTCTCATCTTGTCTGGACATCCAACCCAGAAATCCTCTGCTCTTGGATATCCCTTAATAGAACCCGCTTCTCTGCCCTCTCAATCTCAGGGACTGTCAGGACCATGTGAAACAATAGTGAATTCTCAGCTAGAACCCATTCAAAAGCTCAGAAGAATAACCCATCTAACCAATTGTTATGTTATTCTCCATTCTGTCTCAGGAAAGACTAATCAGTTATATTCTCTATTCCTTCCACCTCAGACTGCAAAAGATGCACACACACCCACACAAACATTACAAATATTTATTAACTACCTGCTAAGTCCAGAGATTTATAGGTATTTTGACCCTATATCTCATTTTGCATTAGGAAAATATGATTGCTATACAGATAAGAAAAGTATCTCTCTCTCTTTCTTTTTCTCTTATACCACTCCCTCCTACACACACACTTTTTTTTAATTGCAGTACAACAGACACATAACTCATGATTAATTCTGGATTCTAGCATTTGACAACTTTAAGAAAATTGTTTAAAAAATTGATAGACCGCTAGCAAGACTAATAAAGAAGAAAAGAGAAAATAATCAAATAGAAACAATAAAAAATGATAAAGGGGATATCACCACCGATCCCACAGAAATACAAACTACCATCAGATAATACTATAATCACCTCTATGCAAATAAACTAGAAAACCTAGAAGAAATGGATAAATACCTCGACACATACACCCTCCCAAGACTAAACCAGGAAGAAGTTGAATCTCTGAATACACCAATAACAGGCTCTGAAATTGAGGCAATAATTAATAGCCTACCAACCAAAAAAAGTCCAGGACCAGACGGATTCACAGCCGAATTCTACCAGAGGTACAAGGAGGAGCTGGTACCATTCCTTCTGAAACTATTCCAATCAATAGAAAAAGAGGCAATCCTCCCTAAGTCATTTTATGAAGCCAGAATCATACTGATACCAAAGCCTGGCAGAGACACAACAAAAAAAGAGAATTTTAGACCAATATCCCCGATGAGCATTGATGCAAAAATCCTCAATAAAATACTGGCAAACCAAATCCAGCAGCACATCAAAAAGCTTATCCACCACGATCAAGTGGCCTTCATCCCTGGGATGCAAGGCTGGTTCAACATACGAAAATCAATAAACATAATCCAGCATACAAACAGAACCAAAGACAAAAAACATGATTATCTCAATAGACGCAGAAAAGGCCTTTGACAAAATTCAACAGTCCTTCATGCTGAAAACTCTCTATAAATAAGGTATTGATGGGACGTACCTCAAAACAATACGGGCTATTTATGACAAACCCACAGCCAATATCATACCGAATGGGCAAAAACTGGAAGCATTCCCTTTGAAAACTGGCACAAGACAGGGATGCCCTCTCTCACCAGTCCTATTCAACATAGTGTTGGAAGTTCTGGCCAAGGCAATCAGGCAGAAGAAAGAAATAAAGGGTATTCAATTAGGAAAAGAGGAACTCAAATTGTCCCTGTTTGCAGATGACATGATTGTATATTTAGAAAACCCCATTGTCTCAGCCCAAAATCTCCTTAAGCTGATAAGCAACTTCAGCAAAGTCTCAGGATACAAAATCAGTGTGCAAAAATCACAAGCATTCTTATACACCAATAACAGACAAACAGAGAGCTAAATCATGAGTGAACTCCCATTCACAATTGCTTCAAAGAGAATAAAATACCTAGGAACCCAACTTACGGGGGATGTGAAGCACCTCTTCAAGGAGAACTACAAACCACTGCTCAACGAAATAAAAGAGGACACAAACAAATGGAAGAACATTCCATGCTCATGGATAGGAAGAATCAATATCGTGAAAATGGCCATACTGCCCAAGGTAATTTAGAGATTCAATGCCATCCCCATCCAGCTACCAATGACTTTCTTCACAGAATTGGAAAAAACTACTTTAAAGTTCATATGGAACCAAAAAAGAGCCTGCATTGCCAAGACAATCCTAAGCAAAAAGAACAAAGCTGGAGGCATCACGCCACCTGACTTCAAACTATACTACAAGGCTACAGTCACCAAAACAGCATGGTACTGGTACCAAAACAGAGATATAGACCAATGGAACAGAACAGAGCCCTCAGAAATAATACCACACATCTACAACTACCTGATCTTTGACAAAACTGACAAAAACAAGAAATGGGGAAAGCATTCCCTATTTAATAAATGGTGCTGGGAAAACTGGCTAGCCATATGTAGAAAGCTGAAACTGGATCCCTTCCTTACACCTTATACAAAAATTAATTCAAGATGGATTAAAGACTTAAATGTTAGACCTAAAACCATAAAAACCCTAGAAGAAAACCTAAGCAATACCATTCAGGACATAGGCATGGGCAAGGACTTCATGTCTAAAACACCAAAAGCAATGGCAACAAAAGCCAAAATTGACAAATGGGATCTAATTAAACTAAAGAGCTTCTGCACAGCAAAAGAAACTACCATCAGAGTGAACAGGCAACCTACAGAATGGGAGAACATATTTGCAATCTACTCATCTGACAAAGGGCTAATATCCAGAATCTACAATGAACTTAAACAAATTTACAAGAAATAAACAAACAACCCCATCAAAAAGTGGGCAAAGGATATGAACAGACACTTCTCAAAAGAAGATATTTATGCAGCCAACAGACACATGAAAAAATGCTCAGCATCACTGGCCATCAGAGAAATGCAAATCAAAACCACAATGAGATACCATCTCACTCCAGTTAGGATGGCGATCATTAAAAAGTCAGGAAACAGCAGGTGCTGGAGAGGATGTGGAGAAATAGGAACATTTTTACACTGTTGGTGGGACTGTAAACTAGTTCAAACACTCTGGATGACAGTGTGGTGATTCCTCGGGGATCTAGAACTGGAAATACCATTTGACCCAGCCATCCCATTACTGGGTATATACCCAAAGGATTATAAATCATGCTACTATAAAGACACATGCACACATATGTTTATTGTGGCACTATTCACAATAGCAAAGACTTGGAACCAACCCAAATGTCCACCAATGATAGATTGGATTAAGAAAATGTGGCACATATACACCATGGAATACTATGCAGCCATAAAAAAGGATGAGTTCATGTCCTTTGTAGGGACATGGATGAAGCTGGAAACCATCATTCTCAACAAATTATGACAATGACAAATAACCAAACACCACATGTTCTCACTCATAGGTGGGAATTGAACAATGAGAACACTTGGACACACGGTGGGGAACATCACACACTGGGGCCTGTCGTGGCGTGGGGGGAGGGGGGAGGGATAGCATTAGGAGATATACCTAATGTAAATGACAAGTTAATAGGTGCAGCACACCAACATGGCACATGTATACATATGTAACAAACCTGCACATTGTGCATATGTACCCTAGAACTTAAAGTATAATAATAAAAAAAAGAAAATTGTTAAAATAGATTGAAAAATGTTTTGAGGCTATCTAAAAGTTGGCTTTGTTTCAACTGAGAGGGAAAAAAAATAGTGATTTAACAGTTCCTGGAATGAAACATGTAAGGATTTCTGAAACCTCTCAAGGTGACTGAAAAATTTGGAGGGAATATGGCTGAAAGAAAAAGTAATGCAACATCTTTGGCCTAATAAAACTTCCTTTTCAGCTCTAATGTAAGTTTACAAGAGACTTGTACCTTAAATAACAAATTCTATGAACAAATCTTTATTAAAAAGATGCCCTCCAGGAAAAAAAAAAAAAAGAGCTTAAACTGTAACAGGAAGAATTCAGAAGAGCCTGAACCATGAGGCTCCTTTCCAATACACTGCTCTTCAAATCAGGTGGATTTCCCACTAGGAGTGGTCTGTATCATATGTAGCATTGTGCATGGCACCTCTTACGGTTGTGCAGGACACAGCCAACTCAACCATACCTGGTCTTTTGCCAGTATAGACCCATCCTTAAAAATGAGGAGAAATAAGGAAATAGGGTAGTGCCCTTGCCCACTCCCTATGTTGACTGCACTCCCCCTAATCCTTTCTACCACCTATTTATCACTCTAGGTTTTGAGGAAGGAGAGGTAGGAGGAAGGGAAAAAAGTGGAGATGCACATACACAGGAAGGTGGGGAATAAGCTGATGTGAATATGTACAGTCTCAGAATCAGGGCGTAGAACTGAAGCTTATGTCCCCCTCTACATTTTCCATGGACCAGACTCATAGGTCCTGGACACCCTGTTGTAGTGATGCCTTATTTATTTATTTATCTAACTTTTATTTTAGGTTCAGAGGTACATGGGAAGGTTTGTTACATAGGTAAACTGTGCATCACAGGGGTTTTTTGTACAGATTATTTCATCACCCAGGTGGGTAATCAGCATAGTACCCAATAGGCATTCCTTTGATCCTCTCTATCCTCTAAGCTCCTATCCTCAAGTAGGCCCTATTGTTCCCTTCTTTGAGTCCATGTGTACTGAATGTTGAGCTCCCACATAGAAGTGTAAACATGCAGTATTTGGTTTTCTGTTTCTGTGTTAGTTCACTTAGGATTATAACCTCCAGCTCCATCCAAGTTGCTCCAGAGGACATGATCTCATTCTTTTTTATGGCTGCATAGTATTCCATGGTGTATATGTACATTTTCCTTATCCAGTCTACCACTGAATGGTGTTCAGGTTGACTCTGTATCTTTGCTATTGTGAATATTGCTGTGATAAACATACACATGCATGTGTCTTTGTGGTAGAATGATTTATATTCCCTTGGGTATATACCCAATAATGGAATTGCTGAATCGAATGATACTTCTGTTTTAAGTTCTTTGAGAAATTGCCACATTGCTTTCCACATTGGCTGAACTAATTTACACATCCACCAGCACTGTGTAAATGTTCCCTTTTCTTCTCAATCTTGCCAGCATCTGTTATTTTTTGACTTTTTAATAACAGACATTTTGACTGGTGTGAGATGGTATCTCATTGCGGTCTTGATTTCATTTCTCTGATGCTTAGTATTGTTGAGCATTTTTTCATATGCTTTGTTGGCTGCATGAATGTCTTCTTTTTAGAAGTGCCTGTTCATGTCCTTTGCCCACTTTTTAATGGCATTGATTTTGGCTTGTTAAGTTGTTTAAATTCCTTGTAGATTCTTGATGTTAGACCTTTGTCAGGTGCATAGTTTGCAAACATTTTCTCCCATTCTATAGATTGTCTGTGTACTCTGTTGAGATTTTCTTTTCCTGCACAGAAGTTCTTTAGTTTAATTAGGTTCCATTTGTCAATTTTTGGTTTTATTGCAGTTGCTTTTGGCATCTTTGTCATGAAATCTTTGCCAGGGCCTATGCCCAGAATTGTATTTCCTAGGTTATCTTCCAGGGTTTTTATGGTTTTAGGTTTTACATTTAAGTTTTTAATACATACTGCCTTAACTTTTGTATATGGTATCAGGAGGGGTTCAGCTTCAATCTTCTGCATGTGGCTAGCAAGTTATCCCAGCACCATTTATGAATATGGAGTCCTTTCCTCATTGCTTGTTATATTGACTTTGCTAAAGATTAGATGGTTGTAGGTGTGCAGCTTTACTTCAGGGCTTTATATCCCATTCCATTGGTCTATGTGTCTGTTTTTGTACAGACTCAAAGGCAGAAAGTACCATGCCATTTTGGTTACTGTAGCCTTATAGTATAGTTTGAAATTGAGTAATGTGATGGCTACAGCTCTGTTCTTTATGCTTAAGATTGCTTTGGCTATTTGGGCTCTTTTTTGGTTCCATGTGAATTTTAAAATAGTTTTTCTTAATTCTGTAAACCATATCATTTATAGTTTGATAGAATTAGCATTGAACCTGCAAATTGCTTTGGACAGTATGGCCATTTTAATAATATTGATTCTTCCAATCCATGAGTATGGAATGATTTTCCATTTGTTTGTGTCATCTCTGATTTCTTTGAGCAGTGTTTTGTAAGTCTCACTGTAGAGATCTTTCCCCTCTATGGTTAGCTGTATTCCTAGGTATTTTATTCTTTTTGTGGCTATTGTGAATAGGATTGCATTCTTGATTTGGCTCTCAGCTTAGATGTTGTTGGTGTATAGAATTGCTATTAATTTTCATGCATTGATTTTGTATCCTGAAACTGCTGAAATTGTTTATCAGATCTAGGAGCTTTTGGTCAGAGACTATAGGGTTTTCTAGTTGTACAATCATATCATCTGCAAACAGAGATAGTTTGACTTCCTCTCTCCCTATTTGGATGCCTTTTATTTCTTTCTCTTGCCTGATTGCTCTGGCTAGGACTTCCAGTACTATGTTGAATAGGAGTGGTGAGAGTGAAAATACTTTTCTTGTTCTGGTTCTCAAAAGGAATGCTTCCAGCTTTTGCCCATTTAGTATGATGTTGGCTGTGGGCTGGCCATAGATGCCGCTTATTATTTTGAAGTATGTTCCTTCAATGCATAGTTTGTTGAAGGTTTTTAACATGAAGGGATGATGAATTTTATTAGAAACCTTTTCTGCATCCATTGAAATGAACATGTGGTTTTGTTTTTAGTTCTATTTGTGTAGCGAATCACACTTACTGATTTGCATATGTTGAATCAAACTTGGTGATGCCCCCTTTAGAGTGATCCACTTACACATAAGTCTCCATGAGCAAGTCAGGTGGCCAAAAAGGCACACTGGCATGTGCAGAAATACCCAGCATGTTCTCACACACAAAGAGGTTTTCACGTGTGACCATGTGACAAGGAGAAGTGGTTTAAAGCCTAGCTGTTGGAGGAAAGAAGTAAACAAACATGAAGCCTCACCCTGATACCCTCTCGGCTTTCCTTTAGGCTTAATCATCTTTCCATCTATGCTCCTTAATCTTTGTTTTGGTATTCTGGATAAGCTCCTAGACAGATTTTGTGCTGATTTGATGCTGGCTGTTGTAGAGATTGTATGCAGACACTTTGAGGGCTTGGGGCTCTTTTTTCTCTCTTCTTGCACCCACAGTAATAGTTCCCTATTTGACTACAGAGACCTCATTGTCCTCATCAACTTTTTTTCTCACATGACAGCTGCTCTTTATTGTCCCTTCTTTGGAAGGCAGGTGGGTTGGCCCACAAAAGTACTGCAAAAAAATTGATCTCACCTTAATTAAATATTTTGATATTTGCCAAGTTATAACTGGGGGATTTTTTTCCCCTAGAGTGAATTCTTTAGGAGAAACTCAAAGGAAGAAAGTAAAAAATTCACCTAAAAAAATATAATGCATTTTCTTTCTCCCACTCAGGCTTCCTTAAGATTTATCCTCACAGGAATTTTATGCACATACACGTACATACACACACACACAGATATATTATAGGATGTATATAATATATATGTACATATATATACACACATATACATGCAGAACTTCTCAATAAATATTGTTCTTTTTAATTGTAAAATACACATAACAAAATTTACCATCTTAACCATTTTTAAGGGTACAGTTCAGTGGCATAAAGTACATTCACATGGTGGTGTTCATTTGTATCTTCTCAGTTTGGGGTCAATAAACCATTCTGAATTTTGATTACATCCACCGATGTATTAGCTATTCCTCCCATACTTGTATGATTTGTAAATGTCATAATGCTTCTATATCTTTGTCTAAAGCAAGGGTGAAAATAATAGAACAGACCTAAAGAGAAAGGAGATTGAAACAGGTTCATACGAATCTATTAATCCGCATTCCCTGAGTGATGCTTTAGCCAAATACAATTGACTGATTTCCATTTTCAATGCAGATAATCTCTATCTCTAAGAAACCTCTCATTCTTGTTGCAATCTTGTTTTCCCAGCCATTTATTTGTATGAATGTTTCATATTCACAGCAACTGAAATATTCAAAACAAATTTCTCCCACTGGGTTTCTTTTCCCACCTATGCCATCATCAGTATCTCTCATTTTGTCTTGAAGTATTGTAGTCATTTTAACTCTTTTTTACTTTCAATCCTTATATCCAGTCTGGCACTAAGCACCTTAGTTCAGTGATTATCAGAAATTTTTATATTATAGCCTATGCAAGAAATGATGATATCTTATTGATTGAGTAAGCAAAAAATTCTATTTGCATCTTGGTGGGAAGTAGTTGCTTGATGAAGGTTAGAATGTTCCCCACAGCCCCCAAGGCCTTAGTGGATCAATCTCAACTCATTTATAACACCTGGACCCACAGACTGCGAAGCCCAAATTTAATTCATTCTTTCTTCAAAATATCTTTCGTATTTGCCCTTTTACTTCCATGTATGCACCTAATATCTTCAGCAAGCCGGTCATCTCATACTTAGATTATTGTAACATCCCCCTAACTGCCTTCCTTGCCTTTCGACTCGATTTATCTTTTGTGGTGCCTCTGGCTAATCTACCTAACTGTTGTTTTTGGCATGAGCCTACAATTTTTTCCAGTTACCAATGACAGTCAAACCCAAATTGTTTTGTCGGGATTTCAAGGAAAAGAGATTATTTGGGCCCAACTTACTTGTTAAATTTGCTTTCTACTATTTCCTTCATCAACCTCTGTTCAAATTAAATTCACTTACTCACTGCCTACCACCACCATAAGTACATTTCTTATATTTGTGCAACTTCCAGAAGTTCCTGGTGGCAGTAGTGAATAGTCATAACTACTTGAGTAGTCTTGTAGTCTTAAGTACCTGCTACGTGTTAGGCCTTGTGCCAGTCTTCATAGCAACCTTACATTAGCTAATATCTCTGTTTGATAGATGACAACATTGAAACTCAGGTCAAGCAATTTGGCCAAGGATAAAAACTGGCTAAGCAGCAGAGAGCTATCTCAGCCCCCTTGTCCAATGTGAGCTTAGCTTCCTCTGAATTTACAACATTTATTTCCAGTCTTTTAATTTGCTGGTTAATAACTTGCTATCTTGTGATAAACCTTTGATTGTTCCTTGTTATTCCCTGATTCTTCATTGTTATGTAGCTGTCTGCATCTTTGTCTTCATCTTTTAAACTATGATGAGAACCTTTGACTGTAAAATCTGTACCCCCTACAAATTTAGGTGTTGCTATATCTCTATGGATATGGCATCTCAATTTCTGAATTTTTTCCAAACCATTATAATTCCTCTAGCCACATGTGCAACATCACACTATCCCCCAGAAATTGGATCTACATTAATGGCCTATATTTTCTGCATTTGCTTTCACTTCTTTGCCAGAGTTATTGAATACCTTATTTTCCTATTCATAAGTTATTATATTATCAAAAACCTCAATGCCTTCTTTAGTCTATTAAAGTCCAGAACATCCAGCAGGTTTTCCAAGACATACTGGTCTCTTGAAATTAGGGATTTACTCCGATAAATTTTCTAGTGATTATTTTCATATTTATCCTTAACTTCAAAGCAAAGGAAATGGTGTGTTAATCTTCTCATTAACCCACGTTTGAGCCTTAATAAGAATTTAATATAAAGTACCTTTTAAAATCTTGTGGCACACCTAGAATTTATCTAGTATCTGAGAGGTTTAGAAAACTAAAAGATATCATAGGGTCCTGGTCCTGTACTGTCCAATACTGTAGCCACAAGCCACATGTGGCTGTTTAAATTTTAACTAACTAAAAATAAATGAAATTAATGTTTTAGTTCCTCAATTGCACAGTTCAGGTACTCAATAGTGAAATGTGGTCAGTGGCTACCATATTGGACCACACCAAAATAGAATATTTCTATCACTACAAAAGAGTCCTATTGCACAACACTGTTCTAGAAGCTTATCAACAGTTTTGTTGAGAAATATAGAAGACGTTTGATTTCATTTATGGCAGCTGATGATATATTAGCTGCAAGTTCCCATACATGTTTGATAGTTGTCGTATGTTAGACAGGTTTCATTCATCATTTATTCACTCAGTACAACACCTAGCACCAAATACTTGCTCAAAAACTGCTTAACGACTGTTTATACAATAAAAATGGCAGCTCCTATATATCTACTCAGGTGTCTAGCATCACAATACCAAAAAAAAAAAAACAAGTAAAGATTTAATTAGATTTAATTGGCAGGAAGGGAAACAAAGTAGTCTACATTTTATGAATTCTGCTGAATTCACAAAGATGCTAAATGTAAATCTGTAGCAAATTGTAGACACTCCCTCTGCCCCTGTTTGGACAACTGTGGATGACATCTGCATCAAATCAGCCAAGAGTTATTTATTTTTGAATTGTGCTCTGACCCCTTTCTAAGCCCAAAGGGTAAAAATGTCACCTTTGTTCATTTCTCAAGAAAAACATTTTTAAGATCCTGCACTGACTGTGAAAAAAAAAAAGCTGATCCTTGGGGTATTATCTGTAGTTCCCTCTTCACCTCAAGCTTTCTGACAGTCATTGTTTCTTGCCTCCATTTCTAGTTATGGTGTGAACAGGAAACAATTCCACTACCCCGCAAGCTACACTGACCTTTTTTTCTTCCAGGGAATTTAAATTGATTATTGAGTTTGTATTTATAAACTGTGTGATTTATCATTATTATTATTATTATTATTATTATTATTATTCTTTAAGTTCTTGGATACATATGCAGAAGGTGCAAGTTTGTTACATAGGTATACACGTGCCATGGTGGTTTGCTGCACCCATCAACCCATCATCTAGGTTTTAAGCCCGCATGCATTAGGTATTTGTTCTAATACTATCCCACCCCTTGCCCCCGACCCCCTGACAGGCCCTGGTGTATGATGTTCCCCTCCCTGTGTCCATGTGTTCTCGTTGTTCAACTCCCACTTATGAGTAAGAACATGTGGTGTTTGGTTTTCTGTTCCTGTTACTTTGCTGAGAATGATGGTTTCCAGCTTCATCCATGTCCCTGCAAAGGACATGAACTCATCCTTTTTAATGGCTGCATAGTATTCCATGGTGTATATGTGCCACATTTTCCTTATCCATTCTATCATTGATGGGCATTTAGGTTGGTTCCAAGTCTTTGCTATTGTAAATAGTGCTGCAATAAACATATGTGTACATGTGTCTTTATAGTAGCATGATTTATAATCCTTTGGGTAGATACCCAGTAATGGGATTGCTGGGTCAAATGGTATTTCTAATTCTAGATCCTTGAGGAATTGCCACACTGTTTTCCACAACTATGTAATTTTTAATTGCCTCTTTGTATTTCAAAGACTGAGCTCCTTGACACAATAGGACCATTTGATTAAATCTTATAATCACATTGCCTAGGACATGGGCTCCATAGGAAACAATCATAAATACTTTTATATTTATAAATTAACTAAGATTCACAAATGTGTCTCCATGCCTGGATTTAAGCATTTTAAGGATCAGTAATATTTTAATAAAAACACAAATACAATTAAAAACAAAAACAGCCTTGATGAATGACCTTTTCTCATACTCTTTATGTTTCCATGAGAAATCAGCCTTCCTGACATATGTGCTGTGGTGATGGGGCAGTGAATATGGAACTAAGTGGAAGATGCTGTTTAAAGACCTAGAAATGAGCCTGGATATCATGCATGTGGCGTTCACAGTCAGTTTACTTAAAGAGTTAGCCACAGATAACAGTAAACCCCATCTAAGCTAGAGAAAGGCCAGAGCAGTGGTTCTCAAAATGTCATCCAAAGATGCCTGGGAGTCATCAAGTCCCTTTCAGGCAACGCACAATGTCAAAACTACCTACACAATAATACTACTATGTTAACTTGTCTTTTTCATTATCACTTTCTCCTGAGTTCTCAGTGGAATTTTCTAGATACTACATAATTATCTGAAAAGGCTATTAAGATATCCTTCCCTTTTCCAACTACATGTCTGTATGAGGCCATATCTTTATATACTTCAACCAAAACAATATGCCACAACAGACTGAATGCAGAGCAAACATCAGGATACAGCTGTTTTCTATTATGCCAGGCATTAAACACATTTGCAAAAATGTACAACAATTCCAAGCCTCTCACTAAAAGTTTTGTTTTAGAAAATATATTTTTCATAGAAGTTTTATGTTAATATGTAATGATTTATTGTTATTTTAAATGCATTAATAAGTAAATTAAAGTTTTCTCACTTATTACCAACGTTAACAAAAGCATTTTGGAGTCTGCCGATCATTTTTAAGCATTCAATGGTCTTGAAACCAAAGAGTTGAGAACCACTGCTCTAGAAGATGGTGAGTACAAATATAAAACAACTGGACTTGTAAGCAATGATTAACTGAAGAAAGAATAAAGCCAATAGAACTCTGTTTCTAAGCTGGCCAGGAGACACTGCTAAGGATGCTCACCATGGTTCTTCATCCAGTCAACTAATTACCCACAGCTCTTTGGGGGCTACATCTAAGTCTAACTTCCTCCTTGTAAACCAAACCGTTTATTTGCCCAGCCAAATATTTGCTAGCTCTTTCTAGTTGCATGCAAACTTTTTAAAATGAAATGTTTATGGAAGTCAGTGTGGCGATTCCTCAGGGATCTAGAACTAGAAATACCATTTGACCCAGCCATCCCATTACTGGGTATATACCCAAAGGACTCTAAATCATGCTGCTATAAAGACACATGCACACGTATGTTTCTTGCGGCATTATTCACAATAGCAAAGACTTGGAACCAACCCACATGTCCAACAATGATAGACTGGATTAAGAAAATGTGGCACATATACACCCTGGAATACTATGCAGCCATAAAAAATGATGAGTTCATGTCCTTTGTAGGGACATGGATGAAATTGGAAATCATCATTCTCAGTAAACTATCGCAAGAACAAAAAGCCAAACACTGCATATTCTCACTCATAGGTGGGAATTGAACAATGAGATCACATGGACACAGGAAGGGGAATATCACACTCTGGGGACTGTTGTGGGTTGGGGGGAGGGGGGAGGGTTAGCATTGGGAGATATACCTAATGCTAGATGACGAGTTAGTGGGTGCAGTGCACCAGCATGGCACATGTATACATATGTAACTAACCTGCACAATGTGCACATGTACCCTAAAACTTAAAGTATAATTTTTAAAAAAAGCAAAAAAAATAAATAAAAAATAAATAAATAAATAAATAAATAAAATAAATGTTTATGCTAAAATGTCACACTTACAATGGCTTTACATGAGGATTTAATTTCAATTTGAGAGGACAGCTGGGTCCGTTGTCAGCCTGAATACCATTTCTGAGACCTGCTGCACATCTGTGGGTTATTGCAAGGAGAACGGGTAGAGTGGTGCCCAGAGCAGCCCTGACTCACCTTCCTGGTAGCTTATTCATTTCTTTAGTTTCATGTGACTTATATTTCTGGGTAATATGGGCTACTGATGCCAGAAAAGTTTATATTAAATGTTCCTTTTTTGTACAAACATGCAATGTTCATTTTGATCAAAGCTGACTCCTGAAGGAGATTGGTATGCGTGTGTGTGCATGTGTAGTGTGTGTGCATGTTCTGAAACAGGTATCTTTCTGTCTTGCTCTTTCAGCCACTCTTATCTTTGGTTCAGAGAAAGTTCACCATTGTTCATTGTTCTACATTGACCTATTTCTCAAGAGCTCAGAGCTAAGGCAAACAGTTTGATGATATACAATTCATCCGTATCCCTGAAGCTTCTCTTCTGTCTTAAACATGCTTCCAGTCACTTTTTTTTAAGTCTCTTCACTATGTAAAAATGTATTATTACTTCAGTGAGTCAGTCTTACCTAGAAACCCCTTCAAAGGCATCATCCACAAGGCTGAAGTTGGCACTGTGGTCTAATGACTGAAACCCAACTAGACAGGGTGCAGCTGAGAATTGCTGATTCTGTGGGAACTTAGACTTCCCTGTCTCAGTTCTCCCCTCTGTGAAAGAGAAATAGCTCTCTGCACCTCTGTTCACCTCCCAGCCACATAAGAATTTTGAGAAATAATTAGTGTCTGAGCACCTCCTTATTAGCACTCTTTCTCCCATTGTTTGCACTAATCTCCTGGTCTCTCAGCCCACGAAATCCTACCCATTCTTCGAGTAGCATTTCAGGAGCACTCCAATGTGTAATAATTTCTTATGACTGGGCTGTTTATTTCATTCTTGAAATATATTACCCTGCAATAGTCATTGTATTATGAATTTTCCAGAAATATATCATATGTTTTTCCAAATAGCCTTGGGTTTCTTGAGAGAAGAGATTTTTTTCTTATTCAACTTTGCCATAGCACCTAACAGAAAGCTTTGTAACCCAAAAGGTACTCAGTACATTTAGAGAGAAAAGATGGCCAACCATGTATTTCGTACTTGCCATGTGCCAAGCACTGTGCCAGGTGCTTTTGAATGTGTTCCCTAATTGAATTCATGGAATTGAGGATGGAAATGGGGACATGACTTGTCCAAGGTAACACAGAAATCCCAGGGCAACAGCAGCTGAAGCTGGTGGCTACAGCTGTTTTGTTTTTTTTGTTTTTTTTTGTTTTTTTTTTTTTTGCTCTGAGCTGAGTACTTTTTTCTATTCCATCAAACTGCCTCCTGGAATAAATATGTCTTGATTAATAGCTCTTCCTGCTCATTATCTTTATTTCTTCCTCCTTGTTCTAATCAATATTAATATCATGATACAACACTTTAGTATATTTTCCTTTTTAAATAGAAAGATATTTGCACAAGATTATGCTCCATTTTTATTACGGTTGGCCTGGGACAATCAGTCATTCCATTCACTCTACTAATATATATACATGTATGTGTATATATATGTGTGTGTGTGTGTGTGTGTGTGTGTGTGTGTGTATACTGAGACAGGGAAGTCTAAGTTCTCACAGAGTCAGCAATTCTCAGCTGTACCCTGTCCAGTTGGGTTTCAGTCATTAGACCGTGATGCCAGCATCAGCCTTGTGGATAATGCCTTTGAACGGGTGTCTAGGTAAGGCCAATTCACTGAAGTAATAATACATTTTTACACAGTGATAGGACTTTTTAAAAAAGTGACTGTAAGCATGTTTAAGACAGAAGAGAAGCTGCAGGGATGTGGAAGAATATGTATACATATATACACACACACATATACAGAAATATATATACACATATTATACATATATACATATATATATGCTGTGACAAATTACCATGAATTTCATGGCCTAAAGCAACAGAAATTTATTGTCTTATAGTTCTGGAGGTCAGAAGTCTGCAATGAGCCTCTGAGGTGTGGGCAGAGTTGTGCTTCTTCTGGAGGTTCTGGCGGAGGCTCCATTTCTTTGCCTCTTCCAGCTTCCAAAGGCTGCCTGCATTCCTCGGCTCATGGCCTTATTTCAGCTTGAAAGCCAACAATAGCTGATCAAGTCTTTCTCAGCTGCATCACTCTGACACTGGCCTTCCTGCCATCTGCTTCCATGTATAACGATCCTTCTGGTTACTTGGGTCTTCCCAAAATAATCCAGAGTAATCTTCTCATTTTAAGATTCTTAACCTAATTGCTCTCCTGCAAATTCCCCTTTGCTATATAAGGTAGCATATTCACAGTTCCTGGGATATGGAGGTGGACATCTTTTGGAAGATGGGGACGTTATTTTGCCTACCTCACTATAGGAAGAGTTTAGTTATGTTGGAAACAGTATAAAGTAGTTCAGAGATTCCCGATCTTGATTTGCCCATTAGAATCATCTGAGAGCTCTGAAGAGTACAGATGCCCAGGCACCTCACTCAAGTACTGTGATTTAATTGAACCACACGGGCCTGGCTGTCAGCATTTTGTAAAATTACCCTCAGGTTATTCTCTTGTGAAGCCAGCTTTTAGAATCACTGGGTGTATTTAACGAAGTGGATCTGGACTATTATACAGACTGAAGTTTCAGGACCTCTTCTGCCTTTTAGGCAACTCACTTTACCTCTCTAAACCTGATTGCCCTTATCTATAAAATGGGCATAATCATCACCTTAGCAATATTATGAGGATTAAACTAGACAATCTATATAAATTCTCTGCACCTTGCCTGGAATATGTTAATCCCACAATAAAGGTAGCTATTAATCATTATTTGACTTTCATACAGTAAGTCAAATCATATCCCTAAGTTAAGGCAGACATAAATGTCAAAAGTGAATATCAAAGGATGTACCCCCAACTCACCCGCCTTGGTCAGACTTAAAGGAGTTTAGAGTTTCAACTAATTCTGGAAATGGACACAGTTCAGGTGAGTTACTAGTTTCCACTGTCATTTTATTTAAGTCTGGACAATGGCTGATTTCTCCCCTGGTTTCTTCTTTTATAGTCACTCTCTTAACACTGCAGAGAATGACTCTATAGAACAAATTAGCTTCGTATTTCGTGCAAGCAGCTTGTTGTCTGCACTTCTCTACTGGGGAATGGTGGACATCAATCCCATTCCAACAAGCTCAGAGTCCTACTGTGTTTTACATGGATCCTTTAGTAAGGGAGTATCAGCCCCTGTCTTCTAAAAGATTCATCCACTATTCCCTGGGTCCTGAGTCCCAGGCTCCTTTTGATAGCCCCAGTCCCATTCTGGCCAAGAAGGCAGGAGGACATTGAATCAGGACAGACCCCAGTCCTAGGATCGTAGCCATACTCTTCACACAGAGAGATGAGATCTTCTGCCACTGTAAGACAAAGCCTTGTTACTATCTCATTTTATTTCCATGCATTACAAAAAAATTATAGTGGACAAAAGAACCATCCTAATTTTATCGTGAGAGAAAACTGTATTTAGGTAAAAATCCCAAAGGGGTCATCAACTGTAATACTCTAATTGTGTTTTAAAATTTATTAGCTCTCAGAACCAAAAAAGAGGAAAGATTACATCATAAGTCAGAGATCTTGCTTTATTAGCTCTCAGAGTAAGAAAATAAAAAGGAAGGGAAGTTCATATATAAGAAGTATCTTCTACTTTTTTGTCTTGATTTTCTTTTGCTAACCTCTTTCTTTAACCACTGGGGAATTACGGGGAAATACGGTATCAAAAAATGTTGACCCTGGTGATTTGAAATTAAAATCAATGATTCCTAATATTCAATAGTAGTCAAGAAAACTGGAGGCTTATGATTCTACTTCCACTTCCTTCAGTTCTGGAAAGAAACTGACAACACATTACTATAGGTGACAACTTTTCCAAAGTTGGCATGTCCATGGTACAAAATATTTGTGGATATCTTTGTCCCATGAGGGGTAGACACATTTTGGTTTGTTTGTTTTGAGAAATTTTACAAACAGAAGAAACAGAATATATAAGAAACAACAATGTATTCATCACTAAGAACTGGCAAAGATTTTGTCATCTTTGCTTAAAGTCTTTCTAATACGAAAAGAATAAACATTATATATAAAGTTGAAATTCAGTCATAATTGTTCCTCAGGCCTATTTCTTGCCTTTGCTTCCCAAAGACAGTCTCTATCATGATTTCACTGTGTTTCATTTGAGGTTACTTATCTATCTACCAACTAAATGTAGTTCTATTCATCCTGATTTGTATGGCCAGGACCCCAGATCCTAGAAGGTGGAAATAATATTATTGCTCTTGTTAAAAGTTATCCTTTGCCTCTGAGTCTTTCATCTTATTCCAATCTGATCATTGATCTTAGAGAGATGCACTGGGCTTTATATGTGTGTCAAGAATGGAAACAGCATATATGTCTTATCCAAGCCTTCTGTTCCCAGTTCCCAGTTGGCCCTCTCAAGGTGAAAGGTCTTCCCCAGTGAAAAACATTTTGGGTCAATCTTATGGGATTCAAGAAAAACAATTCTATAAAGAGAATCAGGAGGAGAATTTCAAAAGCTCATGACTCAATGAGGCCTGATGAAGGAAAGCTTTATGCGTGTTATTAAGGAGTTGAAATTTTTTCTTCCATGGATTGCAAACCAAAGGCCTACTGGATTCAGGCAGGTGACTTCAATGACGGAAGCCATTATGGCAAACTCTGGAGGCTTTTCAGAGCTCCAGCAAATTGTTGCATCAGAGAATCAGACTTTGCATGGAAAGCTAGAAATTTCCATCATTACATGAATTCACTTTAGTGTTTATATTTTATCATTTTTAAAAATTAAAATCTACAGAAAAGCTTAAACAATAACACAGCACACATCTATATCCCTTTCATCTAGATTTACACCAAATTGTTAATGTGTTGCCACATATGTGTGTATATAAATTATTTCCTAAGCCACTTGAATACAAGTTGTGCAAATGACAATTCATTCTCACAGATCTCAGCATGCACCTCCTAAGAATACGAACATTCTCTAGTTTAACCATAATACTATTGGCATCCCCTATGAAAAATAATAATTTCATAACATTTAATTGCCCATATTGAAATTTCTCCAGTTGTACCAAAATTATCTTATCAACTTTTTTTTTGTGCAAACCAGAATCCAACCAAGAGTTATGTATTACACTTGATTTTTATATCTTTTTGGTATATTTTAATCTGGACAAGTTTCTCCATCATTTTATGCTTTTCCAAACTACTTTTAATGGATTTATATGAACGTATGTGAGTGTGTGTGAATTTATGTGAATGTATGTGTGTTTGCACACACAGAGATGCAACAAAAACAGGTCTGAAGACCAGATTTATGCTGTGAGTTTTATTCTCTGCACCCAGATATAGCCTATCAAAAGTCCCACAGACAAATGTGTAGTCAATATAGCTTTTGCCTCAGCCAATATTAGTGTATTTTCTTATTAGGCATGGAAAGATAAGAGATAGAGAATGCCTTCTTTTATTGACATTTATTGAGGGCCTAAGCACCTGATGCTGCACTAAACTCTAAGAATGATAAATGAAAGTCACTTGGAGGAGGGAGCTAGTTACAATAGCAGTTTGCCTGGCACCACCCTAAACCTACTAAATCTGGAATCTGCACTTTAATCTCCTCTGGTTATTTTTATGAACACTAAAGTTTGAGAACTACTATTCTAAACACACCCATGAAAATAAGAAAGTGAACTCTACCCCTGACAAGATCTAGTAGAATGAAGATGTAGAATGCTATCATACGATGCAATACATACTCTGAAAGGGTCAGAGGAGACTTTGATGGAGGAGGTGAAATTCTAGCTGAATTTGAAAAAGGGTGGATTAACAAAGGGTAAGACAATGTGGAAGAAGACATGAAGTGAGAGAAGCAAAAGCAATGCCACATGCAAGTGAAGAGGTAGTAAGCTCTGATGAAGGAAACGCTTGTATGTACTCTTAAAGAGTTGATTTTTTTTTTTTTTAAAGGTTTGGAAAGCTAGTGAAAGGCTTAAGCAAATATCATCCAGTTAAGCATAGGAAGATCATGTTGACAACCCTGCAAAGAAAGGATTAGAGGCAGAACAATTCTATCGGAAGCCACTGCAGTTAAAGAGGCAGGAAATGATGAAGTTGGTGCACTGAGACTGGAGGGAAAAGGCTGAATTCAAACAACACTTGGGAGACAGGAGCAACAGGACATGCTGGTTACACATGAACATGTAAGTCAGAGAAAGGAGTCTAAAGCCAATCCTCAGCTCGCATTTCAGTCTTGTGTAGATGGTGCCTGTTGGACATTCAGGGGAAAATGTCTCTTATGTGGTTACCTAGCCAGGAGAGCAACAGTAAGACCCTCAGAATTGTGAACCAGGGACCCATGAGAGGCCTGCAGCTGGGGCAAAATGCTGTGACGAAATAAGCCTTGGATCAGACTGTGGGCTTGGTGCACACTTGCATGCTGAGCAAAGGAACTTGTTAACACTATTAAAAAAGTGGAACCAACCACTGGTGAACATTATGGTTTTGTTGAAAGATCCCTGTATGCTTTGCCTACTTCTAGTGCAATGATTTTCTCTCTCCACTCTTTTTTATCAGTTGCCTCCAAAATAAAATGAGTATCTCAGGAGGAGTGTTCAAGACAGTTCATTGGGCATGAAGAGAAATTGTTAGAAATCTTATACTTTAAAAATCTCTTCCTTTATTTTCTATTTTTGTTTGCACTTTATAATGGTTAAAGTATATGCATAACATACTTTATAAGAAAAATTTCGTACAAGATGAATTTAGCAGTTTATTTGAATAAAAAACAATTCATGAATTGGGCAGCATCAGAACCACAAAAGGTTCAGAAAGCTCCACCCCAGCAGCATGGGCAGTGAGTTTTCATAAGTGCACTAAGAAAAAAGACAAAGAAAATATATTTGACTGTTTAGAGCAAAAAGACTAGTTAGAGGTTAGTTGGCAGTATCTGATTGGGAAAGTCTTTACTTAGATGTTAGTTGGCCATTCTAATTGGTAAAGTTTATCTTATTGTTTATATTGGGCTTTGGTTTGCTAACATAAAAACCTAAAACTCTGGAGCCTTCCCAGCCTAATGCTCTGTCAATTAAAATGTTGTAACAGACACATACACACCATACACACATATATACATACATGTATATATATGGGTTCATTAATAAATATTCACATTTTTGCAGTGCTTACTCAAATATATTTTACTGCTAGCTATACAAAACCAAAAATCTTCAGTGACCACTCTTCTGCATGGCAGAAAATCAGGAAGAGACTAAAGGATGCGAAGTGGGGAAGCAGACACTGTTCTCATACCTCTGCTTCTTAAAGATTGCTGACATCTTTTATAAGGTTTTGTCCACTAATAAAACCCCATGTAGCAAAAACCTCTGGAAGGTATTCAAGTCCCTTATAACTTTCCGTAATATAAATGCATTTCTAGAATTTTAGAAGCTTGGAGGTGGAAAAATCTCTGATGTTAACCAAGTAGTTTCCTACTTGGAAGAAAGCAGGAAGAATGAGCAGGTTAGAGGAAAGAGGTTGAAGTTAGAAGGATTTAGGGAGAGGAAAGTAGAGAAAAGCCACTTTTTACACATTAAATAGGAGCCAGTCCTGCAGCTTGCAGATCGTAATGCTTCTCTGATATGTGTACATGAGTGTTGAGTTGAGTAAGGGGAAGTAGCTGTTAAAGTCAAAGAAAATAAGCAGAACCCATTTCTTTTCTTCTCTCCTACACAGTCCATTCTCATCCTAATGTGTTTGGGCACTGAGTGATTTCTGACAACAGACAATGAGCTCTCTAGAGGAATACACACCTTTAATGAACTGTGATCAGGATGTGATTGGCTTAAAGACAGAGCTCTTGACAAGTCAATATATGTTGGCAGGGCAACAACAAGCTTCCAGAAAGGCGTGGACTCCTCAGAGCTTCATCTGCTGCTGTCTGGAGCAGTGGCGAAGCTTGGGAGGCCACTCCCTGGGTGAGCAAGCAGAAGGTGGCAGCCCTCCCCCATCTGTTTTCACAGGACGCTTAATCCCTGTAGTAAGGGAAACCGTCAGGACTGTGCTAAAGGCTGACTGGAGGCCAAATCATTTCACTTTCAAACACATTCATGATTTGTTTTCTGAGTAAGTCACTGGAGGCTTTTATCTGGCACAGCAGAGCTGGCTTGGCCACCAGAACCAGATCACCTTTCCTTGAAAGATGGCTGGAATGGCCATCGGTTTCGTGTTATTTACTCCTTTGAGAATATTAACTTCATCATTTTTTTAATTGTGGAAAAATATAATTGCTAGTAAGTACAACAATAAGTACAGTATTTAATTTAGAGGACAGAGAAGCAAGCACATTGACAAGTGATAGGCATGAACAGGCTGACACCTCAAAGTCATCATTATACTGAGCAGACAGCACAGGATAGGGTTTCTCCACCTGGAGAAGAGGGGAGTGTGGGATGAGATAGGGACAGTAGAAAATTTGGGCTGGGGTATAAAGACAGAAATTCTTATATCTGAAATGGATATTTGATACTGGGAGTAGTGAGTTGAGAATAAGCTGACCTTCTCCATCTCTACTACACCCACCCCCACTCTAATTCTCTTACCTAGGGTTTTATCTCCTTGTATTGCACAACAGAGCTGCACCAGATAGAGAAGTGGAAACCTAGTTTTTACGTCCACAAAGAATGAGCTACTCATTGAGACATTCATCATTTGCTTAGAATTACTCTTGCATGGGGGAATGGAAGCCCTAAACATTTAATAAATATCCAGAAGCACTGAGGTGTTAGCTTGATTCTGTAGCAGATGTTAAGACCAAAAACTTTATTTAAGAAGCATTTGAATGATTTTTTTAAATTTAATTGCTCAGGTTTCCCTGTAATTTATGAAGGCCTTTAGTGAATAGCCACAAAAATAATGAAAACTTCATATTCAAATAATAACTTAATATTACATTACTGGTTTCCTTTAGAAACATAATGCAAGTAATTCTTTTCAACTTCACCTTCTGTCAACACCATCTCAAGGAGGACTATACATAAAGGAAAATATGCTCCTCATATTTTTATATTTTCCTCTAAATGATAGGGGAAAATACTACTACTATACGGTGTCTTAAAAGTCTTACATTAATTCTCCAGTTCAGAAAATTGGTTGCCTGTAGCCAAAGCATGTAGTAAAATAGGTTTGCATGAAAAGCAATGCTTTTGCTTTTATTTTTTTATTTTTTATTTTTAAATTTTATTTTATTTTATTTTAAGTTCCAGGGTACATGTGCAGGATGTGCAGGTGTGTTACATAGGTTAACGTGTGCCATGGTGGTTTGCTGTACTTATCAACCCATCACCTGGGTATTAAGCCTGGCATGCATTAGCTATTTTTCCTGATGCTCTCCCCTCCATTGCCCTCCCCCAACAGGCCTCAGTGTTTGTTGTTCCTCTCCCTCTTTTATTGATTATAAGACACATAACACAGAGTGACAAGGGGAGAATCAAATGTAATTATCAGCATCATCATCTTGTTGTAATCAAATAATATTACTGCACAAATTTTCCTTTGTGAGCAAAGATTTTATAAAAATAGAAAAATGGGTGTTTATTATTATGTAATAATAAGAAAAGCTCAAAATAAGATAAATTTGAGCAAGTATCTATACTTCCGCTTATTTCGGAAACATACCATCATGTTACTAAACTCACCTCATAGCATTTTAGTTGTTTTTATTAAATCTTCAAACCTTTCAGACACTACTAAGCATAGAGACCATTCATAACAAATGAAACTTTCAGTTTTTTAAACTAAAACTTTCTAAATGTGTACATTTCTTTTCTGCCTTTTTGGAAAGCAAACTTTTAAAAATGTATATACTTTTAGGACACAGAGGCTGAGAGATATAAATTGCTGGGCTCACCTTCCCTTTAGTGGGACAAATGCATTAAAAAAGAGCAAGAGTCCCACAAACCAGGAAGCTGCCCTTGGCCTCTAATACATTAATTAATGTTTATAAAGTGCCTTCTGTATGCCTGGCAATGTACTACAAGCTGGAAATCCAGGACAAATAAGCCACAGTTACCGCCAACCCTTAAGGAACTCATGATCTAGTGAGAAACACAGACATATCTCCAACAACTAAGAGAGAGTACAAGACGCCAGAGCTCAGAAGGCCTTACCCAGTCTTGTGGGACAAAGTTCAAAAGGAGATCATATCTACACTGGGTTTTGGAGCATAAGCAGGAGTTAGCCAGGTGAAAAAGGAGAGGGGGCAGTACATTCCATGAAGACAGGGCGTGTTGCTTGCTTTTGGAGGATTATTTCATTTTATTTTATTTTATTTTATTTTACTTTATTTTATTTTATTTTATTTTTGAGACAGAGTCTTGCTCTTGTTGGCCCGGGCTGGAGTGCAATGGTGCAATCTCAGCTCACTGCAACCTCCGCCTCCTTTGTTCCAGCAATTCTCCTGCCTCAGCCTCCTGAGTAGCTGGAATTACAGGTATGCACCACCACCACGCCCAGCTAATTTTTGGATTTTTTAGTAGAAACAGGGTTTCACCATGCTGGCCAAGCTAGTCTCGAACTCCTGACCTCAGGTGACCTACCCTCCTAGGCCTCCCAAAGTGCTGGGATTATAGGCGTGAGCCACCTCACCCAGTGGATTATTTTATTTTGTTTTGGCCATCTGAGAGAGGTTGGCAGAGAGGAGAAGAAAAACAAGTAATCCCAAATTCCAGTTAGGCTTCCTTCATGGCCCAAGATCAACTGTCCCATGTTAGGTAAAGTCTTCCTCAACTCTTCTGCCCCCATGCAGAAGGAATTACATATTCCTGGGTATTTCCAGATGCCTTTATTCATACTTTGAGCTTAATACTCATCACAGTGTGTCATGGTTAGTTATACAGTGTCTATCTCTATAGTGGTTATAATACATGTTTGGTTGCAGCAAAAGAGACACAACATAACACTGATTTTTAAAAGTTAAATGTCTGTCCTCCTGTTCCCTTCTTTATAACCATCTAGCAAAATCCAGTGAAGATGGGGTTGTCTCCTGTGTTGGGGGCCAGGTCCTTCTATCTCCTGGCTCTGTCATGCCTAGAGTATTACCTTAGTCATCACTGGATCAGAAGAGCTCAGGCCCCCACAGCATCCCAGCCAGCTGGGAGGGGAAAGCATGATGGGGCCCTCTTTTAGGACACACCAAGAAGCTACATAGATCCCTTCTGCATAGATCCCATTGACTAAAACTTAACCACATGGCCAAATCTAATGTCAAGAGGGACTAGAAAATGCCTTATCCTGTGTAGCTGTGGGCCAGGTAAAAAGCCAGAGATCTCTTAGGATAGAATAAGCATCCTAAACTTTTGGCAAACTTTTTCTGCAGAGGACTAGATAGTAAATATTTCAGGCCATATACGGTCTCAGCCATGTCATCATCATTGTTGTCATCATCATTGTTACCATCATTGTCTTCTTTTGCTTCTTCTCCCTTTTCTTACAATTCTTAAAAAATGTAAATTCTTAGCCTGAGGTCTGTACAAAACATTCCACAGGCCAGATTTGGCATGCGGGCCATAGTTTGCTGACCCTACTACTCTATAAGAAGGGAAAATCATACGGGGAGGAAAGTGACCATCTCTGGCATAACGTCTGTAAGATTATAAGCCACTGAGTGGAAAATCCTTGTCTTCTCCATCTTTCTAGTCTTGGCCAGTGCTTGACCCACACAGTAAGTGTTTGATGTTTATGAATGAATGAGTAGAAGGAAGGTGGGGGAGGTTAATTTCACAATCACAATTTGTTAAAATCTCATTTAGTCCCAATGGTAGCCTCTGTTTTGGGGGGTTTCTTTTCTTTTCTTGTCTTTTCTTTTCTTTTTTTCTCTTTTCTTTTTTGAGTTTCTTTCTTTCTTTCCTTCTCTTTATTTTTCTTTCTTTCTTTCTTCTTTTTTTTTTTTCCTTCAGACAGGATCTTGCTCTGTTACCCAGGCTGGAGTGCAATGGTGGTGCAATCATAGCTCACTGAAGCCTTGAACTCCTGTGCTCAAGAAATCCTCCCACCTCAGCTTCCCAAATGTCTGGGGCTACAGGCATGCACCATCACACTTGGCTAATTTTTTTTTTATTTTTGTAGAGACAGGGTCTCACCATGTTGTCAAGACTGGTCTTGAACTCCTGGTCTCAAGCAATCCTCCTGCCTCAGCCTTCCAAAGTACCGGGATTACAGGCATGACCCACTACACTCAGCCCCACTGGTGGTCTTTTCACATGGATTATCATCTAAATACTCCATTTCTTCCAGCCTCAAGAATAGTCTAACAGAGAGCCGACAGAGTGAGTCTAGTGGGCTTTCCACACATGAGTGACCACTCTTCAGTTGATATGGTCAAGCACACCACTTTACCTCCTGACCTCAGGTGCAATTAGCTTCCAAATATTCCACATGCTCCAGTGGACCTTTCTAATTGTAAGCATCCCCCTTTGGCCCCCATTGCAGGTGACACTCCTGGGTGTGTGGAAAGATTATGGGTCCAAAGAACTTACAGCTTCTTCCTCTTGAATAAACATGGTGGCAGGCAGGAGAATCTTGTTTTGGTTTTACCCTTTTAAATATCACATGCTTGGTGGGAATGTTAGCAGAAGTATCCAGGCTGAACAGACACTTTTAAGTTCCCCTTTCTCCTCCTTATTACTCAATATCCTGAGGGCATAATAGAACTTTTCTTGTCTAAGTTTGCCTGGTCAGGGGAGGGAGGTGTGGCTCACTCAACCACTGACCGGGACAAAACCCTGCCAGGCATCAGAAAGCTCCGCAGTTCTTGAGTTCCACATGCAGAGCAGATGCGACAGCTAGAAGTGAGTAGGGCCCAGACCCTGGCCCAGGAAGATCCACTAAAGGAGGCCATCCTTCCGCCTTCTTCTGCAGGAGTCAGGTAACAGCTATGCCTAGGTTTCTTCTTTCAAATAAATGTGTAATTTTTTATAGCAGGAAAAAAGCACCACTTCCAAATTCTGGCAGCACAGACTGTGCTAGCTGAATAACTGAAGGAAACGCATGTTCTGTTGGAAAATAGCAAAAGAGATGAACAGGAGACACTAAAACTCAGCCTCATGGTAGCCAAAAGGATGATAAGCAGATAAAAATGTGGCCGGGAACGTGTCTGTCACTTGCTCTTTCGTAACTGGATAAGGCCTCTCATGTGTTCTTGTTGGAACCTCTGGTGCCACTAGCGTTAAATAACGTCTTGCAGTGAAACCAGAAACAAGGTTTTATTGCCAACAGAGCTGGGCACAGATGGTTTATTTCATCCTGGTTCCTAACAAATATGTGTCCATCCTTTTGATGAGAAAGAGTAACTTTCAATTTCCTCCAAACCTGGCAGGAGGTGAGGATTCACATGAGATTTCTACATAGACTAAAGAAAGGGACTATACTGCCATGAATTATGCCTTCTCAGAAGGAATCCTGGCAAACTGGATAAATGATGACAAACAGCTGCAGATCAGCCAAGGAGGCCTTTCAAAGCAACCAGCAACTCCAAATTTTCCTCGGAGCCTTTGGCTGTCTTGTATACATTGCTGATTCTTCTGAAAAATTCACAAGGTCTTTTCCCCCCATTTAACTTGATTTGCAGGGAAGTAATTAATAGAAATGGGCCTCTGACTCTGCCTTCTATTAGCTGTGTGACTTTGGGAGAGCCACTTAACCTCTCTGTGTCTCAGTTTTCTCATCTAAACATGGGGATAATAATAGAACTCATCTCATGGAGTTGTTGAGGGGATAAAACTATATACACTTTTTGAGTACTAATGTAAAATAATAATTAATATTCACCATTTTAAATATTTTTTCATTAAATACAAATAATTCTGCGTGGGAAACAGATGGGCTTATCACCGGAAGGGTGAAGTTGTGGCTGTGATTTTCTGCCCATGCTATGGGAATGCCACCGGAGGTTTTAGGTAGAGTAAAACGTCCCCATGCAATGTGAGATACACACACTTCAAATAGTCCGATACCTTAAGAAATTAATCATAAGTGATAGGTGAGGGGGAGGAGGATAAGGGTGCTCTTTCCAATAAAACCACATGTTTTATGATGTACCATTAAAGGCGATCCTGAATATCAAAGGCGTTATGGTGCACTTAAGGCACCCCGTGGAAAAGTTGACCATCCGTTTCAAAAAGGAAAGGCTAAAAAGGTTTCCATTTCCCTTGAGAAATTATTGTAAAGGTTGAAATCCACACTGCCTGACTGTCATGTCCATTATTTGTTTACTACCATTGGGCTTCAAATTCCCCCCAGCTTCTGCTGGAGTCCAGAGGCTTGGAAGCTCGCAGCAGCTGATTTCTGGTGCAATGCTGCACCTTGCCAAGTTACGGCTGCTTCATAGAGCAATCACACTGACATCTAGTGGTCTAAAGAGTAAGTGCAGGCGGTGGCTTTGAAGCTTTTACCAGCCTCAATGTGCTTTAAAAACCACATTTTCCACCATTTACACAATACGTTAACAAGAGAGAGAGATCAGGGATGTAGAAATGATATTTCATTTGTCTGAGGTGTTACTAGAGGCTGCTCTACAGGAACATTTCTAAAAACAAGAAAGTGAAGAGAGTGAACCGTGGCTCGCTGGCGGGTTTGGGCTGTGGTTCCAGGGGTTGCGGTTAAGACTGTGACTCCAGAATCAAGATCCTGAGCTTGAAGGTGGTCTCTGCCACGCACCAGCTGTGGGCCTTGGGTGAGTTCCTAAATGGTTCCATGACTCAGTTTCTTTATCTGTCAAATGGGGATAACAGTAACGTCTCCATTGACCTGTTTTGAGGTGATCCCTGAAAAGCTCCTAGCACAGCACCTGGCCCAGAAGGCAATCGGGGTTGCCCTCTGTTCTTGTTGTGACTGTTTTTTAAGAGCAAGCTGCTGCAGAAGCTGGCACCCCACAGGTCAGACAGCATAGCGCAGTGGAAAGCTCAGAGGATGAGCAAGGGAGAGACCCAGATTTTAGCCCAACTGTGTGAACCTGGACAGATCCCTTACGCAGTTTCTTTTTTGTAAAATGAAGGACCTTGGTTCGCTAATGTTTAAGGATTTTTTCCTTTCTCAAACGTTGTGTTCTAAACCTTGTACAGGCTTCTAATTGAAATTGTTCTACCTTTAAGGCCCATTTGTCTCCTTTCTTTTTACCAAAGCCCAGGGCCAAGCATGTCCCAGGTGTTTATTATATAGTTGCTGACTGATAAGAAGTGATTGTTGGAATGCTCTCTATTGGTCACTAGGAATAAACCAAGAATGTCTTTGGGCAGGAATGAAAATCCAGTGGGAAGCTCTGGAAGTCAAGGAATATTTCCCCATCAGAAGCTGGTCTGGGGTTTCTCTGATAAATTTGGAAAGCTCAGTGGTTGTCTTGTTTTTCTACCTCTGCTAATCAGCCTCTCTAAACAGATAAGAAACCAGGAAAATCATTTAGCTATATAAATTCAATACATAACCTTGTTAATCACGTTGCTGCAGCCTGCGCCTTGTGAGTTGGTCAGAGCAGTGGATGACTTTGCTTCTAAGTGCAGGTGAAATGCCACCAAATTCACATGCTGCCTGTGACCAATGCCTAACTCAGTCTTTCCAAGCCAGGGATAATCCCAGCTGGGATGTCACCTCTAATATGGCAACAAATGGTGGTGCAGCAAAAAATAATCATGAAACAGTCTTTCTTCCCTTCTTCCTAAACTTCATCCACATAGACTGTTGGATATTTATAGAAATCCAGCACAAACACAGGGAGGGGAACGACACACACTGGGGCCTGTTGCAGGGCAGGGGGAGAGAGAGCATCATGATAAATAGCTAATGCATGTGGGGCCTGATACCTAGGTGATGGGTTGAGAGGTGCAGTAAGCCACCATGGCATGCATTTACCTGTGTAACAAACCTGCACATCCCGCACATGTATCCCAGAAAGAACTTAAAATAAAATTTAAAAACAAATAAACAAAAGAGTGAACAAAGGAGGGAGCTGCGGGTAGAATTTTAACAACATGCATACCACTATTTTTATATTAGAGATTTCTAATATATGCTAATATAAATATATGCAATATTAAAAATCGTATTATACACACACACGAAAAAAGTTTAATTTGGGAGTTTTGTAAGGGCGTGTATTATTTTCCTGTGGTTTCTGTAACAAAGTACCACAAACTAGGCAGCTTACAACAACAGAAATCTATTCTCCCTCAGTTTTGGAGGCCAGAAGTCTAAACTCAAGGTGTCAGTAGAACCATGTTCCCTCTGGAGGCTCTAGGGGAGGATTCGTTTCTGGCCTCTTCCAGCTTCTGGTGGTTCCAGGGATTCCATGGCTTGTGGTTGCATCACTAAAACCTCTACCTCTCTTGTAAAATGGCCCTCTCCTCTTCTGCTGTCTCTTCTTCTCTATCTTATAAGGACACTTGTCATTGGATGTAGTGCTACCTACATAACCCAGAATGATTCCGTTGCATGATCCTTAATTACACCTGCAAAGACCTTTTTTCCAAATAAGGTCACATTCACAGGTTCTGATACATGGGCGTATCTTTTTGGCATATACATGGGCATAATTTATAGACAAGCAACCAACATCTGCATTCCAATCCCATTCACTCGTGCTAAATCAGGGTACCTCCACCAAAAGGTGCCCCAATCCTTGCCACTGAATTTCTGCCACTCTTTTGGTAGTAATTGATCAAGAAAAATGTGAGGATAAGACAGATCCAGGATTCCACTGGTTTTTAATAATGTTTGCTTCTGAATACACCACAGGATGCCACACCCTCCCCCTTGCACCCCTGGCTGGCTGGGCTGGTGAGTCTCCCCAAAGATCCCTGAGAGGAGCACAGCAGGGTGGGTTGGACCACACAGCAAGTGCTGCTTTAAAAAAACTTCCCCCAGGGTGATCCTACCACACAATGTGCTTCTCATCATTTCCCCATCGTCATCGCAATGAAAACCACTCAAAATATTTTTATTTACCCTATCAGTCAAAAAAAAAGTAGTCAGTGAGAGTTGTGTTTATATTTCTCAAATGGATTTTTTATTATTTTATTCATATTAGATGTTTGACATTGATCCACTGTTACATTTAATTTAAATTTATAATTCTTCAAACACCTTTTTTAACATTCTTATTGAATTTTTAATTATGGTAAAATATACATAATATAAAATGTGCCATTTTAACCATTTTTAAGGGTAAAATGTGGCATTACATACATTCGCATTGTTGCGCAAACATTGCCACTATTGATTTCAGGAACGTTTTCTTCTTTCCCAACTGTAACTCTATATCCATTAAACATTAATTGCCTGTTCCCTCCTCCCTCCAGCCCCTGGCAACCACCATTCTACTTTCTGCCTTTATGAATTTGACTACTCTAGGTACATCATATAAGTGAAATCACACAATATTTTTTTTTTGACACAGAATCTCGCTCTGTTGCCCAGACTGGAGTGCAGTGGTGCGATCTTGGCTCACTGCAACCTCCGCCTCCCAGGTTCAGGTGATTATCCTGCCTCAGCCTCCCAAGTAACCTGGGATTACAGGCTTGCACCATCATGCCTGGCTAATTTTTGTATTTTTAGTAGAGATGGGTTTTCACCATGTTGGCCAGGCTGGTCCCAAACTCCTGACCTCAAGTGATCTGCCTGCCTTGGCATCCCAAAATGCTGGGATTACAGGCATGAGCCACAGCACCCAGCCAATACTTGTTGTTTCGTGACTGGCTTATTTCACTTGGCGTAATGTCTTCAAGGTTTCTCCTTGAATGTCAGAATTTCCTTCCTTTTTAAGACTGAATAACATTCCATTGTATTATAAACCTCATTTTGTTTATCCCTCTATCTGTCAACAGACACTTGGTTTGCTTCCACCTTTTGGTATTGTAAATTATGCTACTATAAACATGGGATCTACCCATATCTGCTCAAGTCCCTGCTTTCAGTTCTTTTGGGTATACACCAGAAGTGGAATTGTTGGATCATTTGGTCATTCTATGCTTAATTTTTTGAATAACCACCATACTGTTTTCTATAGCAGCTGTACCATTTTATGTTCCCACCAGCAGTGCACAAGCATTCAATTTCCCCAAATCCTGTCCAACACTCGTTATTTTCTGCTTTTTTTAAATTATAGCCATTCAAATGGATGTGAAGTAGTATCTCATTTTGGTTTACATTTTTAACTAAAAGAAAATTCTGTCTAGAAATAATAGATGACTCTCTCTGTGGTACTTTCTTTTGAAAACCATTTAGTATGTAGAAAAGCATAACACAGGAAAGGGTTTTGGTGTGTTTCATTTTTTGTTGTTCTTTGAACTAACGAAAGATGTTAACACTTTTTTCACTTTTTCATTCAGACGAAGTTGTTATATATAAATGCATTGTTATCAATCTGATTTTTGCCATGGGACTTCCCAAATTATAACTTCTTTCTCCCGTAGTATCTGTTTATGCCCCTCTTCAACCACCCCTGGTAATAAGTTTGAGGCTGCAGCCAAATGAACGATAATCACCATCTCAGGCAGACAATGAATGAACCAGAATGGTGTCCTGGGCCCCTAAACTACCAGTTAGATGGTTCATGTAACCAACTCTAAGGGGCAGCTGTTTGGAGCCAGGGTTGGGCTAAAAAAGCCCTAATATAGTCATCTACCTAAACACCTCACCCCCACACCAACACACACACAGAGACTAAATGTTTTTTCAAACAAACGGAATTGTTTGTCTTCTCTTAGTTGTTTCCCCTTTCAGATTGCCCACGATGTTGCAAAGTCAATCAGGATGTTTTGGCCTTGAGCCCTATAAACCCCATGCCTTGCTCTGTTTCCTTGCTCATCTCAGATCTGCCAGGATCACAACCATAAGTAGGACAAATGTTATCACATCCCTTGCAATGACAAGGGATTCTTGGACAGGAGGTCAATTTCTAGAGTTAGGTGGAAAACATTTTGGATTAGAATAAGAAACTGCTAAAAAGTTTTGTGTGTGAGCTGAGAACTTAAACTAGTAACTATATGACAAAGACAATGAAAACTCTGGTTCCTATGGCATATAGGGTGAGCACAGAATTTAGAATCAGAACCTGGGTTTGGTTCTCATCCTACCACTTGCTAAAGCTTAGGTGACTCAGTTTAAGGTTATATATTAATAACACTAAAAACTAATTGGGCTTTGGGAGGATCAAATGAGATATTATATGTGAAATGTTATTTTAAAATGTGATTATTAGTTTAATAATGAAATTAGGAATGGGTATAAACTACTAAACTCTAGAATTTCTTGATAATTATATGAGTATATGTAGAGTTGGGTTTTTTTTTTTTTTGGCAGGGGGCGTGTAAAGGTGATTTGTTCGCCAAGAAAAGCACTTTTAGTAAAGCACAGATGTTAATCTAGATCATGGAAAAGTGCCACACACTAGATTTAGCACATAAGCAAGGAGTCTCTAGAACACTCAGAAGAAAATGAATGAATCCATGAATGAATGGACAAGTGAGAGCCCAGAGCAGCTGAAGCCATGAAGTGCTTTGGAAAGAGAAGCGTGCCTGGGAAAAGAGAGTGGCTGAGTGCTAAGAGCAGGGTGAACACCATGGAAAACTTGAAATTGAAAACATCACAATTTTAATGAGAAAAAGCGCAACCCAAAGTGAAGAGCACCATTATAACAAAGGTGAGAAAAGATGCTCATCTTATGACAGAGTCTTGTTTCTGTGCAGTTATCAGAAAAAGTGAGCTAAGAGGTGTGATGTGCTTATATTGTTTAATCCTGATTACTAAATACCAAATGCGTTTTCTTCAAAGCTCTAAAGGAGAAGAAATGGAATGGGAACAAGGGGGAGGGTTGAGGGCAGGGAGGATATCCCACATTGTCATATTCCTTAGAGTAAGGTTTCAAAATATTATCTATTTCTCTTTGTGGAATCTTCCATAGCTTTCCATTTCTAATGTATAGCTTTCACTTTCCTCAAATCGAACTCTGGATCTCTCATTGACTAGAAGCTGCCACATGCCTTTTTTTATTTTTTATTTTTTATTTTTTTGAGACAAGGTCTTGCTCTGTCACCCAGGCTAGAGTACAGTGGTGCATTCATGGCTCACTGCAGCCTTGACCTCCCGGGCTCAAGCAATCATCCCACCCCAGCCTCCAGAGTAGCTAGGACTACAGGCACTCACCACTGTGCCTGGCTAATATTGCATATTCTTTTGTAGAAATGAGGTCTTGCTTTGTTGCCCAGGCTAGCCTCAATCACCTGGCCTCAAGCAATCCTCCTGCCTCAGCTTCTCCAATTGCTGGGATTACAGGCCTGAGCCACCCATTGTGCCCAGCTGCTGCCACCTGTCTTGGTTAGCTCGTTGAGTTCTTCCTCTTCTTAGCAGTTTTCACACAGATCTTTTCACATGCTGGGAAGGAAGTCTCTAGAAAACCCCACAGATAGCCTCATTCCTCCACCCCCACTTCACTCCATGTAGACAATAAGCTTTCAGTTTCTAACATCATGTTGAGTGTAGAAAAGAAATTTACCACCCAGGAGCGTGTGTCTGTGTCTGTCTATGTTTTCGTGTTTGTTGGGAGTGACACGAAGGCTGAGGGAAAAAATAAAGCATAACATTTCTATTTTTCGCTTGACAAACAGTATCTTTCCCAGACATCAAAGATTTTTATTTCAGACTTCAAATGTCCTTAGCAAAATAAAGTTTTTGTTGGGGTGTACATGAAAATAGAACAACCATAAGAAATAGGCCGGGCGCAGTGGCTCACGCTTATAATCCCAGCACTTTGGGAGGCCGAGGCAGGCGGATCAAGAGGTCAGGAGATCTAAACCACGGTGAAACCCTGTCTCTGCTAAAAATACAAAAAATTAGCCAGGCGTGGTGGCGGGCGCCTGTAGTTCCAGCTACTCGGAGAGGCTGAGGCAGGAGAATGGCGTGAACCTGGGAGGCGGAGCTTGCAGTGGGCCGAGATCGCGCCACTGCACTGCAGCCTGGGCGACAGAGCGAGACTCCGTCTCAAAAAAAAAAAAAAAAGAAAAGAAAAGAAAAAGAAATAGTAGCTGAAATTTAGGTCTCTCTTTGAGGTTGGAGGAACAGAAAAAATGAAAGAACTTATATTGTATTATGAAGTGTACATCAACTATTAGCCTAAGAACCAAATAAGCCACTAATAAGATATCTATGAAAACATTTTTCAATTATCTACAAGTTCGTTAGTCAAAATGTAAATTCCTGAAAAACTGTTTTCTAATTTGGTATTTTCAGGTCATGCAGGCTGAGTGAATTATCCTAAACAAATGTAAGTTAAATTTGCTATAAAAAATTGTAAAATAGAATAAGAAAAATAAGTGGTTTTAGGACCATTTGTTGTTCTGTACTATCTACATCTCACTCTATATTCTCTACATCCTATCGCCATTCTATCCACATCAAGAACTCAAAAACATATAGCAAAACAAACCTCAGAAACACATAGAAACTCATATATATTTATATGTATGTATTTATACTAGAGACAGGCTCTCGCCACGTTGCTTAGGATGAACTCAAACCCTTGGGCTCAAGCGGTCTTCCCACATCAGCCTCCTGAGTAGCTAGGACCACAGGAATGCACTATCATGCCTGGCTAGAAAGTCGTATTTAACTTCCTTATCCATTTATGCTTAAGCCCTCAGAGGCCATGGCAAAGTCAAAACTATTTGTACAGGAGCTATTTTGTAGGATAACCAGGAAAAGAACATTGAAGGTTCGAATTTGTAGAATGATGATGATTGTCCCGCTCCTGATTCTAAAAACAGGGGGTACACAAAAATCCAACTGATGCACATGCCTTATAGAGAATACAAGGCGCCAGCATTTGGGAGGTGGACCATCACCATCAAAGCTTTACTACTTGCTAGGCTATCTTGCTTCTTCTGCTCTAATTCACTCTGGAAGAGAGAACACAGTAGAAACAGGAGAAGGATCCGGATCATCAGTGCTCGGAATAACACCAGACCAGGAGATAATGCACAGCGATATCTGTGGTGGTTTTTCTGCCAAGGTCCGAGGGGACCTGGCGGGGCACACACACCACCCAGAAAGTCCCCATTTAAGTCAGGTGTTTCCTTCCACATGACACCTCACAATGCAAGGCCATAGCAGACAGGGCATCGCTGGGGTTGTTGCAGTTCCACCTCCACCTTCACAAGTTACTGAAAAACATACAGGGGTTGTCACAATCAGGGCTACCACCGCTGCTTCCGCCACCAGGTCCTCCTACCCATGCCTTCGCCCAGAGCCTGCAGCAAAGGGCTCCCGCCCCAAGAACTTAATTTGCGGCGAGAGTCAAGTTCCCACATCCTGTTGAAGAGGGGCCTGGTGCTCTCTCCAGCCTCCGAGGCTCAGCCCACTGGAATGCATCACAGCCCATTTGCAATGAAATAGATATTCAATTGGCAAGTGCTTAAATCACAACTGCAGGTCAACAAAGGAGCTAAGAAAATCATCTCCTCCACTCCCATCTGTATGACCAATCAAGGTGAAATTTAAGTAAACGCAGTCCATCAGCCAGTACGTTCAATGCATATTATGGAAAGAGATGCGCCAGGATCAGGGATGTGTCTGCTTGTTTGCCGGGGAGGGAATTGCTGTTGAGGAGGAAAAATAAAACCAGGTTCCTGCTTTTACATCTCCTTAGGGAAACAGAGAACACACATGTAAATTATAATTCATTAAGAATCTAAATAGGCCGGGTGCGGTGGCTCACGCCTGTAATCCCAGCACTTTGGGAGGCTGAGGCAGGTGGTGGATCACCTGTGGTCAGGAGTTCAAGACCAGCCTGGCCAACATGGTGAGACCCCATCTCTATTAAAAATACAAAAATTAGCCAGGCGTGGTGGTGCATGCCTGTAGTCCCACCTGCTCGGAGGCTGAGGCACGAGAATCGCTTGAACCCAGGAGGCAGAGATTGCAGTGAGCCAAGATCGCGCTACTGCACTCCAGCCTGGGTGATAGAGGGAGGCTCCGTCTCAAAAAAAAAAAAAAACATATTTAAACAGTGTTAATCGGGATAAAAAAGATCACTGCTGTTCTATTATCGATAGAGGAGCTTGTTATCTACGATGCTTGTGAAGGGTCTCGTCAGGAGTACTGTATTTTCAGCCAGCAACCGTTAACTCTTAAGTCGGAGTAGTTTTGAGGTAATTTCTAATAGTAAAGAGTTTTATGAAAGTTTATTTTCAGATTAAGACCATTCCCTTTTCCAGGTTTACTGGGTACAACAGATCAAGTCTCTTTAAAGAGAAAACACTGTGTGTGTGTGTGTGTGCGCATTGTGTGTGTGTTGTGTGTGATGAGAAGGGATGGAGGGCTTGGTCATGGGGGTCATATGTGTTATTTTCTTTAATCTAGGCGATGCAAACCAGTAATGCAGAATCCTATTGCTCTATAAAAATTTGAATTGCTTGAATCTATTACAAATTTTTGCCAGTGTGCTTCCTGCCTCAAGGATGGTAAGTTTCTCCAGCTTAGGGGAGAACATTCTGTCTCCTCAGTCTTTTTGTTACACCTCCTGGTCAGGCCTTTGTAGAGCAGGTCCTAAGTTTGAGTAACAAAAGGCATCACCCCCACAGAACCTGGGTCTCCTAACCAGCACACCGTCTTCACCCGCCCTGGCTGCAATCTCCGAAGCCTTAGGCAGGACGAGGGCTGGCTTTCTGGAACCGTTTCTCTTGTACTCATGATCGCCCTCACAGCCTCTTGTTGTCCTCTGATGTCACTGTACTGGGGTCCTATCATGGGTAATGATGGCAGTGGCAGAAACAAATTTTGTTCCATAAGAAGAACCAGCAGTTGAGACCGAATAAGTAAGTCATGGGTAACAAACGACTTTATCTCAACATAACTAACAATAAAGAAACTCCACGTATGGTAAAAAATTATCAAAGATTTTTTGAAAAACCGATTTGGGTAAACTATTTTATTCATTTACTGCCTCCACCATGATTAGAAGCATTACATGCAATCAAATGAAGTCATTTTATTCCCTTTTTTATGGGCTTTATATAGGGAAGAGTAACAGCAGCCACAGCAGAGATTCATTCTCCTCTTGCTTTAATTGCAAAAGTGACACAAACATATCTTAAGGAGGTAAAACCTGGCTTCCAAGTCATTTTAAATTCATTAGTTTCCCATGATTTATGGAAGTTTTGTTTCTTTTGTATTTTAAAGAACGTTCTAAAGATGAGACTTTCAAAGGTGGGCAACTTTAAAAACCATTGCTAGTAGTGGCTCATTTAGTTTCTATACAGTTATTTGTAGGTGTTAGAGTGTAGTCTATGGTAAAAAAAAATTAAAAGCAGACTTCCTGGTAAGTTAATTTCAGTAATTCAAGAGCAATAGAATTAGCTCAGGGTTTCTCAATCTTGGCACTATCCACATTTTGGACTGATAATTCTTTCTTGTGGGAGGCTCTCGTATAGGACAGATGTGCAGCATCCCTGGCCTCTACCCAACCCCTTCCCTGGCTGGTCATTTTCGTCAAAAATGCTTCCAGACATTGATAAACATCCCCAGGGGGGAAATTCCCCGGCCCACCCCCACACCCCAGTTAAGAACCAGTAGATTAGCATAATATCCAAGAAATATTTAAAACCATGAGTAATATAACAATAAAACTAAAACAAAACAAAATCCTGTTCCTAATAATAGAGATAATATATTTTTAGTTTTCCAAATGAAACTATGTAGATGAACTGACTACAAAAGGGACGATTTTCTTTCTAGGAACAGAAAAGATGGGATGTCTGTCCTTCATGCCATCTCAGCCTTTAACTGTTTACTTGGTTCATTACTTTTATGCAGATTGCTAAAACTCAAAAAGATTTTCTGAAAACTGGGTTTGTTAACTGTCAATCTGGAGGTTGTAACGAAAGCATTTTTGTTAACAGACATTTTCCCAAGGTCTGTGGCAAATGTAAAAGTTTATACCACTGAAGAGACATAATTCTGAGGAAAGGCAAAATATATGGGGGCTAAAGGAAATTAATTTCTATGAAGAGATTTTCTACTATTAAATCTGTGTTTGTGAGCAATGTTTGTGAGTAATCTGGACTAAGCATTATATGGATACATAGCAGGTAGAAATAATAACAAATTGCTTCAAATGGCTTTGGAAAAGAAATTGCAAATGAATTTGAATTTGCAAATTCAAATTGCAAATTGCAAATTGAATTTCACAATCTGATGTCTTCCAGATTGTGAAATACATCCTCTGATGAATAAGTAGAAGCCCAATCTTGATATCAGTAAGTTAAAAAGGTTCTGCAAATAACACGCACCAATATGATCCAACTAGCAAGGGAAAAAAGTAGGGTTAATATTGAAAATATCTAACAACTGGAATTGACATAGGTACCAAACAATCCCAAGGGTTGCTGATCATATATCCACCTGTACTGGTGTATATCTACCAAATATCAGCCCTAGAAAAAGGCAAGGTGCAGAGTAGAGGTTTCCATCTGTGTGAAAAGTGGGAGAAGGAAGGGTGTTTGTTTGTGAATATGTGTGTGTTTATGTTTGCATATGCACCGGTTAGCAACATACATAGGAAACTGGTGACAGTGATTGCCTCTAGAGAGAACTAGGGAAGGTCACCATGTAGTTTATTATTTGAGGAAGATCAGTTTGAGATTAAAACGGAACATTGCTAATCATTATTCCAGAACAACAGGTATAAACTCATACTGTACTGGTAAATGAGGACATCAGCGTAGCCTAGAACTGGGGAACTAAGTTAAGGAGTTATAGAAGGCTTACTTTCCACTCTATCACTCAAGAATATATTACCCCTACCCTTTTTTAAGTAAAAATAAAAGTACTAGATAATTGAATAGATATTCAATCTACAATGAAATCAGAATGAGAGAATGTCCATTTTAAAAATCATTTTTGCTTTTTCTATCATTACGCTTAAAGAAAAAAACTACCTATTATTGTTACGATTAAGGGTGAGTCTGGGTGTTGAACATTTTATCTACTAAACTTATTAACAGTCATCATGATTAAACAATCTCTAAAGCTAAGAAGCCAATATTAGTGATTACATAGTTGCAGAGTTCAGGCTACTGATTTGCCAGACATATTAGTGGCTAAGGGGCTCTAAGATGTCCTGCATAGGAACATGTTGCTCTTTCTTTCCCTGTCTTTCAACATCCAGTGAAAAGTCTCACAGTGTAGGTAAACCAAACTTAAATATCATAACTCTATTATGTTATTCAGGAGTACATTAGTTCTAGCTACTTTGATTTAAAATTCGGACATAACATTAATGATTGTAACTTCGGAATTTGGTCACATAGAGAAATAATGTTTTGTGACTAGCAAATTAGAAAAACAGAGATGGCAGATAATTATTACATATATATTACGTGCAATTCTTATCTAAGAATTTTACATGCCTTTGCCCATTTAATCCTTATTTTAAAACAAAAACCCTGTGAGCTATAGGTACTGTTATTATTCTCATTTTAAAGATGTAGAAAACTGAGCCTCAGAGAGGATAACTACCATGCTAGATCACGTGGTTAGTAAAATGGCAAAGTCAAGGTTTGAACTCAAGTCATAACCCCAGAGCCTGTGCTATTAACTTTGACATTGCACTGCTTCCTGGGTCTGGGTTGGCAGCTGAGAGACTTACGTTCCAATCCAAATCTACCACTTCCATATTTTCTAAACCAAAGCCAGGACATTGAGTTTGATCATGGGCTAGGGTATTTCATGGGTTTTCCTCCATGAAATCCAAGACATAAAGTTGCCACCTAAGTAGGATACCACTTAAAACTCTTGCTTTCCATTTCCTCACCGATGCAGCGAGAGAAGGGACTACAGAATGACTAACATTTCACTTGATTTATAAAAATCAGAAATCCTCCAATGTGTCAGGTACTCTTTAAAGTGTTTTACACACAGCAAGTTGTTTAATTTTCCTAACAGTCCTATGGCTACACATTATTATTCCCATTAGGGAGGTGAGAAAACTAAGCCTAAAGAATTTTGATGCCTTTTGTCCAAGGTTACATAGCGAGTAAGATTCAAACCCAGGCCACCTGGTTCCTAAGTCTGTGCTTAGTCACTCAGCTATGTAGCCTCCTGTTATAAATCTGGGATATACATTATATGATATGGAATTAAGTCTAGAATAAAAGGCATCTTCCACAGAGACAGACTTCCTTCAGTTAGGGGGCAAATTTTTGTTCTTGGTACTGCCATAATTATGCCCCTTGTAGTGACGTTTGGGGTCCTCTGCAACTCTGATCTCTCTGAAGGTTCAGGGAAGAACCCATTCTCTCCTATTCCCTCCCCCAAGCACCCAAATTCTCCCTTGTTCTGCTGTCTTCCTGCCTCTTGCCTTCAGGAATTGCTTGAGGATTTGAGGAAGTCAGGGGTGGTAGAAAAGTGGCAAAGGGAGGAAAGGTAGAAAACAAGCAGTTTCCAACAACTCAGATAAGGGAGGTAAATTAAAGTTACAAAATTCAAGTTGGAATTTGCTGCTCTGTGTTAGCTTTTCTGTTCCTGCCTAAATCCCTAGCCTCCTACCCTGCTACAGTTTGGTATGGACAGAAACTCTTGCTGAGGGCACCATTTCTTGTAAAATCACTATGCACAGTATTAATCTCAGTGCCTGCCCTCATTCTCCAAGCATATATTAGAATCCTGAGGGAGCCAGGCCCTGGTCTAGGTGATGCAGGGATACAAAAAGAAATGAGACATTTTCTGGACTTCAGAGCCCCAGATACACCTGAGTTTGCCTGCCTGTGCTCACAGTTCCTACAACTGTTAGGTAGCATGTTCAAGGCCTGGAGTTGCTACATAACAGTTCTAATAATAATTTCCATATATTGAACCCATATTGTACACCAGACAGGCATTTTACAAATTCCATGTTTAAAGCACATGACAATTCTGGCTAGGATTTAAACCCAGTTCTCATGTCTGGCCATGCCATCCTCCTGCAGTTCCAGCCTCATTTTCCTTTCTTGTGAAATGGGGTTAAATAATGTCATTCTTTTAGAACTACTGTAAGAATGAGACGGGATGATATAGAACAAAGCACATGTATTTACCCCCCACTAAATGGTAGTTCTCATCACTCTAAGAGGAAATAGCATAGGGGCTTATAGAAGCACCTGAAGTGTGCATGAGTCAGGAGGTGGGAGCAACCTTTCCAGCTGGAGGGACCTGGTTTTGCACCTTGAAAGATGAAATGTGCCTGGGTATGGGGCAATGAAAGGTGGGGGATGAGAGGTAGGAAAGCATGTTATGGGTGAACTTTAAAGCATGAAAAGGGAAATTGTCATGGCCACATTGGTTAACTTCAGTGATTTTTTTGAAGCCTCCAATTTTGAAATATTTCTAAAAGAACTAAAAATTTAAACTCCTTGCTTTTGAGACAAAGAGCAAACACACCATTAACTTTCCCAGGTAAAATGGGATTACATTCACAGAGAAAAATGAATGCCTATTATCTTTGCTAAGTAATACCTAAATTCTAGACAAGCAGGGGAGACTCAGTAAAAGCACCTCTGAGAAAAAGGGATGACTGTGGAAAGAAAGGTCTGGAAATAAGACTGACAGCCTGTCCCTATTACCTCTTCCTTATCTTCCCCCTTGTGCCTCCAGACCATAACCTCTAAACAGAACAATTCTGAAAGTGAGTACAATCGCCTGCTAGTATGGATACAGGTGAATCTTTAGTGCTAAATAATTACAAATAAGGAGAAGAAGTCATTTTATTACTTACTTATAAAAATGAGCAAGGTTTTTCTGCCACATCTCCCTGTTAACAAACAGAACTTCAATGTGGATAGAAGCAAAAAAAAATACTCTTGCAAACCACAGAGATGTATGTTAAACATGGCCATGCTGTATGAAGCACACAGCCTCAATTTACAGAAGAACTTACTTTCATTTTTTAAAGGTAGTTTCTACTTAAGAGTTTCAATTATAAAATATGGAAGAAATCTTTTTTTAGTCACTTCCATATTTTTTCAAGTGAAACTTTAAAAATAAATAATACCAAGTTAGAGTAAATCCAACAAGATAGCTAGAGAAACAGTGAGAATAAAGAAAGGATTTGTTCCTTAAGTAAAAATAAGCAAGTCAGTCCGAGATAAGCAAAAGAAAAAGTATATGCACAACCATAGCCTTCCTCTTTCAAGAAACTCTCGCAACTTATTTTGCCAGAGAGGAAGATAAATGTTACAATATCTTGCTAACCAATCAGCAACGCTGCAGGCCTCAAACCAGGAAGCTCTGTAAGGTATAGTATTTTAAACTGTGCAAGTAAGACTTTTGTCTCTCAGCTATTTTTTGTTCCCTATGTTTGTAGGATGGAAAGGCAGATGTAAAGTCCCTCATGGCGAAATATAACACGGGGGGCAACCCGACAGAGGATGTCTCAGTCAATAGCCGACCCTTCAGAGTCACAGGGCCAAACTCATCTTCAGGAATACAAGCAAGAAAGAACTTATTCAACAACCAAGGAAATGCCAGCCCTCCTGCAGGACCCAGCAATGTACCTAAGTTTGGGTCCCCAAAGCCACCTGTGGCAGTCAAACCTTCTTCTGAGGAAAAGCCTGACAAGGAACCCAAGCCCCCGTTTCTAAAGCCCACTGGAGCAGGCCAAAGATTCGGAACACCAGCCAGCTTGACCACCAGAGACCCCGAGGCGAAAGTGGGATTTCTGAAACCTGTAGGCCCCAAGCCCATCAACTTGCCCAAAGAAGATTCCAAACCTACATTTCCCTGGCCTCCTGGAAACAAGCCATCTCTTCACAGTGTAAACCAAGACCATGACTTAAAGCCACTAGGCCCGAAATCTGGGCCTACTCCTCCAACCTCAGAAAATGAACAGAAGCAAGCGTTTCCCAAATTGACTGGGGTTAAAGGGAAATTTATGTCAGCATCACAAGATCTTGAACCCAAGCCCCTCTTCCCCAAACCCGCCTTTGGCCAGAAGCCGCCCCTAAGTACCGAGAACTCCCATGAAGACGAAAGCCCCATGAAGAATGTGTCTTCATCAAAAGGGTCCCCAGCTCCCCTGGGAGTCAGGTCCAAAAGCGGCCCTTTAAAACCAGCAAGGGAAGACTCAGAAAATAAAGACCATGCAGGGGAGATTTCAAGTTTGCCCTTTCCTGGAGTGGTTTTGAAACCTGCTGCGAGCAGGGGAGGCCCAGGTCTCTCCAAAAATGGTGAAGAAAAAAAGGAAGATAGGAAGATAGATGCTGCTAAGAACACCTTCCAGAGCAAAATAAATCAGGAAGAGTTGGCCTCAGGGACTCCTCCTGCCAGGTTCCCTAAGGCCCCTTCTAAGCTGACAGTGGGGGGGCCATGGGGCCAAAGTCAGGAAAAGGAAAAGGGAGACAAGAATTCAGCCACCCCGAAACAGAAGCCATTGCCTCCCTTGTTTACCTTGGGTCCACCTCCACCAAAACCCAACAGACCACCAAATGTTGACCTGACGAAATTCCACAAAACCTCTTCTGGAAACAGTGAGTTCTTTTCTCGTTTGCTATTCAGTATGGTTTACTCCAAGGCAGAGAATGTTTTAGCTTCTGGGGAAAGTTTTGTAACAAGGAATGATTCTCTATATCTGGTACTCATATGTGTATAATGAATTTTCTTTGTCTTGTTTTTTTCTTTCATGTGGGAGGTCTGGGAAAGTAGGAAGTCTTCATTCTGTGAGAAAATGCCTTGGTCAGCTGGGGTTTTGTTGGGGGAAGGGAGAGGGAATGCATCCACTTCATTGATACGTGGTTTTGCTTAATGATAACCATTGTATTTACTTCCTTTGTTGGGTTTCATTTCTGTTGAATGAGACTGAGGTATGTTACCCCTATCAACACAGAGGAGTTAGACAGAAAATGAGCTATCCTGTAGGTCAGCAGTTCCCAAAGGGAACAATTTTGACCCCCAGGGGACATTTGGCAATGTATGGAGGCATTTTTGATTGCCACAACTGGAGGGTGCTACTGGCCTCTAGTGAGTAGAAGCTAGGGATGCTATTGAACATCCTACAATGGCCAGGACAGTCCCACAACAAAGAATTATTCAGGCCATAATGTCAATAGTACAGAGATGACAAGCCCTCCTTTAAGTGACTGCAAATATCCACACAATTCATCATGTTTCCTAAGCCCAGTATTCAAATGAGAAAGGAGCAGTACTCATGAAATGGTACTTTGTGTTTCACATTTTAGCTATTTTCCATTTCTCAGTATAAAGTTTTCTGAACTTTTATGATTCATAAAGTAATATATAGTTAGGAAAATGAGCCAGACAAAGGAGTACTTTACTCTCCTTTCGGGTAAATAGTTTAAATTTCTACCAGAGATATCACTGCAATTCTCTTGGATGTGGTACTGAGTGACTGCATGTAAGAAGCTCACACATGCCTGAGATGATTAATATTTTAGGTAAATGATGTGCAACTGTTGTTTATTGTGAGGGGGAAACAAGATGCCTACAGGTGACCACACTACTTGTAGTCGCATCTTTCTCCTTACCGAAGTATGGTCTAGTTAAAGCAATTCTAAGCCTAAAGGTTGTTTTTCGTTTTTGCACTGTAGAAACATCTTGCGATATGTTATCTTCCTGAGTTCAGTATTCTCCTTGTTCGTAAACAGCTTAGTGATCAAGTCCTCTGCTAATTCAAACACACAGAAAGCAAGTTTGGAATGATCCCATGACCATCTGTCTTCCAGAAAGGTTCATCCTTGTTTCACATTGCATCTCCTCCTCATCTGTCATCTTGTTTCATTACCAGGTCATAATTCAGAACTATTATTTTTGTGAGACTTTCTAAAAGGTCCCTTATTTCTCTTATTTCTTCACCTCGGATAAAAAATTTAGTATTATGACCTCCATTTTATGGCTGTGACTTCACACCAGGGAAGGAGTTCTGATGTTAGGCAGAAATCCCTGGGAACTTTCTTCCATCTTTGTTTCACTCCCGCTCCAGTGTGGGTGGTGGCAGAGCATGGTGGTAACACATGTTGCCCGGTGTCACGCTTTTCAGTGAGTTGCCACAAATGCTAACCAAGTCCTCTTTCTGACTCTGAAGGCCTGACAAGGTCTGATTTTTAGTGAAGTAAAGCTACAAGGGACCCAGGCAGAACTGCAGAGCAGACGGAGTTTATCCTTGTTCTCCTTCTCCTCTCCTTTGCAACCCTCCCCTGCTCCTGAATGCTTCCTCACTGTCAGTAGCCCATGCCACAGTTCACATTTTAAATCCTGTCATCAGTGTAACCCCCTCAACATCTGATGCCTTGAGATGTATTATGCTCCAAAATGTATCCTGTTCTCTATTCATTCACCTCTTCCACAAATCAAAACTCAATCCCTCTTAATCTAGATTGACCTCATTTGATATCTGGATTAAGCAATCTGATTCATAACTTTAAACTCTGAATAATACCCCTTTAAAGCATTCACCTTTTTAAAAAGCATTTGAATTCTTTTATCTTTTAAGTAGAAATTACATTCTGACTGAAAAAGCAGTAAGTGTAAAATGGTGTACAGTGAAGCTACCTTTAACCCTTGTCTGCCACTTTCTGGGTCTTTCCAGCCCCTACCCCATAGAAACCACTCTTCTTAATTTCTTATATGTCCATCTGAAGTTTCTTTATGTTCACAGAAGCAAATATGAACATAAATACTACCCCCCACCCCGGCTTTTTACTCATGAAGTAGAATATTATGTGCAATGCTCTGATCCTTGTATTTTTAAAATAAATAAATCCTGTATATCTTTCCACATTTTAATAAAGAGTAACTGATTATTCTCTAGAGTTGCATAATACTTCAGTAAATGGGTGACAAGCTTAATCAATTTAACAATTTGTGTTGTTTCCAAAAGCGTTCTTTTGCAACAATACTGCAGAAAATAAACTCGTGTATGTGTCATAAAGTAAGCATTTATTTTCTGAACACAAAGTTTTTTAAGTCAGGTCTGCTGACTCTTGATCCTGCCACTGCTATTTTTCTTAAACAATGCTAGAAATACTAAGTAATTTACCATTTCATTTAGGAAGGTTAAAATATATCAGAATTAGAAAGTATATGTTCATTTTATATAACTGGATAAGCAATATAAAGAAAAGAATTAAATTTCTGTTGTAGCAAAATTTTTTAAAATTCTGAAATTCTATTTTTTATAATTCTGGAGTATGTAAGTAGAAAATAAATAATTATTAAATAATTAAATAATAATATACATATACGTATACATAAACATGTGGTATATTGTACGTACAGTCTTTAGATGGGAAAATTCTTTATTAAGTGTAATTATCGCCCCCATTTCACAAATGAGTGTTGAGATGTGACATAACCAAATCATATATCTGAGGCTAAAATCCAAGTCTTCAGATTGCAAGTTTAATACTTTCTCCATGTACCATCGTGCCCCTGTATGTATGTTTGCATGTTTATGTTTAAAGCATAAGTGTATTATTTATTTATATAGAATATATATGCAGATATTCCTTGACTTGTGATCGGGTTACATCCTTATAAACATTCTTAAGTTGGAAATATTATAAACTGAAAACACGTTTAATATACCTAACTACCAAATGTCATAGCTTAGCCTAGCCCACCTTAAACATGCTCTGAACACTTACATTAGCCTACAATTGGGCAAAATCATCTCACACAAAGCCTATTTTATAATAAAGTGTTGACTATCTCATGTAATTTATTGAATACTGTACCATGGTTTCTACTGAATGCATATTGCTTTTGTACCATCATAAAGTCAAGTAATCATTAATTTGAACTGTCATAAATAGGGCACCATCTGTGTATGTATACATATTATTACTAATATGTACATGGGATTTTAACTTTTTTCAAAGGACTTTCAAAATGTTTATGTCTTTTATTACTTATAATGTCCCATGAATTAGATACAGCAGTTTAATGAACCCATTTTAAACCAATGTGCAGAGTTGCCAGGTTATCTATTAGTAATGTTATTAATGGTACAGAGCCTAGCATGAGAGTTGTTTGCCATATAATGTAGACTTCAAAGTCAGTGGACCTGGGGTTTAAGCATGACTAATGTACTAGCTATGTGACCTTCGCTTTACCTCTTTCCGTGTATGTCTTTCTTCATTTGAAAAAACGAGTATAATACCACCTACTTCGCCAGCACATTATAATCACTACATGAGATTCGTTGTAAGTGCTTAATACAGAATTTGACATATAATAGTATCAAAATAAGTGAGCATTGTCTATAATTTTATTACTTTTATTAGCATTAAAATTTTATCACCAGCCCCATGATATTCTGATCATCTTATAGTATAAATCATTTTATATTATACTATATTATTCTAGGAATCATGAAACTGCATTTTACTTACTTCTGTTTGTAATATAGAAATGTATTTGTGATTTATGATGCCAGAGTCAAACAATGATTGTTGGAAGAGAGGTTTCCCACCAGAAGTCCATGAAATTTCTGCGCTCAGATGCCTCCTTCCCTACAGCAAAGGCTGGTAGAGAGCAGTAGGCGGCACCCAAGTGGCACTAGGTCACAAGTGCCCCCAGATTTTGCCATCTCCTACTGGCTGAAGCCAAGCGAAGGCATCTGACTCAGCCAAGCAGAGGTGGAGAGGCTGCAAAGCCAGTATAGATGGCTGTTATCCCAAGACACTGGTATTATCAAAGGCAGTTTTCGAAGGTCATTGTTTCCAGAGTGCATTTGCTTTCCCCATTACCTGTCAACCTGGAAGAAATAAATAAATGTGGCCAATGGATTTGCTCTGGATTATGATTGGCCACAGCTGCTTAGATTGGCAACTTCCAGGGAAAATGCTTCTTAGTGTGCTGCTACAGACCCTAAAATTTTTTGAGATTGGAGTTTTTACATGAACTCCAACAAAAAATGCCCTAAACACACCTGACTAGGCATGAATTTTCATATAACAGGGCTTCCAGATAAATTATTTGCTGCATGGTATAATTAGAAAATTATTTATTTGCTTGTAATAAAATGGGAAAGAAGAGAGATTCTATGCTTTAGAAAAAATGAGATTCTATTACTAAATATTTATTCACTAAGATTTAATAGTTATTGACGGGAGCAAAATGAAATGCCTTGCTCAGTGAATGCAGAGACTCCAAAAAGACTATTTTTTCTTGTTAGAAGTAATTATACTAGTGTTCAAATTAACAAACATTCATCTAATAACTCTATATGCCTTTTAAACTAATACTGTTTTCATAGCCTTCTACCTCATTTCTTCCTTTCCAGGTTCTCATCCAATTCTTTAAACCTCTTCCCCAGATATACCCTCCATCTCATCATCTTTGCCCAATGTATTAACTGTTAAAAATATTCATCATTTATTGAGGACTTGCTATATACCACATACACATTATGCCGTTTATTCCTCTCAAGCCATGAATAGGAATTCTATGAGTAAACTAAAGCTCAGAGAGGTTAGGTAACTTGCCCAAAGGCATAACATGACTAAACAAGGCTGGGGTCAATCTCATGTCTTTCTGATTCCGCAGACTGTGTTCCCACCCGCATTCCACTTCCTCGTGCTGGGCTGCCTCTCTTCAAACACAGAATATCACAAGACAATGAATCAAGCATAAATGAAACTCCCAAAATCCTCATTCCTCTCCCTTTCTGTGGCCTTTGGTTGAAACATGCCTTTTGTTTGTTGTCTGTTTTGTAAATACCACTATAAGCTCCATGAAGACAGAAGCCAGTCTGCTTGCCATTCTCTCATTTGGAGTACAAAAGTAATATAAATTTTTGTTAGCTTCTCAAGTTTATTCTTTCACAGAATTCTATTTAACCAGACCGGGTGCGGTGGCTCATGCCTGTAATCCCAGCACTTTGGGAGGCCGAGGCGGGCTGAACACCTGAGATCAGGAGTTCAAGACCAGCCTGGCCAACATGGCGAAACCCCAAAAATACAAAAATTAGCCAGGCATAGTGGTGCGCACCTCCCAGCTACTCAGGAGGCTGGGGCAGGAGAATCATTTGAACCCAGGAGGTGGAGGTTGCAGTGAGCCGAGATTGCACCACTGCACTCCAGCCTGGGTGACAAAGCGAACCCTATCTCAAAAAAAAAAAAAAAAAAAGAAAGAATTATATTTAACTAGAATTTATTTACTCCCAGATTTTGTTCAGTATTAGATTTTAATACTCTATAGCTTAGCAATTGTTTTAACACAATAGATAACCCCTGCCAGTAGACTTGTACTCAACTGAATGGAGCTTGGACACAAAATAAATGTTATAAGAGAGGGTCTATCTTGCAGATCTATTGAGCTCCCTTCCTTGTAAACTGTAAGCTTGACTCTAACATGTTGCTTTCTGATCATGAAGCTAAATTTTTTTTTCCTAAGAACAATTTAAGGTTACAAAAGACTAAACGTTTTTTTTAAAAAAACCCAAAATATCAAAATATTCTCTGAACTAACCTTTCCTTTGCTTCCTTTTGGGTCCTGAGCCAGTTCTGAAAGGGCTTCTTCCCATGTGTCAACACAATGCCTCACCAAAGTTTGGGTTCATAAGAATCCCTGGCCTGACTATTGGTTTGCATGTATGATTTAGTAAAAACCTGCTGGGAAATATTCAGTTTGACCCTTTTTTCTAGTCTTGTTCTTAATACTGCTGAGAGACCAAGACTGATTTTTTCCATATGTTAGCTATAGGAATGATCAGTTAAGCACCTTGACAGCAACAGGTGTAAGGCGAGGGCCCCAGAGGGCATTAACAAAAGACTGATGGCCCCCTCCTCATCTGTGTATGTATCATTTAACTAATCCAGCCTACAACAACTTGAAACCAAAAGGTGCCTGGGCTATTTTCACCAGCAAGTAACTTGTTTCCAGGAGTGGGTAAGATTTTCCTTCACAGGCCCCAAAGCTATCACCTTTCTTTTTCCCCCCATTCTCCTTTTATGTGTACTCTCTTAACATGACCTTATTAGATATTTACATATTGAAAACTGTTTTATATCAGCATGTGGCAGTATTTTCCAAATTGTTGCTCCTAGCCACCACAGGGAAAAAGGATTCTATGTTCACATTTTAGAAACGTAGCGGTAAGTGCTATTCTTTAAAGCAAGATTTCTCCAAGTATTAATATGTCACTGTGCACTGGGAACGTAAGAACATGATACAAAAAGAAGAGATCCCGGGATGCTTTGACTGAAACGGCTCACAGACTGGACTATTACAGGACACTGAATCACTGGAGGCAAAGCTCTCTCATACACAGACTGGAATTTGGAGTTGCTCAACGGCGTGGTTCAGCTTCGGGTAACAGCCAGGCCCTCAGCACACCCTGCACGCTCGTTCTCCCAGGACCTGGTGCACACTTTGTGGCTGGTGTCACTCTTCTTTTTACTCCAGCCCGAGCCCAATTTATTCCACCCACCCTCCTTAATCCCTGAAAAAGCAGTTGTCCAGAAGACCTCCAGGGCTTCTTCCTTCTGGTGCATGTTGACGTGTCTGAGGAACACACTTACTATTAATCAGGCAGCTTACCTGGGTTTAACCCCATAATCGAAATGCCTCAGAAAGACTCTCTTCCCTTAACCACACTGTCCCTGGTCAAATTTTACGAACTACCCCTATTAATCTTCCCTCTTTGAAACTTCTTTCTTCTGCTCTTCTAAGATAAGCCAGCAAACAAACTGTTCCCTCTTGTTTCCTATCCCAGCAGCATCCGTTGGTCTTTTTTAATGCAAGATATCCTCCCTTCCTTCCTTCCTTCTTTCCTTCCTTCCTTCCTTTTTCTGTCTTTCTTTTTTATTTTTTGAGACAGGGTCTTGCTTTGTCACTCAGGCTGGACTGCAGTGGCACAATCACAGCTCACTGCAGCCTTGAACTCCTGGGCACAAATCCCTCCACTTCAGCCTCCCGAATAGCTGGGACTACAGGCACATATTACCACGTCCAGCTTTAGTATTTTTTAAATTTTTTGTAGAGACAGAGTCTTGCTTTGTTGTCCAAGATGGTCTAAAACTCCTGGCCTCAAACAATCCTCCTGCCTCAGCTTCCCAAAGTGCTGAGATTACAGACATGAGCCACTGCACCCAGCTAATGTTTCATTTTTATAAGCAGTCTACATGGTCTTTATTTCAAGATTCTGGCATTTAAATTTACTGTGGAGAAGTATGCAGACAACCTAAATTTCCCTCTTTGAAAATGATTTGCTTTTCTGCCTGGATTTCCAAAGAAATCTTTGTCCTTAAGGTCAAGAATCTTAGCCAGGATATGTCTGTGTCAATCATTTTATCAGTATTCTCTCAGGCTCTCAGGAATTTACTGTGCTATATGAATAGGGGTCACACTAGTTCTTTTGATCTGGCTGATGGATGACAAGTGCATCTGCAAGTTCTAATCCAGTGTGATAAATTTGCCTTCCCCTCAGAATTGCGATTTGAGTTCTGAGTGTGACTTTGAATCCACTCTTCTGTGGCATAAATGTTAGCTGTGCTCGTCTCCAGGGTAGTCCTTACTGGGGACCCAGATTCCGTTCCATTTTCTGAGATCTCATTCAGTGCCCTGTACCAGGGCAGGGCCAGCCCTGGCAGCTCATCCCCCTTCTGCCTCTCGTGTGATCCTGTTGTGGTATTTAGGACTTTTATGCTGAAGGATTTTCCTTGACCTTCCCAGGCTGCTCACTCACCTTACAGTTTGCTTCTCCAACCTGGAGTGTATTAGAGAGAATTCACAGGCTTGTCTAGAACCACTGTCTTCCCCCAGTATTGCTTCTGGATGTAGAGAACAGGTGGGAAGGTTAGCTCTCCTCCGGTGGCACCAGAACCTTCTATTTCTTCCCTTAGCCATGACTTTTTGAAGTTTATGCATGATGTTATCTTCCCTTTCTTGTGAGGTGACCGCTAGTGAGTTTTAGATAATGTTTGCCTTGACTTATTTTCTTTTTTAGTATTTTTAACTTGGGAATTGGAGGAGGGACACTCTGAAATTTCCCATCCTCATTTTTAAATACCAACTAAATACTTAAATTATAGTCTAAGGATCAACATTTCCAAAAAGATCATCGATTTGCTCCCTCACAAGGCAGACAGCAAGATGGCAGAACTATTAATAACATGCATTGAGTGCCCACCCCAAGCCTTGTTCCATGCTCTCTGGACCATGCTCACTGGTCAAGGACACTCAGGTGTCCTCTAACCCCTCCCCAAGTCTCCTACTCTGAGGAGTCTTGTGGACATGATCCCAGTGGGGTATGGGGAAGTTCCAGGTCTGGATGCCTGGACTGTGATAGAGTCTGCCCTCTCCTAACCTGCAAATGCCTTGAGGGCCATCATTGTGTAAGCCTTTAATCAGCCAATCCACTTAGAGGAGGAGGTGAACAGAACACTGGATGGGAGAGTGAGCCACGACAAGGGGAAGGCCCCTGGAGCTGGCCTATGAGAAAGGTAGATTCCTCAACTTCAGAGACTTTGCCATTGAAAAGTTCCCTTGGCACATTTAGGGTCCTGGTTCCCTGCTGCACACTCAATTTGACCTTCAAGATTCTTTCTGCTCAGGCACCAGCTATTCTTTTAATATTAACTTTAGCTCAACAATAGTCCATACTTATCATTTAGTTTACAGGGAAGAGTTCCCTTAATATAGTTATCCTCACCCTGCTTTAAGAGGAACTGTCGCTTTTCTTAGTTATGTGAAAGGAAGTTTCCAAATAGCATAGCTTAGGGCAATATGCCATGATTTGCCCTTGTTATAAGAACTCTTCCTGCAATCAAGAGGATAAAACTGATATATGTTTAAGCATCTCAAAAAATAAGAAAATATTGCCCATTCAACTGGCATTGTATCAACTTTAGTAGCCTACAAGAAGATATGACCACTTGTAATATAAATAAATGTTTTTACAGTTGCTGAAATAAATAAAATTTGAAATACATTACCCTCAAATAAAGTATGAGATGCATTGTGAGATGATTTACCTAATTTGATCAAAATTATATAACCTCTAAAATATTAAAAGCATTAAAATGAAATTATAATTTACTTCAAAAAAGGAGAGCGAAAAGAAATTTTAATGAAATACAAATACATATGAGTATAATAATTAAAAATAAAGGCTCTTTCTGACTTCCTTTCGATTGTGCATACACACATCAAATGTTTAAAACTAGCTAAGAATATTGGACAAATGTATGTGTTATGATTCAGTCTGCAGGAGGTGCCTTGTTTCATACAATCTGCTAAAACAATTTCCAAGCCAAGTCAAATAAAACCCTTTTATAAATGATTAGATGATAAATACGCTTTTGCCATTAAAGGCTTCTTCTTTGCCTTGATTAAAACTATTTCTGATATGATGGATTTCTATGCCAGAAGAATGTCTTTGTGCATGCTTTTTGTTTTGAAAACAAAATGAAATTGACTTCTTTAACAAAAGAGTAATTCCAGCTATTGGAAGAACAAAATTATGCCTCATGAGCAAAAATCCATCTATCTATTTTTACAAAAATACTGGAAATTTTCTGTCCTTTCAGACAAGGCACAATAATGATATTTATGGCGTGGCTTTAAAGTCCAGGGAATCATCTAGAACAATAGATTATTTGTTTTTCCAGCATCTGAGGAATAAGGGACAGAAAAAGAGTTAAAAAGTTGGAGACATTTAACTGCTATATTAACCACTAGTAAATAGATAAGAAATATGTCTCTTTGTTTAAATTGCCACCAAGGGAGAAAGATTATACTTCATTCTGTCTGGCATATCAAAGGTAGAAAAAAACATCTAGAACACTCAATAGCAATAGATATTATCAGGAAAAAGTAACCGAAGATGAGACATCTGGTTATAGAAAAAAATCGAAACCAAAAACCATACGAGGTTTCCTTCTCCCCAAAGTAAGAACCTGCATTGTAGAATCAGCTGTTTGTATTTATTATAACAGTCCACATCTCTCTGCAGCTGCACGACTGCACACCACAACGGCTTTTTCAGCCTTGGTCCTGGCAACAGAGCCTGTGTGTTTCCAGGGGTGGCAGTAGGTCTATGGAGGTAAAGAGGGACACGCTTCTCTTCTCTTTTCTTGTTTTTCTTATAATTATCAGAAGAATAAAACAGCTCCCCTGGTTTTCAAAAGCAACCTGTGTGGCGATATGATTAGTTACAACCAGGCAATTAAAAATCTGTCCCCAAAAAATGGCAAAGCAGATAAATCTCTCAGACAGACATCCATACCATGTTTGAGTATTTGTTTTTCTTATTCTGGAATAGAAGGTAATCGACAATTATTGGGAGGAGAAAGAAACCTGTATTTGTGGAAAAAGAATCTCCCTTAGTGTTTGTTTTACAATCCTGCAGTACTTCCTATTTCTCTTCGAAATTGTCACCTTTAAAAAGTTGAGGTTGCCTCATGTGCTCTCAGTCATTGAGGATCTAGATTGCAGCTTCTCCAGGACTTCTGTTTCTCCCACCTCTCCAGCCTCTCACTTCTGGTTCATCTAGAAACCAGATGTGAGATGTATGTGTGTAACAAAGCCAACATCTCTCTCTCACACACACACACACACACACACAAATAAGCATGGTTTGCTCCTCAGTCATTTTTCAAAAAGCAGTTTTATGTGGAAGGAGAATAAGGCAAGCCTTTAGAATGCATTTCAGTAATCGCTGTTTCTTTGAGTTAAAGAGAATTTTCTAGACCTGATACAAGCCATTTAACAAGCAGCAAGTTTCATTTCTTTGTAGCAAGGGGCTGCCTTTGATTTCTCTGAATCTGGGAGTTCTTAGTCCTCATGGGGAGAAATTAGTTGTTCTCGGGCTGAGTGGCATGCAACCAGGTACAGTGTCCAGTTCTCCCACTAGGTCTGTACCTACCAGCTGGGGGCCCTGCTCTCCCCACTAACCCTAAGATTGTCCATAGCTCCTCAGGATTGGGTGGAGCAGCCTGTGCTACAAAACCTAGCAAGGAACATTCCATCACCTGCCCCCAACCAACTTTCTCCCTCCCATTTTCCCACTTTCTTCTTCTTTCTCATCTTCTAAACTGTGTTCTTTCTCAAAAATCTTAATTCTTTTTTATTCCTTCAACCATCATTGCAAATCTCCCTTCTTTTCGGTCAGTGAAACCCACAGAAAATACTGGGCTTTATGGAGCAATCCATTTGAAGAGATTGCTGAATTCTGAACTACTGAGAAAGCACAGAGAATTACAAGCATCAACATTATTTTAAAGTAGAAAAGCCAATGTAGGAAATATAAAAGCTATGTTACCGTGCTCCTTAAAATCAGGACAAAGTTAGTTCCAAACATCATCCTGTGTGTTATTCAAAAAATCTGATGCTCTCTGCAGATCTATGAAGGAGCAACTGGCTCAATTTCTCAAGGTCACTTCTAGCTTCCGGCTCCTGCTTCTTCTAACTTGGATGGGTTTGGGGATTGCCCCCCTGACCCTGTGCTATACTGCAATAACCTAAACAAGGACTCAGCAGTTTCCCTTAGTTTTCACTGCAGACCACTTATCAAAGGCATGTGTGTGCAGGACAGGCTTCACCGAAGGTTTGAGGAGCCAGAGGGGTTTACATTGCACCTTGAGCTGGAAAAGTAAAATATTGGCAGTCTCCGTCCTTCAAAAACAGCAGGTATTTTGTAACTCAGGCTCCTGCCTTCTCCCTGTAGCTCACCCTTTTTTCTTTTCCTCATTTCTTTGACCCATCCTTCCCAAAGGCAAAAAAATAAAAGCCAGAACCACTCTTTCCATTTTATTACTCAGAATAGTTCAGCTATCTCCAAGCTGAACCCTTCAACACAGCTGTGGTCTTCCTCTGAATATTAGCAGAAGTTTCTTATTCAAAGGCCTCCTCCCAGAAGAAGTCAGTGGGAAGAGATGGCCAGGGGAGGAAGTGGGTTTATTTTCTGTTGCTATTGATAGTCATTGTATTACTAGAAATGAACTGTTGATGAATAGAATATATTCAGGACAATTTGGTCAATTCCAATGCAAGTACGGAAACTGAGTTGTCCCAAATTGATGTGACAGTCAGGCTGTTTCATCTTTTTTGTTTATTTTCAATGCCTAATAAACAGAGATCCTAAAAAAAAAAAAAAAAAGGAATTCCATAAAAGGCGTTCTTCTGCCAGACCTAGGATTTGAAAGCTTTCAGGTTCTTTCCTGAGTTAAAATATTACAAGGATACCCCAGACAACCAGCATCTCTTACTTGTCTTCCTGATCATTGTGAGCTCTAAATGGATCTCTGAGGAGAAAGATGACCAGGACAGATAGTGGTTCTAACAGTGAATGTGTCATATATTCAGAAGAAGCAAAAGAAAAAACACCAAAATTGTGCCTTCATCTTTCAAAGGTTCTTAAACTTCTAGTTGCATAAGAATGTCCCCAAAGTTTTTAGTTCAAGAGGTCTGGGATGGAACTCAGGAATTGGAATAGCTATCAAGTTTCACCAGATGATTCTAATGCAAGGTGTTCCTGGATCACATTAAAAAGTACTGTAGTCAGACGGGCGCAGTGGCTCACGCTAGTAGTCCCAACACTTTGGGAGGCTGAGACGGGCGGATTACCTGAGGTCAGGAGTTCGAGACCAGCCTGGCCAACATGGTGAAACCCCATCTATACTAAAAGTACAAAAAATTAGCCGGGCGTGGTGGCAGGCGCCTGTAACCCCAGCTACTTGGGAAAGTCACTTGAACCCCGGAGGCGGAGGTTGCAGTGAGCCAAGATCGCACAATTGCACTCCAGCCTAGGCAACAAGAGCGAAACTCTGTCTCAAAAAAAAAAAAAAAAAAAAAGTGCTGTAGTTGATGAGAAGGATTAGAGTGGGGGCAGTGGGGCTACGGGGGCTGTGGGGTGGTACGTTGGGGTTAGGTGTGCAAGGGTTGGTGGGGAGATGAAGGGTTTCTAAGCCATAGATATTTTTCTTAAAAGAAATACTGTAACACTGAACCAAGATACTAGCAGTTAGTGATTACATCAAAACATGCAAATGAATGAATAATCCATTTAAGCAAACAAGTAGGTCTGTGGTTGTTCTTGAAAATTTGCTTAGTGAGGGAAAGAGCAAAGGTGTTACTCAAATATCTAACATATTCCATGGCATAGCTCTGACCACTTGGAGTAGCTGAACAAGTTCTTTGCTATGGCAGATAATAACCCTTTAGTTACTGGATCACAAAGAGGTCCAAGGGTTCCTGAGGGATATCGGGGCCTTTGGAGGGCTGCAGCAACTTCACTACTTCAATAATTGGTAGATAGTGCACACCAACTGACCGTCAGCCTGGAAGAGTGGTGACGTGTTCTACCCACAGAACACCTGTAATCAACGACTCTTGCCACCCTCTCCCTCTTTCCTTTCTTTCTTTTTCCTGTTTTCTATTCCCTTTCATTTTCATGTCTTTGTTCCCCCTTCTGCCCTGCATTGGCTTGAGGTTTGTTCCACACAGTGCTTTCAGGTGGCACATATAATTACTATTCATTAAATATAAAAAAAAAAACTTAGCACTACTGGTGGTATGCAAGGCAAAGAAAAAAAATGGAAGCACTACAACAAATAGACTTTGAAAATCTGAATAACTGGGTGTCAGTCTAAGAGCTGCCTCTATGTTGATAAAGGCCATAATGGCGATGGAGCCCACAGTCCTGCCCAAGATGACCACACTTGTTCCTTTAGGAGCTCTCCATGCTTGGTGATACCCCTTCCCACCTGCCCAAACTGACCAGGAAGTCTCAGAGATGAGAGGAGCTAAAAACACTGCATCTTTTTATGCTCCCAAACTGATTATTGCCCAAGTGCAACTGTACTGGCCTAGTTACCCCACTATCTAGATGTCTCATCATTTAGTAACAATGTTCATCTTGTTCTTCAGTGATGTTTTAGTATGTTAAGTACCTAGTCTTCAAAATAGGCTTATACGGTACTTACAAGAAATTAGACCAATGCAAAAGCAAGCTAGGCAGTTGTCCTAAAATCAAGGTGCCTTTCTTTTATAATGCTTTATCGTTGGATCTTCAAAGATAAGCAAGTTGAAGAAAAACACTCTCAAGTTTTCATGCTGTAGACAGACTCCTGTGTTTGTGAGCCTAATGATAAAAGAAGAGGATGAATGTGGCACTGATAAAAACATTTTTTTCAAGCGTGTCACAGTATTTTTGTAAGCTGAAAGCTTTTTTTAAGCTTGCTTTGAAGTTGATAGGAGAACCTGCAAAAAGCGCAATGAGCACTTAACGATCTGTGAGAAGTGAGGTGTATTATGAAGACAGGACCACTTTTTTGTTTTGAAGAATGTAGGAGTTTTCACAATCATTTTTTTTATCATGAGTTAAGAGCAGTTGCTTTGTTATTAGAAAGACTTGGGTTCCAGTACCAGCTGTACCAATTACTGTAGGACCCCAAGGAGGGTTCTCGGCCTCTTTTAGCCTCAGTTTTCTCATCTGCTAATGGGGATAATAAGTCTACTATGTCATAGAATTATTGTTAGGATTAAAAGGAAATGTAGTAAAAACACGTAGCACAGTTCCTAGTACATCATAAAGAAAGACAATAATTGGCAGCAATTTAATTAATATTTTTAAAGGATAAAAGGAGAAAAAACTCAAATAAAGACCCAATGGAAATAGATGAATAATAGATGATAGCTATCAGCTGCTGCCTCAGGGATCAATAATAGTAAAAAAAAAAAAAAAAAAAAAAAAAAGCATCCAATTGTTGCAGGTGTTAAATCACATTTTGTTTTGCTTAAACATAACATAAAGATTTTCATTATCACATCAACTTGATCCTCTTGTAGATGCAGTCTCTTCCTGTGCCTCTCTTGCTGTATTACTCTGTTTCCTTAGGTATAAGTTCTACTCTTTGTTGACTTCAGAGTGCTGTTCTCTCAGTGTTGCCTTTTTTGTTTTGTTTTGTTTTTGAGATGGAGTCTCACTCTGTCGCCAGGCTGGAGTGCAGCGGCACTATATTGGCTCACTGCAACCTCTGCTTCCCAGGTTCAAGTGATTCTCCTGCCTCAGCCTCCTGAGTAGCTGGGATTACAGGCATGTGCCACCACGCCCAGCTAATTTTTGTATTTTTAGTAGAGACGGGGTTTCACCATGTTGGCCAAGATGGTCTCGATCTCTTGACCTGGTGATCCTCCCGCCTTCGCCTCCCAAAGTGTGTGTGTTGCCTTTTCAATGTTTGAAAATTCTTGATTTTGTGTTCATGTTTTAGTGGAGCTTGAATTCAATTGTCCACCGTTTCTGTTTGTGCAGCCCGCTTGAGGGAAGAGAGGGGTGGGGTTAGTGTGCCCGGACATGGGGCACTTTGACAGCCAGTCTTCAATCCAGGTGCTCCTCTTTCCTCCTGGACAAGGCAGCCAGCGGGACTCTGCTCAGCTTCGCCCACTCAAGGGCTCACTCGTAGTTCTCAGTATTTCTGTTGTGTAGAAGTCAAAAGTGCCCGGCTGTCCCTGCTTCATACCCTCAAGTAGTCACCCATGGGCCCCTACCTGCTCCCAATATTCTCCATCTCTGAGTGCGGAACCCTCACGGAGTGGCTCCAACTTTTATAGCTCTCTCTCATGCTCTCTTTGGGCTTTTATTACCTCGTTGATCTGATCTCTCTTCAAATCTTTTAGGGATTCCTCATGGTTTCTAACACACTGTGGGTTTGCTTTTTTTTCTTACTTCCAGTGTGATTATGTGTGTGTGTGTATATATATATATATGTGTGTATATATATATATGTGTATATATATGTATATATATGTATATATGTATATATATACACACACACAATCATATCATATATATCATATATATATATATATTTTTTTTTTAGTCAGTTATCTTTTCTATCCTTTCTAGAGATTTAGGGTGAGCAGAGCTTGCTGCCACATGAAGCTCAGCCTACCATCTTGACTGGGAACTTTTAATCACATATCTAAGGGGGAAAACATTGGTAAGACATTTAACTGCTACAAAGCATCAATATCAGAAAAATAATGGGTTATCTTAAAAGAATCACCTAAGGCTTAGGTTTATACAATGCAAAGAAGAGTGAAAAATTCAATCATCCTCAGGTATTGACAGTGTATTTATGATAACAATGAAGAGTGTGCACATGGTAAGAATAAGACAACCATCCTAAAGAAGTTAATTATTTATCTGGGCTTCTCAATTCTTGAAATAGGTCAAGGAGAAAGCAGTGTTTACTTGATCTAATGAGTACTCTTCCCTATCCATAGGACTTAGAAAATCTGAAGAGAATTTTAACTTAGATTCCAAAATTAAAGTATAAACGCTAATAACATATAAGCTAAAATTAAAGTTAACTAAAGCTGGGTCAAAATTGTTTTCACTTACAGTACTTTGTATCTAGGGAAAAGAATGAATGTATATTGATGCTGAAGGATGTCCATGGCATATAATTAATGAATTAATATTTTATTATAAAATACATATAATTTCTGTAAAATTGTATAACTAAGTTAGAACAGGTTGTGCATCATCTCTTGCTTTTGAGAGCATACTAGTTTTAAAACCTGTATCCAACAAGTGATCTCTATTACAACATTAAAATGAACTTGGGGGCAAAGGATGGATCATCAAGAAATGTATACATTTATTGAAGAGATTTTTTTTAAGTAACACTAACAAACTGATGGAAGTTACTTCAGCATCTTGATTCAACAAAGAATATTAAAGTCCAGTTTTCAATAGCAGTAACATATTCAATAGCATATTCTGCAAATATGAAATTAATTGTTCCTTCAAATGAACTAGCCATTCAATGTGAGAATTCTTGGCAAATTTTCTTGAAAAGGCAAGAAAGTTAACCTTTTTGTAGTCTGTGAGTATTACCCAGTGGTTTAGGATTTTCATGTTCAAACTCACCAAAATAGCCCGTTTAACTTTTGTTTTCAAAATTGCACATTGTAGTAATTTGAAATCATATAAAGTCAAACAACATTATTGATTTTATTAAGATAAGTGTACCTACCTCCTCATAGAAGAAAACTTATTTTTTGTTAAATAATTGAATTCTTTATTGTCTTAAGATATTGTTCTTCTATTTCAATAACAGAACTTCAAAATATTTCAGATTTCATTGATCAGTTGGTTGAATTATAATTTACCTCAAAACTTTGACAACAATCTGCTTTAGATAGTTTTTGGGAATAATATAATCACATTTTCTTATAAGATCACAAAATTACCCTAGAAAATTAATTTTTAATTATTTACTTTCTTTCTGAAAACCAAAAATTGCCTTTTCTTCTAAATTACTAAATAGTAATATAATACTGGGTTTGCCAGTAGATCATATAAATTTTTATCATCTCAAATTATTTCACCTGATACCTATTATAAAATTTCCTTTTTACCCATCATTCCTCAAGGCAGTGTTTCTCCCAATGTGGCCTGTGGATCATCTATACCAGAATGAGCTTAGATGCTTTTTAAAAATGAAGATTCCTGCCCTTATTCCACCACCACCATAGCCCCCTTCCTGAATCAGAACATCTTGCTTTGAGGCCTACGTATCTCCATTTTTAATAACTTGCCCAGGAGATTCTTATGTATACTGACAATAGAAACATTTTAACCCAAATCAGTCCATCTTTAAGTGGCAAATGCCTTTTTGATTTTTACAAAGTCAAGAATAGCTTGTTTTGAGTTGTTATAGAAACTCATTTTTTTAGGGACACATAGAGAGTAGGAATGGAAGAATAGAGATATCAAGGAAAACAACTTCCTGTAAACCAGGCAGTTGGTATGAATCATTCTAGAACATCTCACTGTAGATGCTGGGCTTGCCTCAAGTGATACTAGAGCTAGCATTTGGCAGTTCACTTGTGTAGAAGCTTACAAGACTTTTGGGACAACATTCATTCTCCCTTTATGCTCGACACTCTACCCAGTGCTTCTCTAAGAGGCAAGTACCCTTGGGATAGATACTAACAGGTCCAATGTATCTATTACGCTTGGTTTTAGTTGCAATTAAAGATGACTTGCATACAACCAGTCCTGGATTAGAGCTTAATCGTACCTTAAAAAAAGGAAACAAGGCCAGGAGTGGTGGCTCATGCCTGTAATCCCAGCATTTTGGGAGGCCGAGACAGGTGGATCACCTGAGGTTGGGAGTTCGAGACCAGCCTGACCAACATGGAGAAACCCCGTCTCTATTAAAAATATAAAACTACTCGGGAGGCTGAGGCAGGAGAAGCGCTTGAACCCAGGAGGCGGAGGTTACGATGAGCCGAGATCACGCCTTTGCACTCCAGCCTGGGCAACAAGGGTGAAACTCCATCCCTTCTACCCCCCAAAAAAGGAAACAAGACACCTATAGGAGACACAAGGACTTTTGAAGACAAACTTTGTCAACTTAGTTTTGCTTAGAATGAGACCTGTCTGTAGCTTATTTCCTTTTTCCTAAGAAGACAACCCTGCTCTGAACAACTTTGGAGGATAATGAATTTTTTTCTGAAACACCTGAAAAAATTAATAATAACAACAAATGGAAAAGGAAACAATAGCACAAATGCCGTGCAGGGCAGAAGGGCTAACTGTTGTAGGGAAAGTAGTAGCACAAGGAGAGACTAACTCCTCTGCCTCCACTGGGCACTTTATTCTACTAAATATATTTGACATCACCCATGTGCCAAGTACTCTGACTTTCAAAGACCTTAAATAATAGCTCCTTGTTTTTACCTATTGGTTCTATGATGAACTACCTAGCAAGGAAGATGATTCTCCTAAAAGAAGCTCTGCCTTCCCAAATCGTACCTGCATGGGTCACACTTACTAACCCAGCTAAAATGATGTGCATGACCTGAGTCTTTTTGAAAGCCTTTATGTAATTAAAATTTTATATTAACCAAAGGTAGACCTCAGGTCTAAATAAAAGCATTATTTTATTGTTTTGAGGCACCTGCACAGTACCTCTGGGAGCTTCCTCAAAATTTGACATAACCAAATAGCACCGGTACATGATACTTGACCACATACACACACACACACACACACACACACACACACACACACACACACACACACACACACACATGCATGCACACACACACAAAAAGCATTTGTATGTGCCACCTGCACTCTGTTCACACTGGCATTATTTGAGGAATGATAAGAAGATGAATGAGGTTGCAGTGAGGAGAAAGCAGGGAAAAGCAATAAAAAATGGTACTGGGGAGTTAGTTAGGCAGGAACCGAACCTTATATGTCATGTTAAGGACTTGGGGCTTAAGCCTAAACATGAGGGTGACCTGGTGAGGTTTTGATGTTTGGGAAGAATTCTTCTAGTAGCAGGAGTAGGCCAGTACATGATTTCAGCTACACAAGATGAATAAGTTCTAGAGATGTGCTGTACAGCAATCCAGCTCTAGTTAGCAATTAAGTATTGTGCACATAAAAATTTGTCAAGAGGGTAGACATTATGTTAAGTATTCTTACCACAATTAAAAAAAATTAAAAAAGGAAGTAGGAGATCATGTAGTAATCCATGAGCCTCGATTAAGGAGGTAGACATGGAGATGAGAAAAGAGGTTGGGTTTGGAGATACTTACACTAGAAAATAATGGATTGGTTGTGTGGATGAGAATGAGTAGGTGTCAAGGATGATGCCTAAGATTCTAGTTTAAACAATTACAGGGTCACAGGTTTTGAGAGAGTGACCAGGATTCAGGGGAGGACCATGATTTTTATTTTGAACATGTTCAATTTGAGGAATCTTTGAGACCTTGGAGATGTCAAATAAGCAGGCAGTGCAAGGGCCCAGAGCTCACAGGAGCTTCAGTTCTCGCTACATTGTTAACACTCCAGCCTACCTCTTGGGACCTGATGCTTCTCTGAGTTTTTATAATTCTACCTGCCTGACAGACTATAGATCTATCAGTTCTATACTGTCCTATATAGTATCCACTAACCACAGTGGATGTTTAAATTAAATTAAATTGAAATTCAAAATTCAGCTCCTCAGTTGCACTAGCCACATCTTAAACATTCAATAGCCACAGGCGACTAGTAGCTACAGTATATAAGTATACTATATACGCTATATAAGCACAAACATTTGAACATTTTCATCTTCTCAGAACATTCTTTTGGACAGCACTGATATAATGATCTGCTGCTACCTCAATTCTCACACCTCTAAAACTTACTTAATATTTCCCACAACATCATACGTATTCTGTTCTATATGGTGTCAGTTATTTCTGTCCCTAAATCCATATGTATCATGAGTTCCATAAAAGCAAGGACCATGCTCTCCTCTTCCCCAAGTTTCCCTGTATGCCCAGCAAAACACCTTTGAACTGTGTGCTTGGCAAGCATTGGTTGAACGAATGAGTGAGTGACTGGCTGAGTGAGCAAATCCCTGAATTTCTGTTCCAGAAATATATGGAAAAGTAATCTTTTATATAATCTCTTAGGCTTATACTGACAAAATAGCTATTAAAAATAAAAAATGTACGGTGGTAATATAGCCTGGTCACAAGACTGCTTCAATAAAAGGGTTTATTATTCACAAAATTATAATATAAATAGGGTAGAAGCTGGAGAAGTAGAAAGTAGATGGCCTCCTCTCAAGTTGCCTTCTGCCCCTACTGCTCTCCATCTTAGCTACACCAGCATTTAGTGGGAAATACCAACCACATTTTACCACTTCGTGGAGGCAGCAGCAACAGCATTAGCATCTTTTGCTAAAATAGCTCTGCTTCCATCTCAACTGTTTTCTTCCCCTAAGGAGCCAAGATACCTGGCCAGAGAACAAAAGTAGGGGTAAGAGTTCTGCCCACATAGTCTTCCTGGGTTGGTCTGGTCAGCCTTTCAATAGGGACTTTTCTAACAGGTCTTGTCCAACACCCAAAAGCATATGCTCATCACATATGCTGTTACAAAGGATCTCCTCCTAACACATAAGGATGGGAGGAATGGAAAAAGAATAGGAATGAAATAGGAATTAAGCGCTGGTGAAGGGCATCAGGGGAATGGTGAGCACGTGAAAATGGAAAAGAACAAAGGAGGCAAGGCTTGAGTAGAAACACTCCTCCTCACTTCTTCCAACAGCATTCTAGAGTCTGAAATTACTTTCCCGTTAATACACTAGGAAGAAGGAAATTATAGAAATATTATTCTGGACATGGCAAACATTGGGGAATGGTGCAGTGGTGGATAGCAATTATTAAACACCAACCATGTGCTAGGTATTGTTGTAGACCTCAGGAATCCAATAGAGATGAGACAGTTACGTCTCTGTTCTCCTGAAGTTTACCTTCTAATAGGAGTCATGGTCAGAAAAATGGGCACTTACATTACCACATGTTAAGTGCCAAGGTAAGGAGAATATGGGGTACTGGGTGCTTGAAGGCTTAAGTATTCCTGGAGGGTTAGATAGGGAAGACTTCCTACTGGAACTGATGCCTAAGCTGAGCCCCAAAGACAGAGTAGGCATAAACCAGGCAAGTGAGGGAAGAGGATATAGGTTGAGGAGAGGAGGTAGGGGTGAATAGACTTGCATGTGCAGGCCCCTGGAGAGAAGTAAAAGCTTTAAGTGCAGGGCTGGGCGTGGTCACTCATGCCTGTAATCTCAACACTTTGGGAGGCCAAGGTGGGAGGATCACCTGAGGTCAGGAGTTTGAGACCAGCCTGGTAGACATTGGTACTTGGGAGGCTGAGGCAGGAGAATCGCTTGAACTCAGGAGGCAGAGGTTGCAGTGAGTTGAGATCGCACCACTGCACTCCAGCCTGGGCAACTGAGCAACACTCTGTCTCAAAAAAAAAAAAAAAGAAAAAAGAAGAAAAGCTTGGAAATGGAGCAAAGTGGACTTTCCTGTAACTCAGAGCATCCGTGGGAGAAATGGAGAGGTGTGAAGTAAAAAGTTACTGAAAAGATAAACTGTATGTACTTGTTCCCTGACTCCTGAAAATGGAAAAGATTGTCTCATTATTTTTTTTCTTACTCTACCCATTTTCTTGTTCCCACACTGGAACCCAGACCCATCCTGCTGTTCCACTGCCATGTCTGGAGGAGTGCACAGTGGTCATGTTAGCAAGCTTTGGGACCAGGCTGTCTGGGTTTGAATCCGAGCTCTGTCCCTCCATAGTTGCCAGACTTTGGGCAAGTTAACAATTTGCATGTTTCCTCATCTACAAATGAGAACAATAGCGCTGCCTACCGTATATGGTTTTTGAGAGATTAAATGGATATTTTCATAAGTAGAGCTCTCAAAGCAGTGCCTAGCACACAGGAAGCACTCTAAAAATATTATCTGTTATTATCATGGACTTAAAAGGACTCTTGTTAGCTAGTGTGGGAACAAACAAGCCGACATTTACATGCAAAACTACGTATGGACTCTTCTGTGCCCCAGCCCGCGGAAAGCCAGGGCTAGATAGAAGATTTTCAAACTCAGCCAGTTTTCTATGTGCTTGACAAGATGATACGTTTCCTAACATAAAGGATTTCCTAAGATTATAAGAAAATTATCCGGTACCTATCAGAAAACTATTGCAATGTGTTAAAAGATGTTGGGGGGAAGCTGTCTAGTACACACAATGTTAATTTCCCAGGTGATATTTCTTTAAAGATTTTTTAAATTCACCTCAGTTGTCATCAGAAACATAATGGGAGGACTTATGCATTTTTTTGAATCTTGTTGCAGTTAAAAAAAACCTCAATGTTGCCCATGTTTTTCCACTTTATTTGGATATTTTACCAGTAACTTTATTTTCGTCTCTCTCCACATTACCTCATAGTCTGTCTTTATTCTCCCATATTACAGTGAAGATTCAGAGGCTCAGAGATTAAGTGATTTATACAATGTTATGTAATTCATAGGAAGGACAGCCAAAATTAAACCACGGGCATTTTGACGACTATAGAGTCTGAATTTGTTCTATGATATTTGAGCCTGACAGAGGCATCATCCCACTAAAGTGCTTGTAAAACTGTAGGGCATACAGTACACACTCAATAAACGCTACTGTAATCTCATCATGACTCATCTACTAAGCCTTCTGCAGGATGTTCACACATGAATGTTGCAGAGGAAAAATGATTCAAATACATTCAGAAAATCTTGGGTTAAGCAAAGTTAAATTAGTTCTCTTATTATAAAGTCTTTGAGACAGTAATGAACACTATGAATATCAAAGGAAAAGTATAATTCACAGCAATTTCCAAATCATATTTGACCACAGAACCTTTTTGTTCTTTCTCCCAAAATATCTAAGTAGGACCAATGTTCACAGGAATTAACTTTGGGGGAAATGCTGCATGAGGTCAATGCAGGTAACAGATAATACTTACAATTTTAGTTCACTGGTGGAAAATATTTTGTGTTTGCAGGAAAGCTATTTTACTGTACAAGAGCAGAAGTAGCATAAAAGGGAACTTAAAGTCATTGTTCTAAATCTTAATTTGCTTGAGATGGGGAAGCGGAGTGAGAACAGCTTTGCAAAAATATGTCACCAGTAAAGTAGGAAGTGGGTATTCTTGCAGCTTCTAACAGCTTCAGCAACTTTGTTGTTCAAAGCCAGAGCTGCAAGACACCTTATCTCACAAAGCATACACACGTACACATGCAATCTCCAGGACGTGAAAAAGAAAATGAAGAGAGTTACAGATTTTGTTGGTGCCATTTCATATATAAAATGTTGAGGCTCAAAAGTTTGAAGTAAAACAATGGCAAATTTTGTAAAACTCACTGTGGGAAAAAATAGTTTTGCATTCTAAATGATTCTATGACAATCAGTAGTTTGAGCACAATACGTTGTAGAGAACTTAATCAGCCTGCAGTTATTACATTGAGCAATGTGGTTAGGTTTAATGTCAAGAGATTCAGTCCTGGGCCCAACTCTGTCAGCTTTGGGAGACCTGGGACAAATAACTTCTTTGACCACCTTCTCATTTTGCAAAATGTGAAGGTTGAATTAGACCACCCCTGAGATACCTTCTAGCTCTATAGCTCTGTGAATTTAAAGGAACAGGTAGGTTACGGACTTCTTTGGTTTGTTAGTTACCCCAAGGAAATAGAGTCCTCTCTAGGTAGCAGGCGCACAATAGTAAGAAGGCAGCAACAGAAACAATAAACTTTGGAGGTTAGCCACAGCCCTCAGGAAACAAGATAGGTGTCTAGCCTCCAGCCTGTGGGGCCACTGCATGATGTTACTAAATTCAGGATGGTACTGAAATAAGTGTGAGCTACCAATGCCTGGAAATAATGAAAGCCATCAAAAAGTTATATTCTACTGTTGCCAGGACAAAAGTTCCTGAGATAGTCTACATCTTTCAAAGTCAGAAACAACATACAGGAGAATGAGGATAACTGCCTTCCTCCCACACACCCATGATGCCTAATTGAAATTGTAACCCCCCAGTCTCTGGAAATTAGGCTGGCCTCTTTCCTTTCTGTTTTTGCTCCTGCCTATCAAGATGAAACCTAGTTGTGGTTTTACCAGTGCATTTCTTTTAGCTGCCTACACCATCTCAATTAAAATGGGCTTGAGGAGCCACACCAAATAACTAGCACATGAAATAACTTCACTCAGAAAATCAGGAAGTTGTGTTGCTATTTTTATTTTACTTTTAACAAAAAGCCTCATTTCTGAAAAACTAATGTTTTCGTCTTTGTTTCCTTTCCCACAATTTATGACTGTTTTGAGAGACAAACAGCATTTATCTTTTTAAAGATTGGCACTTTTAAAGAAACACCAGTCAGAATAATCAAGAAATGAAGACCAATCATATGATCATCCAAAGTTGCAGGTTGTTAAATGTTTCATTGTTTTATTTCAAAGTATAGATTATCTTTTGTTAATGATTGTAATAGCAGCAGTGTGCCTTTCTAAACATGTTGTTCTTAAGCAAATATAAAAATGACTTGGGGCCTGGCATGGTGGCTCATGCCTGTAATCTCAGCACTTTGGAAGGCCGAAGCGAGTGAATCACCTGGGGTCAGGAGTTCGAGACCAGCCTGGCCAACTGGTGAAACCCTGTATCTACTAAAAATGCAAAAATGAGCTGGGCCTGGTGGTGCGCACCTGTAATCCCAGCTACTCGGGAGGCTGAGGCAGGAGAATCACTTGAACCCAGGAGGTGGGGGTTGCAGTAAGCCAAGATCGCGCCATTGCACTCCAGTCTGGGCGACAGAGTGAGACTCTGTCTTTAAAAAAAAAAAAAAAAAAAAAAAAAAAAAACAGAAAAAAAATGACTTGGGATTCTCTGAACACAAGACAACAAATATGAAGAGGCCACTGTGGGGCACTAGAATGAGTTCCCGTAGAAGGGAGGCTGTATTTGAGGAGAGCTGATCTGTGCTCTGTACCGGCCCCTGGAGCACATAATCCTTCTGGATCTCAGCTATAAAATGAGTGATTCCATATTCTTGAATGTCACTGATGTCTGGGACACACTATTCCTTATCCATTAGAATTCTCCTATCATAGGAATTTTAGACTCCCTGACCTTGAGCCCCTAAGAAGCCAGTAGCATTCACTAGGTTATTCACTATTGTAATGACCAAAAGCAACCCCTTCCCCCAACACCAGCACTCAATTCCAAACACTTCCTTGAAAGCTGGTACTGCCTACCCCCATTTGGAGGCACCAGCCAATGAGTTCTGAGATTCCTTTCTGCCCAGCATTCTTTAAGGAGTGGCCAGGAAGAATACTGGGTAGTTAGGAGCCTGCAGTTTAAAATCTCTCAGAAACATTCCACACAGCATGTACCCGCATGAAAAGGGCATATAAATTGTTGAGCCTATTATTAAATTACACAGCAGCGTTTCTACCTGCTTTCACAGCAAGTTTTGTCACTTCTCTTTTATAAGTCCCAGAAGAAGGCAGAGGTTTTCCCCAATGAGTCAAAAGAAGCCCCCAGCTAGTTACAACCATTGGACACCGGCATACTCCAGCCCATGTGAGTCACTTTCTTGATAGAATGGTGTCAACTCAATCCAACAATGTTCACCGCTTATATCAGAGTCATCAATCAACCGGAGTCTTCTCCAAACCCTGTCTCCCTGTCTGATAGATGTCTAACCCAGTTGCTGTTGTCAAACTCCCTACGCCTACCAACTGGGCTCCTTCTTTGACATATTCTTGGTTTCTCCTTAAAGAAGGTTGAATAGCCAATGTAGTGTCTGCCTGGCTGGATCTCCATTCTGTTCTCTTTTCCTACCTCATGCCCCTTTTCCCTTTCCCCAGCTTAGAGACTTGACTATCAGCAATTCCCCTCCTCCTTATTGTTTATTTGTCAATCTTGCTTACTCCTAAATAATCATCCCACCACAAACGCACACACACAGGTAAGAGCAAGCAAACAAATAGAACCATAACTTTTAAAAAATTTTACAGTACTCCTCATCACAAAGAAAAGCTGAGACACTGGTTTCTCTATGGGAGAAGAGGTCTCCCTGCTTCTGTTCGCCCTTAGTCTATTAGTTGTTGACTTTGCATTTTGCCTAGTCTCTTCTTAGCTTCCTCTTTCATCTTAGAGAGTAACATGTACCTTTTCAGTTATTTCACCATTGAGATGCTGAAAACACTAACAAAAATAAGATGCTTATGTTTTATCTTTTTAAGGTTTTTAAACAAACTAAAAAGAGAGAAAGAGCTTATTTTGATTTCATGGCATGATAGAAAGAACTTCAGACTTAAAGAAGAAAAACAGGATTTTAGTCCGGGAGCTCATGTTTTTAAGCTTTGTGTCCTTGAGTAAATCATTTATTAAACTTATCTGGACCTTGGATTTTTCATCTTTGATAAAAAGGGAGAGTGTTTTTCAGGGTTTCCTTATGCTATGTCATCCCTAAGTCTAAATGATATTCTTATTCCATGTGTTAAAGTCCTGTGCAGAACCAGGAAGATGGCTTCACAAATAATCAACTGGTTTGTTTATGCCAAATTATATAAAAAGCACTGGAACAGTAAATTCAAAGACTTTCAGTCCTAGGGTTTTATGGTTCTATCTCTAGGAACAGAAATTCTGATTCCTTGGTCATTTGTTCTATAAGTGATATAGGATAGGCCCAAAAGGGATTCTATGTACAGAAATCAGTAGCATTTTTATATACCAACAACATTCTAGCAGAGAACCAAATCAAGAACACAATCCCATTTACAATAGCTACAAAGAAAATAAAATACCTAGGAATTCATCTAACCAAGGAAGTCAAAGACCTCTTCAAGGAGAACCACAAAACACTGCTGAAAGAAATCAGAGACCACACAAATAAATGGAAAAAATGTTCTATGCTCATGGATTGGAAGAATTGATATCATTAAAATGGCCATACTGCCTGCCCAAAGCAATTTACAGATTCAATGCTATCACTATCAAAATGCCAATGTCATTTTTCACAGAATTAGAAAAATCTATTCTAAAATTCATCTGGAATCAAAAAAAAGACTGAATAGACAAAGCAATACTAAGCAGGAAGAACTAAGCCAAAGGCATCTTACTGCCTGACTTTAGACTATACTATAAGGTTACAGTAACCCAAAGAGCATGATACTGGTACAAAAACAGACATATAGACCAGCTGAACAGAATAAAGAACCCAGAAATGAACCTACACTTCTACAAACTATCTGATCTTTGACAAAACTGACAAAAATAAGCAATGGAGAAAGGACTCCCTTTTCAATAAATGATACTGAGATAAATGGCTAGCCACATGCAGAAAAATAAAACTGGACACCTGCCTCTCAGCATATACAAAAATTAACTCAAGTGGGTTAAAGATTTAAATATAAGATCTCAAACTATAAAAATCCTAGAAGAAAACCTAGAAACTACCCTTCTCAACATAGGCTTTGGTAAATAATTTATGGATAAGTCCCCATAAGTCCCCAAAAGCAATTGCAGCAGTAACAAAAACAGACAAGTGAGACCTAATTAAAGAGCCTCTGCACAGCAAAGGAAATTTCCAACAGAGTAAACAGCCTAAAGAATGGGAGAAAATGTTCAGAAACTATGCATCTGACAAAGGTCTAATATCCAGAATCTACAAGGAGCTTAAATCAACAAGCAAAAAATCTAATTAAAAAATGGGCAAAGAACATGAACAGACACTTCTTAAAAGAAGTTGTACAAGTGGCCGATAAACAAATGAAAAAATGCTCAACATCGCTAATCATCAAAGAAATGCAAATCAAAACCATAATGAGAAACGATCTCACACCAATCAGAATGGCTACTATTAAAATAATCAAAAAACAACAGATGCTGAAAAGGCTGCAGAGAAAAGGGAGCACTTATAAATTGTTGGTGGGAATGTAAGGTAGTTCAGCCACGGTGGAAAGTAGCTTGGAGACTCCTCAAAGTATGTAGAACACAACTACCATTCAACCCAGCAATCCCTACTACTGGGTATATACCGAAAGGAAAATAATTCATTCTGTCTAAAAGACACATGCACTTGTAGGTTCATTGCAGCTCTATTCACAATAGCAAAGACATGCAATTAACCTAGGTGCCCATCAACAGTGGATTGGATAAAGAAAATATGGTATATATACACCATGGAATACTATGCAGCAACAAAAAAGAATGAAGTCATGTCCTTTGCAGCAACATGGATGGAACTGAAGGTCACTATCCTAAGCGAACTAACACATGAACAGAAAACCAAATGCCTTATGTTCTCACTTATAAGTAAGAGCTAAACACTGAATACACATGAATGTAAAGATGAGAACAATAGACCCTGGGGACCACTAGACACAGGAGGGAGGGAGGAAGGTGTGGGCTCAAGAACCACCTGTTGGTTGAGTGATGAGATCACTGGGACCCCAAGCCTCAGTGTCACACAATACACCCATGTAACAAACCTGCATGTGTACCCTCTAATCTAGAATTAAAGTTGAAATTACTATTTTTTTTTTTTGAGATGGAGTCTTGCTCTGTCGCCCATCCTAGCATGGAGTGGCATGATCTCGGCTCACTGCAACCTCTGCCTCTCAGGTTCAAGTGATTCTCCTGCCTCAGCCTCCCAAGTAGCTGGGATTACAGGTGCACACCACTATGCCTGGCTGATTTTTGTATATTTAGTAGAGACAGAGTTTCACCATGTTGGCCATGCTGGTCTCAAACTCCTGAGCTCAAGTGATCCACCTGCCTCGGCCTCCCAAAGTGCTGGGATTACAGGCATGAGCCACCACACCCGGCCAAAATTATTTTTTTAAAAAGGGATTCTATCCTTTCAGTGGGTCTGCTTTGTCTGATTCTGTTCCCTTTCTGTGTAGAAAATTGGTGGTTCATATTATATAAAGAATGCATTAAAGACTGCTCCTCACCATGCTGCCTTGTTTTCCCCAATCTTTTCAATATATTATTTCCTAAAGTTGACTTCTGATTCTCCTCATTATCTTTACCATCCTTCACCCCTGCTTGTCACTTCCTCGTTTGTCCAATTACAAAAGAGGTAATGCCATGGCATCTTAACAAGGCTTTTCCCACCTTACAATCCCCAGGTTCTCTTACTTCAGCAAATGTTTGGCCCACGTATGCTTTGGCTCTTGCAGAAAGGGCAAGTGATAGCCAGAAGGAACTCTCAGACAATGAAATACTAACTGAAAGTGTCAGCTGGTAGTTAACGTGGTATTATTAAGAATTGCAAACAAATAAGTTGTGTTTCAAAACAAAAGAATGGGAGGTGACGATAGTATATACCAGGCAATATTGCACTTCAGTAGTGCAATAACTTCTGAAGTTATTGGTCTTTTCACAGCCTGCCTGTTGCCTCTTTAGGTTGAACTTCAAATGAGACATGTGTACCCACCATTTATTTTATATCAGTGATTCTCAAACTTCAGTGTGCATTAGAATCACCTAGAGAGCTTATTAAAACACAGATTGCTGGGCCCCAGACCCAGAGTTTCTAATTCAGTAGGTCAGGCATGAGGCCTAAGAACTTGCATTTGTAGCAAGTTCTCAGGTGATGCTGATGCTGCGAGTCCTGATTCCACAACTTAAAAACTACTGTTCTATACTATAATAGAAGAAAATGTATAAATGCTATCTTCAGGGTTTACTTTTTTTTTTTTGGAGACAGAGTGTCTGTTGCCCAGGCTAGAGAGCAGTGGCACGATCTCGGCTCACTAGAACCTCTGCCTCCTAGGTTCAAGCAATTCTCCTGCCTCAGCCTCCCGAGTAGCTGGGATTACAGGCTTGTGCTACCACATCCAGCTAATTTTTTTGTATTTTTAGTAGAGACGGGGTTTCACCATGTTGGCCAGGCTGGTTTCAAATGCCTGACCTCATGTCACCCCTCCGCCTCAGCCTCCCAAACTGCTGGGATTACAGGTGTGAGTCACCGTGCCCAGTCTAAAAATTCTTTTAAGCAATTTACTTAAGCAGAAACATGAATGGTAATACAATAATAGGGGAAAGGAGCGTTCTGATCAGAGAGCAGGGAGTACAAATTCCTTAGGTAAGAACAAGCTTTATGGGGTTAAAGAAACAGAAAGACTTGGATGGGCTGGAATATCACAGATGAAGGAGGAATAATGGTTCCAGATGAGGCTGGAGCAGTAGGCACTGACCAAATTCCATAGATCCAGAAGGTCACAGTTTGGAATTTATGATAGGAAGACATTGAAATTGGAGCCATAATGAAGAGGAATGTTATAGTCTGGTTTGCATTTTAGGACCTCTTTTTCCTGTGTAGAGCATCAGCTGTAGGCAAATAATAATGACACCAAAAAACTGGTGAGGAGGCTACTGTTAAGAGTCCAGATAAGAGATGATGAAGTTTGCACAAGGGAGGTCAAATGGAGGAGAAAGAAATGGATGAATCTAGAATGAGTTTCAGCTGTAGCATTAATGGGGAATTCTCATGTATTGGATGTAGGGAATCAGAAAAAAGGAGGGAAGTTTACTCAGCCTGGGCCCCCTCCAGGTCTGCTGCTGAGGGGGTCCGGCCCAGGACGGCGACAAGACCACGGTGCAGCTGGCCCAGAGTCCTCAGGTTTGCCAATAGGATTATTCTGCTGCCATCATGTCTTGGTTTGTTGATCTTGCTGGAAAGACAGAAGATCTTTTAAACTGAGTTGATCAAGGGGCTGCAACAGCTCTCAGTAGGAAAGACACCACCACCAGCAACATCATATATAGCAAAAATACTGACTATACTGAACTTCACAGAAGTTCAAATACAGATTTGACATATCAGACTTGACCTGTAGCTACTTATACTTCATCAGCAACTGATAACATTTGAAATCAAAAAGCCACCATCTTAGCTGGCACTGCAAATGTGAAAGTAAGATCTAGGACACCAGTGGAGGCCTCTCATCCTATTGAAAATTCATCTGTTCCTAGGCCTTCATCCCAATTTGTGTGAACAAGAAAGTCAGAACCTGATGATGAGCTGCCCTTTAATTTCCTTAATAGTTCACAGAAGGAGCCTACTGGGAGGGTGGAAATCAAAAAGGAAAAAGGAAAGACACCTGTCTTTCAGAGTTCTTGGACGTCAAGTGTTAGTTCTGTGAACCCCAGTATAACCACCATCAAAACCACTGAAGAAAATTCTTTTGGAAAATGCATCATCAAATGCTGCCTGCACTGAGCACATCCCAACACCTAATGAAGATGGCAAATCACATGAACTATCTAACCTTCGACTGGCCCGGCTAATTTTTGTACTTTCAATAGAGACAGAGTTTCACCATGTTGGCCAGACTGGTCTCGAACTCCTGACCTCAGGTAATCCACCCGCCTCGGCCTCCCAAAGTGCTGGGATTACAGGCGTGAGCCACTGCATCTGGCCCTCCTTGGTCTTTCAACTGGAGCACCTCAAACAGCAGATGGACTCTGCCTCTGGAAGTAGTAGTAACGGGTCTTCGATTAATATGTCTGAAATTGTCAATGGTGAAGGCACTCTTCTGTGAAATGTTCCTGTTCTTTTTAATGGCACAGAAACTAATCTGGCAGGAATGTACGGAAAAATTCACAAAGCTAGTTCAATTGACCGGTTTAGTATTCGTCTGGGAATTTTTCTCCAAAGATACCCCATAGCATGAGTTTTTGTGATTATATATATGGCTTGGCTTCACCTCTGGGTCATGATTGTTCTGTTGACTTATACACCAGAAATGCACCACGACCAACCATATGGCAAATGAACTGAGCCCAGATGTTGCAATGATTAGTTGTCTTTTTCTAAACTTGGGATCTGCAAGAAGGCCAATTGCCTAAAATTTCTGAGAATGTGCACAAGATTATTTTATCACTACAAGCTTTTAACTTTTTAAGTTATTATGCAAGTATTCTGCTACCTAAATCTTCCTATTTCCTTTAAATGGTAAGAGTTTCTAAAAGAGACAATAATTTAACAAGCTCAACTCTGCTTTTTCTGAGTTCAGTGGTCCTAATATACATGTAGAGAAAGATGCTGGTGGTGTTCACCTCTGTACAGACCATCTATATGTTAGGTGACATTGATAATGGGTTACAATCAGGGAAACTAATTGTATTTAGTGACAAAAATAAAAAGTTTCCTATTTTGATTAAAAAAAGAAAAAAGGAATTAATATGAATGATTATTACATATTCATTAATTATGTGTTCATTTCACCAATTGACTATTATGTTTGGACTTTATACACGATTATATGCACAACAGTAAATGTGACTACGGTTTTTAACTTAATTTTTATAATATAGTGACAAGATTTAAGAATTAGACTTAGAAGCTGTAAAACCTGGCATTGTTTGATATTATAGTTAGAATTATTAAGCAAAGTATACAGATTAGATAAATAAGGTGGAGGTATCTTTACATGCAATTGATAACCTAACTGTGGCAATTAGGGCAGTATAGATCAACCCAAGGTCTTTGGACATTCTCAGAAATCCACAAATTTCTTACACAATTTTTTACATTATGTTTTCATTCAGTGAAAGTCTAAAAAAAAGTTAATGGAAGAATAACTTTTTCATTAATTGTCATTAAAATACACCTTTACTTGTCTCAGGCTAACAAGTGCAGGCCAAACATTGTCATGATGAACTACAGAAACAAAGGTTTTACAGTAATTGAAAGAAGAAATGTAGTGGGAAAACTGAGTTATAATACATGACATGATAATATAGCAATGCTAAACTCAAGAGAAATATTCCTGATTACGGCACTTTAATTAAAAATGGAATATGAATGTGGGCTAAAAGTTTTTGAAAAAAATAGGCTTACTCAGCAGTTAAACACATGCTACCAATTGCAAAGGTTTATTAGCACCGTAAGAAAGTTACACAGAGACACATCTAGTTTGACTAATTTTTTTTCACTAAAATATCCATAATAAGGGAAGAGAATTAACATTTATAAAGTGTCTTTTGTGAGTTTGTGATGGGCACTGTTGTTAAATAATATAATTGTCATAACTTTATTGTGGAGTAGAATTTTTGCCTTTTTACAGAGTAAGCTGATGCCCTGGAGGATTAAGTGATTGTGCTAATGAAATTAAAAAGTGATTACAAACGTCCAGTGACGGAGAGGGTATGAGGAGACAAGACTTCATTGAGGCACATTGCTGAAGCCTCACTGGAGGACAATTGGCAGATCCTACAGGAAAATAAAATATGCAAATCTTTCATCTCAGCAATTCTACTTTTAGATCTCTGTCCTAGAACACTTCCCCCCACCACTGCCCTGCAGTTACACAGAAAAGCACAAGTAGATGCTTAACATTACATTGTTTTTAGTCAAGGGGGAAGACTGAACAAACCTGGACTATCCCTAACACAGAATACTCTGGAACATTTACAAAGAACAAGATAGGCCCAGAATAGGCAGCACAATATTCAGCATGCAGAGCAATTTAGGTTTTTAATCAGATATTCCTGTGCATACATACAAAGGTCAGTAAACACTTAGAAAAAGTTCTGCAAAGATAAACAATGGTAGTTTCTGGGAAAGAGAGGGCAAGGAGGAGTGAGAGGTCATCTGAAACTCTACTTTATCTGTGTTGTAAAGCTTCTTCCAGAAATGAGTCATGTATTATTTGTGTAATAAAAAATAACTTAAAACAAAAACAAAAACAAGGGAGAGAGAGAGAGAGACAGAGAGAGAGAGAGAACTACCCAAGATCACACCTCTAGTAGAAGCTTGATCCCCGCATCATCTCATTTCAAAACGCTCGCTCTCTCCACTGTGCCCCACTACTTCTTTGTGGCTTTTATATTTTTTTCCTTCTGTGTCTTTTCTTCTTTTAGGTTGGTGCAAAGTTAATTGCAGCTTTTACCAAAAGTAATGGCAAAAACCGCAATTACCTTTGCACCAACTTTATATATCTTTCTCTCCTCTAAAACCTGATTTATCATCTTATGTTTATGTGCTATATTTTGACTCAGGGTCCCTCCTTTCTTTTTTTATTTATATAAATTTAAGGGATAAAGTGCAGGGGTTTTTTTTCATGGATACCGTGTGTAGTAATGAAGTCTGGGCTTTTATTATAACCATCACCAGAATAGTGTACATTGTACCCATTAATTAATTTCCAATCCCTCACTCTTGCCAACCCTCCCACCCTTCCCAGTCTCCAGGGTCTATTATTTCACACTCTATGTCCGCGTCTATATTTAATTTAACTCCCACTTACAAGTGAGAACAGGTGCTTTTTGACTTTCTGTTTCTCAATTATTTCATTTAAGATAATGTCCTCTACCTCCATCCATGTTACTGCAGAAGACATAATTTTATTTTTTTATGGCTGAGTAGTATTCCACGTATACCACATTTTCTTTATCAGTGTCATCCATTTTATAAGTTTCATCCATTGATGGACACTTAGGTTGATTCTATGACTTTGCTATTGTGAATAGTACTGTGATAAACATACAAGTGCAGGTGTCTTTTTGGTAAAATGATATCTTTATTTCTTTTTTTTTTTTTTTATGAGACGGAGTTTCACCTTGTTGCCCAGACTGGAGTACAACGGCACAATCTTGGCTCACCACAACCTCCACCTCCTGGGTTCAAGCTATTCTCCTGCCTCAGCCTCCCGAGTAGCTGAGATTACAGGCACCTGCCACCAGGCCCGGATAATTTTGTATTTTTAGGACAGAAGGGGTTTCACCATGTTGGTCAGGCTGGTCTTGAACTCCTGACCTCAGGTGATCTGCTTGCCTCAGCCTCCCAAAGTGCTGGGATTAGAGGCATGAGCCACTGCTCCTGGCCGATTTCTTTTCTTTTGGTTGAATATCCAGTAGTAGGATTGCTGAATCTTACAGTAATTCCATTTTTAGTTGTTTGAGAAATTTCCATACTGTTTTCTCTAGAAGCTGTACTAATTTATATACATTCCCACCAACGGTGTATAAGCATTCCCTTTACTCGACATCCTTGCCCACATCTCTTATTATTTTATTTTTTAATAATAGCCATCCTGACTGCTGTACGATGATATCTCATTGCGGTTTTAATTTGCAATTCTCTGGTGATTAGTGATGTGGAGCACTTTTTCATATTCTTGTTGGCCACATGTGTGTCTTCTTTTGAAAAATATCTGTTCAATGTCCTTTGCCCACTTTTTAATGAAATTATTTTGGGGGTTGTGAGTTGATTGTAGATTCTGGATATGAGTCCTTTGTTGGATGCATAGCTTGCAAATGTTTTCTCCCAATCTGCAGATTGTCTGCTTATTCAGTTGATTATTTCTTTTACTGACAGAAGCTTTCTAGTTTAGTTAAATCCCATTTGTCTATTTTTGGTTTTGTTGTATTTGCTTTTGAAGTCTTAGCCATGAATTTTTGCCTAGGCTAATGACCATAAGTTTTTCCTAGGTTTTCTTTTAGTATTTTTATAGCTTCAGATCTTACATTTAAATCTTTACTCCATCTTGCATTAATTTCTTGTGTATGGTGAGAGATAGGAGCCCAGTTTCATTCTTATGCATATGGCAGTCAAATTTTCCCAGCACCATTTATTGAATAGAGTATCATTTCCCCAGTGTACATTTTTGTCGACTTTGTCAAAGATCAGTTGGCTGTGGGTATGTGGCTTTCTTTCTGGGCTCTCTATTCCATTCCATTGACCTATGTGTCTATTTTTATACCAGTGCCATGCCGTTTTGGTTGCTATAGCCTTGTCGTATAATTTGAAGACAGGTAATGTGATGGCTCCAGCTTTGTTCTTTTTGTTTAGGATTGCTTTGTCTACTCAGGGCTCTTTTTGCTTCCATATGAATTTTATGATTATTTTTTGTAAGCAATGGCAACAATAGTCATTGCCATAGCAAAAGTAGCAAATATTTAACTTAACTGAGTACCTTCTCTTGTCACATGTCTGTATATGTAGTTGTGCTTCTTACAGGTTTACTGAGTCATAGTCACTTTATCTCCCTTTGAGTCACGCTAAGAACACTTGCTCTGTCCAGGCACTACAGGGAAGCTCTGCCTTCTTTGTTGGCAATTCTAGTTCTTTCTCCAGTGCATTACAATTCTTTGCCTGGTCTAATGGTCTAATTTGTCCCTTTCAAAACTTCATAGTTTTAGCAAGGAAAAGCTTGCTTCCTGGATGAACCACACTGGTCAGGCAATTTCCTTTATTAAAATTTCTTTGCGAGGCTTTCTCTTTCTTTACTTAAAAAGGGTGTATGTCATAAATTAATGTAGCACAGGCCAGTCATGGTGGCTCACACCTGTAATCCCAGCACTTTGGGAGACTGAAGCAGGTAGTTCACGTGAGGTCAGGAGTTCGAGACCAGCCTGGTGAAATCCTGTCTCTACTAAAAATACACAATTAGCCAGGTGTGGTGGTGGTTACCTATAATCCCAGCTACTCAGGAGGCTGAGGCAGAAGAATCGCTTGAACCTGGGAAGTGGATGTTGCAGTCAGCTGAGATCACATCACTGCACTCCAACCTGGGCAACAGGGCAAAACTCCATCTCAACAACAACAACAAAAAAAGAACGTAGCCCAAAAATGTGCTGTGTTGGGTGTGCAGAGTTTTTTGTTTGATTGATTTCTTTTGTTTTAATAGTTGCCAACATTCAAAAAGTAGAGGATTTTATAGAAAAATCTAGTCTTTTTCTTCACATATTTACAGTGGGCTGGAGCCCCACAGTGGCCACCCACTGAGACAGGGCATTAGTTTCCTGTTCACCATGGTCACGTGCTCCCAGCTCAGTGCACACAGGCATGCTCCTGCCTGGCACCCACAGACAGCTGAATTTGGAGCACATGCTTTATTTCTCCTCTGTTTGCCCCTCTCTCTCCCTGAGGATGTGCTATTGCCTCTGCACATCAAGGTTTATTCCTTCTCTGCTTATAGATGTTATATTACTGGCTTATATTGATTTTATCCTAAAAGTGTTCTCAAAGGATTTCTACTGTTGATTTAGCCAAAACATTCACTATTCCCTCAAAAATTGAAAGTGTTCATCTGAGGATGTTTCTAAAACTTGATTTCTAGTGCTTTCTTTGCTCCTATAGAAGTTATTAGTACACTTTTAAAATAACTTTTCATATTTGAAGAATATTCAGTTATTGCCTTATGCCCAAATATGTTGTATCTTAGAGGAGGGAAGAGACACCCTGTAATCTATGAGCATCTGACAAAGAACTTTTCTTATATGCTGACATTTTTCCTTCTTAAAGTCACACTTAACCTTCCAAAAAAAGATCCAAAAGTCAGCAATATCCTGTCTAATTACCGCCTAATTTGAATTTCATATTATTTTATGACTGGAAAATGAATAAACTCATTTATAAAAACAATTTACCTTTCATGATTACATATAATTGAATAACCAACAAAGTTATTGGGGAGGTGAATTTTTAACTGTTGAAAAAATTATTCAGAGACATTGAATGTTAAAGTTAGATCTGAGTTGGAAGAGTTTATGACAGTGATCAAAGCCTTTCTGTACTTATTTTCCTCTCATTGATCATTAGATTTGTTTTGATCTCTACCTCTTCACCTCCATTCTAATTTCAGCTTTGATTATCTATGTAAACATTGATGTTTCAGTATTACTTTTCTTTCCACTTTGTTGGACTGTTCTAAGCTGCCTAACATTTTCTTGGCAGTTTGCATTCAAAGCAAAAGATTTCATACTAATATAATTACAGTGCTTTGTTTTCAACTAAATTGGTTTTCAAAATTTCCCATTCACAATGGTTTACAAATCCTTTGAAGATAAGAGCAGATGGCTTTGAATTAGGGCAAGGAAAAATTCCGTAAAACTAGATTTTCTAAGTCTGTGACCCAGGCGTTTCAAGTCCTTAGACTTGAAGGCTGCCGAGGATTGAAAATTTTTAATGATACTTTTACCTACATAACAATATCTACTAATATGTTTGTATTGTATATGAAACTCTGTATTATATCAAATACCAATCATAAAAGAGAATGTTCATTTTTCCAGCTATTTAATTAAATAGGATGCTGTACTTCTAATATTCTTTATAAAGAAGACATACTCACACAAATAAAATGTCTTATAAACATATGAAAGAATGCTCAGTCTCACTTATAAATATGAAAATCCAATTGATATAGCATTTATGTTTTACCTATCAGGATTATTAAGACCAAAAATGTGTGATAATATACATGCCAGTGAAGTTATGGTAAAACAGGTATTCTCCCACTTGTTTAAAAAAAAAAAAATCACTAAACGGCATTACTTACCAAAACTTTTTTTTTTTGAGATGGCGTCTCTGTTGCCCAGGCTGGAGTGCAGTGGCACCATCTCGGCTCACTGCAACCTCCGCCTCCCTGGTTCAAGCGATTCTCCTGCCTCAGCCTCCCGAGTAGCTGGGACTACAGACAAGCGCCACCACGCCTGGCTAATTTTTGTATTTTTAGTAGAGACGGGGTTTCACCATGTTGGCCAGGATGGTCTGGATCTCTTGACCTCATGATCTGCCCACCTCGGCCTCCCAAAGTGCTGGGATTACAGGTGTGAGCCACAGCACCCAGCCTACCAAAATATTTTAATGCTCAGTTCTTTTGACCTACCGATTTCACTTTCTAGGAATTTATCCTACAGGTACATTTATGCTTGCAGTCAAAGACATACATACAAGAAAAATTTTATAATTGTAATTGTCTAAAATAGCATAAAATAAGCAACAATCCAGAGTTCCTCAGAAGGTTGAATATGGAGTTACCTAGCAATTCTACTCTTGGTATTTACCCAGGAGAAATGAAAACATAGGTCCACACGAAGACATACATTAACGTTCATAGCAGCATTCTGTATAACAGGCAGAAGATAGAAACAACTTAAATGTTCATCAACTGATGAATGGATAAATAAATGTGACATATGATGAAATATGATTCAGCCATAAGATAGTAATATTAATATCTGCTACAATATAATTGAACTGCAAAAACAACTAAGTGAAAGAAACTAGTCACAAACAACCACATATTGTATGATTCTGTTGACATGAAATATCTGGAATAAGCCAATCTGTAAGAAACCAAAAATAGATTATTGGCTGCCTATGGCAGCAAGGTTTGGGGATAGGGATGGGGAGTGACTGCCAGTAAGTACAGGGGTTTATTTTTGAGGTGATGTGTATATTCTAAAATTAGATTATAGTACTGGTTGCACAACTGTAAATATATTAATACCATGGAGTTGTATATTTTAAACCAGTTTATTTATGTGACTTATACTTCAGTGGTTATTTTTATAACCTAAGTGACCAGAAATAATGAGACTGGTCACATAAAATAAGGTAAATCCATGCAATGGAGAACTCCACTGTCATTTAAAAAAAAAAAAACCAGATTGCTCTTTTTGTGCCAATATATAACATCTTTTTAAAATTAAGTTAAGAAAGCAAAGTACAGAATAATGTATATACCATGGTTCCATTTCTGTAAAAAAATACATAGAATATATTTCTTGAAATATACCTAAGAAACTAGTAACAACTGTTGTCTTTGAGGCTTGTAACTAGACTATGGGGGTCTAGAACAGGGGTTTTTCTTTTCAGCATTCCCTCCTATATTTTCTTAAATGTTTTACTGTGCAGATATTTATTTTACAGTTTGCTTTTTTAAATTATTTTTGTTTTCTAAATGGAAAAAGGACAAAAGAAAAAGAAAATCAATCAGTGAAACATTAAATGTGTGATACATGCAGTGTCATAGGGCATACGCAGGTGTTGACAGTGGAGACCCACCTCAGAAGCTCACTGTTTAGCTAGGAAGAAAATGAATAAATAAATGAGAAAGTAATTTATGGTAATTTTAAATAAAATAAAAATGGTGTGAGAAAACACATACCAGTGCTCTGCGTACAAACAGAGAGCTCTCTGAGCTAGGTGATAACACCAGGGAATCACAGGACAGCCACACCACACTTCAAAAGGGCAGGCAGTTTTTTTAAATCTTGCTTTTAACAGAATGGTCAGATGTGTGGCAATTAGCATGTCATTTCGAGCACAGGTGGCAGTTTAGAAAACTTCTAATAAAAGTTACTGAAGTATGATGATCCCAATCTCTCTGCACAGATGGAAATAAACATGTCCTATCGATCTTTAAAGCGCCTATCCCATACAGAACACAACTGTCTTAGTTCCTAGAGTAATTCATAAGTAGCACTGAATACCTACTGTGTGCTTGGCAGATAGACATATTTTGAATTCTTATAGCAGCCCTGCAAGTTAAGAGTCAGTAGTCCCATTTTAATAGGCATAGAATCTAAAACCCAGAGAAGCAAAATAAATTACCCAGTGCCTTACAGCTAATACTGGGTGGGATTAGTAGTCAAGCCCTGGCCTCAATAACTTCAGCACAAACATTCTTTCTGCCAGTCTTTCAAATCCTCATGTTGAAAATTGTTTCTGGTGTGTTTTGGAGTGAAGAATCTGGAAGTAGTATTTGGTTGTTTTGGTGCCTACTGGGGTAGATCTAGGGATTTAAACTTCTTCATTCTTAGACTATTCTAAGATTCTCGAACAAATCTAGGATTAGACATGACTAATTTGAGGAAAAAGTGGTTTCTGTTTGTTTATTGTTTTCTTTGCAATTGAGGGGAGTAGACTGTAGTGTATGAATGGGACAGCCAGATCAATTAGTAGCTAAGAAGAATAGGACCATTTATTAAGAACTACCATACCATGTGTCAGATGCTTCTGCAGAGTGCATGTATGTGACCATTTCGCAGATGAGAAAATGAAGACTTGGAGATGTCAAGCAACTTAACCAAGTCTTCATATTGAGTAATAAAAACTGGAAGGTTGATATAAAAGTGGTTGAATCTGAATTTAAACCTAAGCCTTTCATTCTTTACTTCTCCATGAGGCCATCCAAACACATTTAAGATATAGAAGTAGCAAATGTAGGGGTTTTTTCCAAGAAGTTTGGCCATGAAGAAGAGGAACAAAATCAGCTGGTATCTAGGGTGGGGGAAGAGGTTAAAAAAGGATACTGTTGTTCTTCTATAGAGTTGAAGATATCAGACCATGTTTAAGATGGAAAGTGCATTGAAAAGATGAAACGCACAGTTCAGAGCACATGGTAAGTGCTTAGTGAATGTTTCTTGCTTGATGCAATGAAGGAGTTAATAATAAAGGGAGTGGGCTGTACAAGGAAGCAGGCACTGATGGGAACTAAAATGCCATTGTTAGAATGTGCAAGGAGGAATGCCATCTTTCCAGAGAATCTGGAGCAATAGAAAAACGGGAGAGCAAGATATCAGGAGATTTTCAGTTAGAATGCAGGGCAAGTGGAGATAGTCAGATGGGGCATTCTCCATGTTCTTAGTAAAATAAGAGGTAAGGTCATCTGTAGTACGTGAGGAAGGCAAGGGTAGGGTCTGGGAATGAAGGGGATTACAAACAACCTTTATGGTAAATGTGGTAAGATCTCAGTGAGACTCAGTCCTGAGAAATTCTGTGTTTACTTTAGATGCAAATGACTGTATGTGGCCATGCAACCATAAGAGATTCCATTAAGTGTCCACTCAAATAGTTTTACAAACTACTTAGTGCAGAGTTCACCAATACAGACTCTGGCAGCGCCATGTAGTTGCTAGAGCTTTTCTTCTTGTTTGAATGGGAAATGCTATGTACCTATACTGGCCCAGAGAAAATAAAAGTCTATATGCCGAGTTGCCAGCCCACGGCTAAAATCTGAGACAAATGCTTAATAATTCTCAAACAAATAGATGATGAAATTAAATAATTTCCAAATTTCTTAAGTTAAAGTAACAGAAATGATTTTATATGTGGCACCCCTCAGCCTTGTGTGACCATCTTTTATGTTTATGCAATGCTTCAGACTTTTTAAGATGCTTTCACATGTATTAGCTTATTTCATCCTTAAACCCTTTGAGGTAGTTAGGGCTCGATTACTCCCATTTGACAGATGGAGAAACTAAATCACATGGAGATTAAGTGATTTGCCAAAGACAAATAGCTCTTTGGTGATAGAGCTGGAGATAAAATCAAAGTTTTCTAATGCCTGGTCTAAGATACCCCAAGAAAAACAGAATTAGAAATGCCAAGTCTAGGGTCAGGGTTTTGTGGCAATTGGGAGCAGCAATATGGTATAACGTCTTTGGTGTTGTTAAGGAATCCATGGATTTAAAAATGAAATTGAGAACCAGATCTCCACATGTTCCTTATGCCCCTCGGGACATGAAGACTTTAGGTACCTTCTTAGTCAAAAGTCACAAACATTAGAATCTACAAGGTAGATATCCTAAGTCTTCATAGATCTTTGTTACCAGAATGTTGTAAAAGTATCCAGAACCAGCATTTTTGACCAACAGAAATACATAAAATGCAAAGTTTGTGAAGTAATACAATTTCCATTTCCCATGAGTATACCACCACCCTCGTTGGGTCCTCTCTATTCATTTCCACCTCTTCTGTCCCTGCTCCATCTTCCATTGCCCTCAAATCCACTTTTCTGTTTATAGAGATTTAGATCCTGACAAAATCTCACCATTTTGGGTAGCCTGCATTTCAGTGAACCTGGAACAATTCTTCAAGGCAGGGCCAGATAACCACTGAGCACCCACTGACTCATGGAAAGTCTCTCCTGGTCATTTCCTCATGATAAAATGGCCCCGGTGCTCCGCCCATTCCAGCATGCCTGAGCAGGGGAACGTGACTTGTGCAAGATCTCTTCCAAACTTCCACAATTAAAAAGGATGAAAAGTTTGAGTCAGAGGTTATTAACTTCCTAGATTTTTAAGAATTGTTTTTGTGTTCTAGAAGATATTGCAATTTCACTCCCTGTTATTCGCAATTCTCCCCATTTTTCTGTAACTGCTATAAACTGTTCCCTAATATAAATACAACCAATTTTCCTTAATTTTTTTTGTCATTAGTCACTCAAGCTCCCACTTGACTTATTAGCAAGATGCCTATTATGTCCTTCTTGAAGCCTTGATCTCCTGTTAAAATGCTCAGAGCACAGTTCCTCAGTCTGTCTCAGGACAACAGTGGGTAGTAGGTTGCAAATTCATCTGATTAGCTCATTGCTGCTGAACCATCCTGCACTGTCCAGAAGACCAGCTCTGCCCACTACTACAGGGATCCATACCCCTGCACAATCCTGTCTTTCTTTGAGGAAAACATTCTACATGGTCTTTTCAGTTCCAGTACTTTCAAATCACAGATACCCAGGCATTCCCCCCCTGAGCTTTGGGAGATGAGGTCCATAATTAGATCAGAGTTTTAGGTGTTAGCTCTCAAATTGCACATCCCCAATTTGTAATGCCAACTGAGGTCTAAACTTTTTGCTCTTTCCCCTTATTTTGTATCTTCTAAGTTCTTTTATGCTATTTCAAAATTCCCTGATTTCAGTTCTTGAGAGCTTTTTTTTCCAACCAGCTATTATCAGTCATTCATCTTTAAGAGCCTATTTCCTACTAGCTTGAATGTTTACATCCCTGCTTTCTGGTTTCCAAAATCAAATTCTAAGGCATCTGAATTTAGCATCAAGAACACCCCGATATGTGAGCCTTACAGTCTCTAGAGCCAGGTCTTTCCTGCATTAAACTGAAAACACTCATAAAATCACACTAAGAGGAAAAATACAAATCAAAAAAGCTGAACTTATGCCCAGATTGTAGGACAGTTTGCTAATGTCTATTTTAGCTTAGTAATAATTTTCATTTAATTACCTTGAGAAGCAGTAGAGCATAGCAGAAAGTGCATAGACATCATAAAAAAAAATGACTAGAGTTCAAATTCTGGCCAAGTTTGAAACCCACCGCTACGGCTTACTAATTCTCTGAACTTGGGTAGTTTTCTTAACTATCAAATGGAAGCTAGATAATAACATATACCCCCATAGGGCTGTTATACAGAATAAATAAGATTACATATGTAGAATGCCAAGTATGGTGCTTGCCAAAAATTGCATGATTAATTAATATTATTTAATATCATTATTCCCAGATATTTTTATCTTTATTGTTTCTATTTCTTTGCTCATTTTACTATAGTTCAATATTCATCCCCTTTCTTTCCATCAGAATAAAAACATATTTTTGCTTTTGAGGATGTTAATATTTCTAATTATATTTTAGTACACTTTATAAAGTCCAGATTGAGATTTTAGAGTCAATCATTAGACTCTAATGTCAATCGTTAGACATTAAAGTAAGTCTAACTGGTTTTTTCCTCCAGAAAAACTAAGATGCTTTTCCTTAGAATTATTTTGTATACATGCAAATGTATTCCTAGCAGTATTTGAAAGTGACCACCCGTTTTGCAAAGCAAAGTGTTTCACTGCCACATAGTAGTGTAACATAGGAAGACTTCAGCATATGTTCTCCCAAGCTTGATGAGGAAGAGTATGTTCAATTAGTTTAGTGCCTCATTATGTCTTTCAAACTATCTTTGACAATTGTCCAAAACTAATTTTTCTTAAAAATTTAACCAGTCCCTTTCCATCTCTTGCCCTGCTTCCCTCTGGTTTTGCTGCACTCTCAGGCGAGCCCTACTCTGGCAGTGGCAAGACTGCTGCTGGCAACTCAAGGAGGACCCCCTTCTAGTTCCAAGTCCGGTAGAAGAGCAAGCACACCCCTTCCTGGGTTTCTCAAGTTAGTATAACCACAGAAAGGAGAATAGATGTCGAGTAAGCAGAACCACAGAGGGCCCATTAGAGTCTCATAAGCCTGTGTAAAGGCAGAAAGCCTGGGTTTGGGAAAGTCAGTTTTCAGTGTTTCCAATTCAAAGGACTCACCATTCCCTACACCATTTCTATAACTTCTCACTTGTCGGCCTTAAGTCACTCTCCCAGGGTAATGCCTCCTGCTTGTCAAAATCTTTTCCATGAGAGGATAAGTCACAGATGGCTAATAAATATTTTTCTCTCTATTTGGACGGTTTATTAACATCTACTCACAGAGGCGTATTCTCTTTGGGTACAGCTTTTAAATCATTTATGAATCTACTGAACCATATTATTTATGAATTAAAATAACTGGATGCCATTTTCATCTGTCACATTCACTAGACTTTTTAATGTTTATTCTATGATAAAAGAGGCATGTCAAATTGGTAAGTAATAGCTTATCAGACAAATGGTGCAGAACGTTTGCTAAATGATTTAGGAGCAACAACAACAATCACCATAAAATTAAATCTCTATCTCACACCAAACTCCAAAATAAATTACTAATAATTTTAAAGTGTTAAATTTAAAAAACAAAAAACAACAACAACAAAAAAACTAAGCCACAGCGAAGTAGGAGAAAATGTACTGTTTATAATTATCTGTTCTCAAATTAGGGAAGGCCTTCCTAAAGATAATGTAGTGACAGAAATTATACACGAAAGGATTGATTGAATAGACTGGAGGAAAAGTCTGATATATCCAAAAATTTTTATTTTAGTTAGGACAAAAACGAACCGGATTCAACATTTCTAACATAAATATCTTGAGTTGGAATTTTTTATTCATGAGATTTATAGGGGAACTAATTCTGTCTACCTCTATCCCCTAAAAATAGCTGCAAAAGAAGAACTATTCTTGTGGGAACTGTACCTGGCCTAGAGGGTCTCGAGTCTGCAGTGCAGGGCCTGAGCAGATTTTAAGACTCCAGGAAGAAGGGAAACACTAGGGTGAGGTCAGAGAATGAAGAGAGAGGGCAATATGGTCAGCAATTACCCTAAGTGAAGAGCTTTGGCAAGAGGGAGAAATATCTAGAAGAAATTAGGAATGTGTTTGTGTCACATGCTGTGTAAAACCTTGGCATTACCCTTCTAAGGAAATTTACAGTGAAGTGCCGTATTTTTTTTGAAGTTTGTAAAGAGAGGCTTTCTTCGTTGTGTTATATTTTTAATGTATGGACAGGCAAAAGCAGGATCCAAAGCAGCCTAATTACATTCAGTTGGTCCAGTTAAGAAACAAAAAGATTAATATCCTTAATAAAAATATTTTAGAAACCAAGAAAAGGAAAATACTAATTTTGAAATAGGCAAAGTATTTGAATAAATAATACAATTAAAAGGAGGCCGGGCGAGGTGGCTCACGCTTGTAATCCCAGCACTTTGGGAGGACAAGGCGGGTGGATTACAAGGTCAAGAGTTCAAGACCAGCCTGGTCAACACAGTGAAACCCTGTCTCTACTAAAAATACAAAAATTAGATGGGCACAGCGGCGGGCATGGTGAAATCCCATCTCTACTAAAAATACAAAGAGAAACCCCGTCTCCAATAAAAATATAAAAATTAGCTGGGCATGGTGGCAGGCACCTATAATCCCAGCTACTCAGGAGGCTGAGGCAGGAGAATCACTTGAACCTGGGAGGCAGAGGTTGCAGTGAGCCGAGATCGCACCGCTGCACTCCAGCCTGGGCGACAGAGCTAGACTCCCTCTCACAAGGAAAAAAAAAAAAAAGGAAAATGGTTATAAACATGAAAAAATGACCTCATTTGTACTCAAAGGCAGGTAAAATTAAAACAAAATGTTTGTCAAGATATCCTCTTTTCCTCTCAGAAAATCACCCCAAAATGAGAAAGAAATTAAAATTCCATATTTAGGAAAACAAGGCAACCTGCGTAATTCCAAAGCCCAATATATGAAACCAGAAAGTCGATGGAGGATTGAGTGAGAGGAAGAGGATCAAAACAAAGAGGAAAGATATAGAAACAACTGATTCTAGTCACTATTTAGCAGATAGAACCTAGAAATTTTTTAGGTACCAGCAACGGTATGCTGATGATAAATGTTTAACAACCAGGAAAAACACTGTGTGTATGTGTGTTATGCGTATATACATATATGTAATACATCTTATTGATGTAAAGGATGAATAAGGCCGGGCATAGTGGCTCACACCTGTAATCCCAACATTTGGGGAGGTCACGGCAGGAGGATTGCTTGCGCCCAGGAGTTCAAAACCAGCCTGGGTGACATATCAAGACTTCATCTCTACAAAAAGTATAACATTTTAAAAAAAATTTAGATGGGCATTGTGGTGCACGCGTGTAGTCCCAGCTACTCAGGAGGCTGAGGCAGGAAGATCTCGAAAGCCCAGGAGTCTGAGCTTACAGTGAACCATGATGGAGCCACTGCACCCCAGCCTGGGTAGCAGAGCTAGACCCTGTCTCACAAAAGATATACAGCACACAACGTAGTAATAATAATAAAATAAACATACTCTTTATTGAAAATTCCATATAGCCAGTTGTTAATTTTTGCCAAATTATTTTATCTGTAGCCAACTATGTTTGCAATTAACAATCTTCTTTTTGAAGATTTGTCTTAATTCATGGTATTGTTTGCTTTGCTTCTTAGGTACTAGCAAAGGCCAGACGTCTTACTCAACAACTTCCCTGCCACCACCTCCACCATCCCATCCGGCCAGCCAACCACCATTGCCAGCATCTCACCCATCACAACCACCAGTCCCAAGCCTACCTCCCAGAAACATTAAACCTCCGTTTGACCTAAAGTAAGCAAAAGATTATCTTGCGATTTCTTTCCTAGTCTCTTGCCGTAGATTTTCAAACTGTGCTTGGTCAAATGCTGAGAGTTCCATGGGAAACTTCTGGGTCTACAAAAGTGGGCAGCTGGCAGGGAGAAGAGCTGGCTGAGCTGGCCGAGCTGGCCAAGCTGGCAGTGCAAATACCCCTAGAATTGCTCAGTTCTGAGCCATTCTTATTTATCTGTTTTATGTTGGGTTTCCCCTTAAGCCTTTATAGAAGCAAATTTCCACTGTTTTTTAAAAAGTTCTGAAGCTTTCTTGAGAACCACCAACTCCTCCACTATCAACATCTCCAACTCCTCCACTATCACGATCACCACCACTCCATCACCATATTTTTACTGACTGCTTATGAGGTGCTAGGACTTTTACATATATCATCTCTATAACCTTATTGATTAGATAGTATCATCATTATTTCACAGATGAGGAAATGGAACTTTAGCTCTGCAAAGAAGCCAAGTAACTTCTCCAAGACCACAAAATAGTGTAGAATAAAAATTTCAACCAATGTAGTCTGAATCCAAAGTAAGTGTGCTTTAAACTACTATGCTAAATAGCCTCCTTTAATTAAACAATAATACAGATTTTCTCTCATCCATCAGAATTTTTGGCTGGGCGTTAACATCTAGGAAACTTTTATTCAAGCCTGCTCTTGCTTGAATTTTCTTAGATGATATTTTTCAGAAATGTCAGCACTGTAGGGGTTGCTATGCATGGGCTCTTTATCCAGGATTTAATAGAAAAGTTGGTAAAGGAAAAAGCGAGTGGCAGGTTGGAATAAAATGGAATGTCATTTTAAGAATATTCAGACAATGGCAAGCATAAATCCTTAAGACAAAATGGACTAGATATTCCCTTTCTTCTTGTAGAAAATTGCTTAACATGATTCTCCTTTATCACAAATAAGTAATATCTCAACATATTTAGTACAATTTGATTTTCCTTCACTTAAATTCCCCTACCAGATTGATGTTCCTTACAACAAAATACTTAATATCCATAATCCATGTAATGGAAACTGTTAATAACAATATTGGATTGACAGATTCCCTGACATGCTTGATGACTACAATTTAGGGAAAGGATAGAAAACATATTCGTCATGGAAAAACACCACCATTTTTTAACTTTAATATGCTTTCTTGGGGGTTTAAGGATAGTAAGTAGAAGGTGCTAGAGCAGCTTCCTGGCTATTATCTTACATATGACCTGCGTTGTGCATTTATATTAATGGGCTGCACACCCTTCAAGGCATTTGAATTTATGGATGTCAGTTTAAAGCCTCTAATCCTCCATGATATCCAGCTACTTTTTCAAAAGGGAAAATATGTATAGTGAAAGACTTTCAAGCTCCCATCAGAAAGCTCAAGTAAATTCCACAACGAAGAAATCTCTGGGTTAGAAAATTTTCCCCAAGAAGGGGAAGCTAGAAATACATAGAGGAAATGAAACCAAAATGGGCCTTGATGTTTGGGCTCAAAAGTTTATATTTCACATGAAGGGGCAATGTATGGGGTAGTCTGTAAGAAGAATTGTGAAAGATATAGGTGTTTCTGTGCTTCTCACAGCACCAGTCCTCAAAACACATACATGAGTATTTCCCAAACATTCCCTCTGCCAACCTGCAAACGTTCCTCCCTTTTCTAATCAAAGACCACTCTCAAGTCAAGATCTAATAGATTTCCTTTACAGTCATGCAACAAGTATTTTTTGAGCCACTACATTGTGCTTTTGTAATAGGAGTTCAGGAAATATTAGTAAACAAACAAAGACCCCTGCAAAGCAGGGACCAAGAAACTAAAGAAATGAAAATAATAAACAGGGCTGGGCATGGTGGCTCACACCTGTAATCCCAACACTTCGAAAGACAGAGGTGGGAGGATCGCTTGAGCTCAGGAGTTTGAGACCAGCCTGGGCAATATAGCGAGACCCTGTCTCTACTAAGCATTTGAAAATTAGCTGGGCATGATGGTGCATGCCTGTAGACCCAGATACTCAGGAGGCTGAGGCAGGAGAATTGCTTCAGCCCAGGAAGTCGAGGCTGCAGTGAGCCATAATTGTGCCACTGCACTCCAGCCTGGGTGACAGAGCAAGACCCTATCTCAAAAATAAATAAATAATAAACAGGTAAAGAATATGGTATTAGCACTTGATACTTCCTAACATATTTCCTAAAGGGAAAACGGAGCAGAGGTAAGTGGTGGAGGTGGAGTGTGAGGGTGGCATTGGGGACAGCATGTTGCTGCTTGAGAGAAGTATATATTTATACTTTTGCACCAACCTAATAGAAAATGATACTTGAGCAAAGATTCAAAGGAAGTAAGGGAGTTAGACATGAAGGAAGACTGTTCTAGGCACAGAGCGCAGGTAGAGAGAGCAAGGGAAGGAATGGTAGGGAAAGAGTCAGCTTATGTAGGGCCTTGTAAGCCATGATAGAGATTGCAGCGCTTATCTTGAGTGAAATGGGAACCACTCAAAGAGCTACATCAGAGCAGTGACATTTTCTGACTTGTGCTTTATAAAAATCACCTTAATGGCTATGCTGAGAAGAGACAGTAGGTAGACAATTGTCAAAGCAGGGAAATCTGTTAGATATCACAGAAATGCAGGCAAGGTATGCAGTAGCACTGACCATGATGGGAACAGTGGAGGTGGTGAGAAGTGTCCATATGTTGGGTGTATTTTGAAGAGAGAGACAAAAGAATTTGGATTTAGTGTATGAAGGAAAATGGGAATCTAGAATGGGTGGTTCCAGTGTTTTTGGCCCAAGCAACTGTAAGTATCATGCTTCCATCAGCCCAAGCACCACCATGAGGAGGCTGAAGATGTCAAAGGATGAAGATGTTAAAATCACAACAGATCTAAAGATCTCAAGAGTTTCTATTTGCACGTCTAAAATTGGGCAACACTTTGTTCCATAAAGTAAAGTAAGTGTTCCAAAGATTGAAGCAGAGGAGGTTGGCTTTATAAACAAAAAGAACTAAAGAAAGCAGAAACAAAAACCAAAAAGTGGATTGGTCATTTCAAAGTTACTTTCCTTGTAAGGCAGGTACAGGGAGATAGAACAATAGAAAGATAATGGGTTGGTTAACATCAGGTACTTCAGGTCAGTCTTTCCTGTAAAGATTAAAACAGAGCTTCATTATTATGACAGAAAGCGAAAACTGGCCTCTTCAGGCAGCTAGGCCATTCTCTCTCTCTCCTGATTTCCCAAAAGGCCAGATAACAACTCAGTTTCAGTTTGGTGAGCGTGGGTGACTCCATTTTGATTTTTAATCTGGTCTTCTGGGGCCCAGTGCGGGAATTTAGTCGAAAAAAAATGGCCTCCTAGATTTTGTTTAACAAAGGTGAACAAGTTTTGTTTAACAAAGGTGAGGAAGATCTGGAGGTCATGGCTATGTTAAGTTTGAGGTACCTTTTAAGCATCCAATTGGGTAAGAAGTTCTGGGTTTAAAATAGGAGAGAAATAGGAACACATTTCACACTGAAAGTCATAAGGCTGGTTAAGATGACCAAGGAAGGGAGTGTAAACAGAGAAGAAAGGAACTGAGCTCTGGGGCACTGTAACTCTCTGAGGCCTGGGAGGAGGAGAAGGGGCAAAGGAGAATAACAGGAACAATCAATAACGCCGGGGTCTTGGAAGCCCAGGAAAGGAAGCATCCAAGGAGGAGTCAGTGAGAAACTGTGTCAGGTGCTGGTGGAGGCCAAAAAGTGAGGACTGTGGAGGTCAGTGCAGGGGAAGTTGTCAGGAGTGGTGGCGATACAAGGCTGATTGAAATGGCTTTAAAAGAGTATGAAAGGAGAGGAATTGGACAGAGCAAATATAAACAACTCCTTTACAAAGAAAGGGCAACCAAAGAAATGGGACAGTAACTGATGGGAGAAATGAGATCAAGAGCCTTTTTAAAGATGGAAATAACAGCACTTTTGTAGGCTGATGGAAAGATCCAGTCAAGAGGGAAAAATGGTAAGGGTGGAGAGAGGGGAGAATTGCAGGAGCCAAGCATTAGAGCAGCAGGGAGCAATGGCTTCCCTAAGGTTTACAGTTCTCCCTAGCATGTGGAGTGGAATCTCTAATTGGGATCAAGGAAGGAATTTTAGAAGACAGGGTGGACTTTATCATCTGCAGCCTGTTCTGCCTACTCCTAAAGCTGTTCCCAGAAGTAACTTGCAATCATATCATTCAGGTCAGGATGTTTTAAGAGTGTAAAAGATTCCAGACAGGTGAGAATCAGAAATCCTAAATAACTGAAAATAAAGTAGTTGAGGCCAAAGTTATATTGTATTTTAAATTGTATTGTTTCCCCACCTAGTGGTCAGAAATCAGTTTGTTACATTTTCTGCTATTTTTACTCAGGCATTTGAAGAGAAAATGAAATGGGTCAAAAGAGCATGTTTATCATTTTTAATGTTCAAATCAACACCTTTTAGTGTAATACATTTCTTGGTACCTTTTTAAATTATAATTTTAACATCATAATTTTTCATATTGAAACAGAATCAATGGTTGTGTTTTGGCATATCAAACAAATTACATGGTTATTAATAGTAATGAGACAGGAAAAGTGATGTAATAAAAAATAGTAAATAATGGGAAGTGACTAAGGTTAGAAAAGGGAAGGTTCAACAGTTCTTACCCTGAAGTCATTCATAGTTAGTTTAAAGGGTTTTTTGGTTTCTGTTTATGTGTGTGTTTTATTTTTTGTCTGTAAAATTGGAGGAAAAGTAAGAATTTACCATTATAACCTTTTCATTAATTAGAGATGCTTAAAATGTTCTGAAACTTGAGACTTGCCGTATCAGTAGCCAGCTGCCAGATAGTCTTCTCTCACACTAGTTGGAAAGTGTTGGCTTAAACAAGTCAGTTTTCAAATTCCTCGTGGGTTAAATATAGGAAGACATGTTCCAGAGAAAAGGCCGCAAGATTTTACTCCCAGTAAGGCAGGTATAGAACAAAGTTTAATGTGTCATGTAGATTTCTTCCTCCTTCTTTAAAAAAAAAAAAAAAAAAAAAAAAAAAAAAAAAAAAACCTGCTGATAATTAAAAGCTAAATGCATGAATAGCCAATAAAGTAAAAGGCCAGCTGGGCATGGTGGCTCATGCCTATAATCCCAGCACTTTGGGAGGCCGAGGTGAGCCAATCACATGAATCCAGGAATTCAAGACCAGCTTGAGCAATATGATGAAACCCTGCGTCTACAAATATATATATATATATATATATATATATATATATATATATATATATATATATAAAAAATACATATAATATACATATAATGATAAGGGTGGAGAAAGGGAAGAATTGCAGGAGCCGGGCATTAGAGCAGCGGGGAGCAATGGCTTCCCTAAGGTTTACAATTCTCCCTAGGGTGTAGAGTGGAATCTCTAATTGGGATCAAGGAAGGAATTTTAGAAGACAGGGTGGACTTGCCGGGCGCGGTGGCTCACGCCTGTAATCCCAGCACCTTGGGAGGCCGAGGAGAGCAGATCACAAGGTCAGGAGATTGAGACCATCCTGACTAACACGGTGAAACCCCGTCTCTACTAAAAATACAAAAAATTAGCCGGGCGTGGTGGCGGGCGCCTGCAGTCCCAGCTACTCGGGAGGCTGAGGCAGGAGAATGGCGTGAACCTGGGAGGCGGAGCTTGCAGTGAGCCTGGGCGACAGAGCAAGACTCCGTCTCAAAAAAAGAAAAAAAAAAAAAAAAAAGACAAGGTGGACTTTATCATCTGCAGTCTGTTCTGCCTACTCCTAAAGCTGTTCCCAGAAGTAACTTGCAATCATATCATTCAAGTCTGGATGTCTTAATAGCATAAAAGATTCGAGACAGGTGAGAATCAGCAATCCTAAATAACTTTGAAAATAAAGTAGTTGAGGCCAAAGTTATATTGTATTTTAAATTTAAATACACACACACAGACACACACACACACACACACACACACACACACACAGGCATATGTACAAAAGTTTAGCTGGGCATGGTAACACGTGCCTGTCGTCTCAGCTACTTGGGAGGCTGTGGTAGGAGGATCCCCGAGCCTGAGAGGTCCAGCCTGCAGTGAGCCATGATCTCTCCACTACACTCCAGCCTGGGGGACAGAGTAAGATCCTGTCTCCAAAAAAAAAAGAAAAGAAAAGTATAGAGGTCAACAGTTTTACATCTTTATACATCAGGAAATAAAGCACTAATAAGCTTTCTAAAAATGACAGTCATTAACTTTACTTTTCCTATTTAATTCTACATGCTATAGCATAAAAACAAAGATCTATAGTGAGAGGCCTTATTGAATAGACCTATTATCATAACTGATAAGCTTCTTTTTCTTCTCATTCACCCCCTCCTTCTGCTCAGTTTCTTATGACTTGGGCTGTGACTGGTTCCATTGTTTTTCTCTTACTCTCTGTATGGGGCTTTTCTCAATGCTTGGAACCCTTAGCGAATTTGCTGACAGTTTGATCTGGATTTACTCATGGCACCTGCACCTATTTATTTTCCTCATTTCTTTTCCTTTTATTCTTCACCATCATTGCTATTATAGTCACTATTTCATATTTATTGAATATTAATAATATACATATTATAAATTCAGGCCTATATAAAGTGGCACTAAGATTCATATGCTATAATTTTGGGTCCATAAATAAAACAAATGTGTGCAGGCAAACATTGTCTACAAGTAATAAATGCTTTGCATAAATGTGCAGACACACGTGTATGAATGTGCTATGCAAATACCCTTCCTTTTAGAAGTATTTGTTATTCATACAGGTGTTTTAGGAAGTAAATTGCTTAAATCTGGTGGTCTTTTTGATTTAACATCCTTTTCACCAATGATAATTTGCTTTAGTAATAAAAGTTAGTCTCTTGTTGTTACTGGAATATTGTTAATTCATCAAAAAAATCAAAAGCCTATCATGACAGGAATTATTCTAATAACTCTCTAAAAGGATAATCATAATAATAAATTAACTAGCAAAGTGACAATCCCTTTCCTTAAGGTGTTTATGGCCTGGTAGTGAAAAGAGAAACCTGAAGCAATTACCCCATAATTACGAAGGAATACAGAATAATCACTATAATGGATGAATGGATGGATGATGCAGAGAAGCAATGCAATGATTAGGCTTAAGGAAATCAGGGACAACTTCACAAAGGAAGGACTGTTTAAGGAGAGGCTTAAAGAATGGAGGCCAGGTGCAGTGTCTCACGCCTGTAATCCTAGCACTTTGGGAGGCTGAGGCAGGTGAATCACCTGAGGTTAGGAGTTCAAGACCAGCCTAGCCAACATGGTGAAACCCTGTCTCTATTAAAAATACAAAAATTAGCCGGGCATGGTGGCAGGCATCTGTAGAATCCCAGCTACCTGGGAGGCTGAGGCAGGAGAATCCCTTGAACCCGGGAGACAGAAGTTGCAGCGAGCCACGTTTGCACCACTGCACTCCAGCCTGGGCAACAGAGTGAGACTCTGTCTTAAAAAAAAGAAAAAAAAAGAAAAAAAAAAAGAATGGGAGGACCACAAGCAGGGGATGCTGAGAAGGGAGGATTATTCCAAAGAAGGGAAGCGTGGGCTGAGCATGAAGGAACAAGAAACCAGAGAGAGTTCAGACAGCATGTGAGTTTACTGTTAATATGTGAGAAGATAATGTAAGAAAAGGAAATATGAGAAATAAAGCTTTACAGGGCAAGATTGATCATAAGAACCTTGTATGCCATAAAAAGAGCTATGGATTTTACTCTGTACAATGTCAGTGTATTTTAATGTCTTAGGTATTTTCATCTTTTTAATTAATATTCAATTCATCAAAATTAGTAATGCAAAGGCCTATTTTCCTTTAAGTACTTAAATTTATATTATGTGACTTGTTATTTTATTTATACATCTAGTAATTTGTATTTAAATTAGAATTATTTTCAGGGGATCTTTGATTAATGATTGGACAACTCACATGGCTCAAACTAAATTCTTTCAAATCAATAGTTCTGTTTATAAATGTGGTTAATGAAACTTCTTGCGATGTTTCATATTGCGTGTATATATTAACATATTTAATTTCATTTTTAAACATTCCAAATATCTGAATGAACACACTTAATCACCCCACTAAGCAAAATCCTCTCAAGAATTTAAATGACTCTCATAAATCTATTAAATTGAACCATATCCAGTTCCCTTAAATATCCAATAGCATTTGCAATTAGATTTTTCTTATGCTTTTTAAGAAGTATATTTATTGTAAAAAATGTTAAGCATATAAAAGGCAGGAAGAATAGTATAACGAGCCTCCACGTTCCTTTCACCAACTTCGACAACTATAAACTCATGGCCAATCTTGTCTTATCTATACCCTCACCCACTTGCCTCTTATATTATTTTGAAACTAATACAAAACATCATATAATTTCATCTATAAATATTTCAGTAGTTATTCCTAAAAAAATAGATTCTGTGCATTAATATAAAATACCAAGTCAGTGTTCAAATTTCCAATTATCTCTTACAACATATATGTGTTTTAAGTTGTTTGAATAAGAATCCAAAGTATACACATCTACGTTGGCATATATGTTTTGTATTTTGTTGTTGTTTTTTGGTTTTTTTTTGAGACACAGTTTCGCTCTGTTATCCAGTCTAGAGTGCAGTGGCACGATCTTGGCTCACTGCAATCTCCACCTCCCGGGTTCAATAGATTCTCGTGCCTCAGCCTCCCAGGTAGCTGGGATTACAGACGCCCGCCACCACACTCGGCTAATTTTTGTATTTTTAGTAGAGACGGGGTTTCACCATGTTGACCAGGCTGGTCTCGAACTCCTGACCTCAGATGATCCACCCACCTCAGACTCCCAAAGTGCTGGGATTACAGGCATGAGCCACTGCGCCCAGCCTGTTATTCTCTTTTAAGATATAAGTTCACTCTCCATGTCTTTTTTTAATTCTTTGCAATTTATTTGTTGAGGATATCAAGTTGTTTGTGGATACTATAGTTCCCCATCATCTAGATTTTGCTGATTGCTCTCTATAATATAGCTATATGTCCCTGTCTCCTCTGTATTTCCTATACATTGAGAGTGAGAGGTAGAGGTGGCTGGATCAAATGTAGTTCTTTTATTTTTTGGTGTATTCTTTTATCGGGAACTAATAATGTTCACTTGACTCTCCTTTTTTGATGTGAGCAGCCATTGACACTCAATACCCAGACTCCTTAATGTTTCAGCTAAAATTTAGAAAGTCTACACCACAAATTTTAAATTGATGTGACAAGTCTAACTGAATATTTTCTAATGTAACAAATCTCTTAAATATTACAGATACTTAAAAAATTGACTGTACATACATTATCCCAATGGTTATAAAACTTACTCCACAAATTGTTTTTACTATGAGTTTGGCTTATTCCATCATGTCTGTATTTAATTCTGAATGTTCCAAGGATGAAAAAGACTCACTAAAGAAAACAAGTGTCTTGTCATGACAAATTTAATGAGTTAATTAACAGGGCCTTTACACTTACCCAAATAGAAAGCTAAGCATATATAAGTTAAATTTTTAATTTTCTATTTTTTTAAAGTGAGTTTATTAGATTAACAGTTAGTCCCTACCTATATTTACCATCTCAAGTAGAGACTGAGACAGATATCCATGACAGTTCTTCCTGAGTTACAAATGTATCCACTGAGCCCATTTTATGGTTTTAGTGATAAAAAGTCACTTCCAGCCCACATTCTTCAAATGTGGTGAAACACACATTTTACAACCAGCATCTCTTGTTCAAGTAATATTCTTTCCTAACTCTTTAAGGAGTTTGACTATGGGACATGAGAGTGATATAATCATATTTTTGTGTTAGAAAGATGGCAAAAGTTGGAGAAGGGACTATCAGGATAGGGAAGAGAAGGAGTAATTCTGATTACCAGGACACTGACCAGATGACTACTGCAACAGTCCACTCCAGAGATAATATAATCCTATTTTTGTGTCTAGCGGGAGAGACGAGAAATGGAAGAGGGAAGTAAATTAGTATGGGGAACTGGTGTAATTTGATGATTGATTTGACATGGAACTGAAGATGAGTGACAAACAAAGGATGAGTTGCTGCTTGATAGATATGTGAATTGTGGTGCCATCCACCAAGAAAAGAAACCTAGTAGGGAGAGCAGGTTTAGGCTGGGCTAAAAGGAGGGAACCTCAGTTTCTGAGATGATAATACAGAACTGGCTGTAGGACACCCAAGATGTATATATTTGAATCGGAATCTCAGAAGAGAAGGCTGGGCTAGAGATTTCAACATGGAATTTGCCAACATTAAGATCATATATAAAGCTATGGAGGTACATAAAACCATTTAGGAAAAACTGCAAAGTGAAAAAAGAAGAAGAGAACCAAGACCAGAACACAACAGAACATCATCATTTAAGAGAAGGCAAAAGAAAATAAACCACAAAGAAAATTGTGAGGTAGTAGCCAGAGAGACAAGAAGCGAGCCAGGAGCTATTTCTCATGGAAACAAACAAAGGAGACTCAAAGAGGGCAAAATGGCCAATACTGTCCAGGGCCACAAAGCAATCAAGTGAGATGCAGTTTGAGAGGGTCCAGTGGATTTGGTAGCTAGTATTTTTAAGAATACTCTCAGGGAAGAAGTGGCAATAGGGGAAAGATTGCAGTCGGGAAAGAAATGCGTGAGAGAAGAGGAAGTAGAGTCAGTGAATAAAGACAATTTTTTCTTAGCTTGGCTGGATAAAGGAAGAATATCTTGTGGTAATGTGAAGAATTCACAGAGGTAAAGTGAAGTGTTTGTTTCTTATGAATGGCAGTAACTTGGGCTGAGGGAGAAAACAAAGAATGAGAGATTTAAGGGCAAAGAGTGAAGTAAGGAGAATATAAGTAATAAAGCAACACATGGAAGAAAGGGGGTAATCAATGGATTCTCAGAAAATTACTGAGAATTCAGATCAAATTCAGAATACAGGTGCAGAGAGTAGAGAGAAGGTAAGGATGAGTATAACTGCAGATGAGTTTGTGGGTTAAGAAAATGTATTTTCTTAAGAGAGCTCACACCTAATGACTGCTGCTTCATCAGTGAAAGAAGAAACAAGGTCATCTGATTATAGGGGAGTGGAGAGGAATCACACATTGAAGAAAGTGGTAAACATTTTTAATAGGTATGGAGAAGGACAACGCAAGAGAAGGCTGACTACACAAAAAAGAGTGATGGGATTGTAGAAAAGCAGGGGGGATACAGCTGAGATTTAATACCAATTGTTTGTAATGTCCAGAGTCAGTAAAATTGACGGCCATTTTCTCCAGCTATGTTAATTAACTGAGAATAGGAATAGAAAATATAAATGGTCATATACATAATTAGGGATTTGTAAGGCCCAGGTATTGATAATGCTATTAAGGGCAGTTGGAGTGAAGCCATTGGAATGAAGCACCTTGGAGTTCAGGGTGATAAAAGTGAAGCCAAGACAAAAGCATCTGGAGAAAAGGAAGGAGTCAGGGATTGGAACTATGTAAGTTTTTTTTTTTTTTTTCTGAGACAGAATCTTACTCTATTGCACAGGCTGGAGTGCAGTGGTGCGATCTTAGCTCACTGCAACCTCCACATCCCAGGCTTAAGCAATTCTCCTACCTCAGCCTCCTGAGTAGCTGGGGTTACAGACGTGCACTACCATGCCAGGCTAATTTTTTGTATTAGGTCGGTGCAAAAGTAATTGTGACTTTTATCATTGGTTTTATGTCAAAAACCATAATTACTTTTGCACCAACCTAATGTTTTTAGGAGAGACGGTGTTTTGCCCTGTTGCCCAGGCTGGTCTGGAACTCCTGACTTCAAGTGATCCATCTGCCTCAGCTTCCCAAAGTGCTGGGATTACAGGTGTGAGCCATGGTGCCCAGCCCTAGAACTAATTCTCTTTTGTGTGTGTACCATAGAACCAATTAAATGCCCTCATAATCCCAGAATTGAAGTGTTGATTTACTACTAATATAATGGGAAACATATTACCCTCCAGAAGCAACGGATTAATTGTATGAGTCTACTATGAATAGATGGTGCTATACTCCAGTTTCCCAATTCTCCATTTTCTGCCACAGGAGCAGCAGAAGTATAAGGCTAAAGCCTATGCTAGTGATGTCTGAAGCTTTAAATCAGAGCAAAGGTTCAAGAAAAAAGAACAATTCATGAAATAATCCTTTTCCCTTTTTCATTGTAAGGTGAGCATCTACTTGTTCCATGTTCACTGTTTCTTCTTTCTCGTTTTCAGAAGCCCTGTCAATGAAGACAATCAAGATGGTGTCACGCACTCTGATGGTAAACGACAAAAACATATTTTATTTATTTATTTGTAAACTCAGGTACAGAAGTTTGAGCTATTCATTCTTATAGGCTCATTAATGGGTCATTATCATCACTGGTCTGTGCAAGGCCCCTCTCGTTTTATTTGTTTATTCCCTCTTATCCTCATGACTCACTTCCTTTCTCCTCCTTCCTTACTACAGACAAATATTCTAACATATTTAATGTGTATGTGTGTTTGCACAAATTCTTCACATATTGTGACATGTATGCATGTATTTAGTTCACAGAAAGAGTATGTTATAGGTTTCTCTCGTCTTTTTGTACAATCAGCATAATGTGGTTTTGGGGCCCATTCATATCACCATGTGTGTGTTTAGCCTGTTACTGTTAACGACTGCACTGTACTCCATGGTATGCATCCACATTTCACTTGCCTCAAACTCACTGGTACCACAAACAACAATGCAATACACCTTCTTGTATTCATCCCCATGCGGACCTCTCAGAGACTTATCCTTAAGATATATACCCTGAAGTGGAATGGTTGCTAAGAGCTGTGGAATACTTAGGTTGACCGAGTATGACAGGCATGCTCTCCAGAAGAGATGCATCTATCTACACTCTCATCAATCGGTCCTGTTATTCAGCTTTCCATTTTTTTCTTATGTGAATCAAATTATATCTCCTTTTAATTTCTATATCTCTGCTTACTCTTGAGTTTGAGCACTTTATTTGCTTATAAGCCTTTGTGGTTTCTTCTTCTGTAAGTTGCCAGTTTCTACCTTTTGACCATTTTTTGTATTGGGAGTGGTATATTTTTCTAGTTAACTTGTAGGGGTTCCTTTATATTTCAGACATTAATGTCATGTCAACTTCAAACATTGCAAATATCTTCTCCCATTCGGTCAGTTGTCTATTAACTTAGCCCATGCTGTCCTTCATTGAATGTAAATAAATTTTGATATAATCGAATGTATTAATTTTGCCTTGTAATTCATGCTATTTAAGAAGTCTTTTTTCCTAGAAAATAAAAATGTTCTCATTTTTTCCTGTAGACTTTATCACATAAATATATTTAGGTCTTTGATCTCTTTGCAGTCCCCTTTGAGGAGTTAGTAGAAATCCAGAATTGCCTCATGTATGGAGCCAGTTTTCTCCTTACTGTACTCTAAACAATCCATCCTTTTCTCATTAATTTATAGTGCTACCTTTATATTATATCAGCTCTATGTGTGTGTATGTGTATATTATGGGTGTGTTTATGTACATTTGTGTATGTCACTGAATTTTCTGCTCTATTCCATTGGTCTATTTGCCTGTTCTTATACCAACACCACACTGTTTTTATTATTAATATTATTATATTATTGCTCTTAATATTGGATTCTGTTTCAATATTCAGTAATTAGTTTTGATATTACACTGAACTCTTATTAAATTTTTTTAATCCAATTAACTTGATTTGTTTGATACATAAAAACAAATCCTTGGGAACTAATAAGTAAAAAGGTGTGAAACAGTGATTTTTTAATACCTTTTTCCATGCAAGCCCAGAAAACCAAATGGACATCCCTTTTCATAAAGGTAATAAACAGTGTATTAATTATTTTTCGCCCTTTGCATTATTTTATGAAAGCCAATGAAATGATTTTATAATTAAGTCACCAGCACAAATAAAAGCCATAGTAAAGATCTAAAGTACGTATTTGATTTTCTATTTCTGTATCTTTGATAAAGCATAAGTTCTGTTAGATTATGAACTATTTTGAATATTATTATATCATATCCAATAATCTTACATTAAAGTGCTTCCTTATTACAAATGTATTAAATTTTATTTTTTTAATCTTTTAGGTGCTGGAAATCTAGATGAGGTCAGATTTTTTTCTCTTCTCATATTATATTGACATAATCAGAATATTTCACAAGTATTATGATTCACTCCGTATTGGTACAAAACAAACAAATGAAAATCCTTATGAGCAATGATATTTTTCCATTTCTAATCTTATTTCATCTAAAATGCTTAAGATGTTACACACTAGTCATCACACTGACTCATTATAATGCTGTAGTGCTGAACAAACTTAAGTCTGACTACACGTCTGATTTATATAGCAAGATAGAAAAGGAAATTTTGTTTTTGCTTTCCCAGTCTATTTCTAAGGAGAAAAAAAATATTTTAAATAAGCCAAACTTACATACAATAGTTGTTTTACTGAGTATTTGAATTATTCTTTCAAAAATAATTCACAGTATGGCTCCTTTAAGTAGTTATTCCTCTGGACCATTTAATATGTGGTTCAAATTATAAAAATTTACATTGTTGCCTTCATTTTAAGTCTAAGCAATGTAATATGTGTGTCAACTTTTTAAATAATAAAAATTAATCATTATCAATGTTTTTCTTTACAGGAACAAGACAGTGAAGGAGAAACATATGAAGACATGTATGAATTACATTTTTTACCATGACAGTTTTCTTCAAAGATGAATATAATGTTTTGTATGAGGGAGAGTGGGTATATAACAACACTAGGAGGGAAGCTTGATTTGTTCAAATGACTGGCGTATAATAACTTTTATTTCAATTTAAAGGACCCAAAATTATTTAGTTCTCTAAGAATTCTACAAAGGACTCTGTTAAAAAGCTATTGTGTGAGAGGCCAGAGACATGCCTCTGAGATAAACCACAGTCAGGGAATCAGAGACAGAAATCTGATTTCTTACTCTTAGTGTATCCTTGGGCAGATGAGTTAATTTATGTTACGCCTTCTTCACCTGAACAGAGCTCCACCCACGGGGTGCTATGAAAAATAATTTATCATGACGCCCAGAGGTCAGAGTGTCAGCTGCTAAAGTGGAAAGATGTTAAACAAAGAAGTTTCTTGGAAACGAAATTTCTTGGAAAGTGGGTGAAAGTAGAAATGAATATATTATCTTACTTTATCATATGTTGATCTCAGATACCTTAATTTTCTCTACCCAGTGTTTATTCAACCAATTCTGACTCAAGTTTCAGAGCCAAGGTTTATATGTGTACCTGTGAATGCACAGGCACGTGTGCATATGAAAGAGAGAAAAAGAGATGGATTCTATTTATGCGAACATACAGCAAGAATGGGGCCTCTATAAACGGTGGCTTCCACTTGCTGGCACAAGTTGTCAGGGAAAGCAGAGCCTTTGGAAGGTATCCTCAGCAGTGTGCCTCCTACTGGTTTTAAAAATAATCTCACACATTCCGGATTTTGACAACCTTTCGCTTTTTACCTTCAACTGTACTTCAGATACCACCTTTTCTGTTGTGAGTAGAAACTTCTAGGTAGGGAGTTCCGACGCATCAACACCTGCAGATGTGAAAACAACCTAACAATTTTTACTCACAGAGAAGCATCCAAAGAAAGAGAGAAGAAAAGGGAAAAGGAAGAAAAGAAGAGGTTAGAGCTGGAGAAAAAGGAACAGAAAGAGAAAGAAAAGAAAGAACAAGAAATAAAGAAGAAATTTAAAGTAAGGGCTTGCTTGCTAATGAGTGAAAGAATAACATCTTTTTATACCTTTCACACAAAAGGGGTACCATTCTTGAAAACTTACATAGTTGAAGAATTACTTATTCATTATTCTCTAAAGAGTAATTATCTTCATAACAGTACTTTTTTGTCCAATACACCATTTTATCCCTGAACTAATATAATAAAATTTAAATAAATATATTGGTTCATAATTAGTGGACACCCAGGAAATTTTATGTTGATTGAGTGAATGAATATTTACCTTTTCAAACCCATCTTGTCTCTCCCCATAATGCATTTCATATTAGCCTACTTATACTATGAATTAGCATCACACACATAAATATCCCTGTGGTATGTATTATAGGGGGGCATTGGACACAAGTGCCTCCAGGGTGAACCAGACCTGTCTCAGAATAAGATTTCCATGATCTACTCTAATTGCTAGTATCTATACATGAGTTATATTGTTGCCTTTAAGTCTGTGTACATGCTGACTTCTGATAACTGCTGTTTCTCATCCCTCTTTGTCTGTCTGGATTCTGACCTCTGTATTCTCTGATCTCTGGTAATTGTGTGTTTTCTACCATTACTACCACCAGTAAACGCTACACTCAGGGGCTATTTTCTCCTGGCTACACCATCTTTGATGACATGGCTCATCTGGCATGGGTCTGGCATGTCAGACATATTTAGGGTGATTATCTGAATTACAAAATTATTCTTTCAAAAAGAATTCACTGTATGGTTTCTTTAAGTATTTTTATTCCTCTGGAGCATTTAATATGTGGTTCAAATTTCTTTAAAAATGATTTATATATAACTTCCCGGTATATTTATTGCATTAAAGCAAAGGTTCAATGCATGGTGCAAGGAAAATGTATAGCATCAAGTCAGCCAGACAAACTGATTCAAATTCCAGTTGCACATACAAGTTATGTGATCTTGGGCTTCTCACTTAACTTCTCTGAGCCGCTGATTCTTAATCTTTTAAGTAAGGATAAATGATACTACTCCAGAAAGTTTGTTATGGAACTAAAATAATGCAGAGCATACACTGTATCATAAGATTCTCATTTGATTTTGAAAAAGCTTGCTATATGTAAGTAAAATTATGATTACCGTATTAATATTAGAACATTTTACTTATACAGAATGCATGACTACCAATCTTTATATTTTTCAAGTGAAAAATTAATTTCAATTAATTTATGAAAATCTATATCGTAGGCCAGGCGTGGTGGCTCAGGCCTGTAATCCCAGCACTTTGGGAGGCCGAGGTGGGTGGATCATGAGTTCAGGAGATTGAGACCATACTGGCTAACACAGTGAAACTCAGTATCTACTAAAAATACAAAAAACTGGCCAGGCGTGGTGGCGGGCACCTGTAGTCCCAGCTACTTGGGAGGCTGAGGCAGGAGAATGGCATGAACCTGGGAGGCAGAGCTTGCAGTGAGCTGAGATCGGGCCTCGGCACTCTAGCCTGGGCAACAGAGCGAGACTCCATCTCAAAAAAAAATAACAAAAATCTATATAGTATACTTTCCATGAAGAAATTGTAGATTTAAAGGAATTATGTGGGGTTTTTCCATGTTTCTTCTGGAGAATTCAGCTTTACATTATCTCATTCATTCAAATAATATTTTTAGTAAGAAAAGATAGGATATGGAAATCATACCATTAAATATGAACTCAAAAGTCTGTCAAAACTAGGACTTCACCAGCCATATTCCTTTCACAAGATGATAATAGATAATAGGTAAAAAAAATTAAATAAATATGAGAACTGAGCCTCATCAGCATCATGGCATATCATAACTTAACTTACATTATTTTCTTTATTTCTTAGTGGTACATGATAATGATAAATGTTTATAATTAATGCCATCATAAATTCAATAAATTAAAGGTAGAGCTTCTTCAAAAGTCGTCATGCATATTTGCATATCAAAAGATTCAAGAAATTCTGTTGAAAAGACACCAATTTAGGATTAGAAAATTAAGAGTTTAGGATTCATAGTCTAACCAACATCATTATCCTTCTATCAATAAGCCACCATACTGTTCAGAATATTAATTTGAAAAACCTCGTGTAACATTTGCTTGCTATTATTTGATTTACAAGCTTATTTCTGAAATGTTATCTTGTTTATAGCAGGTAATGTCTGCTCCAATTTTACAAACAATGCAAAGGGGAAAAAACTCCATCTTCTGAACAGAATCCTGGCATATTCCATAAAGATACATAGCACACAGCATGGATTGTTGTACATAAACGCTGTTCAGTTATTGGGGGCTGCCTTTGCAGGCCTCTTGCAGAATTCCTAGTCAACAGATCCCTGCCTCACTCTCCTGACCCCATGCACATGTTCACCTGTCTTAGCTGGTCCTGCTTGGCCCCTGTGATTTTTCCCTAACCCCTCCTATAAGAAAAACATTCACCCTCAATTTCTGGTTAAACCCTGTAAATGTTGGTTATAGGTAGCTTAGCAAGTTGTAGACTTATATCTTTCAAAATTGCATTCCTTAAAGATTTTCTAAATTATAAGGAAATCTTTTGTGACTATTTTTTTCTCTTTGCAGCTAACAGGCCCTATTCAAGTCATCCATCTTGCAAAAGCTTGTTGTGATGTCAAAGGAGGAAAGAATGAACTGAGCTTCAAGCAAGGAGAGCAAATTGAAATCATCCGCATCACAGACAACCCAGAAGGAAAATGGTTGGGCAGAACAGCAAGGGGTTCATGTGAGTGCAAATTTCTCTATGGCTTCGAAGTATTTTCTTTGCGAGGCAATATTCAATGTACATATTCCTCCAGAACTCGTCATAGGCATCGAGTTAGGAGTACTTTACAGAGTGGACAAAGGGAGGAAAATGTTAAATGGCAGGTATAGTTCCGTCTTCACCTCATCTGTTATCTATATTGTGGGAAACAACGTACAGTTTTATATTATTCCAGGAGGAACGAACAGCATTAGGTTTTTCATTGATGTTAAAAAGAAAAAATGCTTCATGTGAATCACTTTAGAATATTTAAAATAGAAGGTAGGCTTACATTAAACTACAACAGGATTAGACTTTGACAGAGTACAGTAAAATTTGGGTCTACTTGGGAGGTCTACAAATCAGAACTACAAGAAAATAAATCAGGGGAAAGTTTAAAGAGCAAATGTGCAATTGATATTTTATTCACAACTTTAAAATATTTAAACTACAGTTGCCTGAACATAAATATTTCCCTTTTTGGTAGATGGCTATATTAAAACAACTGCTGTAGAGATTGACTATGATTCTTTGAAACTGAAAAAAGACTCTCTTGGTGCCCCTTCAAGACCTATTGAAGATGACCAAGAAGTATATGATGATGTTGCAGAGCAGGATGATATTAGCAGGTATGTGCAAGTACGTATTGTAGAACAGATCAAACTGTCTCCTTGTCAGAAATTTTGTATATTAAGATCCTAGAATTTTACCCTCCATAACTCCTACTGCTCTCTATCACTAAACTAAATGACCACTTACAATAACCCCAACATGGGTGAAAGGTCGTTTGAAACTCCATAGTCTTTCTTTTGATTATATGCATCAAATACTACTTGAAATATAGTGGGCCATTTGCCAGATCTTGTAAAATGTGTTTTCATTCTAAAACACTTTTATAATGTTCATTATGACTTGATCTTAGGGATATGCCTAATGAAATATGATTTGGTAAAATATGAAGCATAAAATATAAAATTTAGCCCATTTTTTCTCATAAATCTCTGATTCTAAATATATTTGTTGTTATTTTTTGAAAATACGACAAAAAATGATTTTTATGGCAACCCCAGTTTGCTCCTTAAAAGTAAAAACTCCGTTTTTTTATGATCCCTAGGTATCAATTAAGGGTCCAACTTTCCACGGCCCATTCCACTAGATTAAAATGACCTTCACTTCAAGAATTATGGGAACACCTTCCTGGTATAGAGGAACAGAATAGAACATCCTTTCTGGAGGACCAATGAGAGGAGATTGGCCATCCCTCCCTTGTACCTCTCCTTCTCTTCTTTCCTTTCTTAGTCTTCTGCTTCTTTCCTCTCTCCATCTCTCCTCTTCTTCTCTTTGTTCCAGCTCTGATTTTTTGTCATTCTTTTGTCTCTTTTGTACTTTTCCATTCCCTTTCTCCTTTCATTCCTTCTTTCCTCCAACACCTCCGTTTTCAGTTTAAAGCCATAATCCCCTCAAGTTGAAAGGAGGAAAATCTCTGGTCCAGTTCAGAACTTTAGTTTTTTGATGACTACTTTATAAAACTAGGAAACCTCCATTGTGATCCCAAAAAACATCATCTGTGCTAGCTCTTCACCTGGGTAAAACTGTGTCTGCATTCTTCATAACTCAAATTTCAAAGGAAACAATCTTCATTGTCAGCCATTTCTAAAACACCAAATTAGTAATACACTTATAAAGCACATGAAGAATTAAATTTTCCTCTTATGATCTTTTATATCATGGTATCAGTTAAGCTTGTTATGCTGCTTTCTAGCAGTTTTGTCTTTCTAAAATGAATTACAGCCGGCTATGCCTTCTTACCATGTTCTAAACATAAATTATGCAACATATACCAAAACATACAATGCATGCACTAGAGTTTGGAGATCATTAACTGACTTTAGTCAAACATCGACCTAGTGTGAGTCAGTAAATGCCAGTTTTGAGGCCAGATGAAGTTCCAAATCGTCACATTCTGTAACTTACAGAATTTTCATGACTATGTCAAGCATATTACCAATGTATATACTTTGTGTGTGCCTTTTGTTTTTTAAAAAGCACACTCCCTTAATTTTTGGTGAAAGAATTCCAGTTACATTATTTGCGCATATTTACATGGATGTGCATACTCAAGAAAAAAATAACAAATCCAGAAAAAACAATGAGGTTCTTAGAATGAAACTTTGTTTAACCATATTGGGTGAATATTTCCCAAAACTAGCATTATCACCTTTTTCCATTTTATTGAATCCATACATACCACGACTCTAAAAACCTGCTCTACTTTAGTAAACATATAACAAAAAAAGAATCTTATATTTAGTAAAAGCAGGAAGTTGGAAGAGTTGTAGGGTTTTAATGCTCAGTATCTTAAACAAGTATAGCCCCACAATATTTACTAGCATCTAGCCCTCTCTTATGCACCCTTACTAAGAAAATTAAAGAAGAAGACATTTCTATACATGTTTTATTTTTGAAACTGCAGCTGCTGCGGGCAGAGATCTCATAACAGAACATGCTTTGTTCTTAGAAAAAGGGAAGATGCTGAGTGTAGCCGGCAGCTTGCCCTGGCAAGAATAAGAAGAGAAGGCATCATCTTCTCCCTCCTGCTCATGATTCCTGGCTCAGGCACTCTACCAGCTCTTTCCTGATTCCCTAGAGTGAAGAGCAATGGCTGTGAGTGCTTCAAACTCCGGGAGCAGTTTTGAGGCTTCAAAGCACAGCCCCTGACAGCTGTCCTTCTCTTTTCCTTCTCCACTAAAGCAGTATCTACAGTAAATATGAAACATTGAAGAAAAGGGAATTGCAAATGCAAATACCCCTCTACCATTTCATAGTAAACCTTCTTCCTTCCATGTATCTCTCTCTCTCCCTCTCGTCTCCTGTCACATCCTGCTCTCTCTACCTCTTCTTCACTTCATCAAATGTTTTCATCAAATGTTCTAAACAGGCCATTTTAGGAAGTTGAATAATTGCTCTAGACATGAAATAAAACAGGAGCTTTGCTCCTTATTCCAACAACCCTGTTCTTTGGAAATTGGTATAAAAATCCAAGATGAAAAGTATCTGCCAAGAGTGGCAGCCAAGCAGAATGCAGCTCTTCACATAATTCCAACTGCCTGCTTCATGCATCATGCTCAGAGGGAAGAGTCAGGAAAAATAAATGTCAAAATGGTACATAAGCAAGCAGACAGTGTACTGCAACTTCTTCAAAAAGCAGTTCCTTATTTATATAGGAAGACATTTCTAGCATGTTTTCCTACAAAGTTCCTGACAGCAACTTTATGTTTTTATTTCAAATTTAACAGGAGATCTGCATCAGATCAATTTCTTTCACCCACTTTTAACGTTAGGAAATCAGATATGAGTACTATATAATTGTCCTCTAAGACACTAACATTAAACTGATATCTGTTGCTGGCAGAAAACTGGGGGTATAGTGAGTGCAGCTAGGTGTAAAAGTGGGCGTGGTCAAGTCACTTAATTTCTCAGAGCCTGGTTTCTTTTCTGTATAATGAGGGAATTGAAGAGATGATTTCTGGGATTTTTTCCATTCTCACAGTCTACATTTCCTTTGATCTCACAGAAATCACATTTTAGTGGGAGATATAGGCAAGAAAACAGACAATTATAACATAAATGCTAAAATAGAGAAAATATAGAATGATGTGAAAGTAAGTAAGAAACACAGGCAATCTGGATTTACAGATTCAGCAGTCATACCAGATAAAAGCCCCCTGAATGAGATTTCAAGTTTTTTAAAGTTCTCCCTTTAAAGAAAAATGACTGCTATTAGACTAGGAGTAAAATGCTGTGGTCAAAAGATATTGAAAGATAATTTAATTTAATGCAACAATAATTGCTCTATGTGACTTATGGAATAATAATACCCTTGGGGCTTGTTTTAATGGTCCATCTATGGAATGATGTCATAATGTATCATCTGAAAACAACCTCATACAAAAATGTCAAAAGCAAACAATATCATCATTTTCTATATCATATATAGTGCATAATTAACTTAATTCTTGTTGTTTTTATTTGTTTTGTTTTGTTGCCTTGTCATTACCCATCTATGATGATAAGGAACATTTTTTCCTCTTTACATATAGCATTCTAAGAACTTTCGACTGGAATGTTATTTCTCTTTTGAATAACTAATCAGGATATGTACTTCTCTTCCTCATAGCTAAGTAATTCATAGATTAACTTAATATTTCTGGGTTTCTTTTCTAGCCACAGTCAGAGTGGAAGTGGAGGTAAGCCACACGCTTCTTAAAATGACATTTTACAATTGATACATATATTGGCATGTATTTATGGAGCACATGTGTTATTTTGTTACATGCATAGAATGTGTATTGTTCAAGTCAGCGTATTTAGGCTATCCATCATCATGAGCATTTATCATTTTTATGTGTTGAGAACATTTCGAGTTCTCACTTCTGGCTATATTGAAATGTACAATGTATTATTGTTAATTATAGTCACCCTACTCTACTATTAAGCATTAGAACTTATTCCTTCTATCTAACTGTATGCTTGTACCCATTCACCAATCTCTCTTCATGTCCCCCCAAACACATTCTTACATCCCTCTCAGCCTCTGGTAACAATCACTCTACTCTCTACCTCCATGAAACAAACTTTTTTAGCTCCCACATATGTGTGAGTACATGCAGTATTTGTCTTTCTATATCTGGCTTATTCCACTTAATATGACTTCCAGTTTCATCCATATTGCTGCAAATGACATGATTTCATTCTTTTTTTTTTATGACCAAATAGTATTTCATTGCGTATAGACAAAATTTTCTTTATCCATTCATCCAATGATAATTAGGTTGATTCTATATCTTTGCTACTGTGAATAGTGCTGCAATACACTTGGGGATGCAAATATCCATTTGATATACTGATTCTCTTTCCTTCAGAAAAATATCCAGTAGTGAGATTGCTGGATTGCATGATAGTTCTATTTTTAGTTTTTTTGAAAAATCTCCATAATGACTGTATGAATATATATTCCCACCGACAGTATGAGTTTCTTTTTTTCCACATCCTTGCCAGCATCAGTTACTATTTTTCTTTTTGATAACAGCCATTCTAACTGGGGTAAGATGATTAGTGATGTTGAGCATTTTTTCATATGCCTGTTGGCCATTTGTATGTCTTCTTCTAAGAAATGTCTTTTTAGATCCTTTGCCCACCTTTTTATGGGATTGTTTGGGAATTTTGCTGTTGAATTGATTGAGTTTTTGTATATTCTGAATACTCATCCCTTTTGAGATGAATAGTTTGCAAATATTTTCTCCCATTCAACAAGCCATCTCTTCACTCTGTTGGTTGATTGCTTTGCCATACAGAAGCTTTTAGTTTAATATAATCCCATTTGTCTATTTTTGTTTTTGTTGCCTGTGCTTTTGGGGTGTTAGTCATGAAATCTCTACCTAGACCAATGTCTTGGAGTGTTTTCTCTATGTTTTCTTACAGTTGTTTTATACTTTTAGGTCTTATGTTTAAATCCTTAATCTATCTTGAGTTGATTTTTATATATGGTGAGAGATGGCGCCTAGTTTTATTCTTTTTCCATATGGATATCCAGTTTTCCCAGCACCACTTACTGATAAGGGTGTTTTTTCCCCAGTGTATGTTCTTGGTGCCTTTTTCTAAAATCAGTTGGCTATAAATATGTGACTTTATTTCTGGGTTCTGTTTTCTGTTTCATTGGTTTTTGTTTCTATTTTTATACCAACGGTATGCTGATTGGTTACAACACAAAATCAGGGAGTGTGATGCTTCCAGCTTTATTCTTTTTGCTCAGGATTGCTTTGGCTATTAATGCTCTTTTTTATTTCATACAAATTTAAGGATTGTTTTTCCTATTCTGTGAAAGATGACTTTGGTATTTTGATAGAGATTACATTAAATTCGTAAATTGCTTTGGGTAATATGGTCCTTTTAGCAATATTAATTATTCTAATATGTGAGCATGGGAAACCATGCACTTTTATCAATAATTTCTTCATAAGCCTTCATCATGTTTGTGTATATTAATGAAAAAAATGCTTTAGTTTACAAATAATGAGAGAGATCTTAATACGATGGAAAGAACACTAGCTTGAGAGTCAATAAACTGGATTCTAGAGCTAGCCAGCAAGTGACTCAGAGTAAGCCACTTCTTTCTTTTAAGTTTGTTACAGATGGTATGGTGACTCCACTCCAATGTGTTCAGGACAGTCTTGACTTATTCCAGTCATCAGAGCACAATTAATAACAGCATTCTCCTTCACTTTTGGAAGTGTTTTTGTTTAGATGATAACCTATCTAGTCACCTTGACTGTAGTTCAATGGCCCCTATATTTCCCAGCAACAAAATAAGGGATTTGATCTAACACTTGCAGTGCTAAAGTTCTCATACTAAAAGTCAAATTTCAAGGTCATTTTACATATTCCTGCACATAGAAACTACTCAATAAACAATTGTTAAGTAAATATCTGTCAAATTGCAAGTTTCCTGAAGAGCATAGAATAACAAATGAAACCAGAAACAGTTTAACTTTCAAAAATATGTATTTTAAAAGTCACTTTTCACTTCTTTCTGTTTCAACTACCATCAATATTTACAAATTCACCTTTCATCCCATTGCTTTTCTTCTCTTGTGTCTTGATCAGTATCTTTTCCTAAATGTCTCCTCACCATTAACTAGTTAGCTAGATTTGTATCACCTCCTCACTTCTTTTTCCACAATAAATATTTAACTCCATGCCCTATTTAAGTTTACTTTTTCTCATGTTTTTGCACCCTCATTCCTTTCAACTCAAGTCCACAGTGCCTCTTAGCCCTCATTTTGTTATTGTAATTTCACCCCTAAGAATTCTTTATAAAATAATCAACAAAGTGTTTTTATTTAAATGGTTTACATGAAAGTGAAATGCTCTCTGCAGTTAAATAAGGAAGATTTACAATTAAAATCTGAGTGAGCATTACATGGCCAAATTATAAAATTAACAGAAGATTTTCCTCCAATCCAAATGAAGGGATATTCCCTCCACCACCAGATGATGACATTTATGATGGGATTGAAGAGGAAGATGCTGATGATGGGTAAGAATAATCAGTGAACTGCTTTTTGCAAATTATTATATATACATTGAAATTTAGTTTTGATTTCCAGTTAAAATAAAAAGCGGAAAATAGTGTTCTTTCTCACATTACCCCAAATGATTTGAATGTTTAATTAACAGCAATTGTAAACCAGGAAGTGTAATTTCACCACACTTCAAACGAAGTGTTTGATTGTTTGGAAGAACTTCAATAACTACAGCAAAACAAGTGAAATGAAAACAAAAGATAAATTACAGGTGTTGTGTATTTTTTTTTTTTTTTTTTTTTTTGAGACAGAGTCTCACTCTGTCGCCCAGGCTGGAGTGCACTGGCAGTTGTGGATATTTTTTAAGTCTTTCCTAATAAAGTCTTTATTGATCAATAATTTACTTTTACAACAATCCCTGAAGAGTTTATCAGTTGCATGGCTATCCCTTGTGTAATAACATGATTATAATATAGGCAACCCAAATAAATTGAGACCTATGCTACCTATGGCAGAACCAGTATTGAATACTTAATCCTTTAACTTAATAATAATTATCTGTTCATTTATAATAATTATAACAATTTATAAACATAAAAATATTTTAGGTCAATAAGAAAATAAATTTTCTTTTTCCATTTTAAATGGCATATTTAAAAGTTTAAGATTTCTTTTTTTTTTTTTTTTTTTTTTTTGAGACCTGAGTTTTGCTCTTGTTGCCCAGGCTAGAGTGCAATGGCACGATCTCGGCTCACCGCAATCTCTGCCTCCCAGGTTCAAATGATTCTCCTGCCTCAGCCTCCCAAGTAGCTGGGATTACAGGCATGTGCCATCATGCCTGGGTTATTTCATATTTTTAGTAGAGACGGGTTTTCTCCATGTTGGTCAGGCTGGTCTCGAACTTCTGATCTCGGGTGATCTGCCTGCCCTAGCCTCCCAAAGTGCTGGGATTACAGGCGTGAGCCACTGTGCCTGGCCTAAGATTTCTTAATTACTTCATTTTAATCATAAATAAAGCAAAATTGATGTCCAAGCTTTTTTTTTTTTTTTTTTTTTTTTGAGACCAGGTCTCACTCTGTTGCCCCAGCTAGAATGCAGTGGTAGGATCATAGCTCACTGCAGCCTCAAACTCCCAGGCTCAAGCAATCCTCCTACCTCAGCCTCTGAGCAGCTGGGACCACAGGTGTGCACCACCACACCCAGCTAATGTTTTTTATTTTTAGTAGAGATGAGGTTTTGCTATGTTGCCCAGGCTTGTCTCAAACTCCTGGGCTTAAGCAATCCTCCCACTTTGGCTTCCCAAAGTGCCAGGATCACAGGGGTGAGCCACCACATCCAGTTCTTTGAAACTTAATCCTTATGGACTTGCTTCACATTTTAAGAAGTGGGAGAATTCTCACTTGATAGAAAAAAAAATGATCAGGTTCGTAGGAGCAGTATTCAATCACCATGATCTGTAAATTTAATAACACTATTTTGTCCAATAAAATGAGTTATTTACTGCCTGAATGATTAATGTGGCCGTAATGATTAATGATTATAAAGAATCTGAATGTCCACACAATGTCTTCACTTGCCGCTGATTATTACATTCTGATCAATGCCTGCATGCTCCAAAGCTCCACACTACAGGTTCAAGAGAAGAGTAATACGTGGTCCTGGGGGATTTTGAAGATGTTAAAGGGAAAAGATGACAGAAAGAAAAGTATACGAGAGAAACCTAAAGTCTCTGACTCAGACAATAATGAAGGTTCATCGTAAGAGTCAACCAACCAAATCCAGTGTACAATAACTACACTAATATGTATTGAATCAAATGCTACTAATATTCTATAACCAATAACCAAATTCTGATAGACTTAAATCATCTTAATGCAATTTTCCGTTAATCATCTTAGCCCCGTTTATGGTGTCACCTTTAAGCTCCTGCATTACATAAAAGAAGGCCAAGTACTCAGAAATCATCATATAGTTCAAAGATATATTTTACTTTCTTCACAAAAATGCACAAAAACACACATGTACACATAATTGCACACATACCCTCTCACGCTCATCCACACAGTCATACACAAACACTGACACACCCATTTACTAGGACCTTTTAAAATATAGCATTACATCTGAAAACTCACAATTCCAATGCCACATTTTACTGCATAGTATTTTATATTGAATACTCTTCAAAATATACATTCTTTTTAATAGTTTGAAATAAAGAACATAATTTTGAATTTTTTTCTCTAAGTACAATAATTAAAGACTTTTAACTATATTACACTCTAATGATATATTAATAATTTTTCCTATACTAAAAGTATTCTAAACATCTTAAGTTTGTCCAAATAAAATCTAAGGCATAACTTTTCTCTTTCTATTCCAAAAATAATCCTTTAGTATAAATTCCATACATATGAATTTGAAAGATCTTAATCATATTCCCTGGTACAAGAAAATCTTTCTGTTTTATATTTAGCTCATGAATTCACCACATTTAGCTCAAGTCTTTATAAGATGTTAATTCCATATAGCATTCCCAATTGGCTTGTAAAACACCAAAGCAACAAGTCAATAAAGAGTACACTTGAAATTCTAGGAAAACACAAGAAACCTTCTCTTGAGCAGCATTACTCAAATATAACCCTTACTTAAAAATGAGAGGGTTTTTTTTTTCTGCTTCAATTACATACTATCCAAATCTGATTTGGGATCATTTGAATTAATGATCCCTCACATTCTATTCTAACCAGTCATTTCTGTTCTGTGCACCATTCTTTCCGTGGTGTGTTTGTGTGTGTACGTGTGTGTGTGTGTGTGTGTGTGTGTGTGTGTGTGTGTGGAGTGTATTTAGAAGTCATATTTCAGAAAATAGAAGCATGGGTCTTCTTCTGTTGCAGCCAAATGCCACTTAATTCTGATTTCAGAGCACTTTAATTAATAAGCTCTCACTCTCTGGTTTAAGTAAATATTCCTCTTATTCACCATTTTCCTGTTTTGGGGTATATATGCACATATTGGGAAACATGGTCATATTCCTGTGACCTCTATTAATTTTGAGTCTGTATTTCTGCTCTTTAATTCAAATAAGCAGTTTGGAGGCAGAATATGTATGCCACGATGCCTCCAAAATACTGAGTCCCTTTCATTTACTCTGGCTTGATATTATGCCCAAACCTCATATAGCAAATCTGGAAATTTTGATCCAGTGGCTATGGGCAAAATAAACCAATTGAGTATCTTGACTCTGGACATTTTGGCAAACATTTGGGGTTCAAAAAATGTCTTGCTAAGTTCCAAATTGATAAACAGAAATGGACTTAGTGGAGAAATGGAGGATGAGAAAGAAATGATGGTCAACAGATGAAGTAACCCAATATGCCTCTAGGCTATTGCCCCTTTATACTCTCCTATATAACGGAATCAATTTCTGTGTTCATGTTAGTCTGATTATAATTGTGTTCTCACTTTCTTTGTAGTTTCCCTGCTCCTCCTAAACAATTGGGTAAGTAATAAAAACTGATTGTATGTTCTGTATCTTCATTTCTTGCAGTGTGGTAGTGGGAAAGCTCTGGATATAGTATCTGCATTAAAGTCTTGACTCTGAAAATAATAAATTGTGTAGCCTTGAGCAAGTAACTTTACCTTGGGTGGTCACAGGTGCTCAATGATAAAATAGCAAGATGAGAAAAATTAAAAAGACTGATAGTTTTTAAACTGTTCTTCCAAGAGCCACTATTGGGTTAGGGATAAGTGGGAAGGGATAAGCACCAATTTTCCCTATATCCCCCAGCCTCAATTCAGTCCAAGCTTGATATATGAGACTTCTGCATAAGGATATCTAAAAACATTCCAGATTACATGCCAGTAAGCCTCTTCTAAATCTAATTTCTTTGAATATTTAAATGGATAGTTTATATTGTATTTGGAAAATGTTAAATATAACAGTTTCTTTATAAAATTTCTATCAGTTACTATTTTTTCATCCCTGCTGAGACAGATCTTTAGATGTTTTTAAAATTTACTTTGAACGAAATAAAATGTTGTCTTAAGAATATTCAGGGGCTTTCAAAAAGTTTATTTATTTTAACTTATAAGTATATTAAAAGAGCAAACCAACACAGAGGTAATCTATTCTTCTATAGACCCTTTATCTGACATTAGAACTTTCTTTTCAGTTATCAATTTGAAAATATGTAAGGGACAAACTCAAGCTGATCAGTGCCTGATAATAAGCTTGTGTTCTAATCTATAATATTTTTAAAGTATTCAAAAAAATTAACTCCTCAAAAAGTGGGTATAAAATGAAACAAAAGTAATCAATTCTGTAAAAAATAAGGTTTTGTTAGAATTGCTTGTTGTTCTTAAATATGTTTTAAGTGCATGTGCACGGAGTAGTAACTTTGACCCTTCTAGATGATATTTTTTAAAGTATTTATTTTTCACGCAGCTGAGCAAGTTTCATCGTGTGAAATTAGTTAACCTGAATACACACGAGGGTGGAGGACATAGAGGGGGAGATTTTATAAAGGAAATAAATTCCTTGCCACTACCAGAGAGTATTTAAACTTTTTATGGTAATAACTCCTTAAAATATTTGCAATTTCTTCAACTCAATCTCTTCAGCTTCATTGACTGTAGAGTAATTAATATGTGCAGGGAGGAAGCATTATTCCTGACTTTATTAGTAAGAAGTCTAGAAGGGAGAAAAAGCTTTAATGATTGGAAAAGCCATTGAACCAGTTAAGATCATGACAACTTTTCTGCCAATACTGTTTCTCAATACCTGTTGGTAACAGAAGTATTTAATTAAAAGAAATAATCTTTCCATTTAAAGGTGGTGCCACTCCTAATATCACTGTAAGGTAAAAGGTAACGGGAAACAGATCAATGAGGCGAAGGAAAGGAGGAAGGAAGGAGAGAGACATTTAAATAGGATGATATATATTATCACAGCACCCTAAATCCCATAAGAATCTCAATTTCTGTCTCTACTTCATCCTGCCAGTGGCCAGTAATGTTGATTTGTTTATCAGCAATTTGCCACTCCTGACATTCATTGCACTTGTAGATCTTCAGATAATCATAGTCACTGTTCCATGAGTTTTTTTCCAGATAACGATGATTATCATTATGGTCACTGGTTTTTTGAATAATTTAACACATGCATCCTGGCAAATAATAACCTCTCCCCTTTCAGAAGCAGACAATGCTTCCAGGAGAAATTTACCGAGACACTAGGACAACTTATTTTATTGTCCTTGAAGCAATCTTTATATTAAAAACATCATTGAATGCTCATATCAAAATCTAAACTAACAGTGTTTCAACCTTTGATATTCTGTCTTTTGTTAGACATGGGAGATGAAGTTTACGATGATGTGGATACCTCTGATTTCCCTGTTTCATCAGCAGAGATGAGGTAATTAAAATGCTTTCATTACAATGAAGTAATGAAAATGAGAATACTCAAGAAAATTCAACTGAAATAAAAACCCAGTGGGATGTGTGTCTACTGTGTGCGATCCTGTTGGCTCTGGACTCCTCTCTAAAGCTATGCTTCCTTCCAATCTCAGCTCTACCCTCCCTGCGAGGTTTGTGAGTAGATAGCCCAAATCCTTTGCCCCCACCTCCACCCCTTCCTCCCCTCATTCTCTTCCATCCTCCTGGTTCTGCTTCTTGTTTCCTGATTAACCTTGGGCCTGTGACTTACTGATGTCTGGTTTATTTATTCATTCATTCACTGGGGAAATATGTTTAAGATCTTGGTCACAACCAGTCTCACTGATTCTTCTCCTCTCTTTATTCATACTGTTTTCCCCAAACCTTTTTTTCTTGAATATACTTCTTAGCTTACATCTCAGCACTCACCCATCTTGTTCAAGCCACCTCCGTCTTCTACAAGATAGTTTCCTTTATGAAAAAAAGAAAAAAAGATTTATTTTTTAAAAGGACTTTTAGGTAGGTTACATTCAAATCTTAAAAAAATTAATTTTAGGCTAAAATTGTATAAAATCAGTTCAGATCAAGTAATACAAAAGGAGTGCCTTTTGGAATTTTTTTTGAAATAGAGAATAACATGGTAGGTTGCTTTCTCATAATCCAATAAATACATGAAATGATTTGATACATACTGAGTATAAAAGCAAGAACACCTATCTAGCTTTTTCAAGAGAAAAGAAAGATGACTCAAAAGATCCTGTATTTGATTAAAGGATGAAAGTAACATAAATGGAACACAGTAAGTTGTGTCTTCTGAGCTGTACTGGTAAAAATGCATGAGTAAACGCTAAGTATTTATTTTTTACCAAAATTGTTAAACTAATTTTATTGAACTAGAGAGAGTATCAAAATCAAAGACTCTGAAGGGAAAATATGCCATCATTCATATATGAAGATCAAGTTCCACAGGCAAAACAAATAAGAAAGATGAAAAGAGAGCCGTTGCCCTTTTTTTAATTCTCCATGAAACAAAAATGGAATCTTCAGTAATATGTTCAGGTTTTACTATTTCTCACCAGTGGTGTTTCAACCCTTGACAGTTGTTAATGCTTTTTTTTTTTTTTTTTTTTTTGCTTTACATTACTGTACATCACATTCCATAAAATCGCTCTCTAGGAACAAAGAGTCACACCTGGCCTTATTCTTCAAACAAAATAAACCCCAGCTAACTAAGCTTTATGTGATATGGACAATTTTCTTCCCCATTTTGCTTATTTTCAGAGTTTAAAGCAAGTTTGTGTTCTCTAATGTCGTATTCTATTTTTAAATAAATTTCAATAAATTTTTTTAAAGATAGCTTGTAGGGCATTTCTAACTTTCACGTATATTCTGATTGCCCCAGAGAGTTAATCTGGGGCAGTAATTCCACAAATGCCCAGACTACCATAGGCAGGCAGTACTGAGGGCAGACGCAGAACCTGATATAGATATTGTGCTAATTCTCTCCACAATGAATGAACGAAAGCTAAGATTCCAAAATTGAGAATTAAACATTTAAAATAAATTGGTTACAAACAAAACTTTATCTTAGATCATCTAAATAAAAATTAATATATTCTAATTTTTAAAATGCTCACTAAAGATATCTATAGCTCTTCCCTACCATCCATAATTTAACTCTAGTGAATGGTTCTCAACCTTGGTTACAAATTAATATCATGTGGGAAGCTCTTAAAATGTGTCTAGCACTACCTGGACCTTGCTCAGACTAAATTAAATTTTAAAATTAATTTAAATTAGAATGTCCAGGAATTGGGCAAGAGCAGTAGTATGCTTTAAAAGCTTCCCAGGTGATCCTGTGTGCGGACAGGCTACAAAAATCACTGTTTTAGGCTTGTTCACTTATATTAGGATAATTGGTATCTACAAAATATAGTGGATTTCTATACCTGGATCCTAGCAGTTTTAAAAAAAGTAAGTCCATTAACTGATCTAAACACTTAGGATGTGCTTATCTTTCTTACTTTCTCCCTCTCCTCCTCTCTGTCTCTGTCTCTCTTTCATACACACACACACACACACACACACACAATTGATAAAGGGATGAAGATAAAGATCAGTAATAACCATCTTTTTTAAAAAGCTCCTTCTTATAATATCTAAAATCTTAACTTTTACTTAAGTTTTTTTATTAACCAAAACTCTAGCTGCATTTTAAGTAGATGTGAACAAAACAACGTATAAATGTTATAAACCATAAAAATTGATTGTTTTTGAACTCTTCTTTTTTAAAAAGCCTTTCTTATGACATTGGCCAAGCTACATAATTATCTAGAAAGGGCTGATAATTTAGGGAGGTTTAAGAATAGATTAAGTCATATGAAACTGCTGACATGCAACCAAGTTTAAACCATGACTCAGTGATTTTATATGGTTCAGTATAAGAACGAATCTAATCTCTCACTTCCATTTTAATTCTCATAATCTATATTTGCTTGAGGAAACCCTCCTACATTATGGAATGTCATCATTTATTACAATGACAGTTACTGGATTTCTAACAAAAAGAATTAACTGAAACAAAAAGTTAAAAATATAATGCTATGAATCGTCTCTGTTATGGACTATTCTTTTTAATTTTCTAAACAAAGTGTTGTTTTATGTGTGTTCTGCCGTTCTAGTCAAGGAACTAATGTTGGAAAAGCTAAGACAGAAGAAAAGGACCTTAAGAAGCTAAAAAAGCAGGAAAAAGAAGAAAAAGACTTCAGGAAAAAATTTAAAGTATGTCATATCTAAATATTATACAAAGTACAAAGCACTATTGAAAAATCCAATGATTTTTAAGTAACAAAAAAAACACTATTGAAAAATCCAATGATTTTTAAGTAACAAAATGCACACTTTAAAGTGTAATTATCAATATTACAGTTAGCCGTTATAACTCTTTTATTTTGAACAAAATTTATTTTAGATTTAAATTTATTTTTATAAAAGATTAAGCAAGCTATAATATGCACAGTATTCACACTGTGATAATCACCTAAATTTAGCTGTCCTTTGAACCTTAATAAGAAAGTACTAAAAATAATTATTATATTAGGTTGGTGAGGTTATGAATGATGTTTGTCCCTCAACATTTTCTTTAATATTCCTACATTATATTTCGAAAACACTGAATTATCTCTTTAGCAAATAACTTTTTAATAAATCCATCCATAAATAAGTTGTTTCAATAATGCACATAAACCAATAATTTAAATATTGTTCTTTTTTTTTTAGTATGATGGTGAAATTAGAGTCCTATATTCAACTAAAGTTACAACTTCCATAACTTCTAAAAAGTGGGGAACCAGAGATCTACAGGTAAAACCTGGTGAATCTCTAGAAGTTATACAAACCACAGATGACACAAAAGTTCTCTGCAGAAATGAAGAAGGGAAATGTAAGTCACTGCTTATACTATAATATGTGCATATATATGTCACTCCAGAATTTAACAACCAAACAAGTTTTAGTGACTACTCTGTGTTTACTAACTCTTATCTATCTTTTTGCCCTATCCTTTGTAAATTGTGGCAAACGTTCAGAAGTTGGTCATTATGCTGTGCTGAAACCAATGTATTTTAATCTCTTTTTATTTACCATATACTATCTATATACTCGGTGTCAAAGATAATGCCAAATTACTGCTTCTCAAAATGCAGTACTACAGACCATCAGCATCAGAAAGCCCTTGCGTGTGTATTAAAATCGCAGTTCCCTGTACCCACCCTTGACTTGCTGAAACATGAGTTCTAGAAATCAGGTAAAAACAGTGATGATAACTTTTTCCCTAGCTTGTTCATGTATACACTAAAGTCAGAACCACTGTGCTAAAGTAGACAGTGTCTCTTGCTCTGGCCTGCTTTTAAAATTATGGAGAATATCAAATTATACAGAATTGTGTAGAATTCTGGATATTTCACACCTAGAATTTCCAGTTTTCTTACCTTACAAATTCACTTGTTTTCATTTCCTATTTGAACACACTTAGTGCAACATACTATTCCAAATAAATCCAAAAAAGTTCCCATCTCCTTTGACTTTATCAGCTATTAAAGCTGACAGATGGGGGCCAGGTGCGGTGGCTCATGCCTGTAATCCCAGCACTTTGCGGGGCTGAGGCAGGATGATTGCTTGAGCTCAGGAGTTTGAGACCAGCCTGAGCAACATAGCGAGACCTAGTCTTTACTAAAAATCAAAGAAAATTTAGCCAGATGTAGCGGTGTGCGCCTTGTAGTCCCAGCTACTTGGGAGGCTAAGGCAGAAAAATATCACTTGAGCTGAGGAGTTCCAAGCCGCAGTGAGCCATGATCGCACTGCTACACTCCAGCTGGGGTGGCAGAGTGAGACCCTGACTCAAGAAACAAACAAACAGAAAAAATTAGAAAATAAAAGAAAACTGACAGATGGAAATATTTTTGTCAAATTTCAAAAGAAAGCGTATTTAAATCCCGAGAAGAGTAATTCAAAATTACATTGTCTTATATTTGAAACTGGATAGCCACTACAGCTGCCCCATATCAGCTTGGTCAATCTGCATGGAAAACATGGACTCTAAGTTTAATTTTAATGGGAGGAAGGTGACTCAGGGACAGGAATTGAAATGGAGTTTCAAGAATAAAACACAGTGACTCAAGGGTGGAGGAAATGGATGTAAAGTTTATCACGGAGGAGGTGTGGTTGGCTTTTCAAAGGAAAATACAGAATGTGGGTACAAAAGATAAAGGGCAGTGGCAGTGTAATATTAAGATTGGAAGTTCACTGAAGATAATGTGTAGAAAGATACCCAGGGGACAAAGAAAACCCCCATTCAGACTAGGATTTGCGAGGATCTACCTTAAGGAATAGCCATAAGTGCTAAAAGAACTATAAGCATCAAAAGTTCATCAAAAAATGTTTAAAAGTTCAAAGATTTTTAAATTATTAAATGTTACGATGAATACACCCAATTGAATGTTCTAAATGAAAATTATGATAGTAATATGATGAATCTCTCATGACATATGGTAGAAAAAGTAAGAAAGCTATTTAATTTGGTGTAGGATTTATAGCCATGTTATAAAATCATGCAAAGAAGAGAAGCTAAACTTAAAAAATAATTAAATACCAAAATAGGAATCAGTCTCAATAAGGTGATGAGTCTAAATGATGTATTTTCTGCCCTCTACTTTCCAAATAATTTCACATTTTTTACAAGAGAGAATTGTCCTAGTAGTTGTCATACAGACCTCTCTCCAGGGCACAAGCAGAAGCTTCTACATATCTTGCCCTTGGTATGGTAGAAGAAATTCTTGCCATAGTGACCTAAGTCTCCTATGCTTAGCAGCAAATCTTATCTAAAGCAACATTCCTCCAACTTTGAAGTGCATACAGATCAATGGGGATCTTGTTGAAATTGCAGATGTGAGGTCTGACATTCTTTTTTTTTTTGCTTATTTTTTTCCACCTTACATTTATAAAAATGGCATGACATTCTACAGTTTATCAAGCTCCCAGGTAATTGATGCTGCTGGTCTTTGGATCAGCATAGATCTTCACATATCCTGAGTAACAAGGATGTTATGATCTCATCAACAAACATGTATGGATATAGATGGACAGGAATAGATACGGCACCAGTGAGAGAAATTCAGAGAAGAGACTCTTATCTTCCTAGGAACCAGCTGACCTTAAGAATAAGTAGCCATTCAGAATAACTGCATAATCTAATATCATTTTCTATTTGAACATCAATAATTCTAAGTACTATTACAAATACTACAGGCCTCCTGTCCTCTTAGAATGTGTCATCTTCTAAGAATGAGAGGTGAAAATGTTTCGTAAACTTCTGATAGATTACAATCAAGAGTTTCATGTAAATATCTTTTTTCTTTCTGCTGCAGTACCAATGCACTTTACAGTTTCCAAGTTCATCGTTAACTACCTAAATTCTTAGATGGCTTTGGGGTACATCTCAGACAGGATGGAAACCACATGGTTATATGGTAGCACTTATATACATGTTGCTTTTTATGTAAAGAGTTTCTATGGGCTGGATTTTGTCTTAGTTTGGCTTCCCCATAAAGTGATTCTGCAAAAATGCCAGTGGCAAGTGAATGAGATAGAGAAGCGAAGGCAGCCGATAAAGTCTTATGATCAAAAAAGTTACCACTTGGATTATTGGAGCTTGATCATGCTGGAGACCTCCAAGTGTCAGTGTTATCCCATCCAGTGGGAAACAAATTGGGGTATTTATACACAAACTCCTGTCCTTCAGGAGCTGAAGTCTATTCCTGGGAAGGTAGGGAGTAATTCAGGATATTCAGCAAGCTGACAGAGTTCCAGAAGCCAGAGAAAAGCCATCAGTGAAAAAATTTTTAAATGCAAGTACTGTCAGTTGGATTTGCAAGTACTCACGTGGTAAGGATGCGGGTGTAAGGGAGAGGCACTAGGAGCATGTTACTGACTTTCGGGTTAAGTATTATTTCATGATTTAATCACCTTATCTGCTTACTTTCATTTTTATTTTTCCTAACTTCCTGCCTTTCTTAATTTGTACAAACCTGCTTACTCCTTCCATGGACTGGGTCCTTGACATTCTTAATTTTTAAAAATAGCTAATTCATTCTTGGCACACCTCTATAAGATTTTTTAACCCTCCCTCTCCTAGATGATTGCAATAGCCTTTCTAGTGATATGTCTATCTTTGCCCTTACACTCAGAATCAACTTCCCCACAATGTTACCCAAATATTATTTTTTAAAATATAGTATTTAGGCGAGCACATAAAACTCTTTATCATCTAGGCTTACCCTCATCCACTGCTGTTTTCCATCTACAACTGACACTCCAGAAATATAAACTATTTACTTGTCATTCCCTGAATAAATTAGGTGTTTTGGCCAGCCACGGTAGCTCATGCCTGTAATCCCAGGACTTTGGGAGGCGGAGGTGGGCGGATCACTTTAGGTCAGGAGTTTGAGACCAGCCTGGCCAACATGACAAAACACCATCTCTACTAAAAATACAAAAATTAGCTAGGTATGTTGGCACATGCCTGTAGTCCAGCTACTAGAGAGGCTGAGGCAGGAGAATTGTTTGAACCCAGGAGGCAGAGTTTGCAGTTAGCCGAGATTGCACCACTGCACTCCAGTCTGGGTGACAGAGCGAGACGCCATCTCAAAAAAAAAAAAAAATTATGTGTTTCATCCTACTATGCTACTTTATTCAACTTGGAATGCCCATGATTCTCTATTAAAAACAACTCAGTTGTCATCTAAAATTAGAAGCACCCCCAGTACCTACTCCTAGCCACACCATCACAATTAATGTCTCCTCAAATCTACCATGATACTTCTTTTGCTGCTGTCATTGTCATTATTGTTTTACCAACCTATTATTCTTATTAGACTCTGAGCTTCAGAGTCACTTCAATGAAATGTTCTCAACATCGTAATGTCAGCACGTTACACAATGCCTTGCACCTTGCGTGGGGCTTGCTGGATTGAATGAAACAATTTGGAAACTGCAGTTGGATAGCCAGATGAAAGTCTGACATACAGATACTCACAGAAAGAAGTCTGCTGAATAGTTTAACTGGTTAGAAGACAGACATTCTCTCCTTTGGCTTTAGTGATGTAGTTAGCTTGTTATATGCCATTGCAGAGCCTCTAAATCTTTTGGTTCCTTATTTCTGCATCTTTGATTACAAATGCCTTTGCATTTGTAACCCAGCACCATGGTGAAACTAATGTTATCCTTACCCTCCATTCTTCTTTAATCCATCAAAGAAAGAAAAGCATAGCTTACTTCAACCTAAATTCGTAATGATAGCAACTAAAGGCTAAAGCAAGAACAACAATCCCTTACCATTACGCAGTGGGACATCAGCCACTTTTACAGGCATTATCACATTCGATCAAGTCTCACCCATTGACTTGTAGAAGTTCCTACTGTGTAGGCGTTGAACTCTTAAATATAAATTTCTGGCACATTTCCAAATGTTTAGAGTTTCTCACTAGTATTTATACATATTCCACAACTCTATGTCTCATAAGCTGTGAGTTTTCCCACCTCCTGTCACTGAAAAAAATTTTCTACAAAAGATGTAGAATAAGATACTTTTTGTCTGAGTTATTTGTGGCCAAAATGCTCTCCATTTTCTTTAGGCATCAAAGACCAAGGGATTTTAAAGGTGCTTTCGATCTTCCCAAATCCAATTGATCATTTTTTTTTAACTTACATAATTTTTTTTTCAATTTTAAAACAACACATGCACACTGAAAGAAAATTTTTAAAATTTAGAGAGTTAAAATGTCGTCCAAATATGAAGCCCCAGAAATAACAATATAAACAGAGAAGAGGGGAAGAGTGAACGTTTTTATAAAACTAGGATAATAATTTATATTCAGTATTATATACAACGCTCTGTTTTTTCTTTTATTATACTATGAGCATTTTCCACTGAAATTGGACATTGTTCCACTTGCCTAGGTAAATCTATGCAATATGATTTTCTTGTTTTTAAACTGCATGAGGCCAAATTGAGTACATTTAATTTTATTTCTGGATTTACCCACAACAAATGAAATGATGAAATAGTATGTTGTCATTTTTATTAAGTAAAAAATTTGAAAATATTAGAATGAAGATAATTTCCACTTTTCCAAAGATTATTTTCTATTTCCTTGGTTAATCTGTATTCACAATACCCTTCTAAAAGGTGAGTCATTCATCCTGAGACACATCTGCACTGTAGCAAGCAAACATTTGGGGAAGAAATTAACTGGCACATATGGGAGGTGGGTGTTATTTTCCTAACTAGCTCTACCCCACCACATATTTCAAAACATTTGTTTCAAGCCGTTGTGTTCTGCTCTATAAATGTGAGGTTTCCAAATAATAATTTCATATTGTATGTGAGAATCCCTGGTGTGACCGCACTCACAATATTACAGCGCTAAACATAGCTGCCCTTCTACATGATACAGACCATGATGAGATTTTTGTTGTTGTTGTTATTTCATGTGTTTATATTTTTCACTAACATTCCCTATAATACATGTACATGTGTAACATGAACAAAGAGATTTTCCTACCGCAAAAAATATATGTATTTCTAGGACCTATAATGGAGAGATTATATAAAAATTTATGGTAAGTCACTTGTTTTGACACTGTCACGAATCACGCTTTTAATAGAGTGAAGTTTTAGCTGAGATTTTTAAAGGTACTAGACAGGAAAACCTGTGCTGTATTAAAAGTCATTTACCCTGTAAAAATGCTATATAATTGTGACTTTATAGCTAACAAGCCCCGTGTTATCACATCATTTTTGCAGCACAGTGCCATCTCACACTCCATCTCCCTAATACATTTTTCTTAAATAATAGTCCCAATTATTGATGTTTATGTATTTCACACAAACACACAACAACAGCAACAAAGTGTTCAACACAGGAGAAGGCTGTTCCTTAGAACTCTTGAACACACAGATATAGGAGGGAATGGAAATACAGGTTGAGAATCTAAGAGAATGTGTTTTTTATAAGTAATTTGTAAAGTTGAAGTATTAAGCTCTCTATCATGAATGATTAACTTTGGTCATGTAAAGCACTGTTTTAGCTCTCTTTTCGTTTAGTGTTTTATCCAAACCTGCAACATTTTAGCATAAATGAGTTTTAAAAAATAGATTACCTAAAAGCGTAAGCAAATAAAAATCTTTAATTTCTAAAAATGGTGATTACATTCTCTTCATTTTGAACTTTATATTTGATGCCAGAATAACTTCAGTCTCTAACAACAGTTTATAATTCTTATATATTTTTCTAATTTATCTTCCAATTTTAGCTCAGAGACTGTATGAATCCCTACCAAATCATATGAGATTGACTTCAGTGTTGAAAGCTTCAGTTCATATACATCATTATTTTTAAATTATTAACATCAACATGAGTATATTATGGGAACATTTGCTATTGTGTTATTTTCCAATTTGTTTTAGGAAAAAATCCAAAATGAAAGCAGAACCCCCCAATTTTAACTGATAAAAAGAAGTCAATGACTATTACTATCTGTAGAAAACTGTTCAAATTTTAGTGTAGCCCTATATGGGTACAGATAAAGAGTTATTTCAGTTATGAGAACCCTGATACAAAATCCACAATTTGTTCTAAAAGCTTGTTATTTGCACAGATTTTTCTCTTTTGAGAGACACATGTAGAATTGAATTTGTTGGACATGAGCTTATCCCTTTTTAAAAATTACATTAAATTATTATGTATACCTTATTTAAAAAGAAAGTCTGTTAACATGAAATGAACTGTGATATCAAAGCCTACCCACGGACTATAGATATTAATTGTAGGTGTTCTTACATTAATACTTTTTGCTACTTTTGCATTAATTGAAATATAAAGGAAGGTGCAACGTGTTCTAATTTTTCATACTGAGTAATGTGTTATTGTGCTTTTATTATCTTGACACATGTTTCATTACTTTCCTACTTTCCTAGTGTTTCATTACTTTTCCTACTTCTAGTTTTTTATACTCTGAGTAATATGTTATTGTGCTTTTATTATCTTGGCACATGTCTCATTATTTTCCTACTACGAGAATTCAAGGGTAACTTTGATTCTTTCTTTCCCAAATATGATACTTATAAATTGTTTTTATTAAAAAGTAGTGAGCTTCTTGATAAAATATTTTAGTGGAGTTTTTTTTAACCCTATAACACTTCAAGGGAAAGTTCATTTTCTTAAATTTTAATGTATAAATTCAGTTTTATGATTCCAACTTTTAAAAAATATTTTCATGTTTAATCATTGGCAATATGACATCAATACATTTACGTAAGTTTATCATTTATATTATTAATTTTTGCTTATGAGCTTTCTCCTTATAATTTGTAACACATTTGCTTTGATTCAGAACTAAAATTAGATCTAAAGTGGACCAAAACCAATAGATTGACTCACTGAGAGAAATTATTTAGAGATTGTATTGAGGAAGCAATAAATGGTACTAATCTCAAGCATACAACAGATTTTAGGCACTAACACAAAACTAACAATTCCAAAGATTAGTAATATTAATTAGATATCAGCAGGCATTTTCTTAAGAAAAATAGTTCCTATTTTTCCTGAGAAACATTTGCACAATGAGAGGCAAATATAAGGTGCCCCTCACACAACAACAACAACAAAACTTAGCTTTCTTGCATAAAATATGGCTTATTTTCTACTTAACCAGGCATCATAGAATCCATAGTATGTGCTCTTCCAATAATGCTTTTGCTCCATGAGTGATGAAATGCAAATGTTGATACTGTCCAATAGCAAAACAGTAGAGGAATTTCTTCCATACAGAGTAAAAGAGACCTGTTTGAGACTATTTACAATGCATAGTCCCCCTAGTAGTCAATAGCTGGCTGGGATCTGAAAGGGGAGTTGAATACAGTTCTCTCTCTGCTCAATATAATAAAATTTTAGAAAGTAAGTCTTAGATCTGGTGGTATTTAAAATACTTACCAATAAATGACTTTTATAATCTATGCTTACTAAATTCTTCCTAAAACTGGATCATGGGGGTAACACACTGAACTCTGTGCTACAGCCTACAGTAGCTTAATGAAAAAAGTTGCTTTTTTATTTAAAGGGGAAAGGAGGAAAGGTTGAAATTGGAGAAAAAAGAGACATACTGGAGAAAGAGAAAAGTTAGGGAGAAAAGGAGAAGAAAGGAAGGACACAAAAGTAGACACAAGTAAGAAAAATGGGTCATTTCCAGAGATAGATACAATTATTCAATATACTATGATTACTCTCTTGTGTTTTGATTTCCTGAAAAAAGTACTAAAGATTTTTCAACCTGTATTATTGATACAATTTATTTCCTTTTTCCTTCGTAGATGGTTATGTCCTTCGGAGTTACCTAGCGGACAAGTAAGCCCATTTTCTTCTACTACTATGCTTGTGAAAAGAATTTTGTGCCTTTCTTTTTAAAATATTTATAATATTACTTAAATAATGTAACCTACTCAACTATCATAAATAAATTTAAAAACAATATGCTATACTAACGTTAACATGTTAGTATCCATAATAAAGTTTAGGTTTCCATGAAGTGCTACTCTTTTAAATAGGCGAGGAGCCCTTCTCATTTAAAATTGTACAGCTCATAGTTAATAGTTTTATATATTCATTAGGCTCTCAGCAAACACTGAAGACATGTCAAAGCCAGTAACCTTTTCATCAATATTTTGCATTTTACTTGCTAATGCAATTGATTGAGTGGAATTAATTTGGGACCAATTAGTGACTTCATAGTAGGTGCTAATATCACCTGTTAACAGTTCATAATTTAGCCCTTAATTAAGGGCTTTGCTTCACTCACACTAGGCATAGTAGAGTACTATGTTGCCTTTTATGGAAGCATGCCAGAAAAAAAGACAGTCATCAATGATTCTTCTATTCTTATGAATAAGACATTGTCACAGTCTGTCACAGTGTGGTACTAGTGTGCCTTTGGAGTCCCCTGAAACATAAGATTCTGTCCCAAGTAACCCAGTGCAAGAAACGAACTCCATTATCAGGTTAGGTCACGTGCCAATGCAAAGATTTACAGAATTTAGCACAATGAAAAGATCCAGAAGGAGTCACAAACTGTGTACCCATCAACAACCTGACACCAATCAGAAAAACACAAATCAGTGTGAAGAGCTTTGCTGGCAAACTAGTAAAGGCCAAAGAAAAATAATCATAATACCTTTGTTCTCCTGAGCACATTAATCACAGTGGGAGGCAAGAGACTTTCAATAGGTTTTGTTCTATGAAAGATACAAATTTTAAGGACAGAATGTGTGGCAAATAATAGGACAACATCTCCATCAGTGATTATTACAGGCTGATTGAGAGAATTTAGAAAGCATACTCTGTAAGTAATTGTTGGTTCACCACCTATTGAAGCGAATACTTAATAAATGTTTATTGTATAAATGACAGAAAAACCTGTCCTGCTCGCATTTGGATGAGATTTCCGTTAGCCAAACCCTCCCTCCATCTCAGAGAAAAGATCCAAACAGAAGACATAGGGAACTCACAGCATCTGCCATAGTTGGCAGCAGTTTGAAGGGCCTGCTGCTGCTTCCATGATAAAGCACAGAGATTGTACAGCAAAGAGTAGTTCTGGTCTAAGTGACAAAGCCACCCTACATTTCTGAATTTTAGAAGTATATCTTACATTTCAAGGCAATGTTCATGTTTATAATGCTCTCTATTTTTATTTCTTATATAATCTCCTGTTTGATTATAAGGTACTTAAAAGCAAAGCTTGTCTCTTACTCAAATTTTTGTCTCCTGGTACATAGAAGGGATTCAGTATGTTTGTCGGATAGAAAATATCACAAAGATTCAGGGCCAGGCAAAACCTAAAATGTGTAAAAGTACCAAAATTACTATTATGGATGCTGCCTATAATCATAAGTAATAGTTTTAAAATTACATAAGAATCACCATAATAATCATATCTTGGCTACTTATTCTGTAACTAATATTTATATATTTTATTATATGTATGAGTTATAATTAGAAAACATGTGAAAATGATGCAACCATTTCCTATGCCAATTATTATTGTATTTAATTCACCATTCGAAATTCAAGTGAAAGTATGAATCTGATATTAACAGACATAAAAGTCCATTGCAGCTTTGAATTAACATCCCCAATGGGAGTATTGTACCATGATGTTTAGTACATTGTTAACAAACATGTCTTATAAAGATGAGTAAGGCATAGTCTATGCTCTTGAAGCATGTTTTAATTATTCTGTATGTAAAATGAAACAGAGGACTAGATTAAGTCAATGAAAGAAGAGATAATGAATATCAAATTTATTTCTACTTATAAATGCATACTATGCTTAAAAGTCTTAATTGTGTCTTATAAAATTATACTGTTACTCTATTCTTCTATATATTGCTCTAATGCCAAGAACATAGTTTCTTTAAAATAAAAATTTTTTTTTACATTTACAGTGATGGAGAGATCTATGATGATATTGCTGATGGTAAGTCTTATGTAGTACCACCCTAGAGAACAGTCATAGTGAATTTACTGTTTTTATAAATGCTAAAAATAGCTTGTTGGATTAGAGACTTCCAATCTGATCAGAATTTGAATCACTTGAAAATGTTAGAAAAGGTAAATGCCCTGGCATAATGGGGGGAAAATACCGCATTTCCCACAAGATGGAAAATTAAGGAAAAACCTTATTTATTTCTTTGAAAACAGAAGTATAAAAATATTTGGGAAATTTTTTATTGTACTGTGACTCATAATAAGAATTTCTTTTATCCAAGCAAATAAACATTTTTGGCAAATAAATAGGTACTTATTTCATAACCAGTAATACCAATATTCTCTAAGCATCATATAGTTCCAAACTGTAATCTAAAAAATTAATCTAACTGAAATGATGCAGTGTTGATCATGATTTCCTTTAGTCTTTTAAACTTATGAGTCTTGCTCTTTAATATCTTCAACCTCGTTCAGAGTGACTACCAAAAAGTATATGACTAAGTGCCACATAAAATAATCTTGAGTCTCATTTTAATAGAGAATAAATCTGTCCAGAAATTTTGTTGAATTATATACTAAATAATAAAAGTTAAATATATGATCTTCCATTTAACTCATTTTTTATAAAGTGAGCCAGTTCTATTTTTTTTAATCCTTAACCAGGAGAGTATGAATCACCCACATTTCCAAACTTGGAATACTTAGAGAATATGTTTTTAATAACTATATTTAAATTTGTATTTTTTCCTTTCAGGCTGCATCTATGACAATGACTAGCACTCAACTTTGGTCATTCTGCTGTGTTCATTAGGTGCCAATGTGAAGTCTGGATTTTAATTGGCATGTTATTGGGTATCAAGAAAATTAATGCACAAAACCACTTATTATCATTTGTTATGAAATCCCAATTATCTTTACAAAGTGTTTAAAGTTTGAACATAGAAAATAATCTCTCTGCTTAATTGTTAACTCAGAAGACTACATTAGTGAGATGTAAGAATTATTAAATATTCCATTTCCGCTTTGGCTACAATTATGAAGAAGTTGAAGGTACTTCTTTTAGACCACCAGTAAATAATCCTCCTTCAAAAAATAAAAATAAAAGAAAAAGGAAAATCATTCAGGAAGAAATGACCTGTCTAAAAAAACCTAAGGAAGAATAATAATATAAGAAAGGAAATTTAAAAACATTCCACAAGAAGAAAAATTATTGTTTATACTTCTACTTATGGTTATATCTTATATTCTCTATTCAAGTGACCTGTCTTTTAAAAAGGCAGTGCTGTCTTACCTCTTGCTAGTGGGTTAAATGTTTTCAAAAATTATAGCAGTAGTAGAAGTTTTGTATAAAATTTGTCCTTATTTGTTAATTGTATATAAATGTTAATTATTTGATACGAATGTTATGCATTTAGTATGCACATTGAAGTCTAAACTGTAGAAGAGTCTAAAACAAGTTCTCTTTTTGCAGATTCACATACTAATGGTTTAATTCTGTGCTCTGTTTAAAGTACTATTATAACTAGAGTAGATCTGAATGAGGATAACCCTAAAATCATGAGGAATGGAAGAATGGACCTTGAAACTACCTAGGCTTTTATGCATGGCACCTCTTTATAATGAAGACACTTTTTAAAGTTTTTGTTTTTGTTTCAATTACCGCTAGATTTTTTTTTCTCTTTTTTTAAAATCCATTTTACTGGAAAGTTGGCCAGCAGAGGGAGTAGAAATTATTAAAATTCTAGTGTTTGGATTGGGCCCTTCTCTAACAGTACATACTCATTCCCAAAGCAATCCAAAAACAAAATGTGAACCATTTGGGTTTCAAATGTTAAGAACACTAAATAGCATGATTTAAAAAATGAAAAATGCTAACACCCAAGAAAAGAAGATATTAAGTGCTTTTTAACAACTCCTAGAGTACAAAATGAGTACATCATAATGCTGGCTCTTCTACTAATGAACCATCGAGTGATATTGAATAAATTATTTATCTTCTCAGTTTCCTTATCTGTAAATTACAATATTAGACTAAGTAAGTTTTTCCAACTCTTCACTACCAATTACCTTAGGCTTTTATAATGCTCCGCCTACTTCAGTCCCATGTTTCAGAAGCTTTTGTCTATTTTTTAAACTCATTGATTAAATAATGATTAATGCATTCTCCACATTTTAATATTGCAAAGGCCCATTGGAGTTTCTGAAGTGGCTCCACAGAATTGAAATAATTTCAAATAACTGTAAAGGAACTGAAAATCTTCACAGAGATGAAGTGGGGTTTCCATTAGGTGCTTTGAAATTTGATAACAAATCATCAACTTCCACTGGTCAATATATAGATTTTGGGTGTCTGAGGCCCCAAGATTAGATGCCACTAATCTCCAAAGATTCCCTCCAATTATGAAATATTTTAATGTCTACTTTTAGAGAGCACTAGCCAGTATATGACCATGTGATTAATTTCTTTTCACACTAGATAAAATTACCTGGTTCAAAAGTGGTTTTTGTTTATTAAATTTGGTAATAAATATATATAATACACAGACAGGATAGTTTTTATGCTGAAGTTTTTGGCCAGCTTTAGTTTGAGGACTCCTTGATAAGCTTGCTAAACTTTCAGAGTGCCCTGAGACACTTCCAGCCATCCCTCCTCCTGCCTTCATTGGGGCAGACTTGCATTGCAGTCTGACAGTAATTTTTTTTCTGATTGAGAATTATGTAAATTCAGTACAATGTCAGTTTTTAAAAGTCAAAGTTAGATCAAGAGAATATTTCAGAGTTTTGGTTTACACATCAAGAAACAGACACACATACCTAGGAAAGATTTACACAATAGATAATCATCTTAATGTGAAAGATATTTGAAGTATTAATTTTAATATATTAAATATGATTTCTGTTATAGTCTTCTGTATGGAATTTTGTCACTTAAGATGAGCTGCAAATAAATAATACCTTCAATGGATAACCTTGCCTCCTACTTCATTAAAAAAATTGAGGCTAGCCAGATGCGGTGCCTCACATCTGTAATCCTAGCACTTTGTGTGGCCGAGGAGGGCACATTTCATGAGCCCAGGGGTTCCAGACCATCCTGGGCAACAAGGTAAAACCCTGTCTCTACAATAAATACAAATAATTAGCTGGGTGTGGGGGCACATGCCTGTAGTTTCAGCTACTTAGGAGGCTGTGGTGGGAGGATCACTGGAGCCTGAGAGGTCGAGGCTGCAGTAAGCCATGATTGTGCCACTGTCTCAAAAAAATTTACCCTGTCTCAAAAAAAAGAAATAAATATATTTTTTTAATATTGAGGCCATCAGGCTTCCTCTCTCTTAACTTGATCCTACATCTACAAAACAGTCTTTCTCTGCATCCAACCTTGACTCTAGCTTCAGCCTCAGAAGACGGGATATCTCCTCTTCAAGACCAAACCTTCTACCAAGACTCCTAATACTTTGACTCCTATTTTGTGTCAGAAATTAAGATAACTAAACGCAATTCCTTTCAATTCCCTACAACCTTTGACCTTAACCCATATCCAGACACTGTCCCAGAGAATAAGATGTCATGCCTTAAATTCAAAGCCATAACCTTTGGATCCCATTTCTTCCTGCCTTTTCTGGAGTGTTTGTCTTTTACAATTCATTCTTTCCCATTCTCCTTCTCCTTTTCTGCCTCCCTCTGGCTATCCCTCTTCTTTATCTTTAAGTTCTCCCACTGTGCAGATTCCTTTCTCTAGGCTTACAAACACTGAAATCTTTCCCATCTAAAAAGCAACATGAAACTTTGCCTTGGGCCCAAAAACCTGTCCAGCTACAGCCCGTTTGGATTTTTTTCCCCTCATTTCATTGTCTTAAAATGGCAGGGTATATGTGGCAGCCAGGAGAATGTGCCTCAAAGACTTCCAACTATGGGGCATTTAATTGTCCAAAAGTCCCCAGCTGCTGCATTCTGAAATCCATCACAATGTTTGTGCCAAGATCAGGCTGTTCTAGCTAATGACTGAGTGTTGCAGGGATACTGAGGCAGGCCTATTCCTGAAAGACACAGAACTCCTCACATGGCCAACTTCAGTTTGAGGACTCCCTGACAAGCTTGCTAAACCTGCAGAGTGCTCTGAGACACTTCCAACCATCCTCCCTCCTGCCTTTATTGGTATAGACTTGCATAGCAGTCTGTCAGCTCCTCCAGCCTTCTCCAGCTCCCTTCCCATTTTCTCTCACACATGTATTCTTCCCCACCCACACATGTATTCCTCCCTTCCCATTTTCACTCCCTCTTGGTGTCTGCTTTCCAGAGAATCCAAACTGAACACAGGACATCTGAAGAGTTTGTAAAAATACACATTTTTTTTTTCTCTGCAGATCAACAAATAAAAATCTCTAGGGAAGAAACTTTGGAGTTCATTTTTCCTTAACTCTAAATATGAGTTTAATGCTCAGCCACGTTTGAGAATCTCCCATCCCTATTCATCCTTTGCCATATGCTCAGGGTATATTCAATCGTCAACTTACTGCAACTCGATCTCTGCTACGATTTCTCTAAAGTCATCTCTACATGATATCCCACAGGTACCTGTAACTCATGGAACTCAGAAAGGAACCTTTTCTCTTTCCCCCTAAAACTAATTATCCCTCCTATAGATTTTACCTCAGTGACATCTGAATCATCCAGTCATCCAAGCTCAAAACATGGAGGCTGCTCTCTTTCTCCTCTTTTACTCTCTATCTGATGAAATATCATTAAACAGAGCTCCTAGAAAACAAATAATTTTGTTTTATTTGTTTTTATATTTCTTACTTTATGGCATATTTGAAGCCCTTCATTATATATTTAATAATTAAAGAATCAATGAATGATGTGTCTGCAAGGACTGTGTTAATCCTGTGGGCTGCCACTGTAATTTTTTCTTAATTACTATTTCAGATGCCATAAGAGGTTAAATAAATTGATGACCAAGAAATCTCTATTTGATTTACCAACATGTAAGTCATTGGCCACCTGAGAAAGATTCACTGAAGCAATCAAGACCAAGCTGATTGCAATGATGTCGCTCATCAGGCTTTCTGGAAACAGATGGGATAGAGTTTGAGGGAAGAGATGTCTATTAAGGATCAATATTTGTGAAAGGAAGGGGAGGAGGAAAGATTGGTCAGAGAAAGAGGTTGAACATGATGCAAGCCTGACAAAAATTCAGCCGACCAGACTGAGGCCTCTGGAGTAAATGCGGCCCAATACTTATCGTCCTTCAGGCCAACATAGCCAGCCTTTGTGATTTTGCCTTGCTCGTGGTTATCTGTGGGCCATCCTGGGAAGGTCATGATCTGTACAAGATGACATTGCACAATCATGAACAGTTTCCATTCTGTTCTCTCCAGGAAAACAGTAGGCTATATGTACATTCTCCTAAAGTAGTCTGGAGCATAAGCACAATCTTCAGCTTTATTTGCAAATTTGAGAAATGGATAAATGCTCAACAGGTACTTCTCATCTTTGGGGGTTCATCTGCAACCAGCAATTCCTCTATAACTCTCTCCACAGCCTACTGAGTTAGAAAAGTTTCCAAAAGTTGGAAAGTATATTTAAATATCAACCTATTAATGGTCTCCCTCCTCAGTTTAGATAATGATTCAGTTATTATTCATGATTGGCAGCAAGCAAGAGAAATTTACTATTGCCCTTAAGTAACTTACTCATGAGTCAAAGTCCCTGCAGAGAGAATTCCATTGACTGTGCTTGAGTCATGTGCCTGACCATGTGGTGGGGGAAGGGAGGGTTCTAACCCTTCAGCTCCCATAGTAGCAAAAAGTCACCTAGAATTATCCTCCCAAACAAGACTACACTTAGTGGTGGAAAGATAATTTCCCAATAAAAAATTCAGGGAGGCCGGGCACAGTGGCTCACGCCTGTAATCCCAGCACTTTGGGAGGCCGAGGCGGGCAGATCACGAGGGCAGGAGATTGAGACCATCCTGGCTAACACGGTGAAACCCCATCTCTACTAAAAATACAAAAAATTAGCCGGGTGTCGTGGCATGTGCCTGTAGTTCCAGTTACTTGGGAGGCTGAGGCAGGAAAATTGCTTGAACCCAGGAGGCGGAGGTTGCAGTGAGCTGAGATCGCACCACTGCTCTCCAGCCTGGGCGACAGAGCAAGACTCTGCCTCAAAAAAAAAAATTCAGGGAAAGCAAACTTGACTTCATGAGTGAAACAGGGTATATAAAAAAAATTTTTTTGAGACACAGTCTCACTCTGTTGGCCAGGCCGGAGTACACTGGTGCCATCATAGCGCACTGCACTCTTGACCTCCCAGGCTCAAGCAATCCTCCACCTCAGCATCCCCAGTAGTTGGGATTACAGGCATGTGCCACCAGTCCTGGCTAATTTTTTATTTTTGTAGAGATGGGTGTCTCACTATGTTGCACAGGCTGGTCTTGAACTTCTGGGCTCAAGTGATCCACCCACCTTGGCCTCCCAAAGTGCTGGGATTATAGGCATGAGCCACCAGAACCAACCAAAAATATTTTAAAAGAAGATCAAGGTATATTCTGCTTACATATTAAACACATACTAATATTTCTCTGATGTATTGTTTTCCCTCAGTCTTCTTGAATAATTTGGTCCTTTATCATTCCTTGCTCACTTTTGATACAGATATTGGTAGAAAATTAGTTTTGTCCTGTGAGAAACATCATATTGGCATGATGATAAATGGTAATTTGGTATGGAGACAGTAGAGAAGGTAGGGAGGGGCCTGTGGCAAACTGTAGAATATAAGCTCTGTCCATGGGAATGAGTTGCTAATTATGCTGGGTATCTTCTGTTTGGTCCTCTGGATTCCCCCTCTCCAACCTTCTCCATCCTGTTCTGTGCCTTTTGAGACCAACCTTTATGGACTGGACTCAAGAGGTTCCCTTGACTTCAGCTGCCAGTTTCACTGGGCCCGTGGGGGAGCAATAGCACTCAATGAGAGGGACGGGGAGTGAAGTTTGGATGTTTATTTGTTCGGCATCCTCTCAGGGAAATCCTTACAAGGTGGCGGTGTCCTTCACTCAAAGGCCACAGCTCTGTCGGACAGGCTTTTCCACATTGTGCTGGCTCTCTAGGTTCCAGTGCTTCTCCCTGGACTTGCCCCTTCAGGATTGCAACCACTTCCTGTGTTTACCAGCCCTAGGGTACTGTGTTTTACTTTGTGGCTTCCTGACATACTGTTCACACATTTGTAAACAATCACTGAATGAAACCTTCCTCAAATTTCCCAATTTGAGTTTGCTATTTGGTTCCCACGTAGGTCCTGCTGATGTACGTATGACTCAGCTCTGATGAGTTGTGAGCCCAGTGTTGATTCTCCTCCTTTTCAAGAGAAGCTGAAATCGAAGTTTATATATAAAAATTCCACTTGTTTTTATCGTAAATTCAATTTTTTAAATGCACTATTCAGAGCAAAAAAATATCTCCGTAGGCCAGATTTGGCCCACGCAGTTAGTCTGCAACCTCTGCCATTTATGATAAGAAATAAATCAGATGAAGGAGAGGCCACTCTAGCTATCCAACCCTGCCAATATTGTGGAAACTTTATGTACAGGTGAGTGATGGACAAGATGTATTTAGTGTCTATAATAGCCAGATTCCATCGCTTTTAGTAGCACCAAAGGCCATTGAGTGATCTAATAAGAATATGATCATAAAAAGTAATGTGGCTGCACAACATTCTTCAGCATCTGAAATGTTGCAAATACCCTCACCTGAAACTAAACAGAAGTCTACAGTCAAACTGTGGTTTGGGATGTGCTCAACTGAGAATAATATTCTCATAATAATGTAGGCTGTCTGAGGCCAGGTTGTTATCAACAAAGGAGAGTGAAGAAATATCTGCAATGACCACCAATGTAAGCCCTCTCATCTCGGTTCTTGGAAATAGATCTTTGAAATATTGTCATATTTTTCAAAAACTTTATATTAAGTTCATTATTTAGTAATGTAAACCACATCTTCCCTTTCAACTTGATGATCTCAACACATATGTAATCATACATGAAAGCTTAGCTCTCCATCATGTCTCTAGCAGCAGTACTAAAGGGAATCTTTTTTAAGTTAGGATTGAAATTTAGGTTACTATACTTAAGCAAATTCAATATGTTTGTCAGAGCTTCACCCTAAATGGTGGAAGCTGTGTTAAGTAAAGCACTGAAATCCTCCCACATGCCTCAGGGGACCTGAGTTTTCTTTTGGCTTCTCATCTTTAATATGTATGGATCTAAAAGAGGTGCACTAAGCTATAGTGGCTACTTAACTTCCAAGATCTAAATGAATGTGCAGAACTACAAAAACCAAAACCATAAGGTATTAAAGAACACATATAGGTGTTTGTGCATTCATCTAGAGGAGAAACAACAACCAAAGATCTCCACTATTCATAATGTATCTATCTACAGAAGTAGACTTACTAGGAAGATATCTTAGGTTGGTGTTTTCATCCATTTGGACTGCTATAACAAAGTACCACAGACTGGGTGGCTTATAAACAATAGAAATGTGTTTAGTACAGTTCTGGAGAGGGTGGGAAGCCCAAGATTAGGGTGCCAGCATGGTCAGATTCTGGGGAGGGCCCTCTTCCGGAATGCAGACTGCCTAGTTCTTGTCTTCACTCTACAGCAGAGAGTGAGCTAGCTCTCTGGCCTCTTCTTATAAAGACACTGATCCCACCCATGAGGGTTTCACTATCAAAGACTCAACCTCCCAATACAATCCCTAAGTCCCCAAAGGTCCAACCTCTCAAAGACCCAACCTCCAAATACCATCACATTAAGGATTGTGTTTCAACATATGAAACTTGGAGGTGTGGTGAGCACAAGCAATCAGTCCACAACAGTCCGGTTCCTTAGAAGCAGAGCTCCAGACAGGAATTCTTGTGCAAGGGATTTGTTAAGGATGTGCTCTCAGGAGAAACCTGTAAGGAGTGAGGAAGCAGGAGAGCACAGGAGAAGTTAGACAAAGACGTAGAGGCAGCTAAAGCCCAGTCTCACCTGATTCCACAGCAAGAAAGGCATCACTGAATTATGTCACCTTGAGGCAAGGGAGCTGGGCTTTTATACCCTCCCACTCAGTCATTTTAAAAAATGAGGCGGCCGGACGTGGTGGCTCATGCCTGTAATCCCAGCACTTTGGGAGGCTGAGGCAGGTGAATCACGAGGTCAGGAGTTCGAGACCAGTCTGGCCAACATAGTGAAACCCCGTCTCTACTAAAAATACAAAAAAAAATTAGTCGGGCGTGGTGGCGGGCACCTGTAATCCCAGCTACTCGGGAGGCTGAGGCAGGAGAATCACTTGAGCCCCAGAGGCAGAGGTTGCAGTGAGTCGAGATTGTGCCATTGCACTCCAGCCAGGGCAACAGTGTGAGACTCCATCTCAAAAAAAAAAAAAGAAAAAAATGAGGTTTAGAGATGATATATGATTTTCCCAAATTACAAAGCCAATAAGGCTTACACCCTGTGCACAAGGTCTTAATTGTGATATCCTGCTGTCATTTTATATATGATACACACTTCTCCCTTATCTCACTAAATAATAATAATAAGCAACAAACAAAAGCTTGAAAATTATCAGTGAGACACAAGGAAGGCAGAAATTAGGAAAATTGTTAGTTCTTTTTTGTTATGATACAGATGGCAATCAGAATAAAAATAATATTAAATGAGGTCGAATGCCTAGTTTTAAGAAAGGAAGTTATATACATTTAATTAACGTTACATGCATTTAATTAACATTTAATTAACGTTAGATTAATATATATTTAATTATACATTTAATTAACGTTAGATAAATTTGGTATCTAATATATACATTTAATATATATACATTTAATTAATGTTAGATAAATTTGGTATTATGAGCTATACAGTTTAAAATAACTGAAGAAAAATGATGACAACATGGTATGATTGACTGTTCAGCAAACATATCTGAGTTTACATATCCAGAATAGTATTGTTCCCTCCAAAGCAGTCAATATGAGGGGATGTATACCTATTTCAATATTTTCCATAAAATTAGGATTCATTAGCATATCAAAAGAATACCTGGCCAGGTGCTACAGCTCATGCCTGTAATCCCAGCACCTTGGGAGGCCAAGGCAGGAGGATTGCTTGAAGCCAGGAACTCTAGACCAGCCTGGGCAACATAGCAAGACCATGTCTCTACTAAAAATAAAAAATATAAAGTTAACTGGGCATGGTGGGGCATGCCCGTAGTCCCAACTACTCAGGAAGGCTGAGGCAAGCGGATCCCTAAAGCCCAGGAGTGAGCTATGATCACGCCCACTGCATTCTAGCCTGAGCGACAGAGACCCCGTCTCTAAACAAACAAAACAAAACAAAAAACAAAAGGGATAGTGCACACCTGTGCTTATTACAGCACTATTCACCATAGCAAATATATGGAATCAATCTAAGTGTCTATCAGTGGATGAATGGATAAAGAAAATGTGGTATATATACATAATGAAACTCTAGTCGGCCATAAAAGAGAAATAAAATCCTTCCATTCGTGGTAACATGGATGCAACTGGAGGTTATTATATTAAATGAAACAAGCCAGGCACAGAAAGACAAATACTGCGTGTTCTCACTCATGTGGGAGCTGGGAAAGTTGATCTTATGGAGGTAGAGAGTACAATGATAGATACTAGAGGCCGGGAAGGGTGTGTTGGGACGGGTGAAGGGTAGGAAGAGAGGGTGGTGAATGGGTACAGACATACAATTAGCTGGAAGGAATGCCTAATGTTCAATAGCACAGTAGGGTGACTATAGTTAATAATAATTCATCGTATATTTCAAAATAGCCAAAAGAGAAGATTTGAAATGTTCCCAATACAAAGAAATAAACATTCAAGGTGATGGATAGCCTACACACCCTGACCTGATCATTACACATTCTATGCATGTATCAAGATATCACATGTACCCCATGAATATGTATAAATATTACATATCAATAAAAATTATTAGGATTTCTTATTATGCCAAAAAAGGGGGTGCAGAGAGATTGTATCTTCAAATTTGCCTTTAGTACTTAGGGAAAATTGATTTTTAATATCTTCATTACTGAAATATAATAAATGCTTACCCTTTGAAAGTGGATTTTAGTTTTGCAAACGGGCAAAAACCATTCAGAGTCACATATGATGTATAAAGTGGGTGAACAAGAAAGGCAATACTCTTGTGAAATTAAGCTGTGACCTTATATTAATGATGGTTTCTTGTTTATCATAAACTGCCCCTAACCTTTCTTAGTATTGGAAGATAAATTTGATTGAATGTTTATTTTTTTATTTATAATAATAGTACAACAGTTTTCTGTCTCCATCAGTCACTTTTTAAAAAATAATTATCTTGTTAAATAAAACATTACGAATACATTTAAAGCTACCTGTGTACCTCATCCAATTACACTTTGTTTCCTCTTTCCCTCCTTCCTAGGGAAAACCAGCATCCAATTGTACTGTTTATCATTTCCATGCATTTATTTATGTTTTCATTACATATGGAAATTTATCAGTATTATTTTATTGGTGTTTTAAAAAATTTTATATAGCTAGTATCATATTGTATGTAGTTTTCTTTTATCTTTAAATTTTTTTTTTTTTTTTTTTTTTTTTTGGAGATGGGGTCTCACTCAGTCGCCCAGGCTGGAAGGCAGTGGCATGATCTCAGCTTATTGCAGCCTCCGCCTCCAGGGTTCAAGTGATTCTCCTGCCTCAGCCTCCCCAGTAGCTGGGATTACAGGCATCTGTCACCACGCCCAGCTAATTTTTGTATTTTTTAGTAGAGATGGGGTTTCACCGTGTTGGCCAGGCCGTTCTTGAACTCCTGACCTCAAGTGATCTGCCTGCCTTGGCCTCCCAAAGTGCTGGGATTACAGGTGTGAGCCACTGCACCCAGCCTGTATGTACTTTTCTGCATCCTGCTTTTGTTGCTCCTCCTTATGTTTGGAAAAGGTATCTCATTCTATTGAATTACTAACCTACAGATATTTCTATTTTTCAATTGAAGGCCATGTTAAATTGTTCCCAATATTTTTGCTATCCTAAAGAATGTTTCTCTGAATGTTCATGTCAGAATTTCCTAGGACACATGGATGAAATTCTCTCTATGTCATATACCCAGGAGGGGAATTACTAAAGGGTAGGGTACGCAGGTTTGCACATCCTCCACTTGAATAGATAGTGCCAAATGGCTTTTTGTGTCTTGTTTAAGAAACACTTACTTTCACCAGCTCATGAAGATATTATCCTGTATTTTATTCTAAAGTTTTACAGTTTTACTTTTCATTTTAAGTTCTTTGAACCACCCAGAAATGTAGATCTTCCTCCCTCCCTCACCCCAGTGTGAATAAGCAGATAAATAGTTTCTCCGGGCCATTTAGTGACTGGTCCAAACCTCTCTACCAACGAACAATCCTCCTGCTTCAGCCTCCCCAGCAGCTGGAAATACAGGCATGCACCACCACATCCAGCTAACTTTTTTTTTTTTTTTTACAGTGTCTCATTACATTAACTGGGCTGACTTCTAACTCCTGGCCTCAAACGGTCCTCCTGCCTTGGCCTCCCAAAGTGCTACAGGCATGAGCCACCACACCCGGCCTCTTATACATTTTGATACAATTTACTTATAAAACTATTTAAACCCAGCACTTGACCAGCCTAGGCAGCAGAGTAAGACCCTGTCTCAAAAAAATAGAAGTAAATATAAATAAAACATTTACGATAGATATTGTTATTGCAGGTAGATTTTAAAGTACCTATCCATTGGGTTTTTAATCTTATATATTTTTCCTAATGCCTACTTGATTACTTCCCAAATCCATCTGATCCTTTTCAATTGCTGGTTTTGTATTCATAGTTTTTTAGTCCGTCTTTTATTCTCTTAAACATTTTAACATCATTATTTGTATTATGTATGTAATAATTTTATTATCTGAAATTCTTGGTGGGGAGTATCATTCTCCTCTTTTGTGATTCTGCTGATTCTTGCTCACCTTTGGGTGGGCCTTTTCTGAAGAAATCCTGTGATGTCTGGCACGAGGGTGCATTTTCCAGAGATTTATCTCTGCAATTTTTGGGTGTCCCAGTTATACTAATGCAGGACTTTAAGAAAATATATTTACTTGGAATTTCCCAGACTTTGCCAGTAAGTGTAGATGAGAACTTTAAAACTCCGCAACAGTATGCTTGAATCCTCAAGGGAGCCTTTCTTTCTACACTCAGAGTCCAAAACTGGACAGAAAGGGGAACCTCAACATGTCCCTTGGCTGGAATGATAATTTATTCTAATTCACCTTTTTCCTGAAGATACAGTCCCTCCAGATCTTAGGCTCTATCTGTGAGAGAAGTCTTACTTTCAATTTCCCACCTTTGCATAGACCCAAAATCTTATGTTTCCCCAACTACCTTTAAAACACAAGTCTCTTGAACGTCAACATTGTCAAAAGACCCTGGGAAGTCATCATGTACGCTGCAGCTAACCATTCTGGTTTCCATTCTTCTCCCTAGAAGCCAGTCTTTCAGCCCCGGGGGATTTCCCTTCCTTTCTTATGATATCAACCATACATTCAAAGAAATGCTTATTATGTGTTTTCCTGCATTACTAGATATTTTGTATATCAGAAGGTCTTTCATGGTAGCCTTTCCATTGAAGTGTTGGATTCAGATGTCCCAATATCTTTTTAACTTCCAGGTACCTGTATCACAAGCATTTGACATTATGACTCTAATTACAGGTTTTTTTGTTTTTGTTTTTTTGAGATGGAGTCTCGCTCTGTCACCTAGGCTGGAGTGCAGTGGTGCAATCCCGGCTTACGGCAAACTCCGTCTCCCGGGTTTACACCATTCTCCTGCCTCAGCCTCCTGAGTAGCTGGGACTACAGGCGCCCGCCACCACGCCTGGCTAATTTTTTGTATTTTTAGTAGAGACGGGGTTTCACCGTGTTAGCCAGGATGGTCTTGATATCCTGACCTCATGATCCGCCCGCCTCGGCCTCCCAAAGTGCTGGGATTACAGGTGTGAGCCACCGCACCTGGCCAATTACAGGTTATTAAATTACTTATTGCAGTGTATTTTGTCATGTGAAATTAGTCATTACAAATATAAGCCAAATTAAAAGAGAATGAAATGAAATTCCTTCTTCTTGGTTACATTATTTTGATACTTCTACAGCTGTTTTCACTGTGTAAGCTAATTTTTAAGTACTTTTTTATGTGGCAATGTTGCTTCAAAAACATTTTAAAGGATAATTTCCAGTTTCCTTTTTTAAAAAAGGAAATTAAATGAAAGGCAATTTCCAACCAAATGAAGTTCACCAGGAATATACAATTATGAAAAAAAAATTACTTGTCAGAGACATTACAAAGGCAGAGTTCCAACACAACAAATGGCCAATTGTGATCATGTTTATCAAAGAATCTGGTATTTCTTTACATAGTTTAAAACGGATTAAATTTGAAAAGTAAAAAAATATAATACTTATTCACATTTTCACCAGGCATTTTTGGATTAGTTGCACTATTATCAGTGAAAGAAGAAAGTATTTTAAAAGGTGAGTCATAATTTCTCATAACATTACTAAGTTAGCATCAACATTACTGGGACTTAAAGCCTCAGTCCCAACTACTTGTTTTGGCTGAAAGTGTGTGAAACTCAGATATATGTGTGGATTACCAACACCACCCTGCAATGAAGGGGATTAGCTCTGTCACAACAAAATGAAAAGCATATAGCTGAGATAGGCATAACTGCTAAATATTTGGTTACTTCAACTTTTAAAGCAATATGTGTAAATTTCATTTCCCAGCTTACCAGGTGGGTACTTATAAGAACAGAGAAATTTTCTCCTGAACATGATGTATACCTCCAAACCCACAGAAGAAAATGTGGCATCTACCTAATGCTCTCAAATTGTAGTGAACATAATAATCACCTCTGTATTGGAGATTTGGTATTTTTGGCCACTAGGCACCCAATCTCTCTTTTTATTAGCACCATGTGCTGGATTGTCTGTTTCGACTTGGACAGTAAAGCACCAGGTCTAAGGCCCTGTGCAGAAAATAGTTAACACAGCAGACCTGAAACTGCTGCCTTAAAAAATCCTGCTTGAAAAGTTGGCTTTGGGTTGGTGTCTGGGGACTTGGATTTTGAGAGGATTTCCACCATTCCCAGAACTGATAAGAGTGGCTTGCTGTGCCTAGACTGTTTGTACAAACAATATGATTTACGCTGAACATCTGCTTTACCCTGGAAGTCTGGAATGTTGGCTCATGCTGGGCAGAGGGTACTTATGTGACCAGCCCTCAATAAAAACCTTGGGTACTAAGTCTTTAACACGCAGACTTAGGAAACAACATTTCAAACATGCTGTCATAAACTGTTGCTGGAGGAATTAAGTATGTGTGCGACTCTACAGGAGAAGAATTCTTGGAAGTTTGTACCTGGTTTCCTCTGGACTTCACTCATTGTGCCCTTTCCTTTTGCTTGTTTTGCTTTGAATCCTTTCACTGTAATAAATCATAGCCATGAGTATGACTGTATGCTGAGTCATGTGAGTCCTGCTAGCCAAATCCTCACACCTGGAATAGTCTTGGGGACCCCCACACAGAGTGAAAACAACACATCCCAGAATCCCTCTCTCTATAGGGTTAGAATTGGCCAATGAAAGAAATTGTGCAGCATTTGGAAAACAAGCACCACACAGAAGTTATTACTCTCAGAAAGTCGTAGCAGTCAGACATGGTAATGGACAGACACAAACATATTCAGTGGGTCACAGACGATCCTTACTTTCCTACTCTGAGCTCGTATCAACTGCTGGCTTCATTGTTTGTATTAGTCCATTTTCACACTGCTATAAAGACATACCTGAGCCTGGGTAATTTAATTTATAAAGAAAAGAGGTTTAATTGACTCACAGATTTGCATGCCTCAGGAAACTTACAATCATGGCAGAAGGGAAAGCAGGCACATCTTACACGGCAGCAGGCGAGAGAGAGCAAAAGCAGGGAAAACTGCCCTATAAAACCATCAGATCTCATGAGAACTCACTCACTATTACAAGAACAACATGGGGGAACCCACCTCTATGATCCAATCAACTCCACTGGGTTCTTTCCTCGACATATGGGGATTATGGGGATTATAATTCGAGATGAGATTTGGGTGGGGACACAGAGTCAAGCTGTTCAATTCCACAGAGTCACTGTTCAATTCCACCCCCAAGCACACCACCAAGCCCTTGTCTCCTGGCCTGCATAGGTAGAAGCTTCCACAAAGGCAGTGGCTTCAACACATCTCTCCATAATCTCCCAGATGCTATCCCACCTGAAAACCAAATATACACAGTTTCTTGCACTTTTCATCTTGAGTGTATTTGCAACAAAGATGCATATATAAAAAGGCAAGTACAACAATGTGTGACTAAGATCCCCTGCTCCTAAATGACAGGCTATTGTTGTCAGGTATTTTATTTCGTTCCTTTTCAAACCATAAAATTAAAATGCTATTATTATTAAAGGCAGAATGTTTTTGTTTAAATTTGTCTATATGTTTTACCAATTTCTTTACTCATATTCTTTCTTGTATCTCAGACTGTCATTCCAAGGCCACTTTCTTCTTCTTTAAGTACACATAATAAAGTTAATTTAGTCAAGTCTTGTGGTAAACATTCCCATTTTTATTGACCCCATAATAATTTACTTATTCATGGGGTACATGTGAGTATTTGTTACATGCATAGAATATGTAATGATCAAGTAAAAGTATTTGGGTATCCATCTCCTTGAGTATCATTTCTGTGTCACAAACATTTCAAGTCCTCTCTTGCAGCTACTCTGAAATACACAATACATTCATTGTGCTAACTATAGTCATCCTACTCTGCTATTGAAAATCAGAACTTATTTATTCCAACTCACTGTATGTTTGTACCCATTTACCAATCACTCTTGATCACCCTCCTTCCCACCCACATGTACTTCCCAGCCTCTGGTAGCTATCATTCTATTCTTTATCTCCATGAGATCAACTTTTATAGCTCCCACATATGGGTGAGAATATGCAATATTTGTCTTTCTGTGCCTGGTTTATTTCATTTAACATAATGACCTCCAGTTCCACTCATGTTGCTGCAAATGACATGATTTCATCCCTTTTTATGGCCAAATAGTATTCCATTGTGTATATATACCATATTTTCTTTATTCATTCATCCACTGATGGACAGTTAGGCTGATTCCATATCTTTGCTATTGTGAATAGTGCTATAATAAACATAAAGGTGCAGATATTCGTTTGATATACTGATTCCCTTTCCTTTAAATAAATACCCAAAGTAGGATTACTGGATCAAATAGTAGCTCTGTTTTTTATTTTTTGAGAAATCTCTATACTGTTTTACATAATGAATGTACTCATTTACATTCCCACCAACAGTGTAAAAGAGTTTTCTTTTTTTCCACATCTTCACCTGCATCTATTATTTTTTGTCTTTTTTATAATAACCATTCTAGTAAGATGATATCTCATTGTGGTTTTGATGTTCATTTCCTTGATAATTAGGAATGTTGAACAACTTTTTTAAACTTGTTGGCCATTTGTATGTCATCTTTTGAGAAATGTTTACTGATGTCCTTTACCCACTTTTTAATGGACTATTTAGTTTTAAAAATGGAGTTGTTTGAGTTCCTAGCATATTCTGGATATTAGTTCCGTGTTGGATAAATAGTTTGCAGATATTCTCTTCTGTTCAACGAGTTGTCTCTTTATTCTGTTGATTGCTTTGCTGTGCAGACGCTTTTAAGTTTAATATAATCCCATTTGTCTATTTTTGTTTCTGTTGTCTATGGTTTTGGGGTCTTAGCTATAAAATCTTTGCCTAGACCAATGTCCTGAAGTGTTTTCCCTAATGTTTTCTTCTAGCAGTTTTATAGTTTGGGGTCTTACATTTAAGTCCTTAATCTGTCTTGAGTTGACTTTTGCATACAGTGAGAGATAAGGGTGTAATTTCATACTTCTGCAAATTGTTACACAGTTTTCCCAGAACCATTTATTGAAGAGGTTGTCCTTTCCCCAATGTATGTCCTAAGTGAGTTGGTTGAAGATCAGTTGACTATAAATACATAGATTTATCTCTTGATTGTCTATTCTGTTACTTCGGTCTATTTGTCTGTTTTTATACCAATACCATGCTGTTTTGGTTATTACAGCCTTGTAATATATTTTGAAATCAGGTAGTGTGACACTTCCAGCTTTGTTCTCTTTTGCTCAGGATTGCTTTGGCTATTCGGGCTCTTGTTTGGATCAATACAAATTTTAGGATTACCTTTTTCTAAGTCTGTGAAAAATGACATAAATAATTTGATAGGAATTGCATTAAATCTGTAGATTGCTTTGAGCACTATAATCACTTAAATGATGTTAATTCTTACAATCCATGAGCATGGAATGTCTTTCCATTTGTTTCCTCTTCAATTTCTTCCATCAGTGAGTGCTTTTTTAGTTTTTCTTGTAGCGATGGCTCACCTTTTTTAGTTAAAATTATTCTTAGGTATTTTTTTGTAGCTATTGTAAATGGGATTGCCTTCTTGATTTCTTTCTCAGCTAGTTCATTATAGGTATATAGAAATGCTACAGATTTTTGTATGTTGATTTTGTATCTTGCAACTTTACTGAAAGTATTAATCAGATCTAAGTTTTTTGGTGGAGTCTTTAGGTTTTACTAGATGTATGATCATATCATCAGCAAAAAGTAAATTTCGCTTCCTTTTTCAAATTTGGATGTATTTTACTTCTTCTTCTTGCCTGATTATGCTGGCTAGGATTTTCATTACTATGTTGAATAGGAGTGGTGAAAGTTAGCATCCTCATCTTATTCCAGTTCTCAGAGAAATGGCTTTCAGCTTTTCCCCATCCTATACAATGTTAGTTGTAGATTTGTCACATATGGCCTTTTTTATGTTGAGGTATGTTCCTTCTATGCCTAGTTTGTTGCAAGTTTTTATCATGAAGGGATGTTAAATTCTATCAAATGCTTTTTCTGCACCAATTGAGATTGTATGTAATCAACCGTATTAATTTTCTGCTTCATTTTGTTAATGTGATGTATCATGTTTATTGATTTTTATATGTTGAACCATCCTCGAGACACATCCCTCTTGATCATGGTATATTATTTTTTTATGTGCTGTTGGAATCAGTTTGCTAGTATTTTGGGGAGAATTTTTGCATCTATGTGCATAAAGAGAGTTTGGTGTGTAGTTTTCTTTTTTGTTGAGTCTGGTTTTGCCATCAGGTTAATTCTTGCCCTATAGAATGAGTTAGGGAAAAGACCCTTCTGTTGGATTTTTTGGAATAGTTTGAGGATACTGGATGTTAGTCCTTCTTTAAAGTTTAATAGAATTTGACAGTGAAGCCGTCTGGTTCTGAACTTCTCTTTGTTGGGAGACATTGTATTACTGCTTCAACTTTTTTATTTGTTATTGGTCTCTTCAGGTTTTCTATGTCTTCCTGATTCAATCTTGGAAGGTCGTGTGTGTCTAGGAATTTATCCATTTTGTCTGGGTTTTCTAGTTTGTTGATGTATAGTTGCTCATAATAGTCTCATGATCTTTTGTATTGCTGTGGGATCAGTTGTAACGCCTTCTTTTTCATTTCCGATTGTGTTTATATGGGTCTTCTCTCTCTTTTATTGGTTACTCCAGGCAGTGATTCATTGATTTTATTTACTCTTTTCAAAAAAACAATTTTTTATTTTATAAATTTTTATATTACTTTTTTAGTCTTTATTTCATTTAGTTCTGCTCTGATTTTTATTATTTATTGCCATCTACTAATTTTGTGCCTGGTTTATTCTTGCTTTTTTAGTTAGTTGAGGTACATCATTAGGTTGTTAATTTGGGTCTTAGTAAAAGTATATTCCTACTTTTTTGATGTAGGCATTTACTGCTATAAACTTCCCTTATAGCACTGCTTTTGCTGTTTCTCACAGGTTTGATATGTTGTGTTTACATTTTCATTTGTTTCAATAATTTTTAAAAAAATGTTCTTGCTAATTTCTTCATTGACCCAATGTCATAATGTCATGCAGGAGCATCCATCTATTTGTACAGTTTCAAAAGTTCCCCTTGTTATAGACGACTAGTTTTATTCCATTGTGGTCTGAGAAGATACTTGATATTATTTCAATTTTTAAAAATTTGTTGAGACTTGTTTTGTGTCTTCACATATGGTCTATCCTGAAGAATGTTCCATGTGCTGATAAAAATATGTGTATTCTGTAGCTGCTGAGCAAAATGTTCTGTAAATGCCTGTTAGGGCATTTGGTCTAATGCGTTAATTTTCTGTCTAGATTATCTGTCTAATGCAGAGAGTGGGGTGTTGAAGTCTCCAACAATTATTGTATTGGAGTCTATATCTCCCTTTAAATTTAATAACATTTGTTTTATATATCTGGGTGCTCCAGTGTTGAGTGCATATATATTTACTATTTAAAAAATTATTTAGAGACTGGGTCTCACTGTATTGATGAGGCTGGTCTCAAACTCCTGGCTTCAAGTGATCCTCCTGCCTTGACCCTCCCGAAGTGCTGGAATTATAAGCATGAGGCACTGCATCTGACCTATTTACTATTTTTATGTAGGCTGGCTGAATGATGTTTTTATAATAAAAATTTGACCTTCTTTGTCTCTTTTTACTGTTTTTGGCTTTAAGTCTGTTTAATCTATATATAGTTATTCCTGCTTGCTTTTGGTTCACATTTTTTTGGAATATCTTTTTCCATCCCCTTACTTACAGTCTATATATGTCTTTATATAGGAGATGAGTTTCTTGTAGGCAACATCTAGTTGAGTCATGTTTTTTGTTTTTGTTTTAATCCATTCAGCCATTTTTTTCTGGGCTTTTGTAAATTTATCAATTAGAGTCTCTTGCTAAAGAACTATTGTGTTCCATTGGAGGCATCATATTTCCTTGCTTTTTCAGGTTTCCTGTGTATTTACATTGATATCTGTGCATCTGGTATAACAGACTTCTTTCAATTTTTTGAATTTGTTTTCTTAAGGGAGGACTTTTTCTTGAAGATGTATCTATGGTGTTGGTTGGGTGGCATACCTTGGCTTTGATTCTGGGTGTATGCGTGAGTGTAGACTCTGTATGATTTCTTTGGCTGTAAATAGCGTCAGTGGTATCTGATTTTCTTGGTGACATAGGATGTGGTTATTAATGGAGGCTGTGGTGAAGTTTTGCTGAGTACTAGGATGCCAAGTGGGCCAGTCTTTGGGCCCCAGTGGTGGCAGTGGTGGGCTGAGGCCTGTCCTTGGGCCCCTGAGCAGCTTATGTTGGCACCAGAGTCAGCAGGTCCAGGCTGGCTGATCCTCGCGCCTCAAAGTGGCTTGCTTGGATGTCAGTAGTGGCAGTTGTGGGCCAAGAAGGCAGTGGGGTTCTCAGGCCTCTAGGCAGCCAGCATGGGATGGGCAGTGTCAGTCACAGGGGCAGGACAACCCTCTGGGTCCTAAGTGGTGCATGCTGGTGTTGGTGGTGGCTGCAATGGGCTGGATGGGCTAGTCTCCAGCCCAAATGTGGCGCATGCAGGTAGGTACCAGCAGTGGTTGTATCATCAGGTGAGTAGGCCCAACCTCATGCCTCCCTGGGAAGAGTGCTCAGGTGCCAATAGTGGTGGATTGAACTGGACAGTTCCCAGGTTCCCAGACTATATGCTCTGGCATGAGGGGTTGAAGCCAGGCCAAGCAGGCTTGTCCTCAGACCCCCTAATTGTGTGTACAGGTGCCTTCAATGTTAGGCAGAAGCAGGGAAATCCCCAGGCCTCCAGCGGAATGCTGGAGTTGGACAAAGCAGTGGCCGTGCTGCAGCCCTGCCTCTGAGAAGGGCAGGGACACCTTCGATGATGGCAGCCTAAGTTGGTGGGTGGAAAACATGCACCGCACTCATGTTTCAGCCTCTGTGGCAACAGCCTAAGCCTCACTCACACTTCAGCTCTGGTGCCACTGGGCCCCAGGACAGTGCTTAGTCTGTCGTGGGCTGGGCTTTCAAAATGGTGCCTTACTGTAGCTGTCTATGACTCAGGGGGAATGTGGGACCCAGCACAATTCCTTCCCTGGAGCAGTGCCATTATGCCGTCTCCAAGTAGCTCCCCATGCTAGTTTCAGGGCCTGTAAGGGTCTAGGTTCTTTCCCGTGACTAGGATTGCAGAAGTCATGGTGGAACCATAGTCCGCAGGGGGTCACTCATTTACCCTTTCCCTGTATTCCCCACTCCCAGACAATCCTGGCTGAGAAGGCTGCCTCGCTTCTTTCTCCTTCCTTGCTTTAGGTTTTTCTGTCACTTTCCTGTTGAATTCCAGTGTTCTGCTTTGGATGATCCATTCAAAGTGTGATTATTCACTATTTTGGTTCTTCTTTGGGCAGGAGGCAAGTATGAAATGCTTCTAGTCGGCCATCTTGAAGTCCATTCCCAGATGTTTTGATTATATAGAAATAACTTAATTTTTCCATTTTTATTGAAGATAGGTATTAAAAATACAGAAATTTTGGTTGATACTGATTTTTCTTCAGCACTCTAAAGATATTTTTCCTTTTTTCTCCATATTATTTATGTTGAGGAAACTACATAATTATTCTAATTGTAATTTCTGCAAGTTATTTGCCTTTCCTTTCCACTTGTTTTTAAGATTGCTTTGTTTTTAGTGTTTTTAGTGTTCTGTACTTTCACTATATAGTGTCCACTTGATTTATCTTGATTTACATATATTATCCCTCTTATATTTGTTAATTTTTGTCTTTCACTAGTCCCAGAAAATGCATAATCTTTTCAAATATTATATCTTCTTTGATCTCTCAATTCTTTCCTTCTTGGAATCCTGCTAGATCTTTTCATTTGGTACTCCATAAATTTTTTACCGCTTGCAATAATGACTTCTGTTATTTCCATTTTTATTAAAGTATAAATTACATAAGGCAAATTTACCCTTTTTAATATACAGTTCTGTAAGTTTAACAAGCACATACAGTCACATAACCCCCACTGTATCCAAGAATTTGACTCATTTCATCACTCCTAAAAATGACACTGTGCCATGTTATAGTTAACTCCACTGCCCAACCCAAGATCCTGGCCACCACTGATCTTGCTGTCACTATAGTTATGCCTTTTCCAGAATGTCAAATACATAAAATTATAGAGTATAGAGCCTTTTAAGTCTGGCTCCTTTCACTTAGCATAATACATTTGAAATTCATGCATATTGTAGGCCGGGCGTGGTGGCTCACGCCTGTAATCCCAGCACTTTGGGAGGCCGAAGCTGTTGGATCACGAGGTCAGGATTTCAAGACCAGCCTGGCCAACATAGTGAAACCCCGTCTCTACTAAAAATACAAAAATTAGCTGGGCATGGTGGCGTGTGCCTGTAATCCCAGCTACTTGGGAGGCTGAGGCAGGAGAATTGCTTGAACTGGGACCCGGGAAGCGAAAGTTGCAGTGAGCCAAGATAGCACTACTGCACTCCAGAGTGAACTACAGAGTGACACTCCATCTCAAAAAAAAAAAAAAAAAAAAATTAGACGGGTGTGGTGGCACATGCCTGTAATCCCAGCTACTTGGGAGGCTGAGGCAGGAGAATCGCTTGAACCTGGGAGGAGGAACTTGCGGTGAGCCAAGATCACACCATTGCACTCCAGCCTGGGCAACAAGAGAGAAACTCTATCTCAAAAAAAAAAAAAAAAAAAAAGAAATTCATGCATATTGTTTTGTGATTCAGTAATCTGTTCCTTTTTAATGCTAAGTGGTATTCAAATGTACAATTATTCCATAATTTGTCTATCCATTCTCCAGTTGAGAGACATTTGGGTTGACTTTAGTTTGTTAGTTTTTGGCAATAACAAGTAAAGCCCCTATAAATACTCACATCCAGATTTTCATGTGAACATAAGTTATTATTTCACTGGGGGAACACCTAGGTGTGGGATTGCTGAGTTGTACGATAAGTGCATGTGTAACTTCAAAAGAAACTGGCTGACTGATTTCCAAAGTCTCTGAGCTATTTTGTGTCCCCACCTCTCTTGTGTGAGAGAGTTGCACTTGTTCCACATCTTTGCCATTTTTGGTATTTTCCTTTTATGTACTTTTTAAGCCTTTCTAATAGGTATGTAGTGATATCTTATTGTGGTTTTAATGACCATATTCTTCATAACTAATTTTACTGAGTAATGTTTATATGCTTATTTTCCATGGGTATATTTTTTTTGGTGAAGTGTCTATTCAAGTTTTTGTCCATTTTTTTCATTGTTTAGTTTTCTATTAGTGAGTATTGAGAGGTATTTATATAGCCTGCATACAATTACTTTATCAGATACATGATTTGAAAACATTTTCTCAGTCTGTGGCTTCTGTTTTTATTCTCTTAAAAGTGTCTTTTTAGGGGCAGAAGTTTTTCTTTTTGATGACTTCAATCCATCAATTATTTCTCATATTGATCATGTTTCTAGTATAGTATCTAAGAACTCCTTTCTTCCACTCAAGGCTACAGAAATTTTTTCTATTTTTTTTCTAGAAGTTGTGTAGTTTCAATTTTACATTTAGATTTATGATTCATTTTGAGTAAATTTTTGCATACAGTGTAACATACAGATCAAGGTTCATTATATGTATGTGGATAGCCAATTGATCCAACACCATTTGTTGAAAAGGACTGTTCTTTCTACAATGAATTGTCTTTGTACCTTCATCAATAATTAATTAAATATATATACTTTGTGAGCTCTTTATGATATGGTTTTGCTCTGTGTCACCACCCAAATTTCATCTTGAATTGGAATTCCCATAATCCCCACATGTCGAAGGCAGGACCTGACGGGAAGTAATTGGATCACAGGGTCAGTTTCCCCCATGGAGTTCTTATGATTGTCACTGAGTTCTCAAAAGATATGATGGTTTTATAAGGGGCTTCCCCCTTTGCTCATTTGCTGTCTTGCCTGCCACCATTTAAGACGTGCCTCTTCCCCTTCTGCCATGATTGTAAGTTTCCTGAGGCCTCCCCAGCCCTGAGAAACTGTGAGTCAATTAAACCTCTTTTCTCTATAAACTACCCAGTCTTGGGTATGTCTTTATAGCAGTGTGAGAATAGACTAACACATTTCTGTCCTATTAGTTTATATATACATCCTTTCTCTAAAGTTGTCTTGTCTTCACTCTGGCATTAGAGTAAGTCTTGAATTCAGATAGTGTTTCTTTAGTATTGTGCTGACAATTTTAGACCTTTGCCTTTCTATATAAACTTTATAATCATTTTGCATATCTACCAAATAACTTCTTGAGTAAGCTTTGGTGTTTTCTGTCTTTAAAGGATTTGGTCCACCTCATCTAAGTTAACAAATTTATTGGCATAAAGTTGTTAATATTCCCTTCCTATACTTTTAACATCTATAGGTTCTATGCTAATGGCCCATCCTTCATTTTGGATATTTGTTATTTCTTGCTTGTCTCTTTTTTCTTGGTCAATTTAGCTAGAGGTTTATCCATTATTACTTCATTTTCTCTGCCCCAATCTCTCTCTCCTCTGCTTCTGGGATTTCAGTTACACATATTTCAGACTGCCTGATTTTTTTTATATGGGTTACTAAGGCTTTTTCTTCTTCCTTATTTCCCCAGTCTTTTTCTTCTCTATGCATTTTGTTGGTTTGTCTTCAAATTCACAACCCTTTTCTTTTTTAGGGTACAATCTGTCATCATTTAGTGAATTTCTGACTAATATATCATCATTTCTGGCACAGTGTTTTTCATTTCTAAAATGCACACTTGGTTATTTTTTACAGAATACATTTCTCTCTAGAGAGTATCCATCTGTTTACTTACTGTGTCCAACATTTCTTTTAAATCTTTGATCATATTTATGAAACTCTATTAATTCCAATGTCCATGCTTTCTCTAGTCTTGGTTTTTGTTTTTTGTTTTTTGGTTTTTGGTTTTGGTTTTGTTTTGTTTCTTTTTGAGATGAAGTCTCACTCAGTTGCCTAGGCTGGAGTGCAGTGGCATGATCTCGGCTCACCGCAAGCTCCGCCTCCCAGGTTCAAGCGATTCTCCTGCCTCAGTCTTCTGAGTAGCTGGGATTACAGGCATGCATCACCACGCATAGCTAATTTTTGTATTTTTAGTAAAGACGGGGTTTCACCATGTTGGTCAGGCTGGTCTCGAACTCCTGACCTCATGATCTGCCCGCCTCGGCCTCCCAAAGTGCTGAGATTACAGGCGTGAGCCACTGTACCCGGCCTCTGGTCTTGTTTTTAATTGATTTTTTTCTCATGAGGATGAGTCACATTTTCCTCATTTTTCAAATCTCATAAAATTTTTGCTGTATGCTGAACGTTACCAATGTGATTTGTCGGAGAGTTGGAATATTGTTGTTGTATTTTTGAGTTTAGTTTTAAACCCTGTTCTTTAGTTAATTTATTGGGAGATCAGCTTGATCCTATTGGGGCTTGACTTTGAACTCTGTTTAGGTATATCTATAGCAGCCTTATTCTAGGACTGATGTATCCTTTTCGATAAGTTATGGCCTTTGTGGGATCTCAGTGCAACCCATTTCCTAACGTATAGCCTTTTGGGTGTCTTACTTGCATACTCAAAGTGTTCACCAAAGTCTCTTTACTTGCCGGTTGGATGTCTTTCAGCAATCTGCAACCTCTGGAATCTCCATTTAGTTCAGAGCCCCCAGGGGCTGTTCTTTGCCATGTTTCACTGAGTCTTACCCTATGATTGTTCAGCTTAAAATTCAGCTAAATAAGCAAAGGGATCCCAGTGCAGATTTCTGGAGCTCCTACTTTGCACAGCTCTCTCATCTCTGGTATTATGCCCCTCATCTCGACTTCAGTTTTTCTTTCCTCCATTCCGTGAGACTGCTGCTCTGTTTAGGTTCCACAAATTTTGTGTTGCATTTTCAAAGCTGGAGGGAAGGTGAAACTCACCTTTTTTGCTCCTTTTATGTCAAGGTCATAGTGCCACACTATTGTCCAGTGCCTAAACACTGCTGTTTCATATATTTGTCTAAATTAACAATTGTTTATTGTAGGAAGGTACATCCAACAATCATTATTCTATCATGGATAGAATAATAAATTCATTTGAAAAAAATTATTTAATATGGAATAGCTACTTTGTATTTTGTTTCATATCATCAATATCTGAAGTCCTTGGCATAGAATTCTGTTTATTTTGATTTATACGGATTCTTACTCATAGTCAGTTTTTTCTATGAGTTTAATGATCTTTGAATGTGAGCTTTTATTTGTTTGATCTTGATATGTGACGATCCTAGGAACTGATGAAGTAATGGACTTTCCCCAAAAAGGATTTGTAATTGCTACTGCTGAAAGCCAGGGGGCACTACCAACCTGGGTCCACTTTGGTCCACTTCTAGGATCCTGGACTTAACGCAAGAGCCTGATGTTCTGCTTTCCTACCTTGCAGTGGCTTAGTCTTCAGATCTAGATAGCTAGAGAGGACCTTTTTTCCAGTTTTCTAGTTGCTCACTGCTCCTCACTCTGACTTCAGTGTCCTATTTTGTTATTTTTTTTTTTTTGTGGAGGAATTTGGAGGAATTTTTTTAGTCCCCTACCCCTACGTGCCCCCTTCAAAAAAAAAAAAAAGAAAGAAAGAGAGAGAACAGAAAAAAGAAAAGAAATGAAATGAAAGAAAAAGGTAAACTATTAATATTTATTATACATATTAACAATGGAGCTGTCATCTTGTCAGAAGGTTAAATTGACATGAGTCATATAAGTATTCTGAGGGAAGATTGGGAGTTCTACAACTCAGAAGAATTCACAACAGACTCAGGAATTCTCTCCACTTTGGCATATGGCCATATACTTTATCTAGGTAAGTGGATTTAAGGAGGATATTATAAACTATTCCTCACAAAATGTACACACGGCTTAAGAAGAATCTTGCAAAGAAATTGTATGTAACACAAATAATAAAAGCACAGTACAGGTTTTAAAATATGGCAGACTTGATACTTCTGATTTTAGCACTTTATCAGCTTCATTACAAGGAAAAAGCAATGATAATGCAATCAGATGTCACAATGTCAGCCAACATTTTTTAAAATTAAAAATATTAGAATTATGTGAAATATGAATTTATATGCATTATCCTTCACTATTATCTGAGTCTAATTATATATTGCTCCTTGAGATGTCAGCTATTATAAAGCTACCAGATTAGCAAAATATTTTTAACATAAACAGAAAATAAAGATAATTTTCTGTATTTTTTCTGTGATGTTAGAAGTCATGCAATATTGAATCCATTACTTTGCAAAAAGACAGATTTTTTTCTTTTTTCTCAAGGTAGGGTCTTGCTTTACTACCCAGGCTGAAGTGCAGTGGTGTGATCATAGCTCAATGCAGCCTTGAAAAATCTGAGCTCAAGTGAGCCTCCCACCTCAGCCTCCCAAATAGCTGAGATTACAAGAGCATGACGTCATGCTAGATAACTTATTATTATTATTATTATTACTATTTTAGTAGAGACGAGATTTGCTACGTTGCCTAGGCTAGTCTGGAATTCTTGGGCTCAAAGGATCCTCCTGCCCCAGCCTCCCGTACTGCTGGGATTACAAGCATGAGCCACCCTGTCCTGTGAAAAGAGAAAGATTTCTTATTAGCAACAGACAAAAAGGAACATATCAGTTGGGAATATAGTGCTATTTCCTACTGTGGTTAAAAAAATGGCTGGGAATAAAAAAAAAAAAACAGAGAAAAATATTTGTTGACAAAACTAAAACGCAAACCTATTGGTCAACCAAAGCAGAAAAAGGGGTGGGGCAGGGGAAGGCTGAAGATTTGAAGAAAAAGGCATTTGAACAAATAAGCATTATGAACAAGCTTTGCTGTGTGTGCAGTTGAATGAAAGAATAAATATTTCTAACTATGTCTTAGCTTACGGTGTTGGCTTAATTCTGTTAAGCTTTTTTCTGTGCCATCAAAGTAAAAGTACCAAATACCAGGTGTCCTTATCAGTAAACAACTTCCTTAATAAGAACAATGTTTTATGAAAATCGATGAAGCAGTTCCCATCAATTTAAAAAGGAGTTCATACAGAAGTACAGAGATAGTACCACATGTGATAATTTTGTATAAATAAGACTTTTTAAAAAGTTTAATTTTCACACACTTTGAAATGAGAGGTGAAGAAAATCTTTTGTATTATACAGGTGTTTACTATTTATTTAGTGGCAAGCTTTTTTTTCATGATGACTGGTGGCTTCGAGTAGCATGTTACCTATCAGATTTTTTAAAAAAAATTAAAAAAAAATTTCCCTTCAAGGTAGATGTGATAACAATAACTAAGAAATTTAATACTTCCAAAAAACCTGTGCTAGGATGAGAGCATTTAGAAAACAGATATTTGAAAGTGTTTCAGTTTTGTGATTTTTTTCTGAAAAAACTTAAAATATAAATGTGTCACATATATAAATTTTCATATCTGCACACTTGAAAATCATGGGAACAGAGTTTCCCAATCTGCTTCAAAATCTTTCAGATAAATGGTTTTGCAACCATTTTGCTGAAAATTTCTAAATGTTATGTCTTCTAGTTTGATAGGAAAACTGATTGACATTAGGCAAGATGAATATTTGTTAGCCAAATTACTAGTTTGATAGGAAAACTGATTGACATTAGGGAAGATGGATATTTGTTAGCCAAATTACATTTCAAAAAGCTTTTGTATCACTGGGTGGACGAAATGGGAAAATGAGTTTTATGGTTTAGAAATGCGGCCAATACAGTAGTTCTTCCATTTTTAACTTTGCATTTTGTGAGGTCTCAGCTATTAAAACCCTATACCCACATAAACTCTTCTTAGAACTAGACTTTTAAATTTCAGTATCACAAAGTATATAACAAGAAATGTCGAGAATAATGAAGTATATTCAGCCCCATTGCTTTGTATTCGTGTCATTAGTAAAATAACATTAAAAATTACTTTTAACCATTTTTATTTTGTGTTTATGTTTTAAGTTCTAATTTAATTTAAAAAGTGAATATATATGTATTGCAGTGTATGTGCAAAAGTTCTTTTTTTAATGAACAGATGCACAAATAATTTTGATTGTTTATAATGACCTGTTAAGTAAGTCATTATTATAATCAACTGTTTATAATTTTGGTTTAGAATAGCCAACAAAATTTTTCTAAAATAGTTTTCCTAAAAAAATTCATGAGTAAAAATTTGTTTGGGAACAAGTAAAATGAGAAAACGGGAGAGAAAAATCACTCCAAATTCTACCATCTGTAGATAATAACTGTTGAAATTTTACTGCATACCCTTCTAGATTTCATTTTTTAACATATCTTCATCTTCCATAAACATAGGTTTATTCTTCATTTAAAACTGTTAGTCATAGAGAGTCTCTTTAAAGAATTATTTAAAAGGAAATTTATATGAGATTTTGGGACAGAGATTAAAATTTAAAGACACAATACTCAGGGGCTCTGTTCTGCTGTGACCAAGACATAATTAACACTGGATGGGATTGTAACATTTGTTAAATTTAATTCATTGCTTGTCGTGTAAATGGCCTTTAGATGTCTCAAATGTGCGGTTTAACTATGAAGTTACCAAGAAATAGTCTGACCAAATTTTGTGGCTTTTTACTTGCTTTATCTTCAAATGGCCTATGTACCAAGGCAGAGAGATTAAAGGGAACTAAGATTTTGATAAGGCTTTTGTTTCTGTTCAGTATTACAACTGTATCCCAAACCGATAAAATATGGTTTACATACTAGAATTATTACTAGAATTCTAGTTATATACTAGAATTATTAACTGCATGCAGGAGGGTAGAGAATAGAACCAAGGGAGTGACTATGAATGGAGTAATTGTATCCTCAGAATTAAGCAGTTATCTTCCAAAGGTATGGTCCTGGACTCGATCTTCTTATAGAACATTTTTTATCAATGACTAATACTACCAGAAAAAAAAAAACAGTCACTGACACAGCAAATGAAACCTAGCTGGGAAACGAAAACTAAGAAGAGGAAGTCACATTCTCAATGACCAGATTAGAATCAAAATAAAAATTGGAGAAGTAGTAAGAAGTAAACAAAATGAGTAAGTCATATGGGTCGGCTAAAAGATGCAAGGAAGAAAAAGAAGTTTCAAAAGGAGGAATAGCTAGCAATTGGCAAGTATCAAAGAAGAAAATTTAGGGGTTTTAACAAGTATCAATCTGACTATAAACAATAAAGTAGTGCTACTGTTTAAAAAGCAAACACATTATAAAATGTATTCCTTACTAAAATTTATCTAAACTTCTGCTTCCTAGTTGAGTGTCACTTGCAAACACTAATAACTTGTTCCTTTTCACCAGACCTGCCATTCACTCTAAGAGCAAATATGGAGAACCTAACCACTCAAACGACTGAAATAGTAACAGAGAAAAAACTAGTTTCGATGAAAGATTGAATGTAATTTTTTCTCCTGCAAGAAATAGAGTAATTGAATAATTGTCTTTAATAGCATACAGTTATAATGATTAAAATACTACTGGATTTAGGCACTTATGTACCTCAAGTAACTTAAAAGTAGATTAGTTGTACTCAACTTTCATAAAACACCGAGAGAAAATGAAGTTAAATTGTATTAGGAAGGAGTTAATGTAGAATATAGAGGGATTTTATAATATGATAAAAGATTTGTTGAAAATCAGAACAACTGTAAGAATCTGGTATAATTTCTACTGATAGATCTCTACTTTTCTTTAAGGGTGAAATGTGGTGATACATGGAGGGTTGAAATCCAACCCTCTGCCAGACCTCAAGTTTTGTGATTTTTGTTTTAGGCAGTAACTAGAATAAATAAATTGCACCAAGATTTTTAAAGCTATAACGGAGGGAGCACGCTTGTTGACATTAAAACTACTACTGGTAATGCCAGAAGACATTTCTTTAAAGTACTGTAATTGTGTTACATCCTTAAATCTAAGTGCAGTATCAGCCGCAGATATCTGATTGTAGACTTGGTTTAAAAAAAAAAAAAGAACTGGAATATATAGATAATTGGCAATATTCTAAGGAAGCAGTGTTCCTATTTTATTTTCCAGATGATGCTACTTTATGTTCCTTTTATTTTTCTTCTTACCACTTATTTTACAAATGACATATATTAACTATAGGATATTTAAAAAGTAGAGACAAGCAAACAAGAACAAAAAAGTGCACGTGTAATTCCACAAATGAGGGGAGAAAATCAGCTAACATTTTCATGTATATTTTCAGACTTTTTTCAACATACATGTACATATAAAATATTTTATAATGTATATTTTTAATTTCGTACATATTTAAACTTTTATTATAAAACAGGAAATTTGTAATATTTTGCTTGATTTAATATCATGAACATTATTTCCTATTACTAAGTCTACCTCTTCACTTTTAATCGTTGACATAATTTACATAATCCCTACCTTTGGTCATTTAAGTGTTTCCAAATGTTCACTCTTATTAACAACTTCAACAAATATCCCCAATATTGCTTTTTTTTTCTTTTTTAAAGTAAGCAGAGAATTGGAATAAATTAGAAATCCAGGGCACTTACTCATCCAACAGATATTTATTGAATACTTATTTGTGCCAGATATTGCATTAACTGGGAGCTGGGAAAACAGAACTGGTTAAGGCTAGATCTCCACTTTTAATTAACTTTCAGTCTCATGGAATAGAAAGATGAGCTGAGGAACTGGAGAGGACAAATCGCTCCTCTCTTTAAAGTAAATGTAGTTCAAGAGAAAGCTGCTGGGTCAGTGGCCAGGTGTGTGTGTGTGTGTGTGTGTGTGTGTGTGTGTGTGTGTGTGTGTGTGTGTGTGTGTGTGTGTGTGTACACATACGTATTAACTAAGCAGTTTCTAGAATTAAAATCCCTAATGTTAATAGGCTTATGCATAAAATAGATTAATCCACAACACCTGCATGAGCCACGATCCTAGGAGCTGCAGAGCCATAAAAGCCGGACACAGTACCCAGCAGCCTCGCCTCGGCTCCCGGCAGAGAACACCCTCTCCCCGGCCTCCCGGCGCTGGCGCGATCCCACCGCGGGGACCGCCGCCCTGGTCCCCGGCCGCTGCACCCCCTTCTCGCGTCCTACGCCTGGCGGCCAAAAACAAAACTGCCTAACCACTTCCACTTGGAGAAGCCCTCCTAGCCGAGAGGGGCATTCTGAAGATCAAGGGCGAGGCTGGAAAACAAACTTTGTTACGTGTTAACTTAGTTGGAGCAAAGCGATTCCAGGAAAGGAGTCTAAAACTGTGCGCAGCGTTTTTATAAAAAAATGTTTCAGTGGATACACGGGGGAGCGGGGCCGTCTATGGCAGGGCTTCAGAGCAAGCAGGAGACTGGCAGGCCGGCGAGAGCAGGTGGCCCGCCGGCCGCATCCCGGCCTCCTCCTCCCCGCTCGCCTGCATTTGGACGACGGCTTCCGCGGCGGCCGGAGGGGAGCATCCTCTACACTGCCAACTCGCATCAATGGGACTTTCCTCGTGGGAACTGCCCCTCCCGGCGGACGTGCCCTCCGGGTCCGGCGTGGGCGGGCGGGTGCCGCGAACTCCTTGCAGACCTTGGGTCGGCTCAGTGCTCCCTCAGCGCTGGGGCCGAGCCTGCACCACCCGCCGCCGTCGCCGCCGAGGGGGCGGGGGAGGTGCCGCGGGGGGCGGGCGCGGCGCGCGGGGAGGGGAAGGGGTTCTCGCGCGATTGGGCGAGGTTTCCGGTGTTGTGACTGAAACCCGTCAATATGGCGGCGATCGGCCGCGGCCGCTCTCTGAAGAACCTCCGAGTACGAGGTAAGCCCGCTGCAACCCTCACTCCCCACCGCCCGGCGCCCGCCACCCCTGGCACTTGCCTTCCCCTGGCCCTGGGTTGGGGAGCGAGCCGGGGCGCTGGCCGGAGCCAGGGCAGCCGCAGCTGGCCTGCGAGCCAATCCTAATTGGGGCTGTGTGTCTGTTTCGCGCAGGGCGGAATGACAGCGGCGAGGAGAACGTCCCGCTGGATCTGACCCGAGGTAACGCGGGGCGCCGCGGGCGCCGCGAGGGCGCGCTGCTGGGGAGGAGCCGGGTCCGGGGCTGGGGGCCAGAGGCAGGGGCGGGCCCCGCACGGGACCGGCGGGGTGCGGGGGCCAGAGCCGGAGCCCCGCCTGCCGGCCCGCGGGAACCGAGCCCGGGGCCGCCTCGCCGGACCCATCCCCCTACCCAGCGCCCGCTTCCCTCGCCCGAGCCCTTCTCCGGGCCTCGGGCTGCTGCGGGTGCGGGGGAGCCCCGAGTGGAACTCGGCAGACCCGGCGACCCTCTGGGCTCGAGCTCCGGCAGAGTGGTTTGCACCTATCCCGGAGTCCGGCAGCCCAAGCTAGGGGCAGCTGGAGGGAGGTAGAGGCTGTTATTTAGGTTGCAGGAGGATGTTTGAGGGAAGAGCGACCACATCCTGCCCTCCCCGTCCCCGGAGCAGAAGCCGGACCTGCTCGGTGCTTGCCGACTGCGTGACTGCTTTCCCCTTTGCCCACCGTCCTGTGGGGACCCGCAGCATTGATAACTTGGTAGTGAAACCTAGAACTGGTCATTACTGCTAAATGTCTGGTTTATGCTGTTTCCCTTCTGCTTCCCTTTCCCGGGCCGCTGGGACTGTAGTTGGCTAAAGACCGCCCCCTCACCCTGCTGCAGGTTCATTGTTTACCTTCTGCAGTGGAGATGGGTTTGTTTACACCTTCCGAACTGGGGAAACTCGGGTGATATTTTTAATGACCTAATCCCGTTACTAGCCAGTGTTTCCTCTATCACTTACAGTACTAGAGTTTATTCGACATTATCTCGTTGAAGATTTAGTAGTTACGTACAAGATTCTTTTCTCTTCCACGGTAAACAGGATTGAGCCTACTGATTCCGACGAAGTCATATTTCACACGGGCTGTAGCTTGGAGTGTAACCCGGTTCAGCTGTACAGAATCAGTTTCTGAGGTCTATAAAACACCTTAGGAAGTAAACAAAAAAACTTGTTGTAGACATTCTGTATGAGATCAGTTTTTTACCCTATGTCGTACCTGACGTAATGACTGTTATCTACAGTAATTTGTTAAAGCTGGGCTCCTTGTTGACAACGGCTAGAGTGAAAGCATAGTGCATTTTCTAATTTGTTTTATTTTGCTTATCACGATGTAAGATTACTGTTTTATAAACTGAATGGTCAGCTTTCACTTAGCTACAAGAGTACATTTTTATAACTTAATATTTTATTCTGAAAGTTCAGGGACTTAGTTTTGGGTGAACTAGGTCCTTTTACAAGACAGTTTCTAAAATATAATACAATATAGTAGAGCTTAAATCCTGAAAATGGCTACTAATTAGATTATCAATGCACTAATTTCCACCATTTTTTTCAGCAGATCGGTTTTGAGAATTAGTATAGAAAGATGTAAAGCTTTTGACTTCTGTGCAACTGTTTGGAAACTTGACTATAACACACATGTGAAAAATCTATATAAAATAGATTCACTAGAAAACTTCCTAACAAGGATAACTTCTACAATTTCAGGTCTGTAAAAGATGTAATTAGTGAGTGATTTAATTTATATACAGGCATATGTGTTTTAGATGAAGGTGAAGGGAGCCCTTAATAAACTTGAGTTTAACTTGTGCATTAAAAACCTGCTCAGATGTGGTGCTGGAAATATATAGTTGTATTTTAAATTGAGTTCGTCGAGCTCCTATATATAGTGGTTTCTCTGCTTGGTGTCAAAAATGTTGAGTTGTGGAAGAGCTTAGGTACACATCTGATTTGATAATTTTGGCTTACTCCAGTTTTACTGAGGCACACAGGTAACTGTTTACTATTTAAAATGCCATATTAACTGAGAATTTAGTAAGCACCTATGTCCATAGGTATTTCCAGGTTAATATAGATAGTGCAGAAAATGCTGTTTTCGGCTTGCCCTGACAAAATGTACTTCAGTTTGGAATAAAGTATACACAGCCATTTAAAACTGATTGCAAAAATAAAGAGTGAGGGATTGTTTGAGATCTGTATTTCTAAATCATAAGGAAGTTTGGAATTAATCTGAATCAGTCATTTTATAGTGATACTATTGTTTTAAAAAGTTGCTGTTGTGACAGACATTTCATTGTTCAAAGAAGGCTTGAAGAAAATTCATGAGGAATTAAAGTTTAGTAATAATTTGAGAACTGTGAGGCAGTTTGGGTTGCAGCTGAAGGGCAGCTGTTTGTGGATTAGATTACAGTATGTAAAAAGATAAAGTTTGGGCAACCAAAAATTTTTTTGTTTAATGCCAAGGCAGTGTTTGCTTTTATTCTTATTTTTTAAATTTAATCTTTGAGAGATTCATTGTGTAGTTACCTAATAAAGCTCATTATAAAATAGAGGACATGGTCATTGTAATCCCTAAAGGATCCATCAATGTGTAGTGAAAAGAGAGTTGACTATAAAGTCAAATCATTCTGGATTGTAACCTCAGCTGTGAGATTTAATAGTTGGGTGATTTGGGGCAAGTTATTTGACCTTGCTTTACCCCTGATTTCTTCATTTCTAAAATAAGAGATAACTTCAAAGGGTTAAGAATGTGAAAAGTAAATGAGCTAGTTCTTAATTAAAGTACTTGGCATAAGACCGGATACTTTGTAAGTGATATTTAACATTAGTTGCCTTCCTACATTGTGAAATCACAGTTTTAAAACTCACATTAAAAATACTTTAAACGGTTGTTTTGAATATTATAAACTTGTTAATAAGGAATTATGGTATTCGAGCTTCTTTTTTTTTTGAAACATACTGTTATACTAATTGGGTATAGTCTATCTGAGTTAGAGTTCTTGAATATAACAATTGTAAAGCAATCTGTGACATTACCAATAAATTAAGTCTAAGCGAAGTGCAGTATGTTATATTCACTTAGGATAAAATGTGATACTGTATTTCATAGAACCTTAGAATTTTTGTCTCTGACACCAGGACATTTCATACTATTTAATAATGACTTGGCTAGCCTTGCAAGCTTCTTGAGGCTCAGAAGAATTCTAAGTTTCGTTGGTTTTGGTACTTGTGTTAGTGCTGTGGTTCATACATAGAGTGCCTCAGTTAAAAATTGTTGATGGATTAATTTTTATCTAGTTTAGGAACTTCATTATAGTAGACTTTACAGTCAGCGTATTGGTAATGGTTGCTCTGAGTTTTGTTCAGACAACTACTTAATTTGTGAAAGTCCCCAATATTTGCTAATGATATTATTAAATACTGTCTGTAATGCATGCCAAAATGTATTTTGAAGCCCAAATGCTTCCTCTCGCCATTTGTACTGCAAGGATAGACTGTCTTATCAGTCCAGTAGTGCATCTCTTTACTGGTACTGAATCACTTGAAAAGATACAGTGTTCTTCCTGGGTAAACCCCTCCTGGTATACTTTAATTATTGTGTTCAAAGTGAATTCCCAGAATATGGACACACTAGTTCAAATATAATTATTAGAATATAATTTATTTAAAAGTATAGTTGAATTTTATAATTTTTGATTAACTCCTTTACGTTTCCACTAAGAACTAAAAAACTGACTCTCTTGGTTGCTGTCTAATACCTAGAAAAGCAGAAAGGTTCCAAAATGATGTAGATTTGAACTCTAACTTTTTTTTTTTTTATTTGAGACGGAGTCTCGCTCTGTCGCCCAGGCCGGACTGCGGACTGCAGTGGCGCAATCTCGGCTCACTGCAAGCTCCGCTTCCCGGGTTCACGCCATTCTCCTGCCTCAGCCTCCCGAGTAGCTGGGACTACAGGCGCCCGCCACCGCGCCCGGCTAATTTTTTGTATTTTTTTTTAGTAGAGACGGGGTTTCACCTTGTTAGCCAGGATGGTCTCGATCTCCTGACCTCATGATCCACCCGCCTCGGCCTCCCAAAGTGCTGGGATTACAGGCGTGAGCCACCGCACCCGGCCCTGAACTCTAACTTTTTATTTTCCAGTTTCTTCTGGTTAGGAGTTTTCTCATTTGTTTAATCATTCAGTTAGACAAAATGGACATTGACTGAACATTTATATACCAGATGCTGAATTAACTGCTGGAAGAATAAAAATGAGGAAACTCTTTCCCCCTTTTAAGGGTTTCATTGGAATAGACATAAGGAAATGATTGCAGGTGGAAAAATAAATTAAGTAATCAAACTATATAGGAAACAGAGGTAACCCAATAGTAGCCAGAGGAGAGAATGATTAACTGTCTGGTGGGTAAAAGGATCAGAGAAGTCTCATAGAGGGGTTGACTTCTTAAAAGAATAATGGTGGACATAGTGGAAGGAAATATGTGCTCTCTTGGGAATATACCATACCCTGGGAAGGGGAAAGTTAGGAAGCAGAGGAGCTGCCTAGGGTGCTGCTGATATAATCTGACGGATGATAGAAGACTGGACCATGGCGTTGGCTACAGAAATGAAGTCAAATACATATTAAAATGGAAGAATTATCTAATTTGCTTTCTTCAGATTTCAGACTGATTTTGTAGTCCCCCCACTCTATGCAGTGAATTTTATTTCTTTATTAAAATGTAGAGGCTGCCCATCCAGTGTGAATTCCTCAATTGTCTGCCCAGACTTACTGTCTTTACCCTGATTCAAAGAATAAAGCGTTGCTATTCTTTTCCAAGGGTAACTTGGAAAAACGTTTATGCTTCTAATACTGTTTCCTCAAGATTCTTTGTAGAACTAAGATCTTCTCTTCATTTCTCCCTTACAGTTGGCTCAGTTTTCTCATGTTCAGCAAGCAATTTTTATGTTCTTCACATGGACCAGGTACTATGTTAGGCATGGGCTGAAAGTGGGAGATATGGAATGATAACGACAATATTACAAAAACTTTTTTTTGAAGGCTCTACAGACAGAATAGTTTGTCTTCACTCCACAACTTTATTGCTTAACAAAGTCTTGTAAGCAAAACTCTCCCTCTGTACTGAAAATAATTTCTTAAAAGATGCTAGTAACCTCTTGCAAAATTTATGGGCATTTTTAAGTTCCACATTCTACTATTATACATACTATTACTATAATACTAGTTTTGTGCCAGGCACTGATTTCATTATTTTACTTAATATTCAGCTGTTTTAGCTACACTTATTGTCTCTGTTTTACAGTTGAGAATATAGGCTTTGAAATTTTAAAGGGCTAAAACTCAAACAGGTAACTTAACCAGTGTCACAGGGCTTAGTGAGTGACTGGTATGTGTCTGATAATCATCTCAGAGTTGTGATGTGTAAAACTTTGCACCCCAAAGTGTACCCACTTTTCACATTCTAGGTATTTCCGCCATCCTCTGTTATTCAAGCTAGAGATCTGCTGCTTATCCTCTTTGTTGTATTGCTAAACTCCTCTGATTAGCTTCTGAAATAGCTGTTGAATTCAGTCTCTCCTTCTGTTCCCATTGTCAGTTCATATCCTCATTATGTCATCGTGTGGCAGTAATATCTTCTCACCTTTTTTCACTCGGTCTACTGTATGCCTGCCAGGATTATTTCCCAGAAATCTAGATCTGATCTTGTTGTTCTCTTAAATAAAAAAACAAAACAAAACACATACACACATTTTCTAGGCTAATTTTTGCTCACAGAATACAGTCCACATTTCTTTAGTTTGGCATTCAAGGCCTTTTTTGATTTACTCCCATATGGTTTTCTTCTGTACTATTTTAACCATACACATCTCAATATATCTGCCTCTCTGCATAGTTCACTTCATTACATACAGTCCTTCTCAGAGAGGATTGGGGAGAGTTTGCCAGTCTAAAGCACCAACCCCCATTCCACCTCTTTCTCCGTGGAGACTGTATGCCCCTACTTGAGAATCTTTCAGTCAAAGAAGAATGTTTGCTATTCCTTGAACATGGCATGTAGTTTAATATTCGCTTGACCTTGCGTAGGTATTTCCTTTGCCTTGAATTGCATTTCCAGCACAGTTTATCTATAGAAGTCCTAATTCTTTAAGGTTGAGGTCACATGCCATTTCTGGAGATCTTTCCTTATCCCAGTGGGAATTTATTGCTTCCTTCTCTGCTTTTTTACGTCTTTATTTATTATTTTCTAAATTGCAGTTACCATTGTCTTACTTTAGTTCTTTGTCCAGTTTCTTCCCCCTTCACTAGATCTTTAGCTTCTTGAGGGCAGGAGGCCTGTTTTACCCATTTTTAACATCCGCTTCCCCCAGCATCCATCAGATAATCACTGAGGCATTAATTGACTGGAAGAAGGGAGTGAGAGACATGGGAAAAAGAATAGTACAGTATTAAGGAGATTAGAAGGAAAAGAGTACTTTAAGATTACTGTCCTAAGGGACAATGAAATTGATGGTGCCATAAAATGGAGAAGTCATTTTGGGAAGGATGATAATGAGTTCAGCTTTGCACCTTGAATTTCACGTGATTATATAAATGTGTAAAAGGTGGCAGCAAATACTGGAATGGAGGTTTTAGTTGCCCTGAATTTCTAGTCTGATTGTTCTGTGTGTAAGATGTTGAGAAAAGGGATATAAATGGAAAAAGAGCTGAAGATTTGAATGTATGAAAATAGATAAGATGATGAGGGTGTATATCATAGGGTAGGAATCAATAAGAAGAAAGGAGTCAATAGAAGAGAAGAGAGAAAATTGTGATCTCTTAAGCTAAAACAGTTTGGATATTTGTCCCCACCCAAATCTCATGTTGAATTGTAATCCCCAATGCTGGAGGTGGGGCTTGGTGGGAGGTGTTTGGGCCATGGGAATGGATCCCTGATGGCTTGGTGTTGTTTTTGCAATAGTGAGTTCTGGCAAGATCTGGTTGTTTAAAAGTGTGCACCTACCCTCTTACTCTTTCTCACTCCTACTTTGCCATGTGAGATGCCTACTCCTGCTTCACCTTCCATCTTGAGCAGAAACACCCTGAGGCCTCCCGAGAAGCAGATGCTGGCACCATGCTTCCTGTACAGCCTACAGAACCAATAGCCAATTAAACCTCTTTTAAATTACCCAGGCTCAGATGCTTCTTTATAGCAGTGCAAGAACAGCCTATTACAGAAAATTGGTAAGTGGGCGTGGAGCATTGCTCTAAAGATACCTGAAAATATGGAAGCAGCTTTGAAACTGGGTAACAGGCAGAGGTTGGAAGAGTTTGGAGGACTCAGAAGACAGGAAAATGAGGGAAAGTTTGGAACTTCTTAGAGACTGGTTGAATGGTTGTGACCAAAATGCTGGTAGTGATACGGACAATGAAGTCCATGATGATGAGGTCTCAGGTGGAAATGAAGAACTTAGTAGGAACTGGAGCAAAGGTCACCCTCATTATGCTTTAGCAAAGCACTTGGTTGCATTCTGTTCATTCTGTAGGGACCTGTGGAAGTTTGAACTTGAGAGTGATGACCTCTGGTATCTGGCGGAAGAAATGTCTAAGCAGCAAAGTGTTCAAGATGTGTCCTGGATGCTGCTAACAGCCCATGCTAAGATGTAGGAGCAAAGAAATGACTTAAAGTTGGAATTTGTTTTTAAACAGGAAGCACTGCATAAAGGTTTGGGAAATTTGCAGCCTAGCCATGTGGCAAAGAAAGAAAAAGCTTTTTCAGGGGAGGAATTCAAGCAGGCTATAGAGCAACCACGTGCTAGAGATATTTGCATAATTAAACACATGCCAAAGTGCTGATATCCGTGAAGTTGGAGAAAAGGCCTTCAAGGCATTTTAGAAACCTTCACAGCAGCCCCTCTCATCATAGGCCCAGAGGCCTAGGAAGAAAGAATGGTTTTGTGGGCCTGGGCTAGCCGGGCCTTGCTGCCTTGCACAGCCTCAAGACACTGCTCCCTGCATCCCAGCCACTCAGGCTTCCAGCCTTGTTCAAAGGGGCCCAGGTACAGTTCGGGCTGCTGCTTCAAAGGGTGCAAGCCATAAGACTTGATGGCTTACATGTATTATTAAGCCTGCAGGTGCCCAGAGTGCAAGAACTGAGGCTTGGGAGCCTCTGCCTAGATTTCAGAGGATGTATGAGAAAGCCTGGGTGTCTAGGCAGAAGCCTGCTGCAGGGGTGGAGCCCTCATTGAGGATCTCTATTAGGGTGGGGCCAAGGGGAAATGTGGGGTTGGAGCCCCCCAGAGTCCCCAGTGGGGCACTGCCTAGTGGAGCTGTGAGAAGGGGCCTACCATCCTCCAGACCACAGAATGGTAGATCCACTGGCAGTTTGCATCCTATACCTGGAGAAGCCACAGGCATTCAACTAAAACCTGTGAGAGCATTCCTGGGGGCTAAACCCTGCAAAGCCACAGGGCAGAGTTGCCCAAAGCCTTGGGAGCCCACCCTTTGCAGCAGTGTGCCTTGAATGTGGAACATAGAGTCAAAGGAGATTATTTTGGAGCTTTAAGATTTAATGACTGCCCTGCTGGGTTTTGAACTTGCATGGGGCCTGTAGCCCCTTTCTTTTGGTTGATTTCTCCTTTTTGAAATGGCAATGTTTATCCAATGCCTATATCCTCATTGTATCTTGGGAGTAAATAACTTATTTGTGACTTTACAGCCTCATAAGTGGAAGGGACTTGCCTTGTTTCAGATGAGACTTTGGACTTCAGAGTTAATGCTGGAATGAGTTAAGACTTTGGGAGACTGTTGGGAAGGCATGAGTTTATTTTGCAGTGTGAGAAGGACATGAGATTTGGGAGGGGCCGTGGGCAGAATGATACAGTTTGGATATTTGTCCCCACCCGAATCTCATGTTGAATTGTAATCTCCAATGCTGGAGATGGGGCATGGTGGGAGGTGTTTGGGTCATGGGAGTGGATCCCTCATGGCTTGGTGCTGTCTTCGTGATAGTAGGTTTTCACAACATCTGGTTATTTAAAAGCCTGTGGCTCCTTCCCCCCAGCTCCCTCTTGCTCCCGCTCTGCCATGTGAGATGCCTGCACACGCTTCGTCTTTGCTATGAGTAAAAGCTTCCTGAAGCCATCCCAGAAGCAAGTGCTGGTGCCCTGCTTCCTGTATAGGCTGCAGAAATGATAGCCAATTAAACCTCTTTTCTTATAAATTACCCAGTCTTAGGTGTTTCTTTGTAACAATGCAAGAATGGCCTGATACATAAGCCAGGAGAAGAGTTTTGAATTGAAGGGGCTGCTAGACTGTTGCATTGAAGTTGAAGTCCAGAGAACGAGGTTCTGCTTTAATCTGAGGAAGATATGGCATGCTATTTAACCTCTCTGGCTTCAATTTCCTCACCTCTAAAATGCATACTACTTTATACTTGCAGCACTTTAGCCTCCTACCTTTGTAATTCTCACATATCACTACAGACCTGGAATATTGAAAAGGTTAAAAAGAAAGCATTTGTAGCCTTGTTAAATCACTGTGAGTAGTAGTCCCACAAACAATAATGAATACATGTAGGAGTGGTGGTATTTCATAGCACTTTAAATTTAAATTACAGTCAACTCTCAATTTCCTTTTAAGTGATCCACCTGCAGTGACTTGCTGCCTCCTCCCGCTCCCAGGTCTCAGGCTACCAAGAATAAGACTGCGAAAAGCACAGTGGGGTGAGCGAATGATTTGCTTGCCTGTGTATCTGTGCCTCTGTCACCAAGCTATTAAATACAGTCCATTCTCAATTACCTGCCTTAAAAAGATGAATAATGGTAGAAGAATGCTAAATATATAATCTAAATACTTTATATTGGTGAGAAAATATTTTATGTTCTTTTCTCTCCCACAATAGATTGATGTATATTTTCTTTTACATTTTATTTGAATTATTAGCACAGATTTTTGTTTCCTAAGCAAATACTGTTAGTGGAAGAACATAAACAGGTTAAAATATTTGTTAATCTGTATGAATAATTGAAGTTGACTGTTAATGCTTTTTGGGTCATCTACAGATACTGTTATTTGTGTTTTTTTGTTACAGTGGCCAGGTTAAAGTTGAATGGCTCCTTAAAAATTATATCCATACAACAAATGTAGTTATAAAATTACAGACATAAAAGTAAATTGAAAATAATTGTGTAAAACTAGTTAATACGTATAACATTCATATACCCAAAGTAATAGGGTTGAAAGAGAACCTAAATATAAGTATATTCTTCGTATTCCTCTTTTAGAGGCTTCCAGCCAGATTGCGTAAACTGAGCAATGTACCTGGAATGATGACATTTATATAAAATATAAAATTGAGGATATTCTAATGCTTTAAACATATCCTGTTAAAGATGTCAGTAAGAAATACAGAAAACGTTTTTTTAACCTTAATTACCTGGATTTTCAAGAATCTGCGTCCTTCAATTACTTTTCCTTTTTTTTTTTAACCCCATTGTGTTAATTTGGATTTGTAATGGTTTTATTAATGTCAACCAGTATATTTTTGATCACATGGGTTAATTATATATATATTATATGATCACATGGGTTAGTTAATACTGTTGTGGTTGAGGAAGGCATACATCTTCCTTCAGGGAGTTTCTGTTGGGATATAGCTCTATCAGTGTACAGTAAAAGACAGTAGTATTTGAAGCATATGCCAATTATCTTTGTAAGGGACTCTAAAAGCTAGAGGAATTCAGAAAAAATGGGAGATAGGTAAGGAATGACCTAGAAGGAAGATCTCTTAGAAGTGAAGATATAATGACAATTGTAAGACCTTTGCATAAAAGAGTAGCAATTCAAATAGGTAGAGCTCTGCACCAGGGTTTTAAAACTTTTAATTTTTTGAATGAACGTTTTCCTGGTACATTATTTAGTATTTCAAGATAATGTTGAGAAAAAGTTAGGGGTAAGTTTTGTTTTCCTGGATATAAATCCCTTAACTATTGAAGAATGATTATATTACAGACAGGCTCTTCTGGCCTTAGAAGGTACTGCTGGACTGAAAGATTTGGAGCACACTGTGAAATACTAATTGTTTGCGTGTACTTGTGACTATGAGTCTATAAATGTCTGCATTCCAGACCCAAGCCTAGGTAATTAGTAATTTTTTTCTTCCATTGTTTTGTAGTGCATATGTCTTGCACCTTCAGTAATACTGTTTAATGGAGGGAGTGTGCATGTTCAAAGTCCTTTGTAAATTTATCAAACTTATTTCTAGATGTATGCAGTCTGGAAATAGAATATAAATGGGATGGGTGGTGTTTTTATTTTGTTCTACACTAAAATCACCAGATTTTCTGATCTCAAAATTTAAACATGTAACCTGACAGTCAGAATATTTGAAATGAAGATTATCCTGAAAACCACAGAATGTTTCATTGCCAAATTCAGACACCCTACCCAGCCCTCTAGTGATTTAGGTACAGGATAAATAGTGTTTGAGGAAATTATTGCTCTATTATAGCAGCAAAACAAGACTTCAGGGATTTTAGTCATCTTGCATTTAATCCAGTGAAATTTCATGTGTTTCCTATAATGAATAGAGAATGAAGAGACATAGAAGCTGTAAACAAAGAAGGTTGCCAAGTAATTTAGTTACTAAGAAGGAACAGCTTGTCAGATAAAAGTGTATTTAGCTGTTTTAGATGTGTGCACATACATATTTTTATCAGTAGTTTCATACTTCAAAAAATCACATCTTAAAATAGTATTGCTATTTATTTCCATGCTTAGTGTTTGACCCTCATATAATAAAATTTTTAATTACACTTTTTTTCACTCATAATTCTATAATGCACTTTCTAATGTTTACCACACTACCGTCACCACCACTCCCCTCCCTCAAGAAGAAAAAAAAAGGAAAAATGAAAAACTCTGAGGGGAATGGAGTTGCAGGGAGAGACTCCAGTGGTTGGAAACACATTTTGAGGTAGGTGAGCTGTGAACTCTTAACATTTAGCCATGTGGTAGTTTCTGGATATGTAATCAGGTAGCAAGTGGAATATTGTGAAACTGTTTGTTCAGTGTATGTGTTATAAGTTTTTAATCATATCTGTCACATGTGGTATTAGTATAAAATTATAATAATGGATGTTTGAATACTAAGCTATTTCCTACCTTGTTTATTTAGAGTGACGTATTACTGTAGGCTATAACTTTCAGCGGTGTTTTTAATGGCATAACAGTAGAAAGCAGGTCAGATTAATTCTTATGTCATATAAGATTTCATATGTTATATAAGAATAATTCTTACATGACAATTTGTAGTGAGTTAAATTTTAGATTGGAATAGTTTTAAAAATGCTTAAACCACCTTATTTTAATAAAAACCTTAACATTGTCTTTCTTTTTTCTCATGGGAAAGTTTGTTGTTTCATGGTCATATTTCAACATTGTTTTGAATACACAAGTATATGTTATTATTTTACCTAGCAGAATGAAAAAAGTTATATATTTGAAAAGATTCTGGTTGTTCTTCATATCAAAATTAAAAGGAGATGATTAAGATTCAGGTAAACTGTGGCAGTTGCCTTTTGCTATGCATTGTTTCTTCTAATAGTTATTTTGTTTTACTAAAAAAACTCTACTTGATTTTTGATTCCGGGAGGAATTCTTTGCATACATCAATAATTGTTTTTATATTGGAAAAGTACCACCGAGAAAAAATGTAATTACCTTTAAAACAAATGTATTGCTGCTAAGTGTTCACCTGGAGTGCTTAAATATGTATGAATTTCGGAAAGGTATGTGCATATATGAATCTAATGTTTGTTTCTAAGAATATTTGGAAGCTACTTTAGAAATTAGTAGACCTCCCACTTAAAGCAGGAATTTTCTCTGCAATATCAGACAGCTGTCATCCACCATCACTCAGACCTTCCACTCATGGGTAGGTTATTCACAGTGGTTTGTTCCTTTGTTGAGCAGCTATGTTTGTTGATAAAACTCTTACATTGAATTAGCAAAAAATCTAATGAAAAAATAACTTTCTGCAGTTAGTCCTAGTTCTTTTATTTGGTAAGTGTTTGCAAATAAAAAGTAGTAGATGTAATCAGGCTGGACCCTGCTGTATGCTATTAGAGATTTGGTTACCCTTCTCTTCTTATACACAGGCCACTCACCAAGTATTTATTGAGTACTGGTTATGTGTCCAGCATTGTTCTAATTGGTAAATGTTTAATCGTCTTTGAACACAAGAAATAGTAGCAGCAGCTGCCATATTTTGAATAATGTATGTTGGGGAGTGTGTTAAAAACATTACTTAAATTCTCATTGTCTTCCTACATACTTAGGAGAATATGTATTAATACACCTGTGTAACTGATGAGGAAAATGGGGCGATGCCTAACTAGCCCAAGATCATATAGGTATTATGAGAGAGAGAGGTGGGGTTCAGAAGCCTTTCTTTGTTTCTGATTCTAAAACCCATGCACTTACCCCTTTGCAGTCTTCCCAAAGACAGCATCATGTATAAGATAAATCATATGACTAAGACTAAATGAGTATTCTATGTATTGTAGAGTATTGATTTGGAACCCCCAGGAACCAGGTTATTAACTGAGATCCGAAATGTATATTTTAGCCATTTCTATACAGTTGTTTCTAGAGCTGGTTCCTGTTCTTTTCTAACTTGAGAAAATACCAACTATTAACTTGAGAAAAAGTTAAAGTATGTTAACTTTTTCTCCTTGGCTAGGGTCATCATTATGAATATTGATTTTTGTGTTGGGGTGGGGTGAAGACAATTTATTACTACCCTCTGTAATACCTCACCGCTCTTTTGATTCCTGTATGCTTCTACGTTTCTTTCAGCTGTCACTTTACAATGCAGTTATTATCCCTATATTTAGGAGTCCTTTAATTCTTTGTTTTTTACTTTTATTGTGCTGTAGAATGGCAACTGTTAAGTGTGGACTTACGCTAATATATGTAAAATAGGATAAATAGGTTGTGATGAAGAATTAAGAGTCTCTACTATGCATAACATGTGAATAAACTTGGTGATGATACATACTTTGAATTTTTATTGTCATTTTTTGGAGTGCTTACATTTGAGTACAGGTTTTCCAAATAGGTAATTGCCTCATAGCATAGTTCAGAGTAGGTGAAGTATGACTTGATATGGAGTTGGCTTATACGTATGTAATATGGATAGTAGGATTATATGAAGATAGCTAATAAGTTACAAAATATAACTAATATGGACAAAATAACATCTAATAAGGTACTGATTGCATGATATGAAGACAGTCTAGTATTGACTAAAAGCATGGTGTCGTACCCAGACAGATCTAGATTTGAATCTTGATCCTGCCTTTGAGAAGTTAAGGGCTCTGCTGGACAAGTTGCCTTTTCTGAGCGTGTTTCTTCATCTCCTTTTGAGATAACACTTATTTGAGGATTGAAGGAAATGTTTGTAAAATATTTATTACATTTTTAGCACATAGATGTAAAGAAATAGATATTACATATTCTTATTTGTATGGTCAGTGAAAGCAAAAGAGATGAGAATGGAGAGATTGATGTGAGCTGGAAAAAAAATCATAGAAAGTGGAGGATTGTTTCAACCTTGGATGGGTAGAATGTGGTTAAATCTAGAGGAAATAAGGCATAAATAAAGGCATGACACATTTTACTGAAAGGAACCATAAGAATATAGAATTTTAGTATTAGATTTGTAGGATAAGGGTAAGTTGTTGAGGACCTTCAGAACTGCAGGGAAAACAGTAAATGTTATATAAAAACTTTCCTTTATTGAAAGATAGCATAGATCCAAAAAGTCTTTGTTATAAATGTACAATTCTGAGAATTTTGACAAATTGAACACATGGGGAATCAGAACCCAGATCAAGAAACATAATATTGCAATACCCTGGAAGCTCCCATTCTGTTTCCTTCCAGGCACTACTTTCCCAGCCAAGGAAGGCACTATCCTGACCTCTAATGCCATAGATTAGTTTAGCCGCCGGTTTTTGAACTTTATAAAATGTACTCATGCAGTAGATGTACTCTTTTTGTAAAGTTCAAAAACAGGCCAAACTAATCCATGGTGATAAACAAGAGTGTATGCTCTGTTGTATCTGCCTTCTTATGCCTGATGTTATGTCTTATCACCATGTTGTATATATAAAGTTATTTTAATCTAAGTCTGCTCATGTGTATCAGGTGTGTTATGATGTGGATGGATTCTTTAGGATTGTCAGTGGGTTTATATGAGTGGATAAAGTTTGAAGTAATTACAGTAATTCCACCTTAATTTAAAAATTTTAAATCATCTTCTCCATTTCTCTTCTGTGTCTTCAGCCTGAACTTTTCATTGAACAGGTTTTGGCCAGTTAATAATATGTCTAGATAGGTGAACTTTTTTTTGAATGACTGTTTAATGAAAAATAATCAAATTATTTATAAAGACTTCAAAACTACAGATTAGAAAGTTGAAAAAATTAGAATTGTAATCTAGTAGAAGTTTTGTGTTGACCTAATTATGTTTCTGGGATGATTACCAAAATCAGTTTAGTATTTCTACAGAGAAAAAGGGAAGATGATAAACATCCTCAGTTCAACAGTGTGCTCATGTGGAAATATCAATATTTGTTAATATGTTAGATTTACAACATGCAGTTGTAATTGTGCATCAAAGTTGAAAAGTTGTTAGAATACAAAATAGAGATCCTTCTCCTTGAAAGAGCATACATATATAAATATCTTTTCTGATTCTCTATTTTAAGAGTTCAAAATGAACCATTAGAACTGTCTTATACCACTCCGGGTTTTACATAGACGGAAGTCATAAAGTAATGTCATGGATTTTCTAATAGATATATTAGAACTTTATTAGACTGATAGTATCTAACATCTGATTGATACTTATAACCTATCTCTGTGTGATTGTTTCTCTTTCTGCCTTGTTTTTGTTTCTCTCATTGCTTTCTGTTTCTATTTTGCTATTTCTAGCCTTTCTTCAGATGACCCTTTAAATAGAGTATGCTATATAGATGAATTACATTTTTCTTTTGTTGTACTTGCTACCTCTTTATGTTCCCTGATTTAAAATAAGTTTTAATATTTAGATTTTTTTGTTGTTTTCAGTGATTATTTGCCCCCTAAGAAATAGTGATGTGAGAGTTGGAATAGAAAAAGATTCCACTGCCTTTCTTTTGGTGCTTGTCTCCGAGAAATTTAAACCGGGTATTTTGTAGGAAATTGATTAAATACCTGACAGCAACTTGGCAACATGTGTTGTTTTAGCATACACTTTTAAAATAAAGAAAATTTTTACTTATTTCAGTATGCAAAAGCACTAGAGTAAATATGAAAGTGAAACAAAAATACTGAAGTGTATGAAGGTAAAGAAGTTTCTGATGAAGTACATTTTCTAAATGCTGATAATTAACTATGAGTATTAATTTATTTTAAATACTTGAAGTGTATTAAATTTTTATACATACACTCTTTGGAAGTGTGGAAAACAGTGAGTTGGGAATTTCCTGAAGATGGGAACACTTAATATAACCTTGACAGATCCTTGCTGACTCTGAGTCTAGACTATTTAAAAAGTTCACTGAGCAGATTTAAACTGAGTGTAGATTATTAGCTACCAAAAGAATACTTGTTTTTAGTGGTGAATTTTAAGTGATTGCTTGATTCTATTAAGAGTGATATAATGCAGTAAATGTATATTTTTAACCAGGATTATATTATTTATTGCTCTTATATATACTGGCACATCATTTTCCTTTTTCCAACCATTTTAAATGACTTTCCTTAGAATAAAGCTGAAGTAGTGCAGTAAACCAGTGACCGTTCCACATGATCTGAACTTTGTCTAAAGTGATAATTTGATTATTAAAATATTACTAAATGTAGTTTATGGAGTGATGGATTAATTTCGCAGACATCCCAGAAATTATATACTTACTAAGTAGATGTCGTTTTCTTTTAAGCATTCTTCTTGCAAGGGACAGGATCAATGGAACCAACATCAATGGAACCATTGATGTTACTATTGTTCAAAACATTTTAAAATTCTACTTGTGAAGATTGCTAAAGCTTGTAAGGCCTTTAAATTTATCCTATATATTATTAGTCCTTCAAATTGCTGTTTGGTTTGTCCTTCAAGGATGAATTGGAGTTTGGGAAATGGTCAGATATAATCGGACTCAAATTTGGGAAGTTATTAATTCACTAATTTATTCACTCATGTATTTGAAAATAATACATTGAGCACCTGCTCTTTTCTCAGCACTGTATTACATACTGGAAGGTGGTATTTGCAAGGTAGATAATTACTTTTAAATAAATTGCCACTATATGCAATACTGTCATTGTAATCTAGTCCCTGGCTACCTCTACTACCATTCTCATTTCCTAACTGTCTCCTGATTCACTGTGTTTAGTGAAATGATTTCTATGCTGGTCATTCCTAATCATATTTTCTTTGACCCAAATTTGTACTTTTATCATATTCTTTCTGGATTGTTTTTCCTCCAATATTTCTATTACTTAATCCCTCACTGTTTAACTCTGTTCAAATGTCACCTTATCATCACTGAGGCCTTCTCTGATCACTGTGTCTGAAGTAGCTCCTCTTACTGTCACTTGTCATTTTTTTTTTTTAATCGTTTTGCCTTTTCTTTTTTGAGACAGGGTCTCGCTTTGTCATCCAGGCTGGAGGGCAGTGGCATGATCATGGCTCGCTGCAGCCTCGACCTCCTGGACTCAAGTGATCCTGTCACTTCAGCACCCCCACGTAGTTGGGAGTACAGGCACACGCCACCAAGCCTGGCTAATTTTTTGGTATTTTTTGTAGAGACAGGGTTCTGCCACGTTGCCCAGGCTTGTCTTGAATCGTGGGCTCAAGCGATCCATCTGTCTTGGCCCCCCAAAAGTGCTGGGATTGTAGGTATGAGCCACTGTGCCTGGCATTATTGCTTTTTCTTTCATAGCCCTTGTCACTACTGATATTACGGTATATATTTCTTGTCTCCCTGGAATGTAAGTTTTGTGAGGAGACAAGTACTTTGTTTTGTTCACCATTGCATCCTTGGTGCTTAGAACAGCCCTGGGACATAGTAAGTGCTGGGTAAATATTTGTTGACTGAATGATTGACTCTCAAATTTGTGTTTAAGCTTGAGGGCTCCTGACCAATTTTGCTGCTTACTCAGCATCGTAACCATGTCGTCAAGTACATCAAACCTAATATGTTTCAAACTGGCTAATTATCTCATTATTCTAAAAATCTTTCTGGGTTAAGAGAAGTACTTTAATTGGGCCAAATAAGACACCCAGGAGACATCTTAACCTCGTTCCTTGTCCTTATTCCACATATCCAATCTGAGACCAGATGGTAATGATTTTATCTCTGAAATACTTGCAAATCTGTTTTTTCCATTTCTGTTGCCATGCCTTTATTCAGGCCCTTATTATCTTTCCTGATGATTCTATTGACTTCGTAACTACTCTCCCTGTTCTAGTTCTGTTCTTTTCCAATCTGTTTTCTTCTCTGTAACCAACAAAAAGTTTCCCAAAAAGTCAATCTTCCCTCGCAGTGTTGAACATCTTCTTTATTTGGGCTTTTATAATATATTGCATTTTACCTTTCTTACAATTGGCATAATTTTATTCACATGTCTGCCTCTCTGTCACACTAGACAAATATTTGTTGACCTTTACTGTGTACTGGGTACTGATCTTTTGCTGCTGATTCAGTGGTGAAAAAAATATATTGAGTCCCTACCTTTGATGGACCTATAGTCTAGGGGGGAGAACACAGTAAACACATGAGTGCAGAATTTTAGGTACTGATAAATGCTCTTAATAGTGTAAAATCAGGTATGTGAAAAAGAGTGGGGGGGGGGAATTGTCAGAGAAAGCTTCTCTTAAGTAGTAGTGTTTAATTGATACCGAGGAGGCACCATGTAAGGGAGGAAAGTCTTCAAGTAGAAGGAAAAACTAGCCAAAAAAATGTGACTATCAACGAGACAGGAAAGAACCAGTATGGCTAGTGCTTGATGAATGAGAGAGAGAGTATGGGAATATGAGATTAGGAGAGACAGGGAGACAAGTAATAACTTGGAGAGGGTGGTACAACTGCAAAGGGAAGTCATTAGAGGGTTTCAGGCAGGAGTGTGATATGGTGAGATAATTTAGAAAAATCACTCTGCCCCTTGGACAATAGACTGTAGCCCTTGGAGCAGGCACTTCATAGCACATGCCATTAAATTAATGTTAACTGAATTAATAAGTGAATGAATGAATTCTTTCATTCATGTTACAAGACGGGCAAGATTATTCCATTTGAATCACTTGAAACTGAAGTAGTGTATTGTTTTTCAAGACGAGATAGCAAAACCAAACATTGTAGAAATGATAGTTGTATTAATAGATTTCCTTGTAAGTGATGTGTGTATAACCCTAATTACTTTAATATTTTTGAGTTATCAAGTAATGCCTGATTACTAATTTTAACAACAGCTCTTTTCACTGTGGGTGGAAATGCTGTATTTAATGAGTATATAACATAGAGTATTCTGCCAGTTTTTCTGAAGGTTGAGGTTACAAGATAAATCAGACCTTGCTCTTCAAGAACCTCCAGTTAGTTGCATGTTACTCAAAAAATGTAGACTGAATGGATGGTTAAGGTAGACTGACAAATCAAGAGGCCCAGAAGGGACTTCTTAGCCTTATATAATCTTTGTCAAAAATTATTCTATTCGTTTGATCAACTTTATGCTGCTGCTGCAGCTAGATGCTTTCATTTAGATGTTGAATCTATCCTTGGGAATATGAAGAAGTACTGAAAATAGCAGAATGAGTGAAGTTAGTGTTAACTTTATTCTCTTTAATATTAAATAAATTTTTATTCTGGATATGAGCGCTCCCCTTCCTCTCATTTATGTCAATCTTTCCCCTTATTCAACTTTAACTGCCACTGTCGTCCCACCTATCCAGCACTAAGACATGTGGGCTGTGAGTGCTTTGGAAACAATCTTTTTTTCTTGGTGCTGAATCAGGATGGCTTATAGGCAGATTTGGGGGAAATTCTTGTCTTTCATTTCACAGCTTTTATTCATATGTTCTTTGTATTTTTTTTTTAAGTGAATGTGATCCCGGCAATCTGTTCTTTAGCATCTAGATTTTCAGCCCGTTGTTAAAATTAAAACCTTTTTTTAACCTATTCTTTCTTTCTTTTTTGAGACGGAGTCTCACACCGTAGCCCAGGCTGGAGCGCAGTGGCTCGATCTCCACTCACTGCAACCTCCGCCTCCCGGGTTCAAGTGATTCTTCTGCCTCAGCCTTCCGAGTAGCTGGGATTACAGGCGCCCACCACCAAGCCCGGCTAACTTTTTGTATTTTTAGTAGAGACGGGTTTTTTTTTTTTTTTTGAGACGGAGTCTCGCTGTCGCCCAGGCTGGAGTGCAGTGGCGCAATCTCGGCTCACTGCAGGCTCCGCCCCCTGGGGTTCACGCCATTCTCCTGCCTCAGCCTCCCGAGTAGCTGGGACTACAGGCGCCCGCCACCTCGCCCGGCTAATTTTTTGTATTTTTAGTAGAGACGGGGTTTCACCGTGTTAGCCAGGATGGTCTCGATCTCCTGACCTCGTGATCCACCCATCTCGGCCTCCCAAAGTGCTGGGATTACAGGCGTGAGCCACCGCGCCCGACCCTTATTCTTGCTTTCTAATTCTGCGGATTTAATAAACATTTATTTAATAAATATTTATTTTTGTGCTAGGCACTGTGCTAGATCCTAAATATTTTTTAAAGAGGCTATAGCATGAGCACGTGTGCCTTTGGTAAAGTAAAATCATGGTTTGGGGTTGGCAGATACATGAGCCGTTGTGGTAGAAATTGCTCAGCAATCACTAGACTCTTTTCCTCTGAGTGACACTGAGGGTTCATAATCCTCAGAGTAGTATTCCTGGAAGCACTAGGGCCGACACTAGAGTTGAAACCTGATTTGCCATGACAAGTATAATTGAATAATGTCTGTGTTTTGGTTTGTTGACTGAGGGATATTTTGCACCTTTAGCAAATAGAGGAGGATTTAGCTACTTATTAAATTGTATTATTTTTTACTGTTAGCATTTTCCAGAGAAAGTTTTATTGGTTAGGTGCATCAGGGGCATTGAAATAGCCTAAAATAAATTGGAGAAAAACTATGAAAAAATTTAGCTAGTGATTTGTCTTATTTAAAATGTTAGTTCATGAAAGTGTTTGGATGTAATCTAATCAATTGGATACTCTTACAAATTTCATTGCTAAAAGTAGCATGGATGTGATTCTTAACTGATACTGTTATTTATTTGATATTTATCCCTTGGTCTGAGCAGGGCATTCTTAGTAAGCCAAACTTTGCACTAGAGAATGGCTGTTTGGGTTCAGCAATAGTGTAGGTGAAGATCATTGGTGTGGAATCGTAAAATAGAAGCCAAGTAAGCAGAGTTTAGAGCTAGAAGAAACTGATAAGAGATCACTTAATTTCAGAAGACTTTTAACAAAAGAAGGAGGCTCTCTAGGTACGAGAAAGGTAGATTCCATTGTCAATGTACTTTGAGGAGACTGACAGTATTAAGAGGACTACTTGAGTTAAACTAGTCAGTAATCTTCCCCAGGATCCCCACTGGTTTTATTTTATGTTTACATACATAAAATATAAACTGCAAATTATGGGAAACCTTATTTTAGATCTTATTGGTAATTTGTACAGGTCTGGATCAACTACAGTTTACCTTTGTGATACTGTAAAAAGTTCTTTTTTTATGCAGATAACCCTAGGATTATGATGGGATTACATCCTTTCAAACTCCCTAAACTCATTGTAAGTGAAAAATAAGTATTTGTAGACACGATAGGTTGCAAAAACAATGTCCAAAAAATGCTAATGACTGGGTACACTGTAGAGTGTTGGTTCATTCTGTTGCCCAGGCTGGATTGCAGTGGCAGGATCATAGTTCACTGTAACCTCAAACTCCTGGGCTCAAGGGATCCTCCTGTCTCAGCCTTCTAAGTAGCTAGGACTATACACGCATACCACCACGCCTGGCTAATTTAAAAATTTTTTTTTGTAGAGATGGATGTCTTGCTGTTAGCCAGGCTGATCTTGAATTCTTGTTCTCAAGCAGTCCACCCACATCAGCATCCCAAAGTGCTGGGATTACAGGTGTGAGCCACCACGCCTGGCCTATTTACCCTTGCAATCATGTGGCTGACTGAGATTTTGACTCACTACTTCTGCCCAGCATTATGAAGGAGTATCCTACCACATACTGCTGCTCAGGAAAAGATCAAAATTCAGAATTCAAAGTATGGTTTCTATTGAATGCATGTTGCTCTTGCAATATCTTAAAGTAAGAAAATTTTAAGTTGAACCATCATAAGTAGGTGACTATGTATTAATTTTAAGCTATTTTAGAAAATTAGCATATCACTCCTTTTTTGAAAATATACATTCCTAATTATTACTGTGAAATGAAAAGTGAGTTTGTAGAAGGGAAAATCAAAAATCACATTCTTTTTTTTTTGAGACAGAGTCTGGCTCCGTTGCCCAGGCTGGAGTGCAATGGCGTGATCTTGGCTCACTGCAGCCTCCGCCTCCTGGGTTCAAGCGATTCTCCTGCCTCAGCCTCCAAGTAGCTGGGATTACAGGCGCCCACCACTATGCCCAGCTAATTTTTTTATTTTTATTTTTAGTAAAGATGGGGTTTCGCCATGTTGGCCAGCCTGGTCTCCAACTCCTGACCTCAGGTGTTCCACGTGCCTCGCCTCCCAAAGTGCTGGGATTATAGGCGTGAGCCACCGTGCCCAGCCGAAATTCACGTTCTTGCTCCATAATTTGCAAGCAAATACCAGATGTGCTGTTAAGTTTTCTGAGTCTAACTTTTTTTATTTGTGAAAAGGGATAAAATTTTGTATATCTTACAGTGTCATTATGAGTATTGAGAAAATTATTTGTTTATAGACCCCAGCGTAGTGTCTGGCAAATGCTTAGATGAAAACTCTAAGAACAAGTGTTAATAAACAAATAACAGTTATTTATCCATTCTTTTGATCATGGACATTTGTGTTATTTGTAGTTTCTTGGTATTATATACAGTGATTTTATGTATAGTCTTGTATATGAATCCTGCTGCTTATATGTAAGTTTCTCTGCATTATATAATTTAGCGTGGAATTACTGGTTATATGCCGCGTGTGTGTGTGTGTAGGTGCGTGTGTGTGTGTGTGTGTGTGTATATATATGTATGGGGAGAGAGAAAGATTATCCATCTATATGTCTTTATTCTCACAGTGATAATATATAGGAATTGCTATTGATTCATACTTTTGTCAACACTTGGGATTATCAGACTTATTAAAAATATTTCATTATGAAAAATTTCAAACATACACATAATTCGAGAAAAAAGTATAATGAGCCCTCATGTATTCTTTACCTTCAACCATTATAAACATATGGGACAATCTTATTTCATTTGTATATTCTCCCACTTCCCTCATGGGTCATTTTGAAGCAAATCCAAGGTATATGTTATTTCATTGCAGATCATCAGTATGTATTTCTAAGGGATACGGAATTTTAAAATATACAACCACAGTGACATTAACACAACTGAGTAAATTAACAGTAAGTTCTTTGTAGGTCAGGCGTGGTGGCTCACTCCTGTAATCCAGCATTTTGGGAGGCCGAGGTGGGTGGATTGCCTGAGCTCAGGAGTTTGAGACCAGCCTGGGAAACGTGGTGAAACCTTGTCCCTACAAAAATACAAAAAATTAGCCGGGTGTGGCAGTGTGCACCTGTAGTCCCAGCAACTTGGGAGGTTGAAGCAGGAGAATTGCTTGAACCCAGGAGGTGGAGGTTACAGTGAGCCGAGATTGTGCCACTGCACTCCAGCCTGGGAGACAGAGAGAGACCCCGTCTCAAAAAAGAAGAAAAAAAACAAAGAAAAACAAAGCAGTAAGTTCTTTGTATTATCTAATATTCAGTCAGTGCTCAAATTTTCCTGATTGTTTTACAGATACTTAGAGTACTTTGAGTAATGATTCATAGGTCAGCATACTTTATATATATATATATTTATTTATTTATTTGTTTATATTTATATATGTAAAAAAGCAAGTTGTTCATCTAGATCACCTTCCTTTTGGGTAATCTGTTTTTCTGTCTATATTAACAATTTCTTTCAAACATCTTGAATAAAATGTGTTTAGGTGGTTATTTATTCTGCCTTTGGATTCATTGGGCATCCTGATTCTAAGTATTTCAAGTCTTTGAGTAATTCCAGAAAAGTGTCAGTCCTTGGGTTTTTGAGTATTGCATTTCCCCCATTTTGTCTTGTTACCTCCTTTATGAACTCTCATGTATGTTAGAGTTTCTCATTATCTTTCTTGGTTGTTAAACTTTTTTATGTGTTTCATCTCCTTTTTCCTGAGAAGCCAAGTTCTGTATAGTATCTTCAGCTAGGTCTTTCTTCGTTCATTAATTCTTCTGCTAGCAGTGTTTATGCTGTTCATCCCTTCCATTGAGTTATTTCAGTTATGATATTTTTATTTCAAGAAGTTCTACCTGGACTGCGCTCCCTCCCTCCCTCCCTTCTTTCCTATTCTGTCATGGATCTTTTTGATAACTTTTTTTTTTTTTTGAATGTTCTCTTTAGTGTTCTTTTTACTTCTTTTTTTCCCTTAAGCCAGAGGTTTGCAAATTATGGCTTGCAAATCTGGCTTGCTACTGCATATGTAAATAACATTTTATTGGCACATGGCTATGCTTATTTGTTTTAAGTTTTATCTGTGGCTGCTTTGGTGCCATAGTTGTGGAGTTAACTAGTTGAAACAGAGACTGTATTACAGACCTTTAAAGCCTAAAGTGTTTACTGTGTGACTCTATGAACAAGTTTACCAGCTCCCCTGTTTTAGATATATAAAACATAATTATTATTTCATTGAATAATTCTGATTTTTAGTCTTTTTATATCTTTTTTTTTCTTGTTTCTGTTTATAATGGCTTATTTTGCTGTTTACTTGTGTGTTCATGGTTTTTGGTTGTGCCCTATATTTGTTAGGTTACCCAGGCTAAGGGTGGTTATCTGGTTGGTTGGATGAGTTAGTGGGGAGTGATTGATGGTTGAGTTTGCTTCTGCCTGCTGCTTGGGAGCATTGTAGACCAAGGGCTACTTTAAATTCAGATTCTCACCTTGGTGTTTTTTTCCCTTAACCATGCAAGAGTACATTTATGTTCCAAAGTCACATGTGGTGGCTTCAGAGTCTCAGCAGAGTCTCTCTTGTTTGTTTTGTTTACAGTGTTACCCAGAGCTGCTTTTCTTTGCTGTTTACCTCTGTTGGATGTTTTTTAATTCACCTTTTTTCTTAGGATGTAGACTTTTCTAAGGTCTAACTTTATGCGTAACAAATTCCTTGTCTTGCATTGACTCAAGGGTTAGCCTACAGTCCTCATGGCCTGCTCTTAAGCTTTAGGAATAGGATTTCATGTGGGTTCTCTAAAGCAGAGCTTCTGAAATTTAATGCTTTGTTGCAGGTCCCAGATACCATCCTTAGATTCAGTGATTCACTAGAACTCATTATGGCAAAAAGATATGACACAAAATTAGCAAAGGGAAAAGATACATGGGGCAAAGTCTGGGGGAAACCAGCACAAGCATCTAGAATCTTCCCAGCAGAGTCACACAGGACATGCTAGTTCCCTCCAGTTATGAATTGTGACAACCCATGAAATGCTGTCAACCAGGGAATCTCATTAGAGACTCAGTGCCCAGGGTTTTTATTTGAGGAATTGCCAAGTAGGTAGCCTCTACCTGGCAGATAACAAAATTCCATACTTACAGAACAAAAGCAAGTATTTCATGTAAAACATATTGTTAGTATAAACAGTTTAGGTCCAGTGAGCCACCTTACCAGTTTACAGAATCTCCCAAAATTTAAGTTCCTGTATGCCAGCTGAGGGTCAACCTTGCAAGCAGGCCTTTTTAAAGATAAGCAGTTAGGCCTGCTAGGTTAACTTTTTTTCTGCACAAATATACAGTTGGACCACCTGGGGATTTTGTCATAATGAAGAGTCTGGTTCAGTAGGCCTGGAAGGGCTCAAGATTTTGCACTTATGACATGCTCACAGGTGGTACCCATGTTGATTGTCCACAGCTACACTTTGGTAGCCAGGTAGTTGTTCTTAGGGCCAGAAGCCCTTCTTTTCATTAATGTTTTTATCCTAAATGACCAGTCTTTTATTCTGAATTAGTGGGAAAATTCTTCGTTGTGGTTAAATTCTTTGTGTTGACAAACTATTTCTGGGGCAATATGGTTTACTTTTTGTTACTTTTTCCAACTTAAGATCTAAATTTATACTTCACTACATATTTTGTGTCTTGGAAGAGTGGAAAAAGTAACAGTTTCAATAACTTAGTTGTAGAAAAGAGTGCAACATTTTCACTTTGGTAGTATTAATTGTACAGGTCCATAGTCTCTTCTCCACAACTTTGAAAACCTAAAATCTCTGAGAATGAAAGCTTTTTCCATAAATAAGCTGACCTGTTAAAACTGACGTGACCTAAACTCATTTCATACAGCAAAGCCTGACTGGAATTTGATTTCTTAATTTGTCTCAGTGTGTCTAGTCATATGTTTTTCCTAAAAGAAATAATAGTTTTTGAATAGGTAATGTTGTACAAAACACTAATTTTGTATAAAAACAGGATACCATTATAATGTAGTCTACGTAAGAGGTTAGTAAAATACATGAACTAAAGCAGGGGTCCCCAAACCCCTGGCTGTGCACCGGTACCAGTCCGTGGCCTGTTAGGAACGGGGCCACACAGCAGGAGGTGAGCAGCGGGCAAGCATACATTACCACCTGCTCTGCCTTCTGTCAGATCAGTGGCTGCATTAGATTCTCATAGGAACATGAACCCTATTGTGAACTGCACATGCGAGGGATCTAGGTCGTGCCCTCCTTATGAGAATCTAATGCCTGATGATCTGAGGTGGAACAATTTCATCTGAAACCATCCCCCCCACTTGACCCTGTCCATTGAAAAACTGTCTTCCACAGAACCAGTCCCTGGGCCAAAAAGGTTGGGGACTACTGTTCTAAAGTGTCTCAGTGATACTTGATGACTACTTGGATGTGAGTAGATTCCAGGGAGTCCAGAATTTCTAATAGTAATATTATTTGAAGATGGAAATTTTTTTAAGTTTTTTTTTAAGATGAATTAATTTGATTACAGGACATGCTAAATTTGAGGTGGACACACCACAAAACATACAGACTGAGGTGTGTTGCTTTTAATCATAGATAAATTTTAGAATCGAACTTTTGAGGCATTGACTTAAAGGGTAAAATTGAATTTGTTAGAGTTGATAGAGACAGGGAAAAGAGAAACCTGAGGAAAAGGATATAGTACTTCAGGTAATTTTTGTTGTCTTTGTTGTTGTTTACATTTAAAACATTTTTTTTCCCTGGCAACCTTCATTTAACTCAAAGCTTTAGGTAATGTTAAAGGATATGGAACAGGAGGAGGGAATACAAATCTTTAAACCAAGTCATAAGGAACAGTGAAGGATAGTTATGAAAAGGATTGAGACAGTGTAGTTGCAGAAACCACGGGAAATATGGTGGATTTGGTTAGCATGGGTCAGTAGTGTGATGGAAAAGTCAAAAAGTTTTGAAAAGCTGAGAGAAAAACTTTGAATTAGGCAAATGGTAAGCTTGAGGAGGACAGCTTAATTTGAATGATGGCCTTAAACACCAGGTTGATGAAGTTTAGGAGATGATGAGGTAAGAATAAATTCAGTTGCATCTCAGATTTGGCAAAAAAAAAAAAAAAGTAATATTTCAAAGATAGAAAACAATGGGCAAAGCATTTATTCTTCTTCTTTTTTTTTTTTTTAATTTTGTTTTTAGAGACAGGGTCTTGTTCTGTTACCCAGACTGGAGTGCAGTGGCACCATCATAGTTCACTGTAGCTTCAATCACCTGGGCTCAAGTGATCTTCCCATCTCAGCCTCCTGAGTAGCTGGGACGACAGGCGTATGCCACTATGCCCAGCTGTTTTTGTTTTTTTTTTCCCCTAATTTTTGTAGAGACAGGAGTCTTACAGTGCTCTTATTGCTGGTGTTGAACTCCTGGCCTCAAGAAATCCTCCCAACTTGGCCTCCCAGAGTTTTGGGATTACGTGCATGAGCCTCTGCACCTGGCCAGCATTTATTTATTTATTTATTTATTTATTTATTTATTTTTAAAGACAGAGCTAGTGAAAGAGACTGACGATCCATGAAGAATAGTGAATAACTAATGATAAAAATACTGGAATAAGATAAGATGTGGAATCAATACAAATGGAAAGATTAGAAAATAATACGGTAACAACATATTTTTCAGGTTGCTAATCCATACTCAAATCTAGTGTCCTACAGCCAAGGTATATTTATACCTTTGCTCTCCCTTATTAGTTTCTAAGAAGGTAAGCCCTTTTAACTACTACCTTCATAGAAGCCACCTGTCTGACAAATGATCTGAACTATAGACATGTTTCATAGAGAAAAGCAGAAGCATGAAAGTAGCTGTACATGAAAATATACAACTGACTTCTAAATAATTCTAATAGACTGGATATCTATATATAAAAATTAATGTCTCAGCCTTTAGGCACAGCTGTTCCATTCTTTCACAGGGTTCATTTACATAGTGAATTGTTTCAAAGACAAACTGATTTTTTTCTCTTATAATAAAGGATTCCTAATTAGAGAACTGTGGAAGCCTAATGATTTTACAAGTATCTTTGTAAAATATAACAGACTAAGACATAGAAATTGTAGCAGAACATGCAGTAATTGTAATGTTTAATAATTGCTTTTAGTTATTTTTACTGTCTTAGAAAGGGTTGTTCAAGTTGCAGACTGTATTTTTCAGTCTATAATGAAATTATTTCATATCTTGTTGCTCAGAGTTTTCCTGCTTTTCTGCAGGAAAATAACATTAAAATGTTATGAAAAACATTTCTTTGAATGATAGTCATTTCTGTAGTCTGGTGAAGACCTTTTGAATTCTTTGTATATACTCATATATACTTTGTGTTTGTGTACAAAGTAAAAGTGCTTTGTGAATTTGGTTCAGTTGTCTACCACAAATTATCTTTTAACAGGTGTTATGAGCCCAAGTACTCAATTCTAATTTTACTGTGGAAAAGGGAAAGAGATGAAGTCTAAGAAAGCACTTGATGCCTTTTTTCCATTGAGCAGGTCTTATCCATTTTCTCCTTCAAACATCTGTGCCAGAAAATCTTTATAAATTCACTAATTATCTACCATGTAAAAATAGACAAGGATGAAATGATTAAAAGATTAGGTAAGGGGAATGGTTAGGCTTTAGTTCTTTATCTAGCAAGTGCAACCTGGCAACATGATTTTTAGCACTGCGTGAATATAGTGCTTGAGAGGGTGGAATAGAAAAGGATCAGAATGTGGTTTTCTGAAGGTAGACAGCAGGCTTAAATTTTTGTTTGCCTTTTTCTTTTTGTTTTCCTATGCATTGCCATGTTAAAAGTTTTGTATTTGACAAATTTGGGTGAATGCTATTGCATTGTTAATTATATTTAATTAGGTTTGTTCTTACCTTAGAAAGTGAGATTCCTTTTCAAAGCAATAGAAATAAGTTTGGTTAGGGTTTTTGGAAAATTATATTATTTCATATCTTGTTGCTCAGAGTTTGGGAAGTAGATACATTTTGAAGCAGCATAGTTTTTTTTTATTCCCTCTTTTGTGTATGTCCATATTATAACTATCATTATTATAACTACTCATAAGATAGTAAGTCCCTTGTCCATTCTTATATTTTAGAATTCACAGGTATGACCTAGAGACTTCTTCTGTTATAAATGCCAGATTGTTAAAAGTCAATTTAAGAAGCATAGTCTTGTTTACTATAAAAGGACAATAAACATAGTCTTTAATATCTGGCAAAATAACAAAATTTTTTTTCGTTCTTGCTTTTTAACTATTTATTGAATAGAGAGACATGAATTTATTATACATGTTTTGCTCAATGAATCTTTGACAGATTGACACCTGTGAAACCAGCACCCAGATCAAAACAGAGCTTGGTATATTTTAAACATTTTTAAATATTTTGGTTTTAATTGACACATAATAATTACATATTTATAGGGTACAGTGTCATTTTGATATGTGTATACATTGTGTAAAAGTCAAATCAGGGTATTTAGTAAATCCATTAATGGATTAATCAGTTTTCTGTCGCTTATAAAAGAATACCTGAAATTGGGTAATTTATAAGAAAAGGAATTCAGTTCTTACCGTTATGAAGGCTAAGAAGTCCAAGATTGAGGGGCTGTCTGACGACACCTTCTTGCTGTCATTGAAGAGTCCCAGGGTGGCACAGGTTATCACATGGCAAGGGGGCTGAGCGTGCTAATGTGCTAGCTCAGGTCGCTTCTCTTCTTATAAAGCCACCAGTTCCTCTCCTGTGATAACTCATTCATGAGGACAGAGCCTTCATGATCCAGTCACCTCTTCAAGACCCCACCTCTCAATACAGCCACACTGGGGATGAAATTTCAACAAGAGCTTTGGAGGGGACATTCAGACCATAGCAATCACCTCATATGTTTATCATTTCTTTGTGGTGAGAATGTTCAAAATCCTTTCTCCTAGTTATTTTGAAATATACAATACAGTACTGTTAATCATAGTCACCCTACTGCACAAGAGAACACCAGAACTTATTCCTCCTAACTGTAACTTTGTACCCATTGACCAGTCTTTCTCTATTTCTCCTCTACCCTCCACTCTTCTACTCTGTACTTCTGAGATCAGCTTCTTTAGATTCCACATATGAGAGGTTGTGTGGTGTTTGTCTTTCTGTGCCTGGTTTATTTCACTTAAGATCATGTCCTCCTGGTTCATCCATGTTGTTGCAAATGATAAGATTTTATTTTTTTAATGGCTGAGTAATATTCCATTGTGCATATATACCACACTTAAAAAATTCATTTATCTATTGAAGGACAATTAGGTTGCTTCTATATCTTGGCTATTATGAATAGTGGTGCAAAAAATATGGTATCTCTTTGGTTTACTCATTCTCTTTGATATGCTGATTTCGTTTCCTTTGGCTATATTTATATACCTAGTAGTGGAATTGCTGGATCATCCATTTGGCAATTCTATTTTTAGTTTTTTGAGGCACCTCTATACTATTTTCTATAATGGCTGTACTTACTAATATACATTCTCACCAACAGTATATGAATTCCCCTTTTTCCACATTTGTTACTTTTTGTCTTTTTCTTTAGAGACAGGGTCTTGCTCTGTCACCCAGGCTAGAGTACAGTGGTGTGTTCATGGCTCCCTGCATTTTTTTGTCTTTTTGATAATAGCCTAATTTAGGTGAGATGAAACCAGAACCCAGATCAAGAAACAGAATTTGGTATATTTTAAAGTTTCTGTGTATTTATTACTGAATAGTAAGTTCATTTATTCAACAAATACTTTTTGAGTGTGGTTACTGTTTGCCAACCATTGTTTTAGGTATTTGGATGACATCACATTGGTGAAATAAAGCAGAATTGTGGTATAGGGAGATAAACATCAAATAATTATACAATTAAGTGTGTAATTATAAACCGGTATGAACACTGAAGGTACATTGTCCTATGCAAGGCAGTACAACTAGGTAGTCTGTATTGTATTATATATTGAGGAATAAAAGGTAGACTTTGGAGTCATACAGCTTAAGTTCAGATCTCATTGCCATATCTGGTATTAGTGTGACTTTTAGGCAAGTGAACTATGTCTCTAAGCCTCATTTATTAACATGAGGACAATAATAGTAGTACCTACCTTATACGGTTGGTGTGGAGATTAAAAGAGATTATTCATGCAAAAATATTAGCACAAATAGTATAGGTTCTCTGTGTGTATAGTATTAGTAATTATTATTTTTGTGTCAGTGTTGTTGTTTTATATTGTAACATTTGAAGATGATAAGAATATTTCATAGAGTAGGTTCTAGTCTTAGATTTCAGATTAAATAACCCAAAGAGATATCAGAATCTAGTTGTATGACATTCTGGCAGCCTTTATAGCATGTTTCATATTTCAGTGTGCATAAGAATCACTGGGGTACTTCCTATAAATGCAGATTACTGTGGGCAACTTTCTAGGCACACTTGACCCTGGAATTGGTATTTCTATGGTAATCTACTTATTTTTTAAGAACACAGGCTTGAAAACTGATAGCCTGTAAATGTGGTTTCAAATCATTTTTAATTAAACATATTAAATTTTTTTTTTTTTTTTTTTTTTTGAAACAGGGTCTTGCTCTGTCACCCAAACTGGAGTCCAGTGGCATGATCATAGCTCACTGCATCCTTGAACTCCCAGGCTGTAGGGATCCGCCTACTATCAGCCTCTGGAGTAGCCATGCCTGACTAATATAAGTGTTTTTGATGTAGGAACAAATAGCCAATTAACTTATAACATTGTAAGGTTAGTTGTTATTTACTTTTGGTGCATAAGCTTACTACAGCTGGTAGAAAATTTCCCCCAAATCTGTACTTGCTCTAGGATTCCCTGTTAGTGAATAGAATCATACATCAATTTACCCAATCCGGAAATCTAGACTTCATCCTTGATTCTGCCCTCTATCTTTTTTCCATCTCTAAGCCGTTATTAAGTTTTCTGCTCAGAAAATTTTTTTAACTTCTACTTAAACTTGCCTTTCTCCTCTTCTGCAGTTCACTCTCCAGAGTTGTATTCCTAAAGCACAAAAAACTGATCATGCCATTCACTTGCACAAATGCCTTCCTTAATAATTATCCATTGCCCAAAGATATAAGATATGTTAACTTTTATCTTTCTAAGTTAAGTTAACTTATCTTAGAAAGCTGTTGGAATCTAGCTCCATTTTCATTTATTCTCATCATCCTGTTTTCTGAAGATATAGAATTTCTTGCTATTCCTTGAGTTCATTGAGAAAAGTACCTTGTTTTTTCACATTTCCATGTTAATGTACATATTGCTCTTCACATTTTATATGCCTACAAGATGTATTGCTTATTGTCAAGAATAAACTCGTGTTAAGCATCTCCAAATAACATTTGTGTCACTTACTGTCTTGCTCAGTATTTCTTTTAACCACTGTTTATTGACAACCCACCATGTGCCTGGCATTGTGCCAGAGGCCAGGATGCATCTGTAAACAGACAGACAGGTTTCCTATTCTCAACTTGTCTTATACTCTAGTGAAATCTCTATCAATCACTCTCCTTTTATTTTATTTGCATGATATTTACTACCTACCTGTCTATTATATTACTGTTAGACATTTATGTCCCTCTTTTTTCCCATTTAATTTTGATCTCCAGGAATGAGATCATATATTTATTAATGTTCCTCTCCTAGCAGTTATCGCAGTATATGGCAGATGAGGAGCATTGAAATTTATAACTGAATAAAACATAGAAATTGAAATACTGCGTAGATATACAGAGCTATTCCTAGGTCAGATCATAACTGTCTTTTATAGTATAGATTTATTTTTAAAAATTATATAAGTAATAAAATTATGGAATACAATCTAGGGGACAACCTGTTTTCCAGTCTATTGATAGTGTTAACAACTTTTTTGAAAAAGAACCTTGGAAGGACCATTGTTTAAAATTTAATTTTAAAATATTTTAAGTTGTTTATATTATAAAACATATTCTAAGTAAATGAATTAAAATAGTAATTATAGCTTCTAATTATTAAAATTATACAACTTTTTTAATTTTATGATTGTTATACTTTAAGTTTTAGGGTACATGTGCACAGCGTGCAGGTTTGTTACATATGTACACATGTGCCATCTTGGTGTGCTGCACCATTAACTCGTCATTTAACATTAGGTATATCTCCTAATGCTATCCCTCCCCCCTCCCCCCACCCCTCAACAGGCCCCGGTGTGTGATGTTCCCCTTCCTGTGTCCATGTGTTCTCATTGTTCAGTTCCCACCTATGAGTGAGAACATGTGGTGTTTGGTTTTTTGTCCTTGCAATAGTTTGCTGAGAATGATGGTTTCCAGCTTCATCCATGTCCCCACAAAGGACATGAACTCATCATTTTTTATGGCTGCATAGTATTCCATGGTATATATGTGCCACATTTTCTTAATCCAGTCTATTATTGTTGGACATTTGGCTTGGTTCCAAGTCTTTGCTGTTGCGAATAGTGCTGCAGTAAACATACGTGTGCATGTGTCTTTATAGCACCATGATTTATAATCCTTTGGGTATATACCCAGTAATGGGATGGCTGGGTCAAATGGTATTTCTAGTTCTAGATCCCTGAGGAATCGCCACACTGACTTCCACAATGGTTGAACTAGTTTACAGTCCCACCAACAGTGTAAAAGTGTTCCTATTTCTCCACATCCTCTCCAGCACCAGTTGTTTCCTGACTTTTTAATGATTGCCATTCTAACTGGTATGAGATGGTATCTCATTGTGGTTTTGATTTGCATTTCTCTGATGGCCAGTGATGATGAGCACTTTTTCATGTGTTTTTTGGCTGCATAAATGTCTTCTTTTGAGAAGTGTCTGTTCATATCCTTTGCCCACTTTTTGATGGGGTTGTTTGTTTTTTCCTTGTAAATTTGTTTGACTTCATTGTAGATTCTGGATATTAGCCCTTTGTCAGATGAGTAGGTTGCAAAAATTTTCTCCTATTCTGTAGGTTACCTGTTCACTCTGATGGTAGTTTCTTTTGCTGTGCAGAAGCTCTTTAGTTTAATTAGATCCCATTTGTCAATTTTGGCTTTTGTTGCCATTGCTTTTGGTGTTTTAGACATGAAGTCTTTGCCCATGCCTATGTCCTGAATGGTATTGCCTAGGTTTTCTTCTAGGGTTTTTATGGTTTTAGGTCTAACATTTAAGTCTTTAATCCATGTTGAATTAATTTTTGTATAAGGTGTAAGGAAGGGATCCAGTTTCAGCTTTCTACATATGGCTAGCCAGTTTTCCCAGCACCATTTATTAAATAGGGAATCCTTTCCCCATTTCTTGTTTTTGTCAGGTTTGTCAAAGATCAGATAATTGTAGATATGTGGCATTATTTCTGCGGGCTCTGTTCTGTTCCATTGGTCTATATCTCTGTTTGGTACCAGTACCATGCTGTTTTGGTTACTGTAGCCTTGTAGTATAGTTTGCAGTCAGGTAGCATGATGTCTCCAGCTTTGTTCTTTTGGCTTAGGGTTGACCTGGCAATGCGGGCTCTTTTTTGGTTCCATATGAACTTTAAAGTAGTTTTTTCCAATTCTGTGAAGAAAGTCATTGGTAGCTTGATGGGGATGGCATTGAATCTATAAATTACCTTGGGCAGTATGGCCATTTTCACGATATTGATTCTTCCTACCCGTGAGCATGGAATGTTCTTCCATTTGTTTGTATCCTCTTTTATTTCATTGAGCAGTGGTTTGTAGTTCTCCTTGAAGAGGTCCTTCACATCCCTTGTAAGTTGGATTTCTAGGTATTTTATTCTCTTTGAAGCAATTGTGAATGGGAGTTCACTCATGATTTGGCTGTCTGTCTGTTATTGGTGTATAAGAATGCTTGTGATTTTTGCACATTGATTTTGTATCCTGAGACTTTGCTGAAGTTACTTATCAGCTTAAGGAGATTTTGGGCTGAGACAATGGGGTTTTCTAAATATACAATCATATCATCTGCAAACAGGGACAGTTTGACTTCCTCTTTTCCTAATTGAATACCCTTTATTTCTTTCTCCTGCCTGATTGCCCTGGCCAGAACTTCCAACACTATGTTGAATAGGAGTGGTGAGAGAGGGCATCCCTGTCTTGTGCCATTTTTGAAAGGGAATGCTTCCAGTTTTTGTCCATTCAGTATGATATTGGCTGTGGGTTTGTCATAAATAGCTCTTATTATTTTGAGATACGTCCCATCAACACCTAACTTATTGAGAGTTTTTAGCATGAAGGACTGTTGAATTTTGTCAAAGACCTTTTCTGCATCTATTGAGATAATCATGTGGTTTTTGTCTTTGGTTCTGTTTATATGCTGGATTACGTTTATTGATTTGCATATGTTGAACCAGCCTTGCATCCCAGGGATGAAGCCCACTTGATCATGGTGGATAAGCTTTTTGATGTGCTGCTGGATTTGTTTTGCCAGTATTTTATTGAGAATTTTTGCATCAATGTTCATCAGGGATATTGGTCTAAAATTCTCCTTTTTGGTTGTGTCTCTGCCAGGCTTTGGTATCAGGATGATGCTGGCCTCATAAAATGAGTTAGGGAGGATTCCCTCTTTTTCTATTGATTGGAATAGTTTCAGAAGGAATGATACTAGCTCCTCCTTGTACTTCTGGTAGAACTTGGCTGTGAATCCATCTGGTCCTGGACTTTTTTTGGTTGGTAAGCTACTAATTACTGCCTCAATTTCAGAAGCCTGTTATTGGTGTATTCAGGGATTCAACTTCTTCCTGGTTTAGTCTTGGGAGGGTGTATGTGTCGAGAAATTTATCCATTTCTTCTAGATTTTCTAGTTTATTTGCATAGAGGTGTTTATAGTATTCTCTGATCGTAGTTTGTATGTCTGTGGGATTGGTGGTGATACCCCCTTTGTCATTTTTTATTGCGTCTATTTGATTCTTCTCTCTTTTCTTCTTTATTAGTCTTGCTAGCGTTCTATCAATTTTGTTGATCTTTTCAAAAAACCAGCTCCTGGATTCATTGATTTTTTGAAGGGTTTTTTGTGTCTCTATTTCCTTCAGTTCTGCTCTGATCTTAGTTATTTCTTGCCTTCTGCTAGCTTTTGAATGTGTTTGCTCTTGCTTCTCTAGTTCTTTTAATTGTGATGTTAGGGTGTCAATTTTGGATCTTTCCTGCTTTCTCTTGTGGGCATTTAGTGCTATAAATTTCCCTCTACACACTGCTTTGAATGTGTCCCAGAGATTCTGGTATGTTGTGTCTTTGTTCTCGTTGGTTTCAAAGAACGTCTTTATTTCTGCCTTCATTTCGTTATGTACCCAGTAGTCATTCAGGAGCAGGTTGTTTAGTTTCCATGTAGTTGAGTGGTTTTGAGTGAGTTTCTTAATCCTGAGTTCTAGTTTGATTGCACTGTGGTCTGAGAGACAGTTTGTTATAATTTCTGTCCTTTTACATTTCCTGAGGAGTGCTTTACTTCCAACTATATGGTCAGTTTTGGAGTAGGTGTGGTGTGGTGCTGAAAAGAATGTATATTCTGTTGATTTGGGGTGGAGAGTTCTGTAGATGTCTATTAGGACTGCTTGGTGCAGAGCTGAGTTCAATTCCTGGGTATCCTTGTTAACTTTCTGTCTCGTTGATCTGTCTAATGTTGACAGTGGGGTGCTAAAGTCTCCCATTATTATTGTGTGGGAGTCTAAGTCTCTTTGTAGGTCTCCAAGGACTTGCTTTATGAATCTGGGTGCTCCTGTATTGGGTGCATATATATTTAGGATACTTAGCTCTTCTTGTTGAATTTATGCCTTTACCATTATGTAATGGCCTTCTTTGTCTCTTTTGATCTTTGCTGGTTTAAAGTCTGTTTTATCAGAGACTAGGATTGCAACCCCTGCCTTTTTTTGTTTTCCATTTGCTTGGTAGATCTTCCTCCATCCCTTTATTTTGAGCCTATGTGTGTCTCTGCACGTGAGATGGGTTTCCTGAATACAGCACACTGATGGGTCTTGATACTTTATCCAATTTGCCAGTCTGTGTCTTTTAATTGGAGCATTTAGCCTATTTACATTTAAGGTTAATATTGTTATGTGTGAATTTGATACTGTCATTATGATGTTAGCTGGTTATTTTGCTCATTAGTTGATGCAGTTTCTTCCTAGCCCTGATGGTCTTTACAATTTGGCATGTTTTTGCAGTGGCTGGTACCCGTTGTTCCTTTTCATGTTTAGTGCTTCCTTCAGGAGCTCTTTTAGGGCAGGCCTGGTGGTGACAAAATCTCTCAGCATTTGCTTGTCTGTAAAGTATTTTATTTCTCCTTCACTTATGAAGCTTAGTTTGGCTGGATATGAAATTCTGGGTTGAATATTCTTTTCTTTTAGAATGTTGAATATTCGGCCCCACTCTCTTCTGGCTTGTTGAGTTTCTGCGGAGAGATCCGCTGTTAGTCTGATGGGCTTCCCTTTGTGGGTAACCCGACCTTTCTCTCTGGCTTCCCTTAATATTTTTTCCTTCATTTCAACTTTGGTGAATCTGACAGTTACGTGTCTTGGAGTTGCTCTTCTCGAGGAGTATCTTTGTGGCGTTCTGTGTGTTTCCTGAATCTGAATGTTGGCCTGCCTTGCTAGATTGGGGAAGTTCTCCTGGATAATATCCTGCAGAGTGTTTTCCAACTTGGTTCCATTCTCCCCGTCACTTTCAGGTACAACAATCAGACGTAGATTTGGTCTTTTTACATAGTCCCATATTTCTTGGAGGCTTTGTTTGTTTCTTTTTATTTTTTCTCTAAACTTCTCTTCTCGCTTCATTTCATTCATTTCATCTTCTATCGCTGATACCCTTTCTTCCAGTTGATCGAATCGGCTACTGAGGCTTGTGCCTTCGTCACGTTCTCGTGCCGTGGTTTTCAGCTCCATCGGGTCCTTTAAGGACTTCTCTGCTTTGGTTATTCTAGTTAGCCATTCGTCTAATTTTTTTTCAAGGTTTTTAACTTCTTTGCCATTGGTTCGAACTTCCTCTTTTAGCTCGGAGTAGTTTGATCTTCTGAAGCCTTCTTCTCTCAACTCGTCAAAGTCATTCTCCGTCCAGCTTTGTTCCATTGCTGGTGAGGAGCTGTGTTACTTTGGAGGGTGAGAGGTGCTCTGATATTTAGAATTTTCAGCTTTTCTGCTCTGTTTTTTCCCCATCTTTGTGGTTTTATCTACCTTAGGTCTTTGATGATGGTGACGTACAGATGGGTTTTTGGTGTGGATGTCCTTTCTGTTTGTTAGTTTTCCTTCTAACAGTCAGGACCCTCAGCTGCAGGTCTGTTGGAGTTCGCCCGAGGTCCACTCCAGACCCTGTTTGCCTGGGTATCAGCAGTGGTGGCTGCAGAACAGTGGATATTGGTGAACCACAAATGCTGCTGCCTGATTGTTCCTCTGGAAGTTTTGTCTCAGAGGGGTACCTGGCCGTGTGAGGTGTCAGTGTGCCCCTGCTGGAGGGTGCCTCCCAGTTAGGCTGCTCAGGGGTCAGGGGTCAGGGACCCACTTGAGGAGGCAGTCTGCCCGTTCTCAGATCTCCAGCTGCGTGCTGGGAGAACCACTGCTCTCTTCAAAGCTGTCAGATAGGGACATTTAAGTCTGCAGAGGTTACTGCTGCCTTTTGTTTGTCTGTGCCCTGCCCCCAGAGGTGGAGCCTACAGAGGCAGGCAGGCCTCCTTGAGCTGCGGTGGGCTCCACCCAGTTCGAGCTTCTGGGCTGCTTTGTTTACCTCCTCAAGCCTCAGCAATGGCGGGCGCCCCTCCCCCAGCCTCGCTGCTGCCTTGCAGTTTGATCTCAGACTGCTGTGCTAGCAATGAGTGAGGCTCTGTGGGCGTAGGACCCGCTGAGCCAGGTGTGGGATATAATCTCCTGGTGTGCCGTTTGTTAAGCCCATTGGAACAGCGCAGTATTAGGGTGTGAGTGACCCGATTTTCCAGGTGCCATCTGTCACCCCTTTCTTTGACTAGGAAAGGGAATTCCCTGACCCCTTGCACTTCCCGGGTGAGGAGATGCCTCGCCCTGCTTTGGCTCATGCACGGTGCGCTGCACCCACTGTCCTGCATCCGCTGTCCGGCACTCCCCAGTGAGATGAACCCGTTACCTCAGTTGGAAATGCAGAAATCACCCATCTTCTGCATTGCTCATGCTGGGAGCTGTAGACTGGAGCCATTCCTATTCGGCCATCTTGGCTCCACCCCCAAAATTATACAACTTTTAATAGATGCTCTGTTCAAATGGATTATTAACTACATCTAGCTCACTTTCTGTTAGTGTTCTATACCTAGATTGATCCTCATCTATATTTGACAGTTACAGTATATAATAATATGCTGACAATAAACCAATTAAAGACATGGCTTTTAATAGAATTTTAAGACAATCGCAGAAGTGGCCTGGTAGATGTCACTTGTTTAACTTATCCAAAGGTACAGAATGATAAACTGTCAGCAAGGACTTTTTTTTCTTCCGTTAATTATAACCTTTTCTCCTTGAAATCATTCAAAGTGAGCAATTGTTTGGAATTAAAGAAAGGCAGATGTTTTTGTGTACACAGAAAGAGGAAAGTATAAAATGAAGTAAGTTTATAATTCAGAATTGAAGGGGGAGGAAAATAGATCTGAATCCCAGAGTCCTTGAGAGAAAAATTTATTTATTTATTGTTAAAAACATATAGTTATTTGTTTGTTTTTCAACCTTTAGTTTCGGTGGTACATGTGCAGGTTTGTTATATGGTTAAGTTGCATGTTGCTGAGGTTCAGTGTACAAATGATCCCATTACCGAGGTAGTGTGCATGGTACCCAATAGGTTGCTTTTCAGTGCTCAGTCCTCTTTCCTCCTCCCCTGACTACTAGTCCCCGGTGTCTCTTTTTCCCATCTTTAGGGAAGACAATTTTAATATGTTACAAATCAGCAGAAATTGCCATAACTCTTTCTGCCATCATTATTATAAAAGTAGGACACTGGTGGGCCAGGTGCAGTGTTTTATGCCTGTAATCCCAGCACTTTGGGAGGCCAAGACGGGTGGATCAGGAGGTCAGGAGTTCGAGACTAGCCTGACCAACATGGTGAAACCCTGTCTTTACTAAAAATACAAAAATTAGCCAGGCGTGGTGGCACACACCTGTAATCCCAGCTACTCAGGAGGCCGAAGCAGGAGAATTGCTTGAACCCAGGAGGCAGAGGTTGCAGTGAGCTGAGATCCCACCATTGCACTCCAGCGCTCCAGCCTGGGCAACAGAGCAAGAGTCTGTTCCCAAAAAAAAAAAAGAGTAGGACACTGGTACAAGAAGCCAACAACACAATTCTAGTCTCTGGGGGAAGGAGATAATGGAGCAGATGTAGTCCTAAGAAAAACAGACACTGCAGTTGAAGTTTACACTTAAGGCGATCATATTATTTATAGTTGTTATTTATAATACAACCTGGGATACTTTGGGAAGTGAAAATAGATGGTATTAATAATTACAGTGGTACACCAACTGTAAATTGGAACCCTGACAAATCAGATATATGTGTTATATGTGCTGTAATGTTAGTATGAAGAATGTATCATGAGTATAGAGAAGGGGGCTTGTAGGTTAGGAAAAACCTTTACTAATCTAGTCTGAGCTAGACTTCTAAAGAATGACAAAGTTGTTCCCCAAGTTGGGTTGAGAAATAAACGGCATGCCAGGTTAAAGGGACCTAGTGCCATCTTGCTGTCCATGTTGCTCTGTCTCTGTCCGTATCATTGCCTCTCAAGAAGTGCTTCATGGTTTGTCGTTTTTCTGAAACAGCTATGAAACATTCAGTTGGTTAATTGCACTTCAGTTTTCCTACCTAGGCACTGGTTCTCCCAGCAGTTTCTGCTCATGAACCTCTTTTCTAATGTGTGACTCCCTGTATTCTTGTGTCTGTCTTTATGATCTTGGGGGTAGTGGCTTGCCCTGTGTCCTCAGTTCTCTTACAAATTCAAGAAGAGTTGTTGATTTTTCAGTTTGTTCAGGTTTTTACTTGTTGTTAGCATGATGTGATGACTTCCAGGCTCCTGTTGTGTGGAACCAGAAATGAAGTCCATGTTCAGTTTTTAGTATGATAAACTTAACATTTTAGGAACATTATAATCCAGTTAAACTGATTGACTTGCCATTGTAATTGATTGACAGGTTTTTCTTTACTATTTTTGCCATTGTATTTATATTTAAAATATACCAATGATCAAAAGATTATTATGTGCTTCAGTTGCTTGAGAGGAAACATGGTTATTTCAAGTATGTAAACGGAAGATAATACTTGTTCTCTGCATTCCAGATGGTTACACCAGAACAAATAGACAAAAATTACAAAGGGGCAGATTTTGGCATCAGTAAAGAAAAAATGTTCTATTTTTCTATCCAAAGATGGAATAGGTTCTCTTGGCAAATTTTGACTTCCTCTGCATAGTTATTTTATCATAAACTAGAGGCCCTCAGAAGATGCTATCCTTGGGATACAGCCTTTCTCTACTAAATTATATAACTTTTTGAAATTAATAATTGTTAGAATTTCAGGAAATGTTAGATTGTTTGAAGCAATGCTTTTCTCACCTTTTGTACCTGTGGATAAAGGTGAGAAGATGGACTCCCAGTGTCTTCGCTAGTGGAGATAGTTTTGCTTCTGGCTTTTGCAAAAGTAATGCTAACTACAGTAATCTTCGTATGCTTTTAGTCATATCTGCTCACAATAATCATAGATGATATTAAAGACATAATTCCATATCAGATTTGTGTAATTGTTTAATTTTGTTCTACTGTTGAAGTCGCATATGTATCCAACTTTTCTAGTTGGATATATTGTAGTATTTGTTTATGTGTATTCACAAATACATCATAGAATGCATTGTTCAGCTCTACTCCCAGTCCCAGTTTCTCTTTGAAATTTTCAGGAAGGTAGATAAAATGATAAAAGTTAGATTTGTACAGTTAATCTCATGGTGGCTTGGAGATTGGATTAGAAGAAAGAGAGGCAATATAAGCACAGGGAATTAATTCATTGTGCAGCTTTTGCCATAATTTAGGTATGAGTTAGAAGAGCACAATTGAAATGTGGCTGTGGTTGATAGAATTTAAAAAAAGGAAAAGATGTCAGAAACTTTAGAGAGGAGTAAATAGCACTTTGCTGGCCAGTTGAAGGTGAGAGATCAGGGAGAGGAAAATGTCAAAGATAACTTTTAAGGATAAATTTTCCCTTAAGGTGGAAAAGAATTTAAAGGACCAGTAATTACTCAGAGTTTGCTTAACTGCCTTTTCTTTTCAGTGCCTCTTTAAGGCGGTTATCAACAAACCTGGTCAGTCATTAACTGTAATAATCATTGTTTCTGAACAGTTATAGATGATAAATGGAAATATATTTAGACATTTGCTTCAAGATTCTAGTCAGCCTCCAGCCCTTCAAGAAAACATTTTATAAGTGATTTTAATTAGAAGGAGCTCATGAGTGTGAAAAACCTTGTATGAAGCCTAGAAGAAGAGATAATGACAGGAACTAAAGCTTTGTTAGGTTCATGCTGCCTGATAGCCGTTATATGCATATCACCCTCCTTTCACATACTCCTTTTGTAGTTGTTTCTTTTTCCTTCTTCTCTGTCCTCTTGGTGTTTTGCTTCACAGGGCAATTGGAAGGGATAATTAGCAATACTTACTGGAATTGGTACATGACCAGACATATACTTCATGCTTAGTAAATGTTGGTTGGACCCTCCTCCTCCTGAGTACTGTTAGCAACAACAACCTGGTCTTAAAAAATGTTTACTCACATATTTATTATTTAATATAGAAAAATAATTCTTGAAAGCCTACTGTGTGGCAGAGACTGTGGTAGGCATTTGAAGATAATTGTAAGCAAGATGTCCTTGTCCTCATAAAGCTTAAAACTCTTCATAGAATCTTGGTTCATGTTATATAACTGTTCACCTGTTTTTTTACTGTCCTGTTTTAGAGTGAAAATATTAGAAATTACAGAGCTACACAGATAACGCTCTAGAGTAAATGACATCTCATCCAAACTACTGAGAGTTTAGGTAAGAGTGATGGGAAATTAAAGGCTAGGTAAGTGATGGGATAGTGAATAAGAATTGAGGGATCCTTGAAGTGACCGTAAGATGTTGGGGAATATATTCTGAGAATATACTTATGACAACATAGTGGCCTGTTGAGTTATCAGCATATTTGGCTTTATTAAATTTGTACTGACTCCTTTAATTTATTATAATTTACTACTCTTGCATGACTGAAAAAAGTTTTTTTAAGGATTTGTTTGAGGTTTCATTAATAACAGTTTTAGATAGAATTATGTATCAAAAAGTACGTCATATGTTATATAAGCAAAACAAATTCTACCTGCATATTAAATGATTTCAGGTAATTCACACTAAGAGGAAGAGGGTCATAATTTCTAGTATTTGTGTAGCACTTTATGGTTTGAATATTTCTATATGGAATATCTAATGTGATCATTAACATAGCTCTGGAAGGTCATTATTGTTTCTACTTTAAAAACGAATTAATCTTGGATCATGAAAGTAATGTACTACTAAAACCCTCATATAATAAAAGTTAATTTAAATAGACTAATGTGTTAAACACTTGCCTGGGCCAGCTGTATAAATTTCACATGATTACTCTGTGAAAATTGGTTATGCTAAACAAATAACTTTTAATTATAGTCATTATTTATTGAGTAGCTGTTATGGGCTAGGCACTGTGCTAATAAGGAAGTTATATCTCACATTTTGCAAAAGCATTTTTAAAGTAGGCAAATATTTCCACTTTACGTAGAGAAAATGGATGCTCATAAAGTTAAGTGATTTAGCCAAGGCTACATGGTTTAGGGGTGAATGAGCTAGACTTGAATTCAGTTCTTTTTTATTCCAAAGGTTTTTTTTCCTTTCCATTACTCCCAAGTAGCATGTGCATGCCATCAGTTTTTGGTCATTAATTTACTATAGGTACTTGGATTCAGATTTGTTTAAAAATCAGTTTTGTGTTGTGTTATTTATTGACAGGTAAAGATAACAATATAGTTTATTGCAGCAAGTTATAAAGCAGCATATATTGAAGCCAATTTTATATTAATGTTTACACACATATATACATATGTGTGTGTACATGTGCACATACAGAGAATTGAGCCAAGAAATAAATAAATGAATAATTAGTGAATAATGGTTTATATGTTAGTTTTCTCTTGGTGGTGTATGTATTATGTATCTTTGTATATGTGTGTGTTTAAATATGTAAAGTGTTTTATGATTAGTGACTTAAATGCATCTTTGTTGAGCTGTAATTAACACAAAATAAAATGTACATATTTTAAGTATGCATTTAAGTGTCATTCAATAATTATCCACTACTTCCAAACAAGATACAACATATTTTTATCCCCTTCCCTAAACCCCCTTGCCTGTTTCCAATTGGTTACTTTATCTTCCAGCAATCACTATCTGATTTCTATCATCATAGATTACTTCTGCTTATATTTGCATTGCATACAAATAGAATGATACAATATATACTCTTGTGTCTGGCTTCTTTTTCTTAACATTTTTGAAATTCATCTATGTTGTATGTATAAGTAGTTTGTTTTTTTCTTATTAATATTGTTTTGGTTTTAAGAGACTGGGTCTTGCTCTGGCACCCGAGCTGGAGTGCAGTGGCACATTCGTAGCTCACTGCAGCCTCAAACACCTGGGCTCAAGGGATCCTCCTGCCTCAGCCTCCCTAGCTGCTGGGATTACAGGCACGAGCCACTGCACACAGCTCTGTTCTTTTGATTTTTGATTAATATTCCAATATGTAGATATACTACAATTTGTTTATCCATCTGTTGATGGACATTTGGGTTGTTTCCACTTTGGGGCTGTTATGAATAAGGCTGCTATAAATATTCTTGTACAAGTATATTTGTGGGCATGTATTTCTAACTGAGAGTGAAATTACAGAATCATAATATTGACAGATGTATGTTGCCAACAGTTCTTTAAAGTGGTTGTAATATTTCATGCTCCTCCAACAGTGTGTAAGAATTCCAGGCCGGGCGCGGTGGCTCACGCCTGTAATCCCAGCACTTTGGGAGGCCGAGGCGGGCGGATCACGAGGTCAGGAGATCGAGACCATCCCGGCTAAAACGGTGAAACCCCGTCTCTACTAAAAATACAAAAAATTAGCCGGGCGTAGTGGCGGGCACCTGTAGTCCCAGCTACTTGGGAGGCTGAGGCAGGAGAATGGCGTGAACCCGTGAGGCGGAGCTTGCAGTGAGCCGAGATCCCGCCACTGCACTCCAGCCTGGGCGACAGAGCGAGACTCCGTCTCAAAAAAAAAAAAAAAAAAAAAAAAAGAATTCCAGTTGCTCCATGGCCTCTCCAACATTTGATGTTGTCATTCTTCTTGATTTTAGCTATTCTTATAAGTGTGTAATGGTACTTCTGTGGTTTTAATTTTCATTTTCCTGTTAATTAATGATGTTAGGCACCTTTTCTCATACTTTTTGGCCTCTTATCCTCTTTTGCTTTCACATCTATTTAAATCTTTTACCTGTTTTTACATGGGTTATTTTATTGTTGATTTGTAGATGATAGTCATATATTGGTTATTAAAATCTTGTCTGATGTTTGTGCTGTGAATGTTTTTTACCCATTTTGTGGATTGTCTTTTCATTTTCTTAATAGTCTTTTGATGAGCAGAGGATTAGATACTTATGTCAGATAATTAACTTTATACTAATTAAGACTGCTTTCTATTGTTCTGTATACTTAGAAAAATATTTAACACTGATATGTAAAAATGCTTCTGCGGGATGGAAGTGTTAGTAATTTTTTAACATTTTCTTTGGCTTTTTTATTTTTCAAAATGTCTACAAAATAATGTAACATCAGAAGTACTCTAAAAAATAAACTTTAACATAAATATGTGTAACTTATGGTGACATTAATATATAATACTCTGGTGAATACTATATACGTGCCATGCAATACATGATAATGAAGCACATATAAAACACATTACACTTACATTTATTATATTTATTTTAAACTGCTTTTTCCATTTTTACTTATAAAAGCAATGTAGAGAGATTAATTATTTTAATCTAGTCACAGCCAGGAAGTCTTCATTTTTTTTCAGTTCCTCTCATTTTGTGCATGTTTTTTATACTCATTTAGAGAAGTAAAATATAGTCCAAGATATAAAAATAAATCATCAGTAATTTTTACCACCTAAAATTAACTTCTCTGAAAATATTTTTGAAGTATATACTTTCCTAATTGCAAGAATCCTTGAATTGCCATGTATTATCTCCTTGGGGGTAATTAAGTGTTAACCCCATCCCTTTTCAGCTATACTTAAAGTTTTATACAGTCCTCACTTCCAAAAACATATAAGGCAGTGTAATGTCAAGAAAATAAATCTCTTGACATTTTGGTTTCTCTCTCAATCTGCATTTTGTTTTTCTTAATAATGCTCAGTAATTAGTATGTGAGAGTAATACATTATTTTTTATTTTTTTGAGATGGGGTTTTGCTCTTGTTGCCCAGGCTGGAGTGCAATGGTGCGATCTCGGCTCACCACAACCTCCGTTTCCCGGGTTCAAGTGATTCTCCTGCCTCAGCCTCCTGAGTAGCTGGGATTAACAGGCATGCGTGACCACGCCCAGCTTATTTTGTATTGTTAGGAGAGACGGGGTTTCTCCATATTGGTCAGGCTGGTCTCAAACTCCTGACCTCAGGTGATCCACCCACCTCGGCCTCCCAAAGTGCTAGGATTACAGGTGTGAGCCACCGCACCTGGCCATCCATTAAATTTTTAACTCATCTATTAAAAACAATACCACAGAGTATCTACAGTGTCACAAGCAGAATAGGCAACTCCTCGATGGAAGGACAGGAGAAGACAGATCAAATTAAAGATGGTTGAAATCAATTGTATTCAGCTCTACAATTGAATATATTAAATCACTGGATATTTGGAATTGCTGCAGTTACTGCATTACTTCCAGAGAGATTCATCAGGAATACGTGTAGTATTTACAGTCTACACAATATGATGAAAAGAGCCACTGTAATTCTAGTAGTTCTTTTGTATTTTGCTTCCTTCCATTTGAGTAGTTGCCTATCATAGCAGGCTACCCACATTTATTTTTTCCTTTTGTTTTGTTTTGTTTTGTTTTTGAGACAGGGTCTTGCACTGTCTGTTGCCCAAGCTGGAGTACAAGTGACATGATCACTGCCCACTGCAGCCTTAACCTCCTGGGCTCAAGCAGTCCTCCCACCTCAGCCTCCCGAGTAGATGGGACTACAGGTGTGAGCAACTGTGTCTGGTTATTTTTTCCTTTTTTCTCTCATACAGCCATGGTTTTCTAAACTTTAAGGCTTCAGAGAATATCATCTTATTTCTGACCTGATACTTTTCACGTAGTGCTGTTATCCGTAGACAGTTTTAGAGAAGGAAAATTGGAAACACAGAGTAGGAAGAAATAGAGACAGGTAAACCTCTCTTTAAGTTTCTTTTTGCTATTTCTATATCTAGTCACCCTATCCCCCATATAAAAATCATGTCAATCTCAGCTTGCTCACTACTTTAAGTGGTGACACTCTAAGGGTTGACAGACTGCAGCTCGAGAGCCAAGTTTGTTTTATTGGAACAGTGCAATGAACTGAATGTTTGTGTCATTCAAAAATTAATATGTCAAAATCCTAACCCGTAACGTATTGGTATTAGGAGGTGGGCCTCTGGGAGGTAATTAGGTCATAAGGGTGAAGCCCTCACAAGTGGAATTAGTGCCCTTATAAAAAGGGACCCCAGGGAGTTCTCTAGCCCCATTTCCCCACCATGTGAGGAGACAGTGAGAAATTGGCAGTCTGCGACCTGAAAGAGGAACCAGGACCTGACCATGCTGTCACCCTGATCTTGGACTTGCAGCCTGCAGAACTATGAGATATAAACTTCTGTTGCTTAATAAGCCATTCGGTCTCCATTATTTAGTTTTATAGTATACTGAACTGACTTAATACACATGAAAAGTCCATTTTCTGCACTTGCTTTCTGATCTAAAACATTAGAGTTGCATAGCTGCATTGGAGACTTATGGCCTGCAAAGTCAAAATAGTTACAGAAAATGTTTTTCAGTCCCTGGTCTAGCCCTGGTCTAGGTAAAGAAGAAAGCAGAGATTTCTCATTTTATTACCAGGGAAACTTTAACCTGTTATTTCAAGTTAAAAAGTTCCTCAGCAGCATTGTACCACATGAATGTTAGATGGTAGTTTGGTGTCTAAAATGGCCCTAATACTGTTTTAATTGATCTGGAAGTCAAATACTGTCTGGGAGGTGGAGGTTCTTGGTAATTATATAAAGGAGAAAGCTTTGAGGAGGAGAAGGAGGGAGAAAGGCTGATTCATTTTGGTTTGGGTTAAGAAGGATAACATCTTCATTAGGCAAACATTTGACTCATTGTTGAGTTATCATCACCTGTCAGTTTTTAAATTATGTGCATGCAGTTTGTTGTTGTTGTAATCAGTTTTCTTCCACTTCTATGTTAGATACATTAGAGAGGGAGTTGTCTTGTTTATTGCTATATTTCCAGTACTTAAAACAGTACCTGATCATAATAGCCATTCAGTTAATATTTGTTGAATGAATACACTTAGATATGAGATTTTGCTTTGTAACAAGATTGTGGTTTTAAAAAAATGTCTGCAATCAGTTTGTACCCAGAAAATAGGCAGTATTTAAAAATTTGCAAACCTTTGTAAGGAATCTATCTTTTCAGACTAATCATCGTAACTATTAGTCCTGTTAGATCATTAGATAGCAGTAACTATATTGTCACGAGTTAATCTGTTTGGTGCCTGACAAGCTAATGATAAACTGAAGTAAAATGTTTAGATTATACATTTCCATTAGAAGAGTTTCACACTAGCTTCTATGAACCTCAACCCTGACTTTGCAAACTACCATAGGTCCTAAATTATCTAGAGGGTTGTTATAAAATTTTTATGAACTTCTCAAATATAGTTAAATCATCTTAATGCCATTGACTTGCTTATAATTATTCTCCTATAGTCTTTTCAAACAGATACAATTTATAGTAGTGAAAAGATATTACTAAATACAGTGACCTATTCATGGCCCCTTGTAATTCTTTTTAATATATCCAGTCTCACTCAGTGATGGATCATTCAACTTTCAAAATAACTCCCCAAAATCTCTAAGTATAAAGACATACGCTAAACCAGAAGTCTCTAGCCCCTGAGCCTGGACTGGTACAGGTCTGTGGTTTGCTAGGAACCGGGCTGCACAGCAGGCAGTGAGCAGCAGGGGAGTGAGCGTTACTGCCGGAGCTCCACCTCCTGTTAGATCAGCAGCAGCATTAGATTATTAATAGGAGCACAAACCCTATTGTGAACTGCACATGCGAGGGATCTAGGTTGCGCACTCCTTATGAGAATCTAATGCCTGATGATTTGAGGTGAAACAGTTTCATCCCAAAACCATCCCCACCCCGGGTCCATGGAAAAATTGTTTTCCACAGAACCTGTCCCTGGTGTCCAAAAGGTTGGGGACTGCCACACTAAATCACTTAAGATTGAATTTTATTTACATTAAAAATATTTCATCTGTCATGAAAATCCAATGATTGATCTCAGCATGTAGCAACTTCAAAGCAATTGGAAATAGCTAAGTAGTGTACTTAGTGCTTTGACACCACATTTGTTGTCATAGACAACACCCAGTATAACAGAATGGAGTAAGGTAGGCAGACGCAAGCTAAATTTAAAGCAGGACAGTGCAAACCGTTTCATTTGATGAGGAAAACACTAATTCAAAACAGTTCCTTGCATTGGTGTTAACAGATAAAAGTCTCAAAGGAAGTCATAATGGCTCTTAAACTAAAATATCAAAAACTTGGTAATGTATTTTAAAAATTGTGCTTTTGTTTTTATTTAAAACAAATAGGATGGTGAAGATTTTAATAGTTTATAGCCATCTGAAGAAATTGACACTCTATTCCGGAGGTGGCAAACTACTGCCTATAAGGCCATATCTGGCCCATGGCTTGTTTTTGTGAAGCATATTTTTAAAGCATTTGTTTCATTACTTTAAAGATGTTGCTTCATTGTCTTCTGTTTTGGACAAGAAATCCGTTGTTATCTTTTTTTTTTGCTTTGCTCTATGTAACTTCTTTTTTTTCAATCTGGTTACTTGTAAGATTTTCTCTGTCAGTGGTTTTGAGCAATTTGATTATAATCTGCCTAGGTCTAGTTTTCTTGGCTTGTTTCTGTAAAGCAAGTATTTTTTAAAGCATTTTTTCTTTCATTATTTTAAAGATGTTGCTTTACTGTCTTCTGTTTTGCCCTGTTTTGGATAAGAAATCCGCCGTTATCCTTTTTTGTTTGTTTGTTTTTGTTTTTCTCTATGTAACTTCTTGTTTTTAATCTGGCTACTTTTAAGATTATCTCTATCAGTGGTTTTGAGCAATTTGATTATAATCTGCCTAGGTCTGGTTTTCTTCATGTTTCTTGTGATTGGCGCTTGTTGAGCATTTTATTGGTTTATTGTTTTCATCAAATTTGGAAAGTTTTCATCCATCACTTTTTTCTTTTTTTGCAAATAAGACTTTATTAGGTACTTTCTCTCTCTTATGAGGAGGATTTGGGTCCTTCCAGATGAAGCTCCAAATTGCTAGACAATACACTGTTTCCTTCAGTTGCAGCAAGTTTATCCCACAGTGGGTGCTCAGGAAAGCATCTTGAGGGTGAATGGGTTTCAGGCCATTCATGGTTAAGTTTGTCTGATGCTTTTGTTAGTTAAGATGTTCCTGTGTCATTTCTTGGAAGCAGTTTTGTGTCTCCCTCCAAATAGTCCACCACCTGGCTGCACCCCACCTCCATCTGTCCCCCAGCTACCAGGTAATAGTGAATGGTTCAGAAGGTGCTGCTCTAGGGCAGCCAGGCCTTTAGCTGCAACACAGAACAATGAACAGCAGCAATTTCCAACTCCCTTCATGGGTCTGATGCGAGGTCATTTTGATGACCTTCTAGTTGCACAGGATAGAGCAGTAAGACAGCAGAAACACCGCTGGCAGCACCTGGCAGGGGACAAGAGCCGTATTTGCAATAGGCCTGGGAAGGCTGGGTGGCCTTTAGCCATCATTTCTTCAAGTAATTGCTCTGTTCCCTCAATTCTTTCTTTTCTTTGGGGTTTCCAGTTACACATATGTTAAGCAGCTTAAAATTCCACAGCTCACTGATGAGGTTACGTCCCAATACATGCATTGTTAAGTTGAAAATGTCTTAAGTCAAAAATGCATTTAATGTACCTAATCTACCAAACATCTTAGTTTAGCCTAGCCTACCTTAAACATTCTCAGAACACTTACATTAGCCTATAGTTGGGCAAGACTATCTAACACAAAGCCTATATTATAATAAGATGTATTATATTTCATGTAATATATTGAGTACTATATTGAAAAACAATGGTTTTATGGGTTCTTGAAGTATAGTTGCTACTAAATGTGTATTGCTTTGGCACCATGTAAAGTTGAAAAATTAGGTCTAACCGTTCTAAGTCACAGACCATCTATATATTTTATCTAATTTTTTGGTTTACTCAAACAGGGACAGTATATTTCGTCCCTTTTACTACACTGTAGCCATGCTATCAAACAGCTATCAAGTGAAAGTTGTGATGCTGAGATTTTTCTTAGTCTGTTTCATGCTGCTGTAACACAGTATCTGAGACTGGAGATTTATAAAATACAGAGATTTATTTCTCACAGTTCTGGAGGCAGGGAAGTCTGAGGTCGAGGGGCCTTCATCTAGTAAGTGCCTTCTTGCCATGTCATCCCATGCTGGAAGGTCAAGAGAGCACTGGAGGTGGGGTGAGGGGAGAGATGCTTGTGAGAGCATGAGCACAAGCAAGGTGGGGGTGGTGCATGCAAGAGAGAGCCAAAAGCTTTTATAACAAACTCACTCTCATGCTAACCCATTTCCTCCTTAACAATCCATTCATGGGGGCAGAGCCTTCATAACCTAATCACCTCTTAAAGGTCCCACTTCTCAGCACTTTTGCATTAGTGGTTAAGTTTCCAACACAACTTTGGGGGGAACACATTCAAATAATAGCAAGATTTAAGATTTTGTGGTTGAGTAATTCCAGGCAATGATACAGAGCTGGACCATGGGTACAGGGGAGTAGAGATGTGAAGTTAATTGGATTCGTCACAGACTTTGAAGTCATTTAAATTAACAGATTTGGGGTGGAGGGTAAGACTTTAAACCAAGAGCCAAAGTTGTGAAGTTTTAATACTGCATGTTTTATGTGTTTGAACAGGAAAATACTCATAAAATTGTGTTAAATTGTCTTGTCTTTCCTTCTAGAACCTTCTGATAACTTAAGAGAGATTCTCCAAAATGTGGCCAGATTGCAGGGAGTATCAAATATGAGAAAGCTAGGCCATCTGAATAACTTTACTAAGGTAAGTAACTTGAATTTTTATTATTGTCTAAAATTCTTTGTTCCTTACCACACTTACTAAATGTTTCTTGACCATCATTAAATACAAATTCTTGTGTATTCACTCAGCATTAATGCTTTTCTTTCCTGCTTCTCATGGATTTTGTCCAGTGTATCTTAAAAATGTATTTGTGTAATAGAAGAATTATATCTTTGTTACAGAAAATTTGGTAGGTTCAGAAAAGAATAAAATCACTGAGAAATTTACAGTTCAACCTTTTATTCACATAAGGATGTATTTCTTTTGCCTTCTACTCATTTTACTTGATAATATATGGTACAGGCATACATTGGAGATATTGTGGGTTTGATTCTAAACCAGTGCAATAAAGTGTCGCAATAAAGTCAATGTTGTAATAAAGCAAGTCACGAGTTTTTTGGTTTCCCAGTGAATATAAAAAGTTATGTTTATACTATAGTGTAGTCCATTAAGTGTGCAATAGCATTATGTTTTTAAAAAATGCGTGTACCTTAATTTAAAAATATTGATTAAAAAATACAGTCATCTGAGCCTTCAGCAAATTGTGGGGTTTTTTTTGTTGGTAGAGGAACTTGCCTCAATGTCAGTGGCTGCTGCCTTATCAGAGTAGTGGTTGCTGAAGGTTAAGGTGACTGTAGCGATTTCTTTAAATAAGACAGCAATGAAGTTTGCCGCATTGACTCTTCCTGTCACGAAAGATTTCTCCGTAGCATGCAGTGCTGTTTGATAGCATTTTTTCTTTCAAAATTGGAGTTAGTCCTCTCAAACCCTGCCACTGCTGCATCAACTAAGTTTCTGTAATATTCTGAATTATTTGTTGTCATTTCAACAGTGTTCATAGCATCTTCACCAGGAATAGATTTCATGAAACCCCGTTTTTGCTCTTCCATAAGAGGGAACTCCTTATCCATTAAAGCTTTTTTCATGAGATTGCAACAATTCAGTTGCATCTTCAGGCTCCCCCTCTAATTCTAGTTCTCTTGCTATTTCTTCCACATCTGCAATGACTCCCTCCACTGACACCTTGAACGCCTCAAAGTCATCCATGAGTATTGGAATAAACTTCTTCCAAATTCCTGGTAGTGTTGAGATTTTGATTTCTTCCCATGAATCAGGAATGTTCTTAATGGCATCTGGAACGATAAATCCTTTCCAGAAGGTTTTCAGTTTGCTTTGCCCAGATCCATCAGAGGAATCACTGTCTATGGTGGCTGTAGTGTTGTAAAATGTATTTCATTAAAATAAAACTTGAAAATCAAAATTATTCCCCAATTCCCCGATTCATGGGCTGCAGAATGGATGTTGTGTTAGCAAACATGAAAACAACATTAATCTCCTTGTAACTGTCAACTCTTGGGTGACTAGGTGCATTGTCAATGAGCCGTAACAATTTGAAAGAAATCCTTTTTTTTCCTGAGCAATAGCAAATACTGTTTTCTCAACAGTATGTTTAAAATATGTAGTAAACCATGCTGTAAACAGATGTGCTGTCATCCAGGCCTTGTTCCATTTGTAAAGCACAGACAAAGCAGCTTTAGCATAATTCTTAAGATCTCTAGGATTTTCAGAATAGTAAATGATCATTGGGTTCAATCTAAAGTCACGAGCTGCATTAGCCCCAGACATGAGTCAGCCTGTCTTTTGAAGCTTTGAAGCTAGACATTGACTTCTCTCTAGTTATGAAAGTTCTCGATGGCGTCTTCTTCCAGTTGAAGATTGTTTCATCTGCATTGAAAATCTGTTGTTTAGTGTAGCTACCTTGGTCAGTGATCTTAGCAGTATCTGCTGGATAACTTGTTGCAGCTTCTGTATCGGCACCTACTGCTTTACCTTGCCATTTTATGTTACGGAGATGGGTTCTTTCCTTTAACCTCGTGAACCATTCACACTTTTCTTCTGCAGCTTCCTCACCTCTCAGCCTTCATAACATTTAAGAGAGTTGGGGTCTTGCTTGCTCTGGGTTAGGCTTTAGTTTAAAGGAATGTTGGTAGCCAGTTTAATCTTCTATCTGGACCACTAAAACTTTCTATCAGCAGTAAGGCTGTTCTGCCTTCATATTATTTGTGTGTTCATTGGAGTAGTACTGTTAATTTTCTTCAAGAACTTTTCCTTTGCATTCACAAGTTGGCTACCTGTTTGTCTCAAGAGGCCTCTCTGGACTTTCTTCACTAAGCTCAATCTCTAATTTGTGATTTAAAGTGAGAGATGGTTGACTCTCCCTTTCACTTGAACACTTAGAGGCCATTGTAGTGTTATTAATTTGCCCAATTTTACTGAATATTTTGTCTCAGGAAATAGGCCCAAGGAGAGAGGGAGAGACAAGAACAGCTAGTTGGTGGAGGAATTGGAACACACATTTATTAAGTTCATCGTCCTTTATGGGTCCAGTTCATGGTGCCCCATAACAATGATAATAGTTACATTGAGGATCACTGATCACAGATCACCCTAACAGATAATAATAATGAAAACATTTTTAGTATTGTAAGAATTGCCAAAATGTGACAGACATGCAAAGTGAGCGCATGCTTTTGGAAAAATGGCACCAATGAACTTGCTTGAAGCAGGTTTGCCACAAACCTTCAATGTGTAAAAAACAGAGTATCTGTGAAGCTCAATAAAATGAAGTATGCTTGTAAGTATTCATATGTAACTACATATGTGTGCCATATTTCATAAATATAGCCATAAGCCCAAAGAACTATATTATAACTTTCTCTTTTCCTGATGTTGTATCCCCATTATTTGGATCTAAATTAGAGCCCAAATTGTGGGGGCCCTGGTCCCAAATAAATATTGACTTGATCTCTAGTAGCAGCCCAGAATTCTTGAGTTTGATGAGTGGATTGGTATGTTTCTCAGCCTTGTAATGCTGGACAGCCAATTCATGCAAACACTAAAATGCCTGCTATTTTAGGAGATACCCTAAAATAGAAAACAGAATGGGTCTTTGGGATAACGTTCCCCCCACCTTTTAGTATATTAAATATAAATTGTTTTTAATGAAAGAATCATTTTATGTTTAATCCCTTGCTGCTCAAAATATGATCCACAGTTCATCAGTATTGGTATCGCCTTGAAGCTTGTTTGAAAATGCACTATTTTAGCCCCACCCCAGACCTACTAAATCAGGATCTACAGTTCAATAAAGAGTCTCAAGTAAATGTATGTGTACATTCAAGTTTGAGCAGTACTGTTTTAATCCTTCCAAATATTCTTTGTCAAGTAATTGAACTGTGACTTGGATTTGATTTTTATTTCATAGAAATAGAAGGGGATGAGAATATAGTCACTATGTAATACAATTTTTTATGTAGTATTGTGCAATAAATATAGGTTTTTTTCTATAGCTAGAGAAGCAAGTACATAGGCATTTATTTTTCCGTAGTGAAGTTTTAAAATACTCTGGCTGTTTTTTAATATATAAGAGATGATAAAATGATTTTATATGAGGGATGAGAAAGTTTTTTTTTTTAAAAAACAGCTTTTAAAAACATTGACTAGGTACTGGAGAACGGGCTTTCAAAAGTATGGGCATGTATTTTGTAGTGTGAGTGAATGTAATGAAAATCTTCAAACATCTTTCTTCAACATGGTGGTGAGATAATGTCAAATCTTTAAGACCGCAACATTGTTCCAAGGTTGCAAAATGCATCTTCTAGTTTCATTGTCTTTTATTAAATTTTATAGTTTTATTTCACCAGTCTTCACTCAATTCAAATAAGCCTCACTTGCTTAGTTTTAACTGTTAAAAACAATTATAATAGAGGTCTGTGTCCTGTTTGCAATTATAATTACTGTTATAACCAAGTTTGCACAGCTAGATAATATAGTTCCACATCTCTTGCCAACAGGATTCTGAAAGTTGGGGATGGAGGTAAGAATGGCAGTAATTCCTGTTATTTTACTTTGTTACTAGCATGGGTCTTACAGCAATCTTAAAAATCTAGAATAGTGTTGCGTAATAGAAATATAATGTGAGCCACATGTGTAATTTTAAATTTCCTGGTAGCCATACTAAAAAAGTAAAAAGAAACATGACATTAACTTTAATATTTTTATTAAGCCAGTATATCTAAAACATCATTTGATGTAATTAGTATAAAACATTATTAAATGTTATTTTACTATTTTTTCATACTAAAGTTTTGAAAGCAAGTTTATGGTTTATACTTAACAACAAACTTCAATTAAGACTAACTACATTTCCAGTGCTCATAGTCACTTGCAACTAGTATCTACTAACCACATTGGACAGTGAAGATACACAGCTTTTTGGAACAGGAGTGGCTTAAAAGCCTTCATTTCTAGGAATCTGTTGAACACCTCTGGCCTTCATTTCTAGGAATCTGTTGAACACCTCTTATTCTCCCTTCTCATTCTTCATTTATTTCTGTCTAGGTCCCAGGTTTTCTTGCATTAGGATTAGTTTCCCTTTTTTTCTTTCTTCTTCTCTCTTCAGTTTCCTTGTTTTCTGTTGGTCTAAATTTCCCCCACAGTATTTCACTAAGTTATTCGCTCCACCTCCTCTCTCTTTCTTGATTTGTGCTCCCCCACTCTCTTCTGCCCTTTCTCCTTCTCATCCCTTCTCTACTTCTTCCTTTCGCCCCTTCATCTTCTCACTCTTTTCTTCACCCTTCCTTGTCACCTTTCTCTTCCTCCCTCTTTTCTCAGTTCCCTCTCCCCCCTTCTCTGTTCCCCCTCTCCTTCCTTTTCTCCGTTGTACCACTGTAGAGTATGCAGTGTATCTCTGTAATGAAGGCTCTAAACTTTTTGTACTTTTTGTCTTGTTTGTTTTTTGTTTTACCATATCCTTTTTAAAATGATTTTCATATATCCCTCTGGCCTTGGTGCAAGCTTTGTAGCAGCCCCTTTCTTTGCTATGTTGCCATGATTTTAAAATCCTGATAGCCAAACTTATTAGAATTTGTCTATTCTAAGAGTGAGTACGCCCTGAGTCAGGATCTTAGGGGCTGTCCCATGAATAAAGTCCATGAACTTTGGACTTCATAAAATCTATTTTGGCTGCTTAGTGATGTGCTGGGAAAAGCATGAGCTTTAGATGAAACAGATGGAGACTTGCAGCCCAACTGTGATTAACTGTCAGGGCAATCTTAGGCAGATTTCTTTACTCAGAGGTAATCTTGCTTTCTGTAGAGGCAAGGTCTCAGTCTAGTGCCTGACACATAATATGTGCTCTGTAATAGGTAGTGCCTTGATTCAACCTCATGTTTGGTTTTTGTGTTTTGTGTTTTTTTGTTTTTTGTCACTTCTCTAGTTTTTTAGCTGACTGTAAGATGGTGAGTCTGCTTAATAGTTTGAGTTGTCAGTTGGTAAACTATTACTGTAAATCAGGGTTCTTCAATGCTGGCATTACTAACAAATTGAGCCAGATGATTATTTGTTTTGAGAAGCTGCTGTGTGTATTTTAGGGTGTTCAGCACTGCCCCGGCCTCTACCTACTAGATGCCAGTAGCACCCCCACCCCAAACCAGTTGTGACAAGCAGAAATGTCTCCAGATATTGCCAAATGTTCCCTGGGAGACAAAATTGCCCCCCATTAAGGACCATTTCTGTAAATAAATGTGTGTGTAGATTTTATTATAAAATTTATTCAAATATGCAGCACAGAACACTGAATTTAATTGTACTGTGTCTTGAATTCCATTTGTTAGAGACCTGGGTTTATAAATATTTAGGTAACTAGTATTCCTATAAAACCTGTAAATTCATTCATTTGCTTATTGAGTAAAATTTAGGAATTCTCAGCAATTTCTGAGAATAGCTCTATAGAATAAGAAAATAAGAAAAATAATTATGATGCCAGGACTAGTGGAGTTTGTTTGCTACCCTCTTCTGTGTTTCCATTATTTGATAGATATGCCTACTAAATTTTATCTATTTTATTATTTATTGTGGGTTGCTCTGTTACTAAACTGAGTTTCTCAAACACAAAAAAATACGTAGTATTTATTTTTCCACCCTCATATCCCTCTCTACTCAAAAGCGTGTCACATAATATGTGTTTAATTAATGGTATTATATTAGATTGGGAAGATGATGCATTTTAAATATGAGTTTTTGTTTTTACTGGCATTTGTTTTGTTGTTAAGTATAAGCCTGTTAGGATTAAGTTATCTTAATAGAACAGTGACATTAAAATGTTGTATAGGGTGAACTTCAGCTTCAAAACTAAACTTCCTTTTAAGGTATAAAGAAACGGAGCTAGTGATGTGATCCTTTAACCATGTGAATGTCACACACCCATGCTTGCCTTCTGACATCATCTCACTGGATAAAGTAATGTGTATAACAGACTGCTGATGAGTATAATCTTAGTATTCTATTTTTATAACTGACAACATGCTCATAATCTAAAGACCTGCTTTTTAAAGATGAAAATATTTTAGCTCGTTTATATCTTAAAAGTTCTCTTTTCCTATATTTAATCTCATATATTTATATTAAAAGCTTTAAAAGAATATTTATTTTGTTCTGCTTTTTAAAAACTTTAAGGTATTATAAGCTGAGTAAAAAAAATTAAAATGGTACAGAAGAATATATGATAAAAAGTGAAATTCTTCCCTTTCATACCCTTCCCACCCACCTCCCTGTTCTGACAGAAATACCACTCTCCAGAGGTAACCACTAGAAAGTATCCTTTTCTGGTATAATTATAAATGTGTATGTGTATTTTCTTGGGAATTGTGAGATTTAAATGAGCAAAATAAAATGAAGTGTTTACTATCATGCTCAGTTTATTTGCCATTTATTATACAGTTATACGTAATTTATTTACCATTATTACACAGGGTATGGTAAAGGAATGCATCGTTAGGTGATTTCATCATTTTGTGAACATCATAGAGTGTACTTACACAATCCTTGATGGTGTAGTGTACTACATATCCAGGCTATGTGGTATAGTCTGTTGCTCTTAGGCTATGAACATGTACAGCATATTAGTGTACTGAATACTGTAGGCAGTTTTAACACAATGGTAAGTGTCTAAACATAGAAAAGATACAGTAAAAATATAGTATTATAATCTTATGGGACTACAATTCTACATGTGATCCATCATTGACTGAAAAGTTGTTATGCAGTGCATGACTGTAGATGTATATGCAAAAAGGTATTTTTTAAATGACAGCATGATATGTGTATATAAATGTGTATGTGTGTATATATATCTTTGTATGTAAATGTGTATTGACTTGCAGTTTGCTGCTTTCCACATCCCAATATATCATAGCATGCTTTCCTTTTCTATACATGTCAATCTACTTTTTTTGTAGCTCTGTGTGTGTGTGTTTGTGTCTAAATTGCCATGTAAAAGACTGTGCCATGGAATTCTAGTATGTGAGATAACATTTTTTAAAATTAGGGTTGTTGTTTCTTTTGCTTATTTACAACTATTTAACCTTCAGAGTAATACAAGTAAAATGGGAGTAGCATTTAGAACTACCTAGTTTTAACTAGTCATTACATTTTTTAAAACTTGATCATTTTAATAAACAGACAAATTTTTAATACTTGGAGATAATATACAGTTCTGTTGTAACTTTGACAGGATATAATTGTTTATAGCCCTTTTTGAATATTTTAGTATTTGTGTAAGAAAGTCATGTAGATTTATTATAACAAATAACTGATTCACTGATGATGGACATGGATTTTAATAGTCAAACCAGTGACATTATCAAAATCTTTAACCCGTCTTAAAATAAGATTTGTATAATAGTATTTGTTTTGCTTTTATAAAAATGTTAAGTTTAACGTGTTATACTCATAAAATAATTGTGGACTTAAGATACTGAAAGTTTAACTTGTTTATAAGTAATAAATTCAACAAACTTAATTCATCTTAGCTAAAATATAAAGAAATTTTTTGTGTACATAATTAGGAATATCAAATGTTGGATCCTAATTTCAGACAAGACAACCCAGGGGTTGAGACACTGTCAATTACATGCTGCCACTCTATTTTTCATTCCTGTTTTCTTTCAGGTTGTCTTCATTCTCAGATAAACACTTTCCATGGGACTAAGATAAAATACATCATCCTTAATACTTCTAGTCTTGAAAAGCAGAGAGTAACCCTCTCTTAGCATCTTTGTATATGAACTCTGATGTTATTTGGTCAGGTTTAGCTAGGCGTTGTGACTGATAGCCAATTAAAAAAAATGCATGGATGGCATGGGGAGTGCCAAACCCAATGAAAAGTGTGGTGTCTAATAATTTAGCATTTTATGTGACTGTAAACGCTAATTCTTAACATTTTGTAAAGTCTTTAACAATTTCTAAACATAGTCAATGATTTGTTCTTAATATATAATAACAAGCCTATATAATAGGGTAGTCAGAATTACATTTTAATGACTTACATTAATACAGGAGATAGGATGTCAACAGTAACGGCAAAAATAGTAGTGACGAAACTGCTACCTAATTGTTGAAGATTAATTAGCAACTTGATTATTAGTAGAGGCTTCGCAGGATGTCCATGTTTTAACTCACTCTATGTTCTTCTATTTCTTCTTGTATCTTTCATAGTATATTAGTCCATTCTCATACTGCTGCAAAGAACTGCCCGAGACTGGGTAATTTATAAAGGAAAGATGTTTAATTGACTCACAGTTCCACAGGGCTGGGGACACCTAAGGAAACTTACAATCATGGTGGAAAGGGAAGCAAACATGTCCTTCTTCACATGGCGGCAGGAGAGATAAATGAGTGTTGAGTGAAGGGGGAAGGCAGCTCCTTATAAAACCACTGATAGTTCTCTCAGAGGACTTTTTAAGGGGGAAGGAAGTCCCTTATAAAAGCGGTGATAGTGAGTGAGTTCTCTCAGATCTCATGAGAACTTACTCGCTATCACGAGAACAGCATGGAGGAAATCACCCCCATGATTCAAGTATTTTCACGTGATCCCACCCTTGACACATGGGGATTATTACAATTCAAGGTGAGATTTGGGTGGGAACACAGAGCCAAACCTTATAATTCTGCCCTGGCCCCTCCCAAATCTCATGTCCTCACATTTCAAAACACAAATGTGCCCTTTCAACAGTCCCCCAAAGTCTTAACTCTTTCCAGCATTAACCCAAAAGTCCAAGTCCAAAGTTTCATTGGAGACAAGGCAAGTCCCTTCCGCCTATGAGCCTGTAAAATCAAAAGCAAGTTAGTTACTTCCTAGATACAATGAGGGTACAGGCATTGGGTAAATACACCCATTCCAAAGGGGAGAAATTGGCCAAAACAAAAGAGCTACAGGCCCCATGCAAGTCCAAAACCCAATATGGCAGTCATTAAACCTTCAAGTTCCAAAATGATCTCCCTTGACTCCATGTGTCACATCCAGGTCACACTGATGCAAGAAGTGAGCTCCCACAGCCTTGGGCAGCTCCACCTCTATGGCTTTGCAGGATACAGCACCCCCTCCTGACTGCTTTCATGGGCTGGAATTGAGTGCCTGTGGCTTTTCCAGGCGCCCAGTGCAAGCTGTCGGTGGATCTCCCATTCTGGGGTCTGGAGGATAGTGGCCCTCTTCTCACAGCTCCACTAGGCAGTACCCAGTGGGGACTTTGTGTGGGGGCTCCAACCCCACATTTCCCTTCCACAGTGTCCTAGCAGAAGTTCTCCATGAGAGCTACACCCCTGCAGCAAACTTCTGCCTGGACATGCAAGCATTTTCATACACCGTCTGAAATCTAGATGGAGGTTCCCAAACCTCAATTCTTGACTTCTGTGCACCCACAGGCCCAACACCATGTGTAAATTGCCAAGGCTTGGGGCTTGCACCATCTGAAGCAACAGCCTGAGCTCTGTCTTGGCCCCTTTTAGCCACGGCTGGGATACAGGGCACTAAAGACTACACAAAGCAGCAAGTCCCTGGGCCCTGACCAGGAAACCACTTTTTCCTCCTAGGCCTCTGGGCCTGTGATGGGAGGGGCTGCCATGAAGATCTCTGACATGCCTTGGAGACATTTTTCCCTATTGTCTTGGTGATTAACATTCAGATCCTTGTTACTTATGCAAATTTCTGTGGCCAGCTTGAATTTCTCCTCAGAAAATGGGTTTTTCTTTTCTGTTGCATCATCAGGCTGCAAATTTTCCAAACTTTTATGCTCTGCTTCACTTTTAAACATAAGTTCCAATTCCAGATTGTATCTTTGTGAATATATAAAACTGAATGTTTTAAAGAGCACCCAAGTCACCTCTTGAATGCTTTGCTGCTTAGAAATTTTTTCCACCAGATACCCTAAATCATTTCTCTCAAGTTCAGAGTTCCACAGATTTCTAGTGCAGTGGCAAAATGCTGTCAGTCTCTTTGTTAAAGCATAGCAAGTATCACCTTTATTCCAGTTCCCAACAAGTTCCTCATCTCCATCTCAGACCATCTTAGCCTGGACTTCATTGTCCATATCACTATCAGCAATTTGGTCAAAGCCATTCAACAGGTCTATAGGACGTTCCAAGCTTTCCCACATTTTCCTCTGTCTTCTGAGCCCTCTAACTGTTCCAGCCTCTGCCTGTTACCCAGTTCCAAAGTCACTTCCACATGTCGTGTATCTTTACAGCAGTGCCCCACTCTCTGTGGTAGCAGTTTACTGTGTTAGTCTGTTCTCACAGTGCTATAAAGAACTGCCTGAGATTGGATAATCTATAAAGGAAAGAGGTTTAATTGACTTACAGTTCTGCATGGCTGGGGAGACCTCAGGGAACTTACAATCATGGCGGAAGGGGAATCAAACACATCCTTCTTCACATGGCAGCAGGAGGGAAAATGAGTGCCTAGAAAAGGGGGAAGCCTCTCATAAAACCATCAGATCTCGTGAGAACTCACTGTCAGACGAGATTGGGTGTGTTCAGGGTGATATGGTCATAGATGGAACTCACTTTCACATGAAGAGCATGGTGGAAACTGCTCCCATGATTCAGTTATCTCCACCTGGTCCTGCCCTTGACACGTGGGGATTATTAGAATTCAAGGTGAGATTTTGGTGGGGACACAGAGCCAAACCATATCACATAGAAAAAGAGCTAAACAGTTTAATGTGTACTTTAGGGTTTGGTTATTTAAATTAGGAGATAACTAGTAAGGTAGTCATCACAAGAAGTTTGTATCAAAGTCATTCTTATTCATAATATTTTGAGATTTATATATGAATTCTTAGTGATTAGCAGTGAAAGTATAATATTTCTTTGATAATCCAAAATTTAGAATTCTATTACTATCTTCTTTCCTATTCCCAATATATATGTGAATTTATTTACACATAGAAAGTTTAATCACTGCTCGGGATAATTCTAATTCAAAAGGTTTTTCATTTAAGACTGATTAAAGCCCTCTTCTACAGTCCTGGAAACAACCTGAAGGCATTTAACCATTATTGAATGGTTAAATGGTTAAATTTAACCATTATTGAATTCCATTTACTATGTCTGGAAAATAGGCACTAATTAATAACAAATATATTGTGTTTCTGCCATAATTGTTCTTTTTAGTTATTTATGATTTTCCAGTTTCCAGCTGATTCAGCATCTTTCTCAAAAACTTTTCTTGCATTTGAGATGCATTGACATTAATAATCAGAAAATGACACACCTCTCTAAACACTTTTTAAATGGTGCGTGTTTGTTTTTTAAGATTATAATACCTTTGAATTTTGTTTAACTTTTTCACTAAAACTGCTAACTCTAGGAAATGTTAAGTGATAAATGGTCATATATTTTTCTCGTCTGAGAAGGTAGATAATTTGAAAATTGTGTTCTCTGAATCTATAGTTTTCTACAAGGTTGACTGGCAAGTATGAAAAATATAATGCAGGAAATGAGAGTCAAGTACACACTTAGGGGAAAAACCAACCTTTTAAAGGACAAGACTTTGTATATTTGTAGAATTTTACAACCTTTCATTTTATTAACATTCATTATTACTGTAGCAGAGGAATGGAAATACTCCCTTTTTAAGCAGTTGAGTTGATATGTGTAAATTATAATTTAAGAAAGTAACATTTTTTCCCAGTTTGAAAGCACAATATTTTGTATGTTGATATAAACAAATTCTAACCTTAATTTTTCTATATTATATATATTTGAATATTCCCAAGGATGAAGTAATGATAACACTGTAAGCTGACCATATTTTTCTTTCTTACTCATGTATGGTACCACATAGTGATAATGCTAGTATTCTGAAATATGTGAGAAATCTTTAAAATAATAAATTATTTTAAGGAGTGAAAGTGCAGTTTTTTATATTTTAATTCTTTGAAATGGGCAGTTTTTTTTTAATGGTATATTTTTAGTTAGCAGTTCTGGAGAAAACAATAGTTAAATTTTCTTATTTGTTTTATGTATATATATAGCCAGGGTGCAGTTCTCCAGATTCTTGATGCCACATTTGAGGCTGGAGAAATGAAATAAGATGGTAATGTTCAATTGTTTTTTACTTCCCCTAACCCCCAACCCTGTGTAAATAATTTCAATACAAAATTATAGTAATATTTTTCATAGTGGGCTCTGGCGTCAAACTGGTTTGATCTGATTTCCAGCTTTACCACTTAATTAGGCTTTGTGGCCTTAGGAAGTCATATTAACCTCTCTAAGCCTCAGTTGTTTTCATTTACAGAAGTACTACCAGGGTTGAGAAGATTACCAGTCAATAATTGTTACTTCTGTGTGTATTCATCAATACTATATATAAAACTATTCCTAGATGGTGTGATACATGTTTAATTGTGAACATTTATAAAATACACAAAAACGCAGAGGAGTTGTTGTTAAAAAAATTTTTGGTGTTAAAATTTTGATGTATATCCTTTTTTTTTAAAGTGTGTTTTTAAGAAATATGTCTTACAGAATCTTTTCCCCATTTAGCAATAGATTCTGCATATTTTTCTTATGATTGTATATTACAGTATTTTAATGGCCTCATGAAGTTCCTCCTTTATAAACATTTTATTCCCATTTCTTTAATGTTATAAATAATGTCATAAGCATCTTGTACTTGAACCTACTTTATATTAGTAAAATAATTTAAAATACATAAATCTCCAAAAGTGGATCTTGATCCTAGTGCATTTTTCCAATTTATTTTATAAAATATTTTCAGTTTTCAATCCCATTACCAGTATATAATAATATTTAAAATAATATTTTACAATATATTTAAAAACTATTATAGTAATATACAATATTTAAAACTATTTTCTGAAATATTTACAATAATAAAATAATATACAATAATATTTAAAACAATATTTTGCCATTTTTGTGAGTTGTAAGTAGAACTTTGCAATTCATTTGATTTGGGTTTTAGGAAAAATGAATATATGTCATATTTATTTGTCAATTATATTTCTTCAGTAAATTCCTTGTACATTTTCTTTGCCTGTTCTTCTTTGGGGTCCTGAGAAGTTTTTCCTCAATTTGTTTCAACCTTTTACATTATAAGGATCTGTATTAGTTTGCTAGGTGAGGATGGAATGCTGTGAGCTGAATTGTGTCTCGTCAAAATTCGTATGTTGAATTTCTAACCTCCAATACCTCAGAATGTGACTGTATTTGGAGATAGGGCCTTTGAAAAAGATAATTAAAGAAAAATGTGGTCATATGGGTGGGTGGGCCTAATCTAATATAATCTCTTATAAAAAGTGTAGATTAGGAGACAGACATACACATAGGAAGATATAGAAAATAGCCATATGTAAGGCAAGGAGAGAGACTTTAAAAAAACAACAACCCTGCCAACACCTTGATCTTAGATTTCTGGCCTCCAGAGTTATGAAAAAGTACATTTCTGTTGTTTAAGCCACCCAGTCTGTGACATATGTTATAGTAGCCCTAGCAAACTACATACAGTGCCTTAACCTTTTTCTTACCATATTTGTTGCAAATATTTTTTACTAACACATTGTCACTTTTAATTTTAGGTATATGGTTGGTTTTTTAGAGGTATAGAAGTTTTATCTCAAAACTTAGAAAATTTTATGTTATTTTAAATATGTATGTATAAAAACGCATTCTCTTAAATTTGTAACTACTTTCAACACTGTACAAGACAGTAAAAACAAAAGAAAAACATACTCTTTGAAAGTCTGAGGCCTCTTTGTTCGTCATATCAGAATTTTAAGGAATACCAGTATTGTAATATCAGCAGTGTTGCAATATCTGATAGCAGCTATTCTAGTCCTGTCTCCTACCCTATTCTGTTTGGGACCCCCTCCCCTCCCCTCCTCTCCTCTCCCCTCCTCTCCCCTCCTCTCCCCTCCTCTCCCCTCCTCTCCCCTCCTCTCCCCTCCTCTCCCCTCCTCTCCCTTCCCCTTCCCTCCCCTTATTTCCTCTAAAGAAAAAATTGGACAGGAAATTTTTACAGTTATCCTACCAATAGGGTAGTGAACTTTTATCAGCTTTTTCTTAGGGTCCATGCTTCTCGTGGATGTGATGTGATATGTTGATCACTTTGGTTGCTTTATACTGTATGGTTACAATGTTTATAACTTCATACTGAGAAAGAATATTAGCACTTTGGAGACCCTTCTTGGTCTTCAGTGTTAAATAAATGATTTATCTTCTCTTTAATCCATTTCAGTTAGCCGCAATAAATCAATTAAGGACATTATATGTAACTTTTAGGTAAAAGTCAATTCTCCAGACTCATATCTAGATTAAACTGGCATATATTCATCCAGGTGGGATCCATAAAGGTAGTATTAGACCACCGCTCTCAATGAAAACTAGGAAAACCTGTTTGAAGGCAGCAGGAAGCTGCTCGGGCAACAATAAGTGCAGACACCAACCTTTCAGAAAAGAGAGAATCTTGTACAAATAAGCTGCTTCAACAACTTTTTCCCAGGGGACACTTGCTGATGTTAAGTATGGGCAGGAAACGGGATTCAAGCATTAGGCCCAGAAATACTGTTGCCGAAAGTCAAAAAACAGCACAGAGGTTTTGGTGGAGTCCTACCTAGATGCATCAAGCATGAGGAGATTCTCCCCTCAGTTCAGTTGTTTAATCCTGGGGCTACCTGGGATGAGAAACTTAAAACCTAAGTAGAAAATCTTTGAAAATCAGGAATGGAGTTTGCAGGACAAAAATTAAATTTTTCATCCTCCTTGGACTAGTTTTCTTAACAATAAGCTTTCAGTTGAAACTTCAGGTGGCAGGGAAAAAGCAGAGGTAGGCCTGGTCTTACCAGGGCAACCACCTAACGTGGACTCAACACCATCTAGTGGTTTAACAGAAAGAAGGCTGAACCTTCTGTGGAGACAGATAACACCATCAAATCTTTGCAAGTTTTTATATACAATCAAAGACTAAGGAGCTACCAAAGGACAGGATTACATGACTAGAACAAAAGGGAAAACAGTTAATAACAGATCCAGAGATGATCCACATCATTCAGGTTTATTAGATGAAACCTATTTTCAGTAACAACTATGTCATGAACATAGAGGACGTATGGAGAAAATTGATGTGAAATGAAGAATTTCATTAGCACATTGGAATGGCTAAAAGGATTAAATGGAAATTCAAGAAGGGAATAATACAGTATCTACATTTAAAAACTCATTAGATACATGTAATAGAAGATTAGACACATCAGAAAACAGGTTATAGAAAATATTCAACTGAAGCATTGAGATAAAATGGAAAAAAAAAAAAAGAGGATTTACGGATTTGTGATACACATGAGAAGATCTGGCATACATTTAATTGAATTACCAGAAGGAGAGTTTGGACAGAAGTAGTTTTGAAAATATATTGTATAGAATTTTTCAAAACTGCAGAAGTAGATCAACCCAGAGATTTAGGAAGTTTTGTTTACCCTAAGCAGGATAGCTACAAAGGAAACCACACCTAGAAACATTGTAATAAGATTGCTGGAAACCAAAGATAAGGAAAGATGTCTTTAAAAGAGTCTGAGTGAGAGGCCGGGCGCTGTGGCTCATGCCCATAATCCCAGCACTTTGGGAGGCCAAGGCGGGCGGATCACCTGAGGTCGGGAGTTTGAGACCAGCCTGACCAACATGGAGAAACCCTGTCTCTACTAAAAATACAAAATTAGCTGGGCGTGGTGGCACATGCCTGTAATCCCAGCTACTAGGGAGGCTGAAGCAGGGGAATCGCTTGAACGTGGGAGGCGGAGGTTGCGGTGAGCTGAGATTGCACCATTGCGCTCCAGTCTGGGCAACAAGAATGAAACTCCATCTCAAAAAAAAAAAAAAAAAAAAAAGAGTCTGAGAGGCCCAGTGCGGTGGCTCACGCCTGTAATCCCAGCACTTCAGGAGGCTTAGGCAGGCAGATCGTGGATCACCTAAGGTCAGGAGTTCGAGACCAGCCTGGCCAACATGGTGAAACTCCGTCTGTACTAAAAATACAAAAATTAGCTGGGCGTGGTGGCAGGCACCTGTAATCCCAGCTACTCGGAGGGCTGAGGCGGGAGAATCACTTGAACCCGGGAGGCAGAGGTTGCAGTGATCTCAGATCAGGCCACTGCACTCCAGCCTGGGTGACAGAGTGAGACTCCGTCTCAAAAAAAAAAAAAGAGTTTGAGAAATAAATGACATGACTTTCAAAAGAGTCAACAATAAGACTGATGGCAGACTTCACAACTGAAATAGTGGAGGCCATCTTGAAACTGTTGGAGGAAAATAGCAGCTAACCTAAACTTCTAAATATCCAGCAAAATATTCTTCAAACTTCAATGTAAAAAAAAAAATTATTTCCAGAGAAATAAAAACCAAGAAAATCATTACCAGCAACCTGGTCTAAAATTAAAACACTAACAGAACAAGTCAACAGCAACAACAGAGTTCTTCAGGTAAAAGGAAGATATCCCAATAAGGAACCATCAAAATGATGAATAATAAAAAGGGTAAATATGTGAATAAATATAAACTGATATTGACTAAATACTGTTAAAACCCATTAACAGTAATACGGTATAGTTTTTAAAAGATAGAAAAAACAATTGTAAAGTGAAATGTGAGGGGAGAAAGTGAAATTAAAGTGTGAGATTCTGGCATTGAGGACATTGTGAAGTGATACTTTTTGTTAGATAAGTCAACAATGCATGTTGTAATCTTAATAGTAGCCACTAAAAGAACCATTTTTAAAACAGTAAATTATTGAGAAGGAAAATGGAATAATAGAAAACAAATGATTTTTTAAAAGGCAGGAAAGATAAAAGATTAAAGAAACTTAAAACTGGCAGGTCAAATGAGAAATAGATGATACAAATAAAGCTGCTGATTTGAACAGTAAAATCATATTTTTCAAAATATTATTCCATAAAAATACCTTATTTTCCAGTGTAAATATATAATGTATATAAATATGTGAAAATATACAACACATAAATGCACACTTATTTTGTTTTTCTGACAGCTTCTTTGTGATATTGGCCACAGTGAAGAAAAACTGGGCTTTCACTATGAGGATATCATAATTTGGTAAGTGTGGTTCATTCCCCCCTCCCATCCCTTTCAGATTTTAGTAATTTTAATTTTAGTAATTTTAAACTAGAAATAGAATAATACAGCACCTCATATTTGATTTTATAGAAATAGTTGCTTGAACATTAGAAAAAATCTAAGAGCTACAGTAGTTTTGTTTTTGTGAGTCTTTGTGATATTTTCTAATTACTAAATATGAAGAACCAAAGTGAATGTTCAAAAATATCTGGACTTCTATAATTTAAACTTTTAAATTAAATCTGAAATTTGCAGACTAAATTTCTCATATTATTCCCAGGAACAACTATAACTCTAGGTCTTACCTAAGAGAAAGTTTGTGCTTACAACAGACTTGATTTGCCCATGCACACTAATAGAGGCATGTTATATGGCTTTATAACTATCTTTTAGGTACTCTTAGGAATTAAAATTGATATAAAAGGTCTGTGCCTGCTATTGGCATAAATTATTATTATCATTGATTTAAACCAATGATTTTTGGGAGGTATGGAACCAGGTAGGCAGAGAGAGGATATTCGATTGTAGAGACACAAATGGTACAGCTTGAAAAAGGCTGTACCATTGTTTATATAAAACAAAGGCTGTTTCCATTGTTTATATAAAATAAAGTACAGAAGGTAAGAAAGAACTCAATAACATTTTCTTGATTGGTAAGAATGTACTAAGGAGGCACAGATTTAAAAAAACAACACTAAGTGAAATTGTGTGGCTTGGAGTGAGTAATTTTTATATATGTAGAATGCTCTTAGAATTCTGTGCATGACTAGAATTTTTGCATATTTTGGCTGAGGAATAATTTGGTAATATAATTTTGTGTGTATTTGAAACCTGTGCAGCAAAACTTGTATTTTGTTTGTTTTCATACAGTTTGCGGTTAGCTTTATTAAATGAAGCAAAAGAAGTGCGAGCAGCAGGGCTACGAGCGCTTCGATATCTCATCCAAGACTCCAGTATTCTCCAGAAGGTGCTAAAATTGAAAGTGGACTATTTAATAGCTAGGTAAATTTCCTAGACTTGTTTATATATTTTTGAAATTTTGTGTTGAGTTTTTAGCATGCCTGCCATAAAGTGTATAGATTTGTACTGTAGTGTAACTTTGATGAATTTTGTGTGTGTGTATATATATATATATACACACACACACACACACAACCAAGTAACAAGATTTAGAACATTTTCAGCATCCCAGTAAAGCTCTGTTACATCTCCAATCAGTTGTAAACATTATTCTGACTTTTCCCATTGCAGACTAGTTTTTCCTGTTCTTGAGCATTGTGTGTTGGACGTATACAGTAATTACTCTTTCTTCTTCTCATTATTATCTTTGAGATTCATACATGTTGATTTTTTTTTTTTTTTTTTTTGCTGTGTAACATTTCATTTTATAAATAGACCACAATTTATTCCATTCTGTTGAAGCTTTTCTGGGTTGTTTTCAGTGTTTGACTATTTGGAATAAAGCTGCCCTGAATGTTCTTGTAGAAGGCTGCAAGAATATTCTTATAGAAGAGGAAATGCACTCATTTCTCTTAGGTATATGTAGAACTAGAATTTCTGGGTTATAAGGTACATGTATGTTTAGCTTTAGTAGATATTGCTAAATAGTTTGCTAAATGATTGCACTGATTATACTTCTACTATTATGTATAGGAGTTTCAGTCTCCCCGTGTCCCCATCAACACTTGCTATTTTCAGTTTTTAGTTATATCCTTTCTTGTGTGGGGTCTCATTGTGGTTTTAACTTGTGTTCCCCGGTGAGTGATGATGTTAGGCACTTTTCATTTGCTGGTTGAAAGTTTGGATAGCCTATCTTTTGCTCATTTGTAAATTGGATTATCTTTCTTGTTATGTAGGAATTCTTGATGTATTCTGGATATGAGTCTTTACAGATATATGTATTGAAAATGTCTTGTTTCAGTTTGCCTTGCCTTTGCCTTGCCTCTTCATTCTTTTAATGGGTCTTTGATGAACAAAAGTTCATAATTAGTGAAATCCAGAATGCTTTTTGTCTATTTGGAAGAGATCTGTGTTTTCTTTTAAAGGTTTTATTCCTTTATACGTGTTTAAGTCTTTGAACCATCTTACTTGATTTGATCTCATTTGATGGTTGTGTAAGATATGAGATAGATGGCAAGTCATGATTCATTTTTATCTTTATGAATATCCAATAAAATTAGCACCTTTTATTGAAAATATTTTCGTTTCACGTCTAGATTTGTGTCACCTTTGTTGTAAATCAGGTAGTTCAGTAGCAATCTATTGTTGGGTTCTCTATCCTCTTTAGTTGGTATATTTGTCCTTGCACCAGTTTCTCAACTGTTTTAACTACTGCAGTTCTATAATGTTTTGATATCTGTTAATGTGAGTCTAATTTTGCTTCTTCAAGACTATTTTGACTAATCTGGGTTCTGCATTTTCATCTAAGTTTTAGAATAAGATAGTCCATATCCACATAACTTGCTGGGATTTTAGCAGGGATTGCATTGATGCTCTAGATTAATTTGGGGTGAATTTACATCTTCATACTGAATTTTCTAAACATTTATTTATTGGAAACTTTGATTTCTGTCAACAGTATTTAGTAGTGTGTGTTTGTTTGTTTTTTGCAGAAGTCCTGAACATATTTATTCAGTTTATTCTAAGATATTTTTCTGATAGTATTAATGTAATTTAAAACATTCTTTTCTGTTTTTGCTACTAATATATAAAAAAATTGGGGGGAGATATTGACCTGTTGGAGATATTGACCTCTTATTTAACAGTTTTGCCAAATTCACTTTTCAGTTCTGGTTGTTTGTAGATTACTTTGGATTTTCTATGTGTATAAGCATTAATTACAGATGATGTCCATTTTATATCTTCCTTTCCAATCTTTATCTTTTTCTTACCTTACTACATGAGTTAGAATATTGCACTGAATAGGAATGATAATAATGGACAAGTTTGTTTCGATCTTGAACTCAGGTGGAAAGCATTAAGTATTTCACCATTATTTATACTTTCTATAAGCTTTTACTAGATTTTCTTTATATTCCTAGTTTGCATTCTTTAAATAAACACCACTATTTGTGATATATTGTTCTCTTTATATGTAACTTAATTTCCTTGCTAATATTTTATAGATTTTTGCACCTATGTTCATGAGAGTTGTTGACCATTATTTTTCCATTCATCTAAAGTCTTTGTCTGGTTTTAGTATTGGGAGTATGTATGTTTGTTTTATAAAACAACTAGGGAAATATGGCCTTGTTTTCATATTACCTGGAAAATATATGTAAGATATGTATTTTTTTTTGTCCTACATGATTATAATTCATTAATGGATCTCTCTGGCTGGGTTTTCTTTTTCAGCCTGTTTTAAAATTATAGACTCAATTATTTTTCACCCATATAATGCTTCCTGACTTTTCTTTTTCTTGTTTCAGATTTTGAAGCTTTGTTGTTACTTCATGTTTAGAACTGCTAAATCTTCTTATTGGGCTTAATCCTTTTATAATTATAAAATAACCCTCTTTATTCCTAGTAATACTTCTTTTATGAGTGTTCATGTCATCTAATAATACATTACCACCTTTCTTTTGCCTAGTGGTTGCATGGTATACCTTTTACCATCCTTTTACTTTCTTTTTTTGTCTTTACATTTAAGTGTCTCCCCTGTAAATATCATATAGTTTTTTTCTTTTTTTATATCTGGTTTGACCAACTTTGTCTTCTTATTGGAGTATTTAGACTATTTATGTCTAGTGGTTTATTATGTGCATGATTTATGGACTTTGTCTAATGTAATTATTTGTGTGTATTTATGAGTTTGTTGTCTCATTACTAGCTTCCTAATACTTGAATTTGTTTGCTATCTTGGTATTTGTATTCTATTTGTCACATATGTTCTTTGTTCTTGTATTTCTCCTTTTTTTTGCTTCTTTTGAAATAACAATATTTTTCCTCTTTTCGTGTCTTGGCTATGAAGTCTTTCCTTCTTTTTAGTAGTTGTCCTAGAGATTGGAACATATATCCTTGATATATTAAGTTCTGCTAGTCATCTTTTGTCTGTAAATCCCTCTATTTTGCCTTCATGTTCAAAGGCTGTTTTCACTACCAGTTACTTATTTTTCAATGCTTCAGTTGTTGTCTTCTAGATTTCTTTTTCTTTTTTCTTTTAACAGTTGAGCAATAAGTAGCTTCTCTTGTTGCTTCTTTGGGATATATCTTTTTACCTCTGGCTGCTTTAAAGATTTTTTTTTTCTCTGTTGTATATTCTGTCCTATTGATTGGTACTCCATCTATACACATGTTGGATCTTTTCACTGTCCCACGTTTCTGATGCCATTATTGTATTTTTCAACGTTTTGTTGTGGTTAATCTTTGTATTTCAGTGTGCTTAGTTTCTACTTACCTGTTTATTAAAAACCTTTCATCCTGCTAGTAAATGACTCTCATGAATTCTTAATTTCAGTTATGATTTTATTATTTATTTTAGGTTTGTTTTTTTTTTTTTTTTTTTTTTTTGCCTGTTTGTTTGAGATGGAGTCTCGCTCTGTCGCCCAAGCTGGAGTGCAGTGGCGCAATCTCGGCTCACTGCAACCTCCCTCTTCTGGGTTCAAGTGATTCTCCTGCCTCAGCCTCCCGAGTAGCTGGGACTGCGGGTGCGCACCACCACGCCTGGCTAATTTTTTTCTATTTTAGTAGAGACAGGGTTGCACCATGTTGCCCAGGCTGGTCTTGAACTCCTGAGCTCCAGCAATCCGCCTGCCTCTGCCTCCCAAAATGCTAGGATTACAGGCGTGAGCCACCGCACCTGGCTTATTTTAGTTTTATTTAAAGATTTCAGGTCTCCGCTTCATTTCTTCATCTTTTCTTCTATTTTCTTTAGCATATTAACCATAATTACTTTGAAGTCCCCTCTGACAACTCCAATATGTGAATCACCTGTGTTCTATTTGTAGTGCCATTTTCTTTTCTTAGTTTTTGGTTCTTGGTCCTTTGTTTGTTTTAAACCGTGCCTCATATTGTCTGATAGAATGTGAACATTGGTATTCAAAATTGTTGGGGCTGGGCTTGGTGGCTCATGCCTGTAATCCCAGCATTTTGGGAGGCCTAGGCGGGCAGATCACTTGAGGCCAGGAGTTTGAGACCAGCCTGGCCAATGTGGCGAAACCTCTGTCTCTATTAAGAAAACAAAAATTAGCCAGGCATGGTGGCATACACCTGTAATCCCAGCTACTCAGGAGGCCAAGGCACCAGCTCTGTCTCAAAAACAAACAAAATATCCAAACAAACAAAAAAACACAATTGTTGTCTCAGGATCATGTTATTTGCCTTGTAAGAGAGTTAAGTTTTATTCTAGTATGTTGGTTTATTACACTGATTCTGTTAAAGTTTGGTTTTAGATTTGCCTTTGCTCCTAGCAGTGGCTATTTAGGATCTCAGAGTGTAGATATTGAGCAGAATCTTTTCACCTTAACCAGTCTTGAACCTTTACCTATTTCTTAGAGTATTGTGTTTCTGCTGAAATCTATACTCTGTTCCTTTGTTTCTTAGAGTGTAATTCTGCTTTTGCACAATGTGGATGTTGACAAGTGTCTTGGAGAGAACACTGCATGCAGATTTTAGCTCACTTTCTTCTGTTTTCTTCTCTCAGGGATTTTACCCCTCAAGTCCCAGCTACTTTGGCTGCCCTGAAGTTAAACCTCTGTCTTTTCAGTACGGCCAGATTTCTGCTTTCTGTTAGGACTCTGCCCGTAAGACCAGGGATTGACATTGACAGATGCACCCAGGGAACAAATGTGGTTGAATGTGGAGCTCCCTGTGCTTCTTTTTTCAGGGATTATTCTTCATTGCCCTTTTAACAGTTGTTTTATACTGTAAAGTATTTTTTTTTTTAAATCTTCTTGGTTGTTTTTGGGAAGACAGTCAGAACCTCTCATCTCTGACATGGCCAGGAATGGAATTCTAAGTCCATTTGAATTTTAATAGGATTGCCTTAGATTAATTGTATTCAGATAGAAGAAATGCTTTTTGAATCACAGACTATCTATATATAAAGCATTGATTAGAATAATGAACTGTCTAAATAAAAATTATGCTTCTACATAAAAGACTTTCAAAACTGGATAATTTAATAAATTTTACAAAGAAATGTCAGTTTGGTGCTATTTGTTTGGACATCAATATTTGAAGTGAATTCAGAATTCAAATTATATTTTGGTAAGATAGAATTTTTATGGATAGTGCCTAATTTAGTTTAAGCCCTGGTCAAAATTGCAATTAAATGAAAACAGCCTTGAATTATTTTTCCTTTACAATTTTTATAAAATGTCTGAATTTTATCAGAGATAAGTGAATTTTTTTAGTAGACTTTTTACACTTTATGTTTATTATTCTTTCTTTATGAATAGATGTAGTCTTGTAAATTACTATACTGTTCTTTCCTAACGTTTTAAAAGAAAAAATTGGTCTTTTAAATGACAGATATTTATCCCTCGAGATGTATGGGTTAATTAAATAAATATATGCTGGTACTGAGAAATCATATACCAAAACAATAATATACCATATTGACATTGTGAAAATGGGTTTCATCTATCAGTATTGTGATACAAAAAGTTGTTTAATAGAATTTTATCAATGATTAATATTTTGTGTATTGTTTAGGTGCATTGACATACAACAGAGCAACGAGGTAGAGAGGACACAAGCACTTCGATTAGTCAGAAAGGTATGCTCTATGTGTGAGAGTAAAAGGCAAATTTATGGTTTTTATGTTAATATTTACATTTTTAGATTAGACTTTTGTGAAATCTTTATTAAGATTAAAGACTAAACTTTTATTAAACATTTTTATTAAAGTTTTATATTAAATAAATTCATTAAACTTTGAGGTAAACAAATATTTTGTGGAATTCTATGTGATTGGGTATAGGTAGGGCAATATTTCTTATAAAATGTTTATTTTGAAGAATATTTCTTCCTTCAGTAGACATGTAAATGTAGTTACTGCTTTGATAAGTTACTAGAGGAAGAGGATTACTTGCTCCCCATCCTGATTTTCTCTTAATTGCATACTTAGAGTTAATAGTATTAAATGGAAGTCACAAATACTAAGAAGTTCATTGTTTTAAAGGTGAATTTGGATACAATCTGTGGGCAGTTGCAATAAACAATTCAGGCCCTTGTACAGGATAAAAGGTCACAGCCTACACTCCACAAGAGAGGGTGTTAAGGACAATCCATAATGCTTCTCTTGAGAGGCCTTCAGGGAATGCTTTGTTGTTTTTACTTGATACCCTAATGGTGGAAGAAGAGAGTGAACTGAGAGTAAATATGGTTGGGACACAGCCTGAGTGAGACAAGTGTCAGTCATATTTTATCTTAATGTTCATGAGAATCATGAAGTATATGTTTGTTTGCATAAAAAATCTAAAAATATTTTCCAGTTGAATTTTTTAGTTCTTTTTTTCTCTTCCTATCTTTCAACTCAGTACACAGGTTCCAAAATGGTGTACTGTTCAATTTCTATGTTAGCTAGGGTTCCCTGTTTTTCCCTTTTCTTAAAATTGTCTACCTTTTGGTTAGTAATAGTAATAGTACTCACAGGTGAACAAGTAAATGGATGAGTTAAGCCTTAAAAGAAGTTTGAAATTCGACTAAGAATGATACCGGAAATAGATTAGGAGACTCTTGTTATAGGCGAACTGTTACACTAGGATTGTAATTTGACTTTTCAAATTCAGATTTTAAAAATCTATGGTTTTTATTTATACAATTCTTCCTTCTTCCATGACTGAGAATTCAAGATAAAACAAAATTTGTTTCTGAAGAACCTAGAACAATTTTTTGGTTATTTGGGTTATATGTCAGTATTTATAATGTTAGGGACTAAAATATATATTAATATGTTTAAAATAATAAACACATTAAATACAAATATAAATAACATTTTTATGAAAACCATATTTTATTTTATTTTATTTTTTCAATAATTTTTGGGGTACAGGTGGTTTTTGGTTACATGGATAAGTTATTTAGTGGTGATTGAGATTTTTGTGCCCCTGTCACCCAAGCAGTGTACACTGTACCCCGTATGTAATCTTTTTATCCCTCACCTCCTCCCAAACTCCCCCCACCTCTGGTCCCCAAGTTAATTATATCATTCATATGCCTTTGTGTCCTCATAGTTTAGCTCTGCTTATAAGCAGGGAACATACAATATTTGGTTTTCCATTTCTGAGTTAATTTGACTTAGAATAATGGCCTCCGGCTCCATCCAAGTTGCTTCAAAAGACATTATTTCAATTGCTTTTATGGCTGAGTAATATTCCATAGTGTATAATACCACATTTTCTTTATCCACTCATTGGTTGATGGGCACTTAGGAATGACTATATTTTCCAAAAAATAAAATTAATGAGAAGAGGGCTATTGTTTTAGAGTTTTGCAACTCTCTTTAATTTTGTCTTGATAAACGAGTCAATTGGATTATCATATTTGCTTCTGCATTCAGTCTGTTTTGATAACACATGCGGTGGAGCCCCCGGAAAACTTTAGTACACACTTGTGAGAAAATAAGAGTAAAAAGGACAAATAATGTCTTTGTATTGCTATGCAGAATCTCTGAAAATATCTTAAGGACCCTCAGAATTTCCTGGTCTACACTTTGAGCATAACCGCTTTAGAGACTGCTGTCAGAAGAAAAGACAATTTCAAATGGATTCAGACAATTAAATTCAATTTTGGATATTTTAGTAAATGTTTTACTTCAATTTTGTATTTTTGCATAAGTTAAAATTTAATTTAAAGTAGTTTTTAATTGCTCAAAAATAATAGCATAACAAAAATATCATTTCATTTGATTGTCTTCTGAGATGCAGAGTAGTTGACTCACATACCATTTGTGAATCCTAGAACAGGAAAATTGCTGATATTTGGTGGTGGGATATAGAATCAGCGGTAGAATTGTGGCACAGGGCTTTTCCTTGGTTTATGCTAAAAGGGTTAGAGTGAGAGCACATTTGCTGAACGAACAGTGGCCTCTATCGGCCAGAGAAACTATAATTTCATTAGTGCTTTTGGCATCTGAAGCACTTTTTTTTTTTTTTTTTTTTTTTTTTTTTTTTTAGTAAAACCTTGGCAGCTGTACTACAGGTTGAGTATTCCTTATCCAAAACGCTTGGGACCTGAAGTTATTTCCCATTTTGTATTTTTTTGGGTTTTGGAATATTTGTGTATACACAGTAAGTTATCTTGTGAATGAAACCTAAATCTAAATACAGAATTTATTTACATTTCATATACACCTTGTACACATATCCTGAAGTTAATTTTGTATAATATATATATATTTTTTTGAGATGGAGTCTCGCTCTGTCACCCAGGCTGGAGTGCAGTGGTGCAATCTCGGCTCACTGCAAGCTCCACCTCCCGGGTTCAAGCCATTCTCCTGCCTCAGCCTCCCCAGTAGCTGGGACTACAGGCACCCGCCACCACGCCCTGCTAATTTTTTATTTTATTTTATTTTTAGTAGAGACGCGGTTTCACCGTGTTAACCAGGATGGTCTTGATCTCCTGAGTTCGTGATCTGCCCGCCTTGGCCTCCCAGAGTGCTGGGATTACAGGCGTGAGCCACCGCGCCTGGCCAATTTTGTATAATATTTTTAAGAATTTTGTGCATGAAACAAAGTTTATGTATATTGAACCATCAGAAAGCAAAGTTGTCAGATGCTGAATTTTCTACTTCTGGCTCATGTCAGTCTCAGAAAGTTTTTGATTTTGGAGCATTTTGGATTTTTGGATTAGGGATGCTCAACCTGCAGTATAAATTAATATTTAATATTATAATTACTATATCACTGAGTTTTTTTGTATGAATTCCCAAGAGTCTTAAAATTTCTAATAAAAGTATGTCTATTATATTTTAAAGGATAAGGAAAAACATTTTTTGCTTTAGGATAACTTACACTATGAATAATTAAGGAATTCTTATGTTACTTTTTCTCTTATTTTACCCATCTCATTCATTTGGAAATGTTCTGTCTGCTTTTTTCTTTTCCATGTCTCTGATTTCCCCCTTCTCTCTCCCCCTTCCAATGCAGGCAGCTCTTTTCTGGCTTTATCTCCCTCATTTTTAATGTAATTTTTCCACTAGTCAGTTACTACTATTCTTTTCTTAATCTTATTTAAATTCTACTCGCTGCCCACCTAATTTGAGCTGTCATTTTTTTCATATATAGTTTCTTTATTCATGTAATAAGGAATTCCACAAACTTTTTACATTTGAAAGAGATTCATTGGCTGGTATCTCATGCCCTTGATACATAGCAAGATAGTGGCAAAGCCAGAGCAAGAACCCTCTTCTGCAAAATTTCCAAACCTACATTGGCCCATGAGTTTGAAGTTCAACCTGCCAACTTTGGCCTTCAGAGCCCAGTTTTGGTCCAGCCAACTATTTTTATCTGACATGTCTTTTGCCACCATGTGTAGGCAAACTACCCACCACTACTACCACAATTGTTACTTCCTTCCTACTCTTCATTTTCAGCCCTTCTCACCTTACATCGATCTTCTAGTCTGAGCTCAAATATTAGATATTCCCCTTAGGTAACTCAGTGCTTCTCTAATTCCTTTGTGTCAGTTCCACAAATTTATTACCTAATCATGATCTTTAATTTGTTTTATATGTCTGCCCTGTCATGCCAGAAGAGATTATTAAACTTTTACAGTTTTAACAGTGACTGCATTTTATGGCTTCTCCCTTACTGAGCATTCATTGATTTATGAGGAAAGCATTCTCTGATTTACACACAATTTAAGAGTTTCTTTGCATATATTTACCTGGAAAATAAGAAGAGTGATTTTATTTGTAAAAATTTTATGTATATATTTCATAGCACAATCTGGTGAATTAAGTATATGTTTAGTAGACACAAGATTTATATAGAATTTTATACTTGAAACTTTAGAAATCATCTGTTCATACATATCTTCATTTTACAAATGAGGAAACTGAGGCACAAGAGAGGATTGGTTTAGCCAAGGTAACATAGTTTATTATAGCAGACTTAACTCTAAAAACCATTTTGCCGGTTTTTTCAGCCAGCTCTTTACAGAATATATTACATGCATTTTGCTGTTTGGAGAAATTTTCTCATAAGCTCCTTATAAGAATAATAATAATCAGAAAGTATTAAAAAAGAACTTACCGACATAAGATGTTAGAATTCTTTCACCCAGGAAGATTGATTTCCTATACTTCCTATACCTCCTTCCTTCTCCCTTTCTTTCTCTCCTTTTTCAGTTAATTGAAAAAACTGACTTAGAAATGAATATGAAAGCTTTTGTAGATTCTACAGTTATTGGAGATGTATTTGATTTATGCTTGTAGAACTGTATTCTGTAATTTCAGGTGAACTTTGTAATATGTCTTAAAAATGCTGTTTAAATGACAAACCACTTACAACTACTGATCAAACAGATCTTTCTTTTGATCTTCTGTAAGACTTAATTGTGTGTCTTTCATTAGTTATATTACATCCTCTAATTGTTTCATCTCACAAGTTTTATTTTATCAACAGGACAATAAATCTAGTAATATCTGGGTCAAATTAATTTTCTCTAATATTTTATTACTATACAAACAAAATATTTTATTTCCACTCCAGTAACCTGCTATTTTGAATTAATTTGCAAAATAGTCTTTATTTATTAAACAGTAATTAGCTACATAATTTTCTGTTTCCCAAATCAAAGACATATGTTACCTGTTTTCAATATTCCAAATGTTACTGCCAGTTAGATCTTTAATGTGAGATTCATACAAAATTTTATTACAATATATTTCCATCAGGATTTTTGAAATATTAAAAATAGATTTGGATTATGAACTCTGCTTTCTGGTATAGCAACAAGTGATTGATGGGAGAGGTGACTAGAGAGTAAGGAGATCATTAGATATCTATTGCAGTAGTCAGAGTGAGAGTGAGGGCCCAAGTTAATCAATTAATTTCATGAGGAGAGGGGAGTAGAGATAAAGATGTTATGGAAGTAAATTGGTAGGACTTGGTGATGATGGTATATGGAGAGTTGGTCAGGATCGTAAAAGTACAGTAGTATATTGACTACTATTGTCCCCTCTGGTTTACCTTGTCTAGGTACTGAAAAACTGTTTAAGATTTAGGCCCTATTCTAGAGTAATTTAAAATCTCAGAAACATTTGGTCAGTGAATTTATAGTCTGTACTGTTAGAAAAAAATCTAACACATTTTCCATAGTAATGGCTATTAACATTTGTTACATCAATTATTAGTTATATTAATCTTTTGAAATATCCATAAGCAAAAGATTAAAATTGATACCTAGATCTTATTCTGGATCTTATTCTGTTATTAACTACTTCAGTCTGGACAAAATAGGTTTAAGAAATGTATTACTAAAGTAACTTCTTTTTCTGATTCCTTCTGTTACAGATGATTACTGTGAATGCTTCCTTGTTTCCTAGTTCTGTGACCAACTCATTAATTGCAGTTGGAAATGATGGACTTCAAGAAAGAGACAGAATGGTCCGAGCATGCATTGCCATTATCTGTGAACTAGGTCAGAATTTTCTTCAAGTAATGAAAATGTAATATTTTAGAAAGGATATATAACATTTGAGATATATATATCTATCATATATCTATCATATATATATCATATATCTCATATATCTCATATATCATATATCTCATATATCTCATATATATCATATATCTCATATATCTCATATATATCATATATCTCATATATATCATATATCTCATATATATCATATATATGATATATATCATATATATCATATCTGATATATATCATATATATGATATATCTGATATATATCTGATATATATCATATATCTGATATATGTCAGATATATATATCATATATCGTATATATATCATATATATCGTATATATCATGTATATATCATATATATCGTGTATATATCGTGTATATCGTGTATATATCGTATATATATCGTATATATATCGTGTATATATCGTATATATGTATTTTTTTAAATTATACTTTAAGTTCTGGGATACACGTGCAGAATGTGTAGGTTTGTTACATAGGTATACATATGCCATGGTGGTTTGCTGTACGCATCAACTTGTCATCTACATTAGGTATTTCTCCTAATGCTGTCCCTCCCCCGACCCCTGATAGGCCCCGGTGTGTGATGTTCCTCTCCCTGTGTCCATGTGTTCTCATTATTCAACTCCCACTTATGAGTGACAACATGCAGTGTTTAGTTTTCTGCCCCTATGTTATTTTGCTGAGAATGATAGGTTCCAGCTTCATCCATGTCCCTGCAAAGGACATGAACTCATCCTTTTTTAATGGCTGCATAGTATTCCATGGTGTATATGTGCCACATTTTCTTTATCCAGTCTATCACTGATGGGCATTTGAGGTGGTTCCAAACCTTTTGTATTGTGAACAGTGCTGCAATAAACACATGTGTGCATGTGCCTCTATAGTACAATGAGTTGTAAATATACCCAGTAATGAGATTGCTGGGTCAAATGGTATTTCTGGTTCTAGATACTTGAGGAATTGCCACACTCTTCTTCCACAATGGTTGAACTAATTTACAGTCCCACCAACAGTGTGAAAGCGTTCCTATTTCTTCACATCCTCTCTAACATTTGTTGGTTCCTGACTTTTTAATGATCGCCATTCTTACTGGGGTGAGATGGTATTTCATTGTGGTTTCGATTTGCATTTCTTTAATGACCAGTGGTAATGAGCTTTTTTTCATATGTTTGTTGGCCACATAAATGTCTTCTTTTGAGAAGTGTCTGTTCATATCCTTTGCCCACTTTTTGATGGGGTTGTTTTTTTCTTGTAAATTTGTTTAAGTTCCTTGTAGATTCTGGATATTAGCCCTTTGTCAGATGGATAGATTGCAAAATTTTTTTCCCATTCTGTAGGTTGCCTGTTGACGCTGATGATAGTTTCTTTTACTGTGCAGAAGCCCTTTAGTTTAATTAGATCCCATTTGTCAATTTTGGCTTTTGTTGCCATTGGTTTTGGTGTTTTAGTCATGAAGTCTTTGCCCATGCATGTGTCCTGAGTGATATTGCCTAGGTTTTCTTCTAAGTTTTTTATGGTTGTAGGTCTTTAATCCATCTCAAGTTAATTCTTGTGTAAGGTGTAAGAAAGGGGTCCAGTTTCAGTTTTCTGCATACGGCTAGCCAGTTTTCCTAACACCATTTATTAAATAGATTGGAATCCTTTCCCCGTTGCTTATTTTTGTCAGGTTTGTCAAAGATCAGATGGTTGTAGATGTATGATGTTATTTCTGAGGCCTCTGTTCTGTTCTATTGGCCTATGTATCTGTTTTGGTACCAGTACCGTGCTATTTTGGTTACTGTAGCCTTGTAGTATAGTTTGAGGTCAGGTAGCATGATGCCTCCAGCTTTGTTCTTTTTACTTAGGATTGTCTTGGCTATATGGGGTCTTTTTTGGTTCCATATGAAATTTAAAGTATTTTTTCCAATTCTGTGAAGAAAGCCAGTGGTAGCTTGACGGGGATAGCTTTGAATCTATAAATTGCTTTGGGCAGTATGGCCATTTTCACGATATTGATTCTTCCTATCCATGAGCATGGAATGTTCTTCCATTTGTTTGTGTTCTCTCTTATTTCCTTGAGCAGTGGTTTGTAGTTCTCCTTGAAGAGGTCCTTCACATCCCTTGTAAGTTGGATTCCTAGGTGTTTTATTCTCTTTGTAGCAGTTGTTAATGGGAGTTCACTCATGATTTGGCTCTCTGTCTATTATTGGTGTATAGGAATGCTTGTGATTTTTGCACATTGATTTTGTATCCTGAGACTTTGGTGAAGTTGCTTATCAGCTTAAGGAGATTTTGCACTGAGACGATGGGGTTTTCTAAGGAGACCCATCTTACGTGCAAAGACACACATAAGCTCAAAATAAAGGGATGGGGGAATATTTACCAAGCAAGTGGAAAGCAAAAGAAGCATGGGTTGCAATCCTAGTCTCTGATAAAACAGACTTTAAGCCAGCAAAGATCAGAAAAGACAAAGAAGGGCATTACATAATGGTAAAGGGATCAAAACAACAAGAAGAGCTAACTATCCTAAATATATATGCACCCAATATAGGAGCACCCAGATTCATAAAGCAAGTTCTTAGAGACCTACAAAGAGACTTAGACTCCCACACAATAATAGTGGGAGACTTTAACACTCCACTGTCAATATTAGATCGACGAGACAGAAAATTAACTAGGATATTCAGGACTTAGCTCTGGACCAAGCAGACCTAATAGATATCTACAGAACTCTCCACCCCAAATCAACAGAATATACATTCTTCTCAGCACTACATCACACTTACTTTAAAATTGACCACATACTTGGAAGTAAAACACTCCTCAGCAAATGCAAAAGAACAGAAATCAAGACAGTCTCTCAGGCTACAGTTCAATCAAATTAGGACTCAGGATTAAGAAACTCACTCAAAACTGCACAACTACATGGAAACTGAACAACCTGCTCCTTAATGACTACTGGGTAAATAATGAAATTAAAGCAGAAATTAATAAGTTCTTTGAAACCAATGGGAACAAAAACACAGCATACCAGAATCTCTGGGACACAGCTAAAGCAGTGTTTAGAGGGAAATTTATAGCACTAAATGTTCACAGGAGAAAGCGGGAAAGATCTAAAGTCGACACCCTAACATTACAATTAAAAGAACTAGAGAAGCAAGAGCAAACAAGTTCAAAAGCTAGCAGAAGACAAGAAATAACTGAGATCAAACAAGAACTGAAGGAGATACACGAAAAACCCTTCAAAAAAAACGAATGAATCCAGGAGCTGGTTTTTTGAAAAGATTAACAAAATAGACCGCTAGCCAGACTAATAAAGAAGAAAAGAGAGAAGAATCAAATAGGTGCAATAAAAAATGATAAAGGGGATATCACCACTGATCCCACAGAAATACAGACTGTTATAAGAGAATACTATAAACACCTCTACGCAAATAAACTAGAAAATCTCGAATAAATGGATAAATTCCTGGACACATACGCCCTCCCAAGACTAAACCAAGAAGAAGAATAGAAAATAACAAGTTCTGAAATTGAGGCAGTAATTAATAGTCTACCAACCAAAAAAAGCCCAGGACCAGATGGATTCACAGCCAAATTCTACCAGAGGTACAAAGAGGAGCTGGTACCACACCTTCTGAAACCGTTCCAAACAATAGAAAAAGTGGAACTCCTTCCTAATCATTTTTTGAGGCCAGTACCATCCTGATACCAAAACCTGGCAGAGACACAACAAAAAAAGAAAATTTCAGGCTAATATCCCTGATGAAAATCGATGTGAAAATCTTCAATAAAATACTGGCAAACCAAATCCAGCAGCATGTCAAAAAGCTTATCCACCACGATCAAGTTGGCCACATCCCTGGGATGCAAGGCTAGTTCAGCATACGCAAATCAGTACACATAATCCATCACATAAACAGAACCAATGACAAAATCCACATGATTACCTCAATAGATGCAGAAAAGGCCTTCAGTAAAATATTCAACACCCCTTCATGCTAAAAACTCTCAGTAAACTATGTATTGATGGAACGTATTTCAAAATAATAAGAGCTGTTTATGACAAATCCACAGCCAATATCATACTGAATGAGCAAAAGCTGGAAGCATTCCCTTTGAAAACCGGCACAAGACAAAGATGCCCTCTGTCACCACTCCTATTCAACATAGTATTAGAAGTTCTGGCCAGGACAGTCAGGCAAGAGAAAGAAATAAAGGGTATTAAAATAGGAAGAGAAGAAATCAAATTGTCTCTGTTTGCAGATGATGTGATTGGATATATAACATTTTTGAGGCCTTTAATGCATGAATTCTTTATTGTTCCAAAAATGTGAAAAAGTAGTACATTTCTGGTAGGGAAGTGGAGAACTTGTTATTTAACAAATAATTTCAATGCGACATTAAAATTCTATAAATTTTAAACTTTTCTTCATCATTAAATTTAGTATAGGAATTGTCTAAATTCCAGTAATATTATAGAATCTACTAAAGTCTGGCTCTCTAACATTAGTTATTCTGTATGTTTGTATTAGTTCATTTTCACACTATTATGAACTCCTTGAGACTGGGTAATTTATGAAGAAAAAAGGTTATTTGACTCACAGTTCTGCATGACTTGAGAGGCCTCAGGAAACTTACAATTGTGGCAGAAGGCAATGGAAGTGAGGCATGTCTTACGTAGCAGCAGGAGAAAGAGCGAAGGGGAAGTGTCACTTTTAAACCTTCAGATTTCATGAGATTCACTATCACGAGAACAGCATGGAGAAAACCGCCCCATAATTCAGTCACCTCCCACCAGGTCCCTTCCTCGACACGTGGGTCCAATTTGAGATGAGATTTGGGTGGGGACACAGAGCCAAACCAAATCATTCTTGATGTGGGTTAAAAACAGTAAACAATCCATTATGCCTAAAAATAATAAACTCTAGGCCAGGTGTGGTGGCTCACATCTGTAATCCCAGCACTTTGGGAGGCCGGGGGCAGGCGGATCACCTGAGGTCAGGAGTTCGAGACTAGCCTGACCAATATGGTGAAACCCTGTCTCTACTAAAAATACAAAAATTAGCCAGGCATGGTGGCATGCGCCTGTAATCCCAGCTACTCGGGAGGCTGAAGCAGGAGAATCGCTTGGACCTGGTAGGCGGAGGTTGCAGTGAGCCGAGATTGCGCCACTGCATTCCAGCCTGGGTGACAGTGCGAGACTCCGTCTCAAAAAAAAAAAAAATAGAATTGTAGGTGCAAAGGCATGAAAGGGCTAAACAGGGAAAAAACTGGGGCCAGTGGGGAACATGGATGAATATTTATCTGATCATTGGAAGGAAAAGGAGTTTTGAGTTATCAAAAGAAATCACACAGGGATTTTGGCAGCTATAGATATTACTATAAGGAGTCACAAAAACAAGCAGTGCCAGAACAATCCAATAAAAAGGTAAATGTAACAAGTAAAATAAGTAATTTATTTATATACAAACCAATAGGAAAACAAATACAGTTGGCCTTTCATATCCACAGCTTCCACATCTGTGGATTGAACCATCCGCAGTTCTAAAACATTTAGAGAAAAAAAAAATTTTAAATACAGTATAACCATTTACATAGGGTTTACATTGTAGGGTATTGTAAGTAATCTAGAGGTGATTTAAAGCATATGAGAGGATGTGCATAGGTTATATGTAAATACTATGCCATTTTATATAAAGGACTTGAGCATCTGAGAATTTTGGTATCATCGGGGGTCCTAGAACCATTTCCCTGTGGATACAGAGTGATGGCTGTAATTCTCAAAGAAATGCATGGCTAAGCAACATATTTTAGGCTGGGCATGGTGGCTCACGCCTGTAATCCCAGCACTTTGGGAGGCCGAGGCGGGTGGATCACGAGGTCAAGAGATCGAGACCATCCTGGCCAACCAACATGGAGAAACCCCGTCTCTACTAAAAAACAAACAAAAAAAAGGTACGCATATAGTCCCAGCTACTTGGGAGGCTGAGGCAGGAGAATCGCTTGAACCCGGGAGGCGGAGGTTGCAGTGAGCCGAGATCTCGCCACTGCACTCCAGCTGGGGTGATAGAGCGAGAGTCTGTATCAAAACACCACCACCACCAACAACAACAACATATTTTAAAAGTTCAACCTCACTTATTATCAAAGAAATATAATTTTAAGTCACAAGAAAAGATGTTTTTTTGCCACCTGAAGTAGGAATGGTGTTGGTTACATTCCTTCTTGAGGTGATAAATGATAACAAAAGTTTAAGCTAAAAAAAAAGAGAACCAAAACCTACCATTGAGGATTTTTTAAAAAGACCACAATACTTGTTGATTTAAAGACAGAGTCAGAACTGTGATTAGGGAAATTTAAAAAATATGTAGTAAAACTTGACTGTGCACCAGTCTGTAGGACTGCCTGGATGCCTAGAAAGCTATACTCAAAGATAATTTTTCATTAGAAAGCTCATTATAATTAAGCAAAAAATAAGTGAGTGAACCAGTATAACTCAAGAAATACCAAAAGAAGAAAAAAAATCCATTTCATGTTAAGCAGATGGAGAAAAACCAGTAAAAGTCTTAATTATTGAACAAGATAGATTATGTAATCTAAATTGTTAATTGGAAGAAGAAACTAAAATCCACAAATGTTTGGAAAACTCAAAGATTTGAAATACAAAAGATTAATAAATAAATGAAGAGAATAGTTTTTATGTTATTCGGAAACTTAATAATATGAATGGATTTTCAGGATAAATTTTAATTTCCAGTCACTCACAAATTGTAAAATACAAATAGTTCAAAAGCTATAGAAGTATTTGAAAACATTGATAAAATAATTGCTCCAAAAAAACTCATCCAGGTACTTTTGTTTTAAAAAAAAAAACAGGTAATTCTTACGTAGTGTTATCTGATTTAGAGCATTAAAAAGATACAGATTTCTTTCTTTTGTTTTGTTTTGTTTTTGTTTTTGAGATGGAGTCTCACTCTGCCACCAGGCTGGAGTGTAGTGGCGCAATCTCAGGCTCACTGCAACCTCCGCCTCCTGGGTTCAGGCAATTCTCCTGCCTCAGCCTCCCAAGTAGCTGGGACTACAGGCACGCACCACCATGCCCAGCTAATTTTTTTTTGTATTTTCAGTAGAGATGGGGTTTCACCATGTTGGCCAGGATGTCTCGATCTCTTGACCTCGTGATCCACCCGCCTCAGCCTCCCAAAGTGCTGGGATTACAGGCCTGAGCCACCGTGCCTGGCCAAACCTACAAATTTCTTATTATGTAACTAGCATTTTATGTACATGTACACAGATACACATATGCCTAGATACATAGATAATTAGAAGGCTCCTTTGTTAACATTCAAGAATATTTATCTCAAATCAACAATCAATGCTATTCTTAATGGTGAATTTCTACAGATACCACATCCTTGTAACTATTAATTAGCATTATTTTAAAACTTTTAGCCAGGTTATTAGCCAAAATAAAATATGTTTATATATTGGAAAGGAGACAGTGTTACTTTGTAGATGGTATCTTATATATAGAAAAACTCTGAAGCGAAAACCAACTTAATTTTAGGTAGTAGGACTATGTGAAAACACAGATTTGACAGATTTTTGTGTTTCAACAATAATCAGTAATTAGAAAAAGCAATACTATTTTAAAGTAGAAAAGAAAATATATAAGACAAATTTTATAAGAACTGTGTATGACTTGTGTGTGTGTTTGGGAAGTACTTTTGAATTTGTCAAATTGGTTCTTAAGAAGACACAACTAATCTATAAGGGTAGAAATGAGAACAGTGGCTGCCTGTGCAATGGAGGAGGACTCATTGGAAAGTAATGTGAGAGATCTTTCTAGGATAATGAGAGTTCTGTGTGTTGAGTGGGACATTGTTCATAGTTTATTGAACTATACCATTAAGATCTGTGATTTTACTAAATGTAATTATGCCTCATTTTAGAAAATAGAAGAAAAGAAACTTGATTCTAAAATTTTCTGGAAGAATAAACAGTAAAGAACCAACCATGAAAACATTTTTGAAAAAGAGTAAAAATAAACATTTTTGAAAGAGAATATATTTATATGTATATGTATGTATAAACTGTTAACTGTTTATATATATATATGTATGTGTATATATATGTATATATATATGTGTGTATGTATGTATAATTTTAAACTGTTAACCTAGGTTGTTAAGGGAGAGAAAAATGAAAGAGAATCAAGAGTTGCTGACCCTGATAAACAGAAAACTTTAATGTATCATAAAGTACAAAAACTAGTTTGGGAAGCATCCCAGGATAATTGATTCAACATTTGGAAGGGGGAAAATTGAGTTTATCATCTTAACAAAACTCAGCTTCCTAACAGATTGAAAACCGAAGTGTAACTAATTCATGAACTCTTTTAAAACACATATGTACACATGCACGTATGCAAATAAATGCCTGATCTTTGGAGCAAGAAATTTTTGAGCTTAAAATTATTAAACTGTGTGTTCTATGTGTGTGTTTAATAAAAATATAGAGAAATGAAATACACCATTTTAATCAAAATCTGAAGTTAAATCACAAATGAAAGATTTGAGACAGATAAATGGCTAATATCCCTACTTTATAAAGAACTCCCTGCAACTGATAGGAAAAAAAGCCATTCCGTTATTATATGGACAAAGGGTATGAAAAGACAATCCAAAGATATTTTAAATATCAGGTTGTGGGGAAGTATATTCAGTGACTCTTACATTTTCCACTTGTCCTTTTATCTACCTGTTCTTATAAATGTTGGTATTAGAAAGTTTTTCAAGTCAGAAAGGCAATTAAGTTTTAAAGCCTAGATTTTTTATTACTTTTAATAATTACCCCAAATATAATATGTTAAGTTTTTCTCTTTTAGCACTTCAGAATCCAGAGGTGGTGGCCCTTCGAGGTGGACTAAACACCATCTTGAAAAATGTGATCGATTGCCAATTAAGTCGAATAAATGAGGCCCTAATTACTACAATTTTGCACCTTCTTAATCATCCAAAGACTCGACAGTATGTGCGAGCTGATGTAGAATTAGAGGTAGGAACTTTAATATTCTTTTCTAGTTTTAAAATATTATTATAAATGTATACTTTTACTTTGAAATACTAAATTTTATAGATGCAGCACCACATTAATTATCAAGCCTAAATTAGCCGACACTAATTTATTCCCAGCTCTGTTTTACAGATCATTCAGTTTGGACTGAATTGAAAACATTACTCTTAAGAATATTTCATCAATGTGTAAATTTTATTTTTGTATTATCTATGAAAAGTTTATGAACCAAATTAGAGTACAAATAAAGTTATGTAACAAATTTACCTATTTAAGATTACCATTTGTTTTTAAGGCCTTTAGTACATTGTGTGTGAATAGCTCCTGCTAATTATACAATATTTATGAAACCTAAAATTATCTGAAGTTGGAAGCACTTTGTTAGCAACTAATTATATCTACTTGAAAGAAAGCATGTATGTATATTTTGTAAATACCTCTTAAATTTTTTACTGATTCAAGTAAGGTTTATTACAGTTAGTCAAAAGTAACAGGGCTACTGTATACCTTATAAGAAAGTATGTCGTGGAGGTTGGAACAGAATTATGCACTGTATTATAGTTTCTTCGTGTGCATGTATTGCATTGTTGTCCTTTGAATATAGTATTTGGAGTCAGCTTAAATCAAGGATTTGTTTGTATTTAGGTATGAAATCATGTGTGATATAAAAGATTGATTGTCCCCTAATTTGTTTTTCCAAATCATTTTTTGAAACTTAAGTGTTCTGTTTTTATCAGGACTATTTTTAAAAATGCTTCACATTATAAAATTGACATTAGCCTATATTATTAACTAACAATGTTAGTATAATAGTCCTAATAAGTGATTTCAAGTATATTATTTATTGGAATCCTGTGGGAATAAACTGGCACTGTTGATATTTTATAATATGTTTAGCTTTAATTTTTTTTCTTATCAAGTAAGAAAACTGTAATTTTAAAATTGGAGAGATGAATAAAAGATAATATGTATAGGCTCTGTGTTTTGCTTTTTGTTTTGTTTTGAGATGGGGTCTCACTCTGTTGCCCAGGCTTAAGTGTAGTGGCACAATCACATCTCACTGCAGCCTGGACCTCCCGCACTCAATCGATCCTTCCATGTCAACCTCCTGAGTAGCTGGGACTATAGTTACATGCCACCACACCTGGCTAATTTTTGTATTTTTTGTAGAGACGGGGCTTTGCCATGTTGCTCAGGCTGGTCTTGAACTCCTGGAGCTCATGCAGTCCACCCACTTCAGCCTCCCAAACTGCTGGGCTTACAGGTATGAGCCACTATGCCCAGCCAGCTGAGTTTTTATTCCTATATATCACACAGTGGATTAGCAAAGCCTTTATGTAAATGAAACAAACCTCAAACACAGGAAAACCAGAGGCCTACTTAGTCTTATCAAAATTGCATTGTAGCCTCAATTTAACTTAGTTGGACGTTAGAATAAGGTGATCAGTCCCCTTAATCTACCTGTCTAGCAGAGGAAAGAATAAGCCATCTCTAGTGGGAGATAACATCACTTGGAGTCTTTTATAAAGTGCACAATGCCTGACATTCAGTTGGAAATTAGTCACGTAAAAAGACATGACTGTATGACTGAAAACCCAAAAGAAAAAAAACAATCCATAGAAACATGCTTGCAGGTGATTCAGATAGAGGAAAAAGACATTAAAACAACCCCGATTAATTTGTTCAAGAAGAGAAATAAAATAGATGAAATAATGGAGAATTTTATCATATAATTGGATATGTGAAAAAAATCAAATGGAAATTCCAGTACTGAAAATACGATATCTGGAATTCAGAGCACAATGAAATTAAAATTCAGTTTGAACAGGAAGATGTTATTAGTAAACTGAAAGAGAAGTCAATAAAAATATCCAAGGGTAAAACAAAAATAATGTTAATACACACAGTAAAGCACAGAGAAAAAAGAAATAAATTGAACAGCACAAAAGGGATAAAACGTAATTGCAGTCTTTGGAGAGAAAAAATTGGCAGAAGCAAAGATCCAAAGAGAAAGTGGCCAAAACTTTGTTTCTAAAACTGATAAAGCTTCATGTTGTAAAGCTCAGAAAACAAACAAGATAATACATAGGGAGGAACTGAGCCCTCTTGCCAATAATCAGCACCTTGTGAATGACACTTGTTGACGCAGATCCTCTAGCTCCAGTCAGACCTTCAGATGACTACAGGCTTGGCTAGCACTTGGACTGAAATCTTATGAGACTTTGAGCCATAACCATGTAGCCAAGCCTCTCCTAGACTCTTAAGTCATTGAAACTGTATAAATTAATAAATATGATTTGTTGTTAAAAGGAGACATAAAGACTAAAGGGAATCCTCAGTTAAAAGGAAAATGACCTAAAACAAAGAAATGCAGGAAGGAATGAAGAGCACCAGAAAAAGTAAATATATGACTAGATTTAAAAGAATCATGACTGTTAAAAGTAGTTATTAATCTCTTATGTTTTAAATTATATTTAGAACTAAAATTCATGTCCACAGTAATGCCGTAGACAAGATGGGAAGGTTGTTAATAAAATATAGTAGTTCTAAAGTAGCCGGTAATCCCAGCTACTCTGGAGGCTAAGGCGGGAGGATTGCTTGAGCCTAGGAGTTCAAGGTTGCAGTAAGCTGTGATCACACCACTCACTACACCTTAGTCTGCACAGTAGAGTAAGATCTTGTCTCTTAAGTACTAAAGTAATGAGTTATTTTAGCAAGGTTGCTGAATACAAACAACACCACACAAAAATAACTTGGATTTTCTTTATACCAGCAACAAAAGGAACGTGCAGTTCATTAATAGAACTATTTAAATTTTCAAACACAGGCAAAACTAATCATAGTGTCAGAAGTCAAGACGGTTATCTTGGGATAGATACTGATTGTGACTACAAAGGTATAATAGAGCTTTGAGGATGCCTATAATGTTTTATCTTGTGCTAGTTACATGAGTGTGCTTAGTTTGAGAAAATCACTGTTTTAGATACATGTTAAACCTCAATTTAAAAGTTCAGAACTTCAATTTGTACATTAAAAAAAATCACCAAACATATTCCCTGATGATGAGTTAGAAGAAATAAGTCCCCCAAGCAGTAAACCCATTAAAGATAGAGAGAAATGGAATGTTACATTCCATAAAATGCAGGAAGGATGCATTTTAAAATAAAGACTCTTTTCTTCCTTTTTTTTTTTAAATAGAGAATTTTAGCACCCTATACTGATTTTCACTACAGACATAGTCCAGATACAGCTGAAGGACAGCTCAAGTAAGTAACATTGGTTCCTAATAATTTTTAAGATAATGTATATGTTAATACTAAAGCTTTTAGGTTTGCGTGATTCCATGTACAGCCAGAGAAATGTGAGTTTAAATAAATTTTCTATTTTATAGAATTAGTTGCATTTCTCTCATAATTTACTGTGGTTTAAAAAATTTAAAGCTTTGAGAAATTTAAAGATTAATTTCTTATTTCCAAAAATATATGGTAGACTGTGACAGAAACCAAGGTCATTGTTTTTGTAATGTATATATTTTAGCATAATTACATTTAAAAAACCAAAAGAATGAAATAACAGTAGATAGTAGAATGAAGAGTGACCTTAACTTACTGAGTCAGCAGAATGATGTAATATGTAGAATTCTGAGAATAAGTTTAATACAGAAATAAATGAGAATAGAGTAAATATTATTATCTAGAAATGAGACAGTATAATTTTCAGGGTGTTTTTGGAGAGAAAGGCACATGTTCACTAGGTATTTGGAGATAACTTTAACATAATTTAGGGATCAAATAAAGCACTCTGTAAAGATTTTGCAAATGACACAATTCCATTAAATACGCTATCTAGTGTTTTTTCTGGTAGACTTTATTGCACTGCAATGAGTTTAATGTAGACATAAACTTACTGTGATACATAGTATACATTGCCAGGGAAATGTTTTTATTGTTTTTCATTTTTCCCCTGAGTTAAAAATAGTGATTCCTGTAATCCTAGCACTTTGGGAGGCCGAGGCGGGTGGACCGCCTGAGGTCAGGAGTTTGAGACCAGCCTGACCAATCTGGTGAAACCCCGTCTCTACTAAAAATACAAAAAAAATTAGCTGGGCATGGGTATTCCCAGCTACTCCAGAGGCTGAGGCAGGAGAATTGCTTGAACCTGGGAGGCGGAGTTTGCATTGAGCTGAGATCACACCACTGCACTATCCTGGGTGACAGAGCGACACTCTGTCTCAAAAAAAAAAAAAAAAAAAAAAAGTGGTTTCATACCTTCAGTCACATCCATCATTGTGAACTCATTCTCACCCTAACATACCATGATCTACTTTGAGCTAAGAGATCAAAGTAGATGTCCTCTAAGACTTCTCAAACTTATTCCTGCAAACTTCAGTTATGAATCGGAATTTGTAAGGCCCTTTCTTGGCTTCTTTTGAAATATAGACATTCTCTTATTGTGGAGAGTGTATGAGTTTTCTGTTGCTGCACACCAAATAACAATAAGCATGATGGCTTAAAACAATACCAGTTTATTAGATCACAGTTTGATAGGTCAGAAGTCTGGCTCAGGTCTTGCCTGGAGGCTCTGGTGAAGAATCCACTTCCAAGGTCATTCAGATTGTTGAGAAAATTTAGTTTCTTGCTACTGTACAACTGCTATGCCTTTTTCTTTACTGGCTGTCAGCTGGGGCCTACTTTCACCTTCTAGAGGCCTCCCACATTCCTCAGCACATGGTCTTCTCCCTCTGCAAAGGCAACAATGCTGGAATCTTTCTACTGCTTTCAGCCTCTCTGACTTTTTCTTTGGCTACCAGCTAGAGAAAGCTCTCTAATTAGATCAAGCCTGCTATATGCTGTATACTCTTTCTTATGCTCTGCTAGACAATATAACATAAACATAGTCACAGTCATAGCGCTGATACCTCACCATGTTCACAGGACCCAGAGATCAGGTCATGGAATCTTGGGATAGGGCCATATATAGAATTCTGCATATGATGATGGACAACAGGTGAACCTAGATATTTCTTAGAATTGGGAGGGTGGGGCTATTCCATCAGAATCTTTCCTATTTGGTTCTGTACTTTCTTCTAAGTTTCTGGAGTATAAGCAGGTAGATATCAGGCCTGTAAATAAGGGTATATTATGACCAGGGAACAGGGAAATGACTGATTTTTAAAATATTACAAGTTTAATAGGTTAGAGATGGATTACCAAACAGTCAATGTATGTCACCAACTTTTTTAAGAGAAAGCACTGAAAGCTTAATCACACAGGTGTCTGATTCTCCCTTCTTCCAAGCCACCCCCGCCCCCATTTTCATTTCTGTTATTTTCTCATTTTAGCTGGTGCTGCATAGCTTAGTCTTTTTCTTTGAGCTTTTCAATCCACTTTTGTAGACTAATTGCTCACTCATATCTAATTTGATATTCTGTCATTGCTGTTTATTCCTTCTACTTTTTGTTGCTGTTTTTCCCAGTTCTGTGATTTTTTTGTATGCTCACAACCATTAAAAATTTAAGTAGGAAAGATTAAAAAAAAAAGGTGGCACAGGAAAAAAGGGACAATCGACAGGGTAGACATGGTGGTTGGAGTGACATAAAGAGACACAAAATTGCTATTAAGTATTGAAACTGGCCATAAGCCAACCATGAAAAATGTTTAATAGATATAAAAAATTCAGTTGCTTAATTGTCATAACTATTGTAGAGGAGGGAATAATGGAAACAGTTGGGTACATAATTGTCAAGGAAGAAAGTAGCTGGTGATGTTAATATGTAGTTATTTCATAACATTTCAGTGACTATATAGGTTGTTGAACTTGCTTGTTGGAAACGTTCAAATAAGTTTAGAGCAAAGATTGTGAAGTAAACAGTGTGTGTGATTAAAATTAAGAGGTTTTTGTGATAATTTTCTTTGCTAAGGGGCAGCCTAGTACCACAGATGCTTATTAAGCAGACTTAATGCTTAATTAAATCTTATCTAAGAATAGTTTTCAGGGAGCAGGAATATAGAACTGAGTAGAAAAGCAGAATTTATGACTTAAACGATGTTGTGAGTTTAAGTTTGAAGTCAGTTTATAATTGGCTAATTTGCTTTAGTGTAGATCTGATCTTTGTCTTGTTTTAATTTTATGTGTAAATGTTTAAACATTAGTGATAGCTCTTATTGTGATTTAGTAGCAGGAAAAAACTCATTTTAACATTTTATTTCATTGATTCTCCCCGCTGCCTCCCCACCCCCAACAGAGAAGACAGAGAAGCACGATTTCTAGCCAGTAAAATGGGAATCATAGCAACATTCCGATCATGGGCAGGTAGGTTACTCTACATTGCTTTATAACATCCAAGAAGAAAAACTAGACTGCTTTTTCAAATGTTAAATTATTATTGTAGCACCTAATTCAGATGCTAATCTAGTCTTACTTTGTATATTATTATTAGAACCAAAGGAACTCGTACAAAATTATTAAAATATGGTGAAGGAAATTTGTAATAGTCAATAGGAATTAGCTAATATTATGATCAGTATACACATATTTATTATTTGCCAGTCACTGTGCTAATGATTACCTGGGCAATTAAAAAAATTTAAGCATGATCTTTACCAAAAAAACCTACAAAACTTGAGTGTTAGCTGTGTATGTAACTAAAGTTTGTTACTTAAAGTACAGTGTAGTGTCATAGATACAAAATAAGCAAGATAGGCCATTAATAGTTCCAAATTTCTTGAGAATAGGGATTGTGCATGTTTTATCTTTCCATGGAATAAAAAGTAAGTATTGTTTTTAAAATAATACCACCATTAAATGTGTTGTTAATAACATTGGGGTTTTGCCATTAAGAGTAATTGAGAGTAATGGCAAAAACCGCAATTACTTTTGTACCCAATGTATTAATGATTATCTTCTTCCTTCTTGATTTAGTATTATTGTGAAGGGGTAGCATGGAAAAGAAGTAGCAATAAGCAAAAAAAGGAAATTCACCTAAACATTTCTGTGTACCTAGGTAACCCTAACTTAAAAATACCTTTTCCATACAAATGTTTACTCCAGCCATTTGTATGGGAAGGCCACTTGGCCCCTAACCAGTATGTTTCCAGGGATTTTCTCTGATCTCTTAGCAGCTTGGTAAAAAGCTCTGCCTTGCTATACCTCATAAATACCTATTTTCCTTATGCTGATGGACAACCATAGGATTCTATGATGACTCAACAGTCATACATACTTTTTTTAAATACTTCATCAGCTCCCCAGTACTTTGTTTTCTGTAGTTACAGTCATCTTCCTTTACCACTCCTCATCTTCCTTGTCATTAGAGCTGTTTGTATCTTACCAAAAAAATTAATTCTATCCTGCATCCTAGCTACTATCTCCTTATTCTTCCTACGTCCAGACTCTACGCTTCCTGTAATGATGTCTGTTTCTGCCAGTCTTTCCTTATTGCTCTTAAACATTTTTTTTTACTGTGTTTCAATTTCCCCTGGAGCCCTTTTATAATGATTCATCATTAGAAACTTAGAGGGGTGGGGCTGGGTGCAGTCGCTCATGCTAAGGTGGGTGGATCACCTGAGGTCAAGGGTTCAAGACCAGCCTGGCCAACATGGTGAAGCCCTGTATCTACTAAAAATACAAAAATTAGCCAGGTGTGGTGGCGGGCACCTGTAATCCCAGCTACTCGGGAGGCTGCAGCAGGAGAATTGCTTGAACCCAGGAGGCGGAGGTTGCAGTGAGCCAAGATCGCACCACTACACTCCAGCCTGGGTGATAGAGCGAGACTCTGTCTCAAAAAAAAAGAAAGAAACTTAGAGGGGTGGGAGTCTTCTACCTTTCTATTGAAGTAAGAAGAGAAATATCAGCATTATAAGTTAAAACCTTGAAAGCATTTGTCTCGTGGAAATAACTTCCTAAATAATATTTATATTCTGTAGTACTGTTTATAAGTTAAATAAACTTTTGTGTACTTGTAACATTATTTCTGTGATGTATTTCCAGTTCCAAATAACTGATTGAAAAATGATCTTTTAGAACACATTTTTTAATGAGGTGCAACAGCCTGTTTTCCATATTAGCACAGAGTATGATCTTTTGAGACTATATCTTATCTGTAATTTCTCAAACTACTCTCAGACATCAAAATTTGCGAAATAGTATTTTGATACTTTAAGCAAATAAGCTTACCTAGTATGTTTCGATTTGAATTTTGATCCTGAATCTAAAGAGAACATAGAGACTGTTCATAAATATCTGTACGCTTAGCTGGAAGTACAGGGAACTTTGGAGTCCTATAAGACATTTTAAAGAATGTTTTCCCTAACATGTCATAAAAAATTTGAAACATACAGAAAAATTGAAAAAACTATACAGTGAACACCCATATACTTCCACCTAGATTTTACTGTATTTGCTGTATTATATATCTGTCCATCCCACTGGGCGTTCATCAGTCCATCTATGTTATTCTAATATATCTTAAAGGAAGTTGCAGACATAGTCCTCTTCACTCCTGAACACTGCAGCATGCACATTATTAACTAGAACTAGATGTCTGTTTATGGTCCTGATTTGTTGTCGGGGGGAGAGATTTGAGGTAAAATTTACATACAGTGAAATGCACACATCATTAGTCTACTGTTTGATGCGTTTTGACAAATGCTTACACCTTTGTAATTCAAACCCTTTTCAATATATAGAACATTATCATTGCCCCAGAAAGTTCTCTTATACTCTTTCCTAGTCAGTTTTTGACTCCGTACTCCTAAGAAGGAACCACCATTATTTTTGTGGCTTAGTTTTGCCTATTCTGAAACTTAATATTAGTGGAATCATACTGATAAGGCTTTTTTTTGTAAGGCTTCTTTCACTTGACAGAATGATTTTGATACTCATTTATGTTATTGTATATATCAGTAATATGTTCTTCTTTTTTATAATATTTCATGCAATGAACATTTCAGTTTTTGTTGTTCTTTTTTTTTTTTTTGCCCTTCTGTTACTAGATTTGACTATTCAAAGCTCCTTTATCAAAGATAAAGCTTCTTTGAGCAATTCCATACAAACTTTTTTTGTGGACATGAGTTTTCATTTCTCTTGCGTAAATACCTAAATGGAATTGCTGGGTCTGAGATTGGATGTATGTTTGTGTCCATGAGAAACTGCCAGACTTTTTCCCAAAATACTTACACTATTTTATACTCCCATCATCAGCATATGTGACTCCCAGTTGTTCTGCATCCTTGTCAGTATTTGGTGTTGTGAGTCTTTAATTTTAGCCATTCTAGTAGGTATATTTTGATTTCTTGTTATTAATATAGTTTGCATTTCCCTGATGACTAATGATATTGAGCACTTTGTGTGTGTTTATTGGCTATTCATACGTCTTTTGTGACATGATTTTAATATGTTTAAAATTGTTCAACTTAGTTCTGTAACTTAAAAATTTTGAATCATATAATTTATTTGAAGTCTATTACTTATACTCATGTGCATTCAGTATATTTTAGAATTGAACTTTAATAAATGCCAAGTAGAGTTTTTCACTTTAAAGTGAGGAGTATAAAAGAGGGGAGACAGACCATTGTCTGATTTTTCTCCCGTGTTCTTACTCCCAGAGAAGAGTTCATCAGGCAGTCAGACTCATGAACTTTCTGGGTATTAAACAGATACTGAAGATGGAATTTAAATGACGAAATTATTGGTAATCTCTAATCAATAGAGAAATACAGAGTATGCTTCAAATATATTTCAGTTATATAATAGTTCTTATGATGACCAAATAGTATCATAATCATATAATTTTGCCTAGAAAAATATGACAAGTTTTATATTATACATTGCCATAGAAATTTTTTTGAAATTCATGTCAGTGATTTTTTTTTCTTTCTGTCCTCTTTAGGTATTATTAATTTATGTAAACCTGGAAATTCTGGGATCCAGTCTCTAATAGGAGTACTTTGCATACCAAATATGGAAATAAGGGTAGGTAAAAGTTATTAGGATTGTTTCATTCCTGGACCTTTAACAGTGGGAATTAATTATAAAAAAAAAATTATTTCAGGTGATGTGTTTTCCTCATTAGTTGTTAATCTAGATCATATTTTTAAAATACAGAAGTAAATATTTACTACTTAGTTAAACCCTAAATATAATAGGAATCATTTAAAATATTGCTGTTGTCTGGGCACGGTGGCTCATGCGTGTAATCCCAGAACTTTGGGAGGCCGAAGTGGGTGGATCACGAGGTCAGGAGTTCAAGACCAGCCTGACCAACATGGTGAAACCCCATCTCTACTTAAAAAAAAAAAAAATACAAAAATTAGCTGGGCATGGTGGCACACGCCTGTAATCCCAGCTACTCAGGAGGCTGAGGCAGGAGAATCGCTTGAACCCAGGAGGCAGAGGTTGCAGTGAGCTGAGATAGCGCCATTGCACTCCAGCCTGGGTGACAGAGCGAGACTCCATCTCAAAAAAAAAAAAAAAATTGCTGTTGTTAGGAATAATGGCTGTATTAAAAATTGAGTTGAGGCCGGACATGGTGGCTCACGCCTGTAATCCCAGCACTTTGGGAGGCCAAGGCAGGTAGGTGGATCACCTGAGGTCAGGAGTTCGAGACCAGCCTCCTCAATATGGTGAAACCCCGTCTCTACTAAAAATACAAAAAGTTAGCCAGGCACCTGTAATCCCAGCTACTTAGGTGGTGGGCACCTGTAATCCCAAGTACTCAGGATGCTGAGGCAGGAGAATCACTTAAACCTGGGAGGTGGAGGTTGCAGTGAGCCAAGATCGCACCATTGCACTCCAGCCTGGGCAACAAGAGTGAAACTCCATCTCAAAAAAACAAAAAAAAGTTGAGTTGAAAATATGAACTTTATTATGCTTTATTCATTAAAACAATATAAACAACACACAAGGGCATTCTCACTATAAAAGGTTCAAGCACTACAGACTACGTTTAACAAAAGGTAAATGTATTTATGCCTTCTAACTTATGTTTTGTAATATGTGGTGAGATTTTATTTTAACGATGGTGGTTTTGATTAAAATGGAATTGTTAATATTTCTATATTTATTAGGTATATTTCTAAATTATTTGTAAGAATTTGTATTATACAGTTAAATCGAATTTGAAGGAAAAGAGAATTCTTAAAGTGATTTTTTTCCTTTCTCCTTAAATGTTTTTATTTGTTTTAATTTTGTTTCTTTCTTTTGCCCTTCCTTATATGAACCAAACCTGGAGGTGAAAAATATTATTAGAAAATATTAGCCAGGTGTGCCTTGTTTAAATGTGAAATAAAAAGTATTTAGATAATGGAAATGGAAGGATATAATTATAAATGGAAAGATCTGTAAGCAGGTAACAAACTTGAGATAATTCACTTCTTACTGTAATAGGTGGAAAAAGAACATGGTCTTTGGAGAGTCTGACCAACTGGAGTTTAACCTCTGGTTTTATTTACTTTTTTGTTAGCTCCATGACCTTGGGACAATTGCTTTTTTGCACAATTAGGTTAATGAAAAATTTAATGACTAGATTAAGTGATGTATGTAGTAGTAAGCATTTAGTTATCCCTTCTCTAATATAGGCCTTATACAGTTTCAAAATATGGTATAATCATGCATTGGTTAATGATAGGAATGTGTTCTAAGAAACTCACTGTTAGATGATTTCATCCTGTGAACATCCCAGAGTACTTACACAGACCTAGATGGTACAGCCTACTACACACCTAGGTTATGTGGTATAGCCTGTTGCTTCTAAGCTACAAACCTGTATAGCATGTTACTGTACTGAGTACTGTAGGCAGTTGTAACACAATGGAATTCGTGTATCTAAACATCTAAACATAGAAAAGGTACAATAAAAATACAGTATAAAAGATTAAAAATACTGGCCGGGCACAGTGGCTCACACCTGTAATTGCAGCATTTTGGGAGGCCGAGGCGGGCGGATCATGAGATCAGGAGATCGAGACCATCCTGGCTAACACGGTGAAGCCTGTCTCTACTAAAAATAGAAAAAACAGCCGGGCATGGTGGCAGGCACCTGTAGTCCCAGCTACTCGGGAGGCTGAGGCAGGAGAATGGTGTGAACCCGGGAGGCGGAGCTTGCAGTGAGCCGAGATCACGCCACTGCACTTCAGCCTGGGCCACAGAGCGAGACTCCATCTCAAAAAAAAAAAAAAAAAAAATTAAAAATACAGCACCTATATAGGCTACTTACAGTGCATGGAGCTTATGGGACTAATAGTAGCTCTGGATGAGTCAATGTGTGAGAAGTGAGTGAATGTTAAGACCTAGGACATGACTGTACACTACTGTAGACTTTACAGACTTGTATACTTAGGCTACATTTAATTTATTAAAATTCTTTTCTTCAAAAATAATTAGCTTACTGTAACCTTTTTAGTTTATAATTTTCAAATTTTTTAAACTTTTGACTCTTTTGCAATAATATTTAGCTTAAAACACAAACACATTGTATAGGTGTTCAAAATTTTTTTGGTTTTATATCCTTATTCTATAAGATTTTTCTGTTTTTAAATTTTTTTACTTTTTAAACTTTTTTGTTAAAAACAAAAACACAGGCCAGGTGCGGTGGCTCACACCTGTAATCCCAGCACTTTGGGAGGCCAAGGCGGGCAGATCACCTGAGGTCAGGAGTTCGAGACCAGCCTGGCCAACATGGTGAAACCCCCATCGCTACTGAAAATACAAAAATTAGCCGGGCGTGGTGGCAGGTGCCTATAATCCCAGCTACTCAGGAGGCTGGCGGCAGGAGAATTGCTTGAACCCGGGAGGTGGAGGTTACAGTGAGCCGAGATTGTGCCACTGCCCTCCAGCCTGGGAGATGAGCGAGACTGCCTCAAAAAAAAAAAAAAAAAAAAAAAAACTCCTCCCCCGCCAAACACACACTAGCCTAGGCCTATACAGGGTTAGGATCATCAGTATCACTGTCTTCCACCTCCATACCTTGTATGTCTGGAATGTCTCCAGGGGCAGTATACTGGAATGTCTCCAGGGGCAGTATACATGAATGAAGCTGTCATGTGATAACCATGTCTTGTTATGGAATACCTACCTGAGGCTGTTTTACAGTTAACTTTTTTTTTTTTTTTTTAAGAGGCAGGGTCTTGCTGTCACCCAGGCTAGAGTGCAGTGGAATGATCATAGCTCACTGCATCCTCGAACTCCTCGACTCAAGTGATCCTCTTGCCCCAGCCTCCCGAGTAGCTAGGACTACAGGAACGTGCCACCACACCCAGTGAATTTTTAAATTTTTTGTAGAGATGGGGTTTCACTATGTTCCTAGTCTCAAAATTCTGGCCTCAAGCAGTCCTCCCACCTTGGCTTCCCAAAGGGCTTTTTTTTTTTTTGTTTTGTTTTTTAAAGTATAGAAGTACACTCTAAGATAATGGTAAAAGGTATAGTATAGTAAATATGTAAACCAGTAACATAGTCATTTATTATCATTATCAGGTATTATGTAATTTTACATAATTCCATATATAATGCTTTTAAACAACTGGCAGTGCAGTGGGTTTGTTTACTCCAGCATCACCACAAACAGTTCAGTAATATTGCCCTGTGACAGACAATATGACTGCTGCTACAGTTTCACTAGGCGATAGGAATTTTTCAGCTTCATCATAATCTTAGGGAACGACCATCGTATATATGGTCCATCATTGACTAAAATATTGTTATGTGACATGTCATTGTATTAATAGTTCTGTTTTTATCATTTTAAAAAATGTGAATAGGACATTTAAAAATCTTAAAAGTGTTTCATAAAAATAAATGAGGTGTATTTGTTTGCTAATTTAGCGAGGTCTACTTGAAGTGCTTTATGATATATTTCGTCTTCCTCTACCTGTTGTGACTGAGGAGTTCATAGAAGCACTACTCAGTGTAGGTAAGTATTGAAGTACATTTGTATCTTTTCATATATTGTAATTTTTATTTAATGGAGACAGTTCCTAAAAGGAGAAATACTAAATTATTGAACACTATTTTCTTTTCTTGCTGCATAATTGTGACAGGAAATTAATATAAAAATAAAACCTCAAGTTCCTAAGACTGAGAAATTTTAATTTCTTCTTTATCACCTTGGCTCTAAGAGCAATTAAATTAATAGGAATGGGCCAAAAAAGGAAGAGAGGAGACAGTAAGAAACCTATGTAATCCTCAGATTATCTAATTCTCATCTTATTTGAGCCAAATGACTTAAAGTACCGAAGTCCCAAAATGAAGAAAATTAGATCTGCGTGTATTTACATAACTAATTTTTGTCTGTATCTTTTTGAATGTATGGTATTTAACCAGCACTTTTTAAAGTTCTTTATAGCCTGGCTAGCTGATGGTTTTATACTTATCTGAAATGTTTCAGTGATATCTAATCTTTTCCCTACCATATTTTAACTAATTTAGATCCAGGGAGGTTCCAAGACAGTTGGAGGCTTTCAGATGGCTTTGTGGCAGCTGAGGCAAAAACTATTCTTCCTCATCGTGCCAGATCCAGGTAGAATTTAAAATAAAAAGGGTTTCAATTTATTAGAATTCGGGTTTTTATGTTAGACTGTGTAATCTATGAAACTTTATTTAAATTGTTTCTGTGCTGTTTTTTCCAGGCCAGACCTCATGGATAATTATTTGGCACTGATACTCTCTGCATTTATTCGTAATGGACTTTTAGAGGTAAGACTTATAAACCTTATTTTATTCCATTTTGTTTATTTTCTCTAACAGATTCTTTCATGCCAGGTGTGGTGACTCACGCCTGTAATCCCAACACTTTGAGAAGCCAAGGCAGGCGGATCACTTCAGGCCAGGAGTTCGAGACCAGCCTGACCAACATGGTGAAACTGTGTCTCAACTAAAAATACAAAAATTAGCCATGCATGATGGCATACCCCTGTAGTCCCAGCTACTCAGGAGGCTGACACACGAGAATTGCTTGAACCCGGAAGGCAGAGGTTATACTGAGCTGAGATCTTGCCGTTGCATTCCAGCCTGGGCAACAGAGCAAGCCTCTTGTCTTAAAAAAAAAAAAAAAATTTTGAAAAATAAATCTGATGCATAAATGTTTTCATATGTATTATTTTGCAACAGTGGTGTTATCTTTTTATTTTCAAAGGGTCTAGTTGAAGTGATAACAAACAGTGATGATCATATCTCAGTTAGAGCTACCATCCTTTTAGGAGAGCTTTTACATATGGTAAGTTTAGCAACTTCTGATTATATGTTTCATACCTTTAATGTTTGAATTTATAAAACAAGTTATTTTAATAGTGTTGCTTTGTATTATCTCAAAAATAAATTTGCATTTCTTATAAATGTTTATCTTTGCATTAGAAAAAGCCCTTGGTACTGTATCCTGAGATAGATATGTACGTGCGCGCATGCGCATGCACATGCATATTTTGATTGGTTTTGTAAATGGAATAAATATACAACATGCAAAGTACTGAAATGTTGATTTTTACACTCACTTTCAAAGTTGACATTTTCGTCCTGTAAATCTTAATTGATCTCAGAAAGACTTCCTAAGAAGCAAGAAATTGCAAAACTATGGATACTACTTCAGTCTGCTAAGAATGTACTTGATACATGGTAGTCAGTGCCTGAATTTTAGAAAGCTTTGTGCAGAAGCTTTAAATGTAGTCTTGGTTGAACATTATAGTCTTTTCTATAAACTTGTAGTTTGAGGTTCAGAAGATGGGTTTTTTTTGTTTTGTTTTGTTTTTTTTGTTTTTCTTTTCACCATGATTTTGTGATTACAGTAACTTTTGGAAAGTAGGAGCTAGGAAAGTGATTTGACAATTCTTACTGTCAGCAAATCAATCAATGAGGGATCCCTGATAGTTTGCAAGGTAGGAATTTATATTTTTAGATTACTTACTAGTTAGTAAATACAAAATAAAAAGAACCATTTAAAACTCATTAAGGAAGAATTGATTCTATGGCAAATCTTTTGAAATTATGTCACAGTTTGCTATTTTTAGCAGATGTTTTTTGTTTAGGTTTTTCTTTCTTGATCTCTTCCCCTCCTCCCCACCCTTGTTTTCCCTTCATAGCAACTGGGCTATGTGAGTGAGGTAAAGAGCATTAAGCAGAATTTAATTTAACTTTCTTTTTTTAAATCAGTGAATTATTTAGCTGCTTGCTCTGTTCTTTTTTGGCCCATCTGTGAAAGAATTATATAGAGTCAGAGGCTTTCAGGTCTGATTATTTGTCTTTTAATTCTTAAAAGATACCATTTCCTGTTCAAGAATACCAATATTCAGAGTTATTTGCTTTTATATGAAGGAATCTCTATACATTTTATCTTTTTCCCTTGTCCCATACCTAGAATTCTATAATTTTCTTGAAATAAAAGAGCTGGTTATTTTGCTTATTATTCTTACATTTTCTATCTTCCACATTTGATCGATGTACTTGTCTTCATTGATAGCTGGTTGGGTGGTGAGGTTTTTGTTTGGAAAGTAGAAATTAATATTTCTTATTTTAAAGATTATGGCATATGGGACACATCTATTTTGAGAAAGTAGTTTTTAAAACTTAAGAAGTCAACTCATAAATTTGGATATGGCATCTAGCATTTTAAATGTTATTTTAAACATAACTTAGGTTGATTCCTGTAATGTTTTGACATATAATCCCTTCTGGCATTTAAGAATTGAGTTTAACTGGGTACCACTTAAAACCATAATATTATAATAAAGAATCTATGAAACTTAATGGTTATGTTAATATGTGTGTATCTTTATATTCCATCCTTGTTGAAAGTATTATAGATATGATAAAAATATAAATAAGCATGTATTGGGGAAAATAAGTTAATTTTATGAGTAAAACCTCAGAATTTGTAATAGTCTTGAATACAGCATTATATGTGCAGGTAATCTGTGACATAAACTCTTTCTACTTCTGAAAACTCATGTAAAATGTTATGCTTCATTTTAGGCAAACACAATTCTTCCTCATTCACATAGCCATCATTTACACTGCTTGCCAACCCTAATGAATATGGCTGCATCCTTTGATATCCCCAAGGAAAAGAGACTGTAAGTATCAGAGCTTTAGCAAAGCTTTTGTTTGATATATTTAATATCAAATTAGATTATTGTCTCTTCTTTTTAAAAAAAATAGTATGGATAGGTTATGGTGGGAAATTCTTTTAAGGAATTTGCTAAAGGAAAAATTAATAGTTCTAAAAATATTTAATAATTTGTCTTTTAGGCTGCAAAATACTAATAGTGTAATAAAATCACTTTTTTCTAGCATGTTTGTAGACAAGGACATAGAATGGTTATCATATTACTAAAAATGTTAGCTGAGAGGTTTTTGGACTCCTTTATGTCATGAGCAGCAATTCTGGCTCTTTTTTTTATGTCTATGAACTATTTCAAATAAAGCTTTACAGTATTAATATATTCTTTTATTTGCGTGGTTAAAAATGTTGCAATTTAGTAACAAGTACTACTGGGCCACATAGCAATAAGCTGAACTCCTGCTACTAAAGGAGATACTGCAAACATAGAATTTACGAACAAAATTATGGTAATACAATTGTAGCTCTGCTGGAATTCCAGTGCTAATAATAAAATATATATAAAAGGTAATGATGGAAGGGTTCAATTGGGAAGTGCTAGAAGGAACTTAGTTTGACTTGGCAAAGATTATATCTACGCTAGGAATGTCTTTTTGTGGTTGTTTTTTTATTTTGTTATTATGATCAAAAACATACATGGACGATTTTATTTTTTTGCTTGATGTTAGTGAAATGGAGTTTTTTAGCTATTCAAAACTATGTATTTTTGTTAAGAGTTATAGTACATTTTTGAAAAGTTTACTTAGCTTTAATAATAAAGTACGCTTAATAATCTGTTAATTTTCATTCTGCCTTTGGAAATACTGTTTAACAGACCAAAGTTGTCTTATAAACTGAGGGCATTAGGAGTTATCTCAGTTCTGTCTCTAGGCTTACATCAGTAATAGTAGCTTTTAGCTTTTATATTAGTAGTTTCATGATGGAAGAATGTACTTTCCCAATACCTGATAGACCTAAACTCTGGGTTAGATTATGGCCACAAATTCCAGGGTTTATCAGGAATTCAAATTTATCTTCAGAATTCCAGTAAGAATAGTCCTCTTAAAATAGTTTTATCTTTAGCTCAGTAAGCTTTCTTTATTGATAAATACTTGCCAGTCAGCACATCCCAATATTTAAAAATTCCACTTACTAGAAATTCTGAAGGTGAGACTTGCTACCAAATTCTTGAAAGTGGCACTTGTATTTACCACAAAGAATTAAATATAATTTATAAAAATATACCATTTACAGTTACAGACCAATGTGGAAAATAGAGACTGTTCAGTTGATACTGGGATCATTGATTATCCATATGGGAGTACAGTGAAATTATTTCAACCTCATATCATAAACAAAAATAAGTTTCAGGCGGATTAAGGATTTATACGTGAAAAGCAAAGCTTTAAAATTTCGATAAGAAAATATAGAAAACTAGGTTTCTGACCTTGTAGTTCTTAAAACCAATATACAAAAAATACCTACCACCATAGAAGAAAAGTTTAGTAAGTACATGTTCAATTGCATCTAAATAATCAGTGTGTCTTTATATAAATCAGTAGTGTTATTTTTTGTATTTGTCTCTCCAAATTTGATGAAATAATTTACTTTATCAATAATAATTTCTAGCCTTGATCTTACGTAAGCTTTAATAATTTACCAAGGTAATCTCTTAAATTATATTGGTCTTGCTACTGTATTGATTGAATTGTTTTTCTCATTAGGCGAGCCAGTGCAGCCTTGAACTGTTTAAAACGCTTCCATGAAATGAAGAAACGAGGACCTAAGCCTTATAGTCTTCATTTAGACCACATTATTCAGAAAGCAATTGCAACACACCAGAAACGGGATCAGTATCTCCGAGTTCAGAAAGATATATTTATCCTTAAGGTGCTGACATGAAATCATGATTTTCATCTTAAACACAACATCTTAATTCCTTAACCACTGGATTTTAGTATGCATGTATTTGAGTTTACACTTCTCTTCATGCATATGAATTTTCAGATGGCTTCTGAGTTTTATAATTTGGAGATGGGTTTTTATAACTTTAAAGTTAAAAAACCTTGATCTATCCTTAAATGGAAAAGCTGCCTTTCATTTTTTCAAATTTGAACTTAGTTTTCTGATATGAGGACAGTTTGCCTTAATTTTTCTTATTACTTTCTGATGATTTTAGGATACAGAGGAAGCTCTTTTAATTAACCTTAGAGATAGCCAAGTCCTTCAACATAAAGAGAATCTTGAATGGAATTGGAATCTTATAGGGACCATTCTTAAGGTATGAAAAGATACTTCATGGTAATGGCTTGTCTTTAATTTTATTATTAATTATAACGTAATTATCTTATATGTGTGAGAATTGATAAGTACATATGTAATATAACATATTATGTTTTTCTAGTGGCCAAATGTAAATCTAAGAAACTATAAAGATGAACAGTTACACAGGTATGTAAGAACTATTTTGCATTTAAATTTAAAGAACTTAAATATGGATATTAGGCCTAATACCTGCTAAAATATGTAATAATTTTAAAGACATATACATACATTTTAACAATGTCTCTTCAATAGGTACTCATATATATTTTTAATATAGTCTTATTTTATAACCAAAACATATTAGCAAATTCTTTTTCTAGTTATTTACATTCTGCTTTTAGTTTTGGAATAGATGAAGTAGTTGAGATAAAAGTTTTTCAAATTGGGGTAGTATCAATTGTATAGTGGGTCTTAGCCCTGACATATGAGGATGACATAATAAGGACTTATATTTTTAATATACAACTTTTATTCCTGTTTGACTTTGGAGTTATCCATTATAACTGCTGTTTACATTCTCCTTAACCACACCTTCCATAACCCGTGCAAATGTTTGTAGCATGAAGAACACTTTAAGCTACGATGCTGTTCTTCATTACACCCATATGTTTTTACTCCTGAGTTTAGACTAACCAGCTATTACTACTGATCTCAGAAAGAGGTCCTTAGTATGTTTGAGAAATTCATGTCATTAACATTATTATTTGATTGCATTCTGTATTCATGATATGTAACCTAATATCTATAAAAGTTTTAAGAAATAAAGATAACTTATAAATTGCACTGAAATAAAAAAGCATAGTACTAACTTTTTATACTCCTTGAGAACACAGATGATGTCTTACTCAACTTTGTTTTCCCAGCTCCTGGATTGGACACCTCTATTGGATTGAATTGTAGTGCATGAAATTGAACTGAACTAAATTCAGTAGAAGCTTAGAACATAATGTTGAAAGATATAATGTTGAAAGATCATAAATTATGTCTATAAATTCATTGGCCTAAATTGCAACTTTCATGCTTGACCTTTTGCCTAATTGTGAAAAACCAACAAAATCATAGTGTAGTATCTTACAATTATTATCTTAACAATAGAACATTATTGAGCCATGGGACAAAGTTCTTCATGAATACAATAGAAGAAAATTTAAGTTCAGGTGACATCCTCATTTATCAAATTTTTATATTCTAGCTATGTTAAATCTGCATTCATCCATCTAGCATCTTTCTTCTCCTTTATTTTTTCTAACCATCTCACCATAAAATTCTTACTCCACAGAGATTTTTTTTTAAATGAAGGTTTTTTGTTTGCTTGGTTTTTGGGGTTTTTTTTGGTATGAAATGTACTGTATTAGTCCATTCTCATGCTGCTATAAATCACTGCCTGAGACTGGCAGTTATTTATAACTGCCTCTACAGATAATATAGAAATTACCTATAAAGGAAAGAGGTTTAATTGACTCACAATTCCACATGGCTAGGGAGGCCTCAGGAAACATAATTGTGGCAGAAGGGGAAGCAAACATATCCTTCTTCATATGGCAGCAGGAGAGAGAAGTACAGAGCACAGGGGGAAAAGCTGGTGATAAAACCATCAGATGTGAGAACTCACTCACTGTCACGAGAACAGCATAAGGGTAACCGCCCCCATAATCTTATCTCCTCTCATGAGGTCCCTTTCATGACATGTGGGGATTATGGGAACTACAATTCAAGGTGAGATTTGGGTGGGGGCACAGGCAGACCATATCATGTACCAAACACTTTTAATACATTTCTTGCCATTTATCCCAATGGTTCAGACCCAAAACATATTCTGAAAGCCTTATTATGTCATAAGTAATGGTTAAGATTCTAAAATAATTGCTTCATTTCTTACCTTTTTGCTACTTGTGTTTTGATTTTAGGTTTGTACGAAGACTACTTTATTTTTACAAGCCCAGCAGTAAATTATATGCCAACCTGGATCTGGATTTTGCCAAGGCCAAACAGCTCACGGTTGTAGGTTGCCAGTTTACAGAATTTCTTCTTGAATCTGAAGAGGTGGGCATTCTGAATATTTTCCAGAGCAAATGTTTTTTATTGAATTTGCTTCCCTTACCCTCCCTCTGTTTCCACCTTGTGTTTTGCTTTTATTTCTGAATATGCATAAGCCGTATTTGGAAACATAAGAAATGATCCCAGACCTAGAGTTGAATCCCGACTTAGTCACTAGTTATGAGACTGGGCAAGTTATCTGCCCTCTAGAAAACCTGGTTTACTCTTCTGTAAAATGGAGAATAATATCATCTCCATGCAGCATTGTGTTGAAGTGGATTAGAAAACAACAGGTACTCACTGATTGATAGCTATTATTGGTAACTTCATCATTATTAGTAAGTTTTTGTACTTGATTGAAGTTGATTTTCTAATTACAGATTTTGAATGCTTTTCTCACAATATCACAATGTATTTACTTTTAGGATGGGCAAGGCTACTTAGAAGATCTAGTAAAGGATATTGTTCAGTGGCTCAATGCTTCATCTGGAATGAAACCCGAAAGAAGTCTTCAAAATAATGGTTTATTGACCACCCTTAGTCAACACTACTTTTTATTTATTGGAACACTTTCTTGCCACCCTCATGGAGTTAAAATGCTGGAAAAATGCAGTGTATTTCAGTGGTGAGCATTCCCAGATTTTGTTGCAATATATACATGAACTTTATTTTTAATGTAGTTAGATATGGTATGCTTTTTATTCTGTGTACATGTGTTTGGTTAAGTTTTATTTTAAATTAGCATTATCTTTGCTTTAATATTCTTTTTAAAATTGTTGTTATTAAATGCTTTCTTTCCAAAAAGCTTGTTTATATTAGGAATTTTAAAAATATACGTTGAATTGACTTCATGCTCTTCCCACTCCAGCATTCAAAATAGTAACTATGTATGATGATTGATGTGTTCATTGATTGTGGTAATCTTCACAATGTATGTGTATATCAAATCAAGTTATACACTTTGAATAATACAATTTTTATTTGTCATTTATACTTCAGTAAAGCTGGAAAAAATATTTGTTTAATTAATGTATCAATATAGTAATTTCTTTTAACCATTCTTATTTTTTTTTTCTTTTAAGTCTCCTTAATCTTTGCTCCTTGAAAAACCAAGATCACTTGCTAAAACTTACTGTTTCTAGCTTGGACTATAGCAGAGATGGATTGGCTAGAGTCATCCTTTCCAAAATTTTAACTGCAGCTACTGATGTGAGTATAACATAGCCAGTAAAACTATATTTATAACCAATTAATTCACTACTTTATGAATTTTGGGCTAAGTAAAATTAAGTTCTAAGAATATGATATGGAAATTGAGTTTACTTTAAAATTTTAGTTTCTCCAAGGAACTGCATATAGTACTCAGATTTTTGTATCGGGGGAAGAAGCTGCTAGATAGAAAGGGAAGTATTCTATTTCACAAGAACCAAAAAAGTATTCATATCAAGGGCTAGACCACCAATTCCAGGCATTCTTCCCTTTTCAAGTAGCAGGACTATCCCAAAATAAAATCAAATAGGCTATTTATGCTGAAGTTTTTTTTTTTTTTAATGTATTCATTTATCCTTATAGGCCTGCAGACTCTATGCAACAAAACATTTAAGGGTATTATTGAGAGCTAATGTTGAATTCTTTAATAATTGGGGAATTGAGTTGTTAGTGACCCAGCTACATGATAAAAACAAAACGATTTCCTCTGAAGCTCTTGATATCCTCGATGAAGCATGTGAAGACAAGGTAAAGGTTCATTTTTTATAATTTAATACTTAAATTTTTTTGAAATACTCATTTGACAATTATGTAAAAGTATATAATAGGCATTTTGGAACTAAAAATTTTGCTATTTTTGTGCAATTATAAAAAAATAATGATAATCTCTTTTAGGCCAATCTTCATGCTCTCATTCAGATGAAACCAGCGTTATCCCACCTTGGAGACAAGGGTTTGCTTCTCCTGCTGAGGTAAATTTTAAGTAAATTTTCTGTTATGTTTTTTTGTTGTGTTCTTTGGCAGTGTATATTAAAGATAGATTCAAATCCAAATGGGAAGTACGCTGAAGAGTTTACCTTTTAATATTGAAACATTGTCTTTTCATTATTTTGGGTTTTTCTTTTTTTTTAATTTTTTTGGTCTGTTCATACTTTTCATGACATTTTCCTTTTTTTTATTGAGACGGCCTCGCTTTGTCATCCAGGCCAGAGTGCAATGGTCCAATGTTGGCTCGATGCAACCACTGCCTCCCAAGTTCAAGTGATTCTCCTGCCTCAGCCTCCCAAGTAGCTGGGACTAAAGGCGCACACCACCACGCCCAGCTAATTTTTTGTATTTTTAGTAGAGTTGGAGTTTCACCATGTTGGCCAGGCTGGTCTTGAACTCTTGACCAGGTGATCCACTCACCTTGGCCTCCCACAGTGCTGGAATTACAGGCGTGAGCCCCCGTGCCTGGCTGACATTTTCTTTATTGTGATTGGGTTCGCGTGTTGTTGCAAAGATTGTGAAAATTTATTTGTAATTGAAGTTATAATAAATTATAGTTGACCTTTTAGTTTTAGGAACGAACTATTCCTAAAGTCTTTTAGCTCCTTATACTTTTTTAAATTTTAGTTATTTTAGCTTCTTAAGATACGTTTTTGCCAGACTCAATGTTAAACTATTGCTTGTTTTAATTTGCAGATTTCTCTCCATTCCAAAAGGATTTTCCTATCTGAATGAAAGAGGTTATGTAGCAAAACAATTGGAAAAGTGGCACAGGGTAACTTCTTATTTGAATAAAGTTGAATTTGTGTGTTTTTATCTTCTGAAATTGATTTGTGAATTTAGAGGATGGTTTTTTTATATCAGTGTTTTGAAATTAATAAGGTTAAATATTTAAACATCAATATCAAGTTGAATCCTAAATTCTGCATAATTGCTAGTATTTATAGTTATACATTTTTTTAAACTACAGTTATTTCTTTCATTCTGAACTGTTGACTGTATTCGTTCTATTGAAATTTGACTCTCAACTCATTTGATTTTATAATCTAATTTTTGGCCCTGTTTATCATTTCTTTCATTCTTCGGTCCCTTAATATGGCCTACAACTTTGCATGAGCCCTTTAAGCTAAAACCAAAATAATTTTTTTAAATGAAGGGAGATTGAAATCCCAAGGAGATATAATCATTTAGTTAAACTTTACTTTAGGATACTACTTTACCTAAATCTGAGAATGAACTTCTTGCTGTCATAGGGAAACCTGCTAAGAAGGGAGTAGTTTGAAGATATGAAACAACTTTTCTAGCTTTTCTTTAGCTGGTGATTGCTGTGGCTTCATTATTTTGTTTGAAGTATTATAAGTCATCGAAGCATCTTGGAAACCCATGGTCAAAATGATCTTTACCGATATAAATGATTTTTAGATTTTTCATCATTTCAGATCAGTTATCCTGTTTTCTCTTTTTTGTTAACATAGTTACACATTCTTTTATAGTGTCTATATTGAACCATATTTCATAAGAGATACTCCTTAAATGGACTAAAACTTCCAAGCATACAACTTAAGGCATGAAGTCTTTTAGTATTTGATGAATTGTAGAACTGAGACAAGATGTGATAGGTTTGTTTCCTAGAAGATATTTAAATCATCATAATAAAATTTATTATACAAATCATAGTATTAGAAAATTGCTTAGAATATTGGTGCAGTGCTTGAAAATAGCATAAAATATAAGAGCTATAACAAAGTTACATGCAAGGTATAAGGGAACACAGAGGAGAGATTAATGATTCTGCCTTAGGGATTATCAAAAGAAATGTTGAATAGGAGCCGTAGATGTGATACTTGAAATGGTCTTGAGGAGTAAGTAGGCAAATAAATTAGAAGAAGGGTATCCACGGAAGAAGGAGCAGAATAAAGCTGTATAGATCATTGGAACATTATAGACTTATGAAGAAAGTCATATTCCAATGTAGTTGGAACTAAGGTAAGTGTGGAGTGGCAAGATGAGGCTGGAATGGTAAATTAAAGCTAGATTGTAAAAGGCCTCGTAAGCCATATTATATCATCCTAAGGGATTTCAATTGTATATATAGTGGGGAATCCTTAACAGCTTTTAAAGAGTGATCAGAGTTGTGCTTTAGTAATCTGACAGGTTGCAGTGAAGAGGAGGAATTTTGATCATTGAAGGTAAAGTCTAGAAATATTGACACAAGTTTAGAAACAAGAATTGATGAGTGCCTGAACTTCACTGGTAGTTAGGTTGATTAGATGAGGACGCATTTTCTGGGTATTTTCAAAATAAGATGGACAGAATTTGTGGGCTGATTGGATACAGTAAATAAGAGGTCCAACTTGGCTCATAAGGTTTCTAATTTAATGACAATATATAATGGATCACTATTAAGAGATCACATTTATAAAAAGTGATTCAAGATTAGGCTAATGAATTTTCAATATGTTGAACTGGCATTGTCTGTGCAGTAACCACGTGATGGCTTGAAAATGTGGATCTGGAGCTCAGATTTGTGAGGAAAATGGCAGATATGGGGGTCATTAGTATATAGTACTAGTTGAAACCTGAGCCAAAAGCTTATGGATATGATAGAACATTTGCATTCATAATACCTTGATCTGTCTACCCTTTGCTAAGTATCTGACATATTTTAAATTTAGTGACTCATTGTGATACTATGTGCAATTAAAACAATATTATCCTCTAGGAATACAACTCCAAATATGTTGACTTGATTGAGGAACAACTCAATGAAGCACTTACTACTTACCGGAAGCCTGTTGATGGTGATAACTATGTTCGTCGGAGTAACCAAAGGTGCGTACCCAGTTATCAGATTTAAAACTAGTTCATCATAAATTATTTTTAACATTTCTGAGTTTTTGTATATTCTGCTTCTAACATGATATAGGAAGAATCTTAATGCGCAGCATTAATTGCTCAAAAATTCAGTGGCATTCATGGCATGTTGAATATCCTTACTGATAACGCATTCACATATACTCCATGCTGGCACCCCAGTCTGTATTTCTAGGCCTAGATTCTCTTACCAGTACTTTGAGCTCTGATAAACTGTTACAGGTTGAACATCACTTATCCAAAATGATGAAATGTTTCGCATTTCAGATTTTTTCAGATTTGGAATATTTGCATATATATAACGAGATACCTTGGGAATGGTACCCAAGTCTAAACATGAAATTAATCTGTTTCATATACGCCTTATACACGTAGCCTAAACATAATTTTATGCAGTGTTATAAGTAATTTTCTGTATGAAATAGTTTGCATTAAATACTAATGTGTGGAATTTTCCACTTACAGTGTCATGTCAGTGCTCAAAAAGTTTTGGATTTTGGATCATTTTGGATTAGGGAAGCCCAGCCTATATTTTACCTGAGAAATCCTCATTCCTTGTTACTTTCATATTTTTATTTATGCTGGAGAGTTGTATCTAATTTTATTTATCAAACATTTATTAAAATTCTTTTGTTCTAATTAGCATATTTAAATTAGCCAAGAGATATAGTAATCATCTTTATTATACTAGATTACAGCGTCCTCACGTCTACCTGCCTATACACCTTTATGGACAACTAGTACACCATAAAACAGGCTGCCATTTGTTGGAAGTACAGGTAAAAACATAATTCACTTATTTTAAGTAGCTACAATAGTAAAAAAAAAACAAAATCTTAACATTGCTAAAATATTACCTTTGCAAAAACTTCTCAAAAGCTTTAATATCAGTGGTGTAATTGCTTTTAAATTCATCTATTTTGTAATTGACTTAGGCATTCTATATTTATTAACCTGAGAAATATTAATGGCCTTGCAATGCATTAACTGACTTGTGTATGACTTTTTGAATAACTAACTTGTTATGTAGAGTAAGCAATCCAATGAAGATCTGAGTTCTTTTTTTAGAGTTTAGTGGAGAAATTCAGATCTCCAAAAACGTACTGAAAAACCGAGTTTTTCTTCCACTCATTGGGAAATTAAACTGAACCTAATACAGATTAAGTTATCCTTGTTGAGCAATAAATTGAAAGTTGCTGGTTGTGAGCACATTTTATTCTCGCGTACTTCATGGAATGTTAACAAGCATAGGCAAGCAGTTGTTCTTTGAGTTATAATATGTACACCGCATTTATGGTTGTGAATATGTCATGCAACTGTTTCCAATAAATGTAACGTTTCTCTTATTTTAGAAATAAAGTTATAGGAATATTTGTTTTTGTGACAGAACAATAGTTATTTAACAATTTAGTTCCCGATTGTATCAGTATTCATCTCAAGAGCACAAAGTTTTGCATAAATGTACTCTATAGTTTCATGTGTTTTTATATTACGTCTGTGAAAACTGTTGGGACAAGTATTTTCATATTAACATTTGAAAATTTCACTAAAAATTTAAATGATTTTCTCAGTGTTACTACTTACATAGTATGATAAAACCTAAGCACTAATTTACTTTCTGTTTTAAAGAATAAGTATGATTATTTAGTAATACTAAGTGCCAAGTACTTTGGTAAGCACTGTATGTGCAATAATTTATTAAATCTTGAAACCTTATGATGCAAATGTTATTATCACTCTTCTAGATATTAGGAAATCAAAGGATGAGGAGATGAAGTAACTTGCCCAAGGCCATGCAGTTAATAAGTGATAATTCTAGAATGTGAATTCAGAACCCCTGCCCTATGCTGCTTCTCAAGAAATTTTACATAAAATTATTTAGAATTTAAATATGCAAAAATGACAAAAAACAAACGTTATACTGGTTTTATGATGCAATAATAATATATTAAATACATAAATATATTATTACTCATGGTATTTTTTTTTCTTTCTCCAGAATATTATTACAGAACTCTGTCGTAATGTTCGTACACCAGATTTGGATAAGTGGGAAGAAATTAAAAAACTGAAAGCATCTCTTTGGGCCTTGGTTTGTAATAAACACTTCTGTAAGATCTTCGCAATTTTTAGATTTTTAAGTTTTTTTTTCATTTATACTAAATAGATAAATATTTTCTTTGGAACTACTTATTAGATTAATATTTAAGACTGGATTGTTCCTGCCAATATAAGTGTATTATCTCTATGTTGAAGAATAGATGGTTGAACTATTGGTTTCATGACTTTTGTTTTGTTGCTAAGACAACTAGAATTAATTCATGCCTAATGTTTTGTACTTGAGGAGGCTTTTACATTTTTTCTCTCTCAGAGATGAGGTTAAATTTGTTTCTTGGTAGCTTTCCAAATCTTTTGAAAGAGTGACTCTTATATTTGATGTAAGTGATTTCTTTTCTTTCAGGGAAATATCGGCTCATCAAATTGGGGTCTCAATTTGCTACAGGAAGAAAACGTGATTCCAGATATACTAAAACTTGCAAAACAGTGTGAAGTTCTTTCCATCAGAGGGTAGGTCATTTAACTCAGAAATCTTTCTAATGTAGACGTTGTTATTCACAAATGGATGTTAGGGGAAAGTATTTTATGATTAAGTGCAATGCATAACTGTTAATCCACTGAAAGTTCTAATGATACAAGATTATTAACTGTATTAAGTTAAACATCTAAACGAACTCCTTGTTTACTACTATAATTTGATTTTTATTATATTGAAGTTTACCTTGTAGGTAACAGGTAAGGCATAGTGTTGTACAGATACTCCAGTATTCCTGTAACCCAGCTGTTCCAGATTTATACTAGAAAAGCTAATATACCTTTTTTGCTCATGTTGCATTGTGTTCTTTTTATTTTGTTGTAATTACTATTTTTATTGGGAAGGTTTGCTTGTTTTTTATTGCTGCTAATTTATTCCTGACTAGTCTTAATAAGTTTTTTTTTTTCCACAAACGCAACCATTTTGGTGGGTTTTAGAGAAAGTTCAAAGTATGTATAGCAAATTAATCTGTGGTGGCTTTAAGAAATCTCAGCTTGGAATTATAACTGTTTTTACTGCATCTTTTATATACAGGACCTGTGTATATGTACTTGGGCTCATAGCTAAAACCAAACAAGGCTGTGATATTCTAAAATGTCACAACTGGGATGCTGTGAGGCATAGTCGCAAACATCTGTGGCCAGTGGTTCCAGATGATGTGGAACAACTCTGTAATGAACTTTCATCTATCCCAAGCACTCTAAGTTTGAACTCGGAGTCAACCAGCTCTAGACATAATAGTGAAAGTGAATCTGTGCCATCGAGTGAGTATCCTGACAGGTTCATATAAAGTTAGCCAATGTTAACATTTATATTTGAATTTTAGAATTTAAATGTATTTGTTACATTTGTAATTTGCTTTTGTCTAAGATAATTATTTGGCAATAATAGCCTCTTGGAGAATGTGTATATTTTCATAACAAAGAGTATAATCACCAGCTTACATTTTTCTCTCTCCTTATATTCTAAGTAGCTTTTGAGGATTCCTACAAAGTTATGTAATAAGCCATGTGCCAGAAGAACCAGTCCTCCTTTTTTTGACAGAAAAGAAACAAATATAACAAGTATTTATTTGTCTACCTTCTTTATTTAATCTTTTTACTCATTTTTCAGATACTGAGATTGTTGAGCCAGAATATATTTTTAACTGATATTATATTCACATCTTCATTTTTGAGAGAAGCACTAAATTTTAAAATAGTGAAATTGTTAATAGAGTAACAAAAATAGTTATATATAAAATGATTTGTGGTTTTAAGTCCTGTGCTAAGTGGTGTTAGGTGTACAAAATTTAAGGCATGGTTCTTCCTTTTAAGAAGATAGTGTCAGCTTTATCAGACTGTGTATTTCACCAAATCTGAGATGCCATGAATTATGAAATATGCCAATATTTTATGTACCACAAAAGAAGAAGAAAGAAGAAGTGCTGCCTATTAAACTAGGACATACTACAAGATGCATATTGATTTTAGAATCAGATTCTGTGTGAAAATAGAAGGGATTAAATGTGAAAAGTGTGCATCTTAGAATTGACAAAATATAGAAATGGTAATGCAGTATGCAAATTCACTTAGGATTTTCTTTTACCTTCTTTGAAAATATATTTGAAGTATTTGTAATTATTCAACAGAAAAGTTAATAAAAGAAAAATCGTATAGATGTCATTAGGCACTCACTTGGGTTGCGTCTTCTAGTAGAATTGGGCACTAAATTTAATGAGTTTCTTAGTATCTAAGGTAAAATGAGAAATAAACATAATTTAAACATGAATTTATAATGTTACCACTTGGTTCTCTGTAAGTATATTTTAAGATTGGGAATTCATTTCTTACAAGGTGAATTTCTCCTGCTTATAGTAATTTAAAGAAGAACCACTAGGAATCTGTAGTAATTGAGTAAGCATCCATGGCCAAGTCTCCTTTTTCCCTTTAATTTCATCCTGAATATTTGGAGAATCAAAAGAAACTTCATGTAACCTGTGCCATAGTGGGTCTTATAATAATTTTTCTTTGGAAATAACAGGAGATTCTCATAAATTACATAATTTTACATTTTATTCAAGTCCAAACTCTGGGTTTCAAGAAAGATATTTTCAAGTAGCTGAATGGTTTAACCGTTTATTTTTAAATTTTTTCCTCTAGATGACTAAAAAAAAATTTCCTGAAATGTGATGTCACTAATAGTTATCATGAATTTGTCATTTTATATGTGTTTTTATTAATTGATCCTTCAATCATAGGTATGTTCATATTGGAGGATGACCGGTTTGGCAGCAGCTCTACTAGCACATTTTTCCTTGATATCAATGAAGATACAGAGCCAACATTTTATGACCGATCTGGACCCATAAAGGATAAAAATTCATTCCCTTTCTTTGCTTCTAGTAAACTTGTGAAGAATCGTATCTTAAATTCGCTTACTTTGCCTAACAAAAAACATCGTAGTAGCAGTGATCCAAAAGGAGGGAAATTATCATCTGAAAGTAAGACAAGCAACAGGCGAATCAGAACACTTACGGAGCCCAGTGTTGATTTTAATCATAGTGATGATTTTACACCCATATCCACTGTACAGAAAACATTACAATTAGAGACTTCATTTATGGGGAATAAGCACATTGAAGACACTGGTAGTACACCAAGCATTGGAGAAAATGACTTAAAATTCACCAAGAATTTTGGTACAGAGAATCACAGAGAAAATACAAGCCGAGAGAGGTTAGTAGTAGAAAGTTCAACGAGCTCACATATGAAGATACGTAGCCAAAGTTTCAATACAGACACTACAACAAGTGGCATAAGTTCAATGAGCTCAAGTCCTTCACGAGAGACAGTAGGTGTAGATGCTACAACTATGGACACAGACTGTGGAAGCATGAGTACTGTGGTAAGTACTAAAACTATTAAGACAAGCCACTATTTGACGCCACAGTCTAACCATCTGTCTCTCTCCAAATCAAATTCGGTGTCCCTGGTGCCTCCAGGTTCTTCTCATACGCTTCCTAGAAGAGCACAGTCCCTTAAAGCACCCTCTATTGCTACAATTAAAAGTCTAGCAGATTGTAACTTTAGTTACACAAGTTCTAGAGATGCTTTTGGCTATGCTACACTGAAAAGACTACAGCAACAAAGAATGCATCCATCCTTATCTCACTCTGAAGCTTTGGCATCTCCAGCAAAAGATGTGCTATTTACTGATACCATCACCATGAAGGCCAACAGTTTTGAGTCCAGATTAACACCAAGCAGGTAAGCAAATATATGTTTAGAAGTGACCAATAATGGTTGCATTTTAACAAATTTAAATACAAAATGTTAGCCAGGTTTTACACTATGTGAGCCTCATCACTGACCTATTATAATTGTTTACTATGGTAGGCTATAAGCTCCTTGTTACCCGATATGACTTGAAATGGATTCTTGCAGCTGCGAGGGGGGAAGAAAATCCTATAGGCCCTGAAAATAAACATACATGCTTTGCAAAGGACATACAAGTCACAAGCTTTTTTTTATTTATTTCTCGCTTCTGCAAGGATCGATTTTAAAAAGAAGCATGTCGGGGGAATCAGGAGCTTAAGACCTACAATAACAAACAACCTTTTCAGGTAGGTCAATTTAAGGCTCCAAAAGTTGACCTCTTTATTATTTTTTTAAAAAGATAAATGAAAATTTCAGTGAAATTATTTTCACTTTAAGTAGCTGTGATTATTAAATAGGAACCTAATAAACACTAAATGAAATACTTGGTCCTCATGACTCAGCAGGGATTTCTATACCATATTTAGATTATATCAAGCTAGTCAAAGTGAACAGTTTAGATTTTACTTTTAAAAGATACACAGTATTTGCTGCAAAAAAATTTTGTACCTATAATTTTTGTGGTTGGACCAAATGCTTCTAAACAACTTTCCTTAGTTTTAAATTATTCATTTACATTTATTTAAGTGGATTAATATATGTCAGGTACTTATATGTCAACAATATATGTTAGAATACTTTAGCACATATTAAGCACTCAATAAAAGTTAGCTATTTATCATCATCATTGGTAGTTATTTAATGTAATCCATCTAGCCCTTACATTATTCTTAATAACATTAAGCAGTTTTGTTTCAATAATGCTTAACACATTTAATAGAGGGTTTCTTGGTAGCAGACAATGAATTGTGTACCCTTACAGGATTTAAGAAATTATGCAGCAATGTCTCATCTATCTGGAACTCACTAGCTTTGGCAACCTTGTCCAGGACAAAGCCAGGGAAAGTTCTCAACAGCTCACTGTTACAAATCTATGCAGTAAAGTTCATGAATTTTGAACATTCCTAAGCCTCAGTTACCTCATCTGGTGGAGATTGCACTAGATCAGTGGTTGTAAACTTTTGTATTGTTGTTTTTTAAGCAGAGAAATTATTTTTTCACATAAAGATTTCTGTGGAAACCCAATAGGTAGAATAGATAGAAAGGGACCTATACTGGTTGAAATAGGAATTGGGAAGGGGAATAATCCAATAATTGTTTTCCTCCCACTCCAGTAATCCTTGAAGAGTTTTATGGGAACCAAAGAAATGTAACAGATTACAGTTTGAAAGAGTGTTTTTTGGGTGGAAATTAGGAGCATGGTTTTTGCTATGTTAATAGCTACTATTTAGAAAGCATTTCTTTTGTGTGTTTTACAAAATAATTATTTGATTTAATATTAGGCTGCATTCGTACATTTTAAAGACTTGGTTTTCCAAACAAAAATATCTTCATATAAATGTATATAAATGTGGAACCTTGCATAGTGCCTTGTATATATACAGCAGATACCAAGTAAATATTTTAGCATGTCTGTTGCATAAGTAAGAATCTGTATGAGAAACATGTATCTTATGGAAATATCAGTGTATCATATTTGTTATGGAATCTCTAGTAGTAAGGAGTACATTGTGGAAATATCAGTACATTGTGGAAATATCAGTGCTTTTTACAAGGATATCTCGTCATAAATGACCATTTTGCTCTTGTGTCTGTCTTGTGTGCTACATAAATCTTATGTTGATAATGAAGGCATTAAGGTAATTATCACACAAATAATGATATGTAATTGATCTCATTTTTTATAAATATAATATTAAATAGAGTTGATACACATATCCTTAGTTACATAAATGCCAAATCTAGTAGTCTCAAGTGATTATGAAGATAGTCCTTGGACCATGCTCTGACTACTGAGGTCAGTTTCTTTTTTTACTTCTAGATGTTGAAAGTTATTCTAATTGCCCACCTTTTCACCTTTACCTGAGAGACCATAACAGTTGTTTTTGGTAACAGTCAACATTACTGGTGACCTTTTACATAGCGGTCTATAACAGCTAATATTTTAAAGTGTTTATGTGTTGCCAGTAAACAAGATGACACTGCTTAATACATGACTAGCTACTTGTCTTTTATGAAGGTAGGAATATATGTTATTTCTTCATATGATTAAAATTACAGATCAAGAAACTAATGCAAGTGGTTTCTTTATGGTTTTATAGGTTCATGAAAGCCTTAAGTTATGCATCATTAGATAAAGAAGATTTATTGAGTCCTATTAATCAAAATACCCTGCAACGATCTTCCTCAGTGCGGTCCATGGTGTCCAGTGCCACATATGGGGGTTCAGATGATTACATTGGTCTTGCTCTCCCGGTGGATATAAATGATATATTCCAGGTATTATCATACATTTTATTGTTTTCCTATGAGTTGGTTTCCTATTTTTTCATATGCTGTAACTGCTTACTAGAAATCATAATTTAGGGTGGGCACCAGTTTGGGGCAGCATGATTTTTAAGACCGTTTTGTTTAAAGAAACTTTAAGATTAAAATTATTTTGCCCTTTTCAACTACTCTGTACTCTTTTATTTAGTCCTTAGAACATTATCCTTCCCTCTCTTCCCATATTAAATCAGTATCTCATTTGATTTCTTTATCCATATATTCTCTGTAGAAATTTATGAAATTTCTAACTTGTTTTTTAGTCACATTTAACTTATACCTCATTTTTAAATCCTCATTCCTATTTATCCCATAAAAGGTAGCCAGCCATATGTGGTACCCAGTAATATAAGGTGACCCTAATCCCAGGAGATACCCACAGATCTCTAGATGGTATATAGTACTAAAGAACACATTTTCTTAGAAGTTGAAAGACATTTTAGATAAACGCTAAAATAATTAATGTCCATTTAGTCACTAATAATATAATAAGGACTTTTTGGGTTATTTTGTTAAGTTTTGGTAGTTGAACCTTCAGTAAACTTGATTATAGGTTCATATGCTATGGTAATTCTATTTTAATTTTATTTTGTTTAATTTTGCTAATTTTCATAAAGTGGGCTTATTTTTATAGCAGGACTTACCATGGTTTATATCTTTTTTTAGGTAAAGGATATTCCCTATTTTCAGACAAAAAACATACCACCACATGATGATCGAGGTGCAAGAGCATTTGCCCATGATGCAGGAGGTAATGCATTGTGCATTGTACTTGTGAGATGCCTCTTTATATTAAAAAGAAAACTCTTAGTTCTTTCTAGTAGGATAACACTAAAAATTTAGGAAGACTCACTTTTGGATCAACTTTAAAATTATACCAAAACAATTGTTAAAGTCAGCTTAAAATTAAACCACATTTTTGTGTATGTGTGAGGGACTTAACAGTGTTTTCAGTGAAGTACTCAACCTTTCAAGGAAATAGAAACCAAATTAGTTGTTTCTGTTTTTTAAAAGTAGCACATGAACAATGTATAACACTAATCCTCATAGATCCAGGAAATAGCTGTTTGTTTAGAGTAAGGAGAAAGAAATGTACTTATAAAATACACGGTCTTTGTTTTGAACTGTTATATTTTAATATGTAAATATAAGCCACAGGTTTTATAGCTTTATATTCTTAATGACTTTTTAAACAAATGCCTCTTTATACTTAGAATTATTACATATCTTTAGGCAAATATTGACGATAATTGAAATGATGTATTATATAATCTCAATTTTCCATTTTGTATTTAAAACACTATATATTAAAATAATAAACATCTGCTGGCTTTCCTTATTTTTATAACTTAAAGCAAATTATTCTTTTTTTCTTTCCAGTTAGATTTTGAGTCATAAAATGTGCTTAAGCTTTCTTTAAAATTTCACATAATTTAAGGTACCTTGAAAAGTATTATCTTTATTGGATTATGTTTTATATTTACTTATGCACAGGTCTTCCATCTGGAACTGGAGGTCTTGTAAAAAATTCTTTTCACTTGCTACGACAGCAGATGAGTCTTACGGAAATAATGAATTCAATCCATTCAGATGCCTCTCTGTTTTTAGAAAGTACAGAAGACACTGGACTACAGGAACATACAGATGATAACTGCCTTTATTGTGTCTGTATTGAAATTCTGGGTTTCCAGCCCAGCAACCAACTGAGTGCAATATGTAGTCATTCAGGTAAGTGATCACGTCCCACCTTCAGAAAAACCTAGTGATGACTAAAGTTCTCTGGTTTACTTTTCCAAATTTCTTTTTGGTATTCTAATTCAGAGTTTCCCAGCTGGTGAGCTGCAGCACACTGATATGCCAAATTATGTTATGCTGAGATGCTGATCCTCTCACGGTTCCAGGTCACAGTGGGGCCTGAGTCTGACAGATCCCTGGATTAGGTCTTTTCCACTGTGAACAGCCCTGTCCAGGCCCTTTGCATGCTGTAGTTATTTTCATTTTCTATGAGGAAAAAAGTTTTGGAAGTGTTTGGTATATTGCATACAATTAGAGAAGATGTTATTTTATATTATTTCTTTTTAGCATGCAATGTAAGCACAGGAATTAAGCCGTTATGGTGCTTTAATTGAAATAATTATTTTTTTCTTCAGACTTTCAAGATATTCCATATTCTGATTGGTGTGAGCAGACTATCCATAATCCTTTAGAAGTGGTTCCCTCTAAGTTTTCGGGGATTTCTGGATGCAGTGATGGGGTGTCTCAAGAAGGCTCAGCTAGCAGCACCAAAAGCACAGAATTGTTACTAGGTGAGTCTTCAGATTCAAATCCAATCATTATTAGTAAAACTGTTCTGATTAGTTGGTTTTGTTTTGTTTTTCGTAAATACTGTAAATTAAAGTTGTCTCAAAACAGTAATACGTCCATTTTAGTGAAGCAATTTAACACTGTTAATTATTGCACCTATATCACCCACTGACATAGAGCCTCTTAGCTATCTGCTTTTATTAGAGTTTTGCTCCCAAAATGATTGGTAGATCATGTGTAATTGATCTCTAGGTCTTTAGGTGAAGTTTAAAAATAAATTTCATGAGTTTTAATCATTTTATTGTGACATAGATAATATTTAACTTCTCCCTGAAATCTTTTCAGGTGTTAAAACAATTCCAGATGATACACCAATGTGCCGTATACTCCTTCGCAAAGAAGTTCTAAGATTAGTCATTAATTTGAGTAGTTCAGTTTCAACTAAATGTCATGAGACTGGGCTTTTAACGTGAGTAAACTATGTGCATGAGTATTATTTGTTTATTCTGTTTTTTAAGTCGAGAAAAGATACTTGAAATACTTCAAAAGTTAGGCTAGTTAACTTACATCAGTAGTTCTAAACTGCATTGCATACCTGTGTGAGGCTAGATTTTCTTTAATACTTCAGCCAAAACAACATATGGCAACAGATTGAATGTAGAAGCAAGTATGAGAATCCAGCTATCTTCTATTAAGCCAGACTTTTGAAGAGATCTGCAAAAAATGTAAAATAATGCCACTCTTCTCACTTTTTTACTTTTGGAAAATACAGTTATTTTTATTAAAATACATGTTAACATGTAATGGATTTATTTTTAAAATAAATTAATGCATGTTAGGAAATTCTCTCAATTTTAATTTCTAATATAGTAGTTAATGGTGGCTGTAACCCACACAAAAATAAGCTTTTTTGGGTCTTCAGTAATTTTTAAGAAAGTAAGTCCTGAGACCAAAAAGTTTGAGGAAAGTGGGCTTACATGTAACAAGTCATATTTTCTTGGTTTAATTTTTTTCTTATTATTTAAAGCAGTGGTTCTTAAAAGAAATGCACCTCAGGGTCTCCTGCAGGGCTTTTTTATTTTGTATTTTGTATTTCTTTTTTGAGACGGAGTCTTGCTCTGTCACCCAGGCTGGAGTGCAGTGGTGCAATCTCGGCTCACTGCAACCTCTGCCTCCCGGGTTCAAGCAATCCTCCTGCCTCAGCCTCCCAAGTAGCTGGGATTACAGGTGTGTACCACCACACCTAGCTAATTTTTGTATTTTTAGTAGAAACAGAGTTTCGCCAGGTTAGCCAGGTTGGTCTCAAACTCCTGACCTCAGGTGATCTCCTGTCTCAGCCTCCCAAAGTGCTGGGATTACAGGCATGAGCCACCGTGCCCAGCCAGCTGTAGGGCTTTTTTTTAAGGGTGATATAGGTATTGGGGTCCCACATAGGTATCAGGGTCCCACAGCAGACCTCTGGGCTGGGAGCTCTGGGAGCGGGCCCTTAACTGGTCACTCACCCAACTCACAGCTGATTCTGAGGTGCTTTCCTAGCTAAAAGCTGCTATTTGAAGTATCCAAAGAAATAGCCCAGTCAGGGATGTTAATAACTTAACTTTAAAGATGTATTTCTATTTTAAAACTTAATTTGGAACATATTTTAATCATCCTAGGCTGATAAATATATTTTGCAATTTCTCATGCCAATAAAAAAGAATGCTTCAATTTTACAAGAAGTATTCAGGTTTTGATAATCATTTTTTTTAAAAAAAAACCCAAACTCAGAATGTCTAAGTGTGTGACAGGAATATTTAATATTTTATATTCTCAAGTCATCACCCCAAGTATGCCATCTAATCCATATCTGTAGGGAAATCTATTTTTAAAGTAAGTGATACCTTGGAGGAAAAATAGATACATCATGATTACAGTTTTCATCACACCATAATCTTTTATTTTAGAATTAAGGAGAAGTATCCTCAAACATTTGATGACATATGCCTTTACTCTGAGGTTTCCCATTTGCTGTCACACTGCACATTCAGACTTCCGTGTCGGAGGTTCATACAAGAATTATTTCAAGATGTACAGTTTCTACAAGTAAGTATGATTAGTACTTCTCAAATTTATCTTCCAAGAATAATTCTGTGTTTGAATTGAATTAAAATACAGATTATAGCTGGGTGTGGTGACTCATGCCTACAATCCCAGCACTTTGTGGGGTCAGCGCGGGAGAATTGCTTGAGCCCAGGAATTCAAGACCAGCCTGGGCAACATAGTGAGACCGTGTCAACACAGTTTTTTTTTTTTTTTAATTAGCCGAGGTTGGTGTCATCTGCCTGTATTCCCAGCTACTTGGGAGGCTGAGGTGGGAGGATCATATGAACCCAGGACTCAGAGGTTGCAATGAACAAAGATGGCAACATTGTGCTGCATCCTGGGAAGACTGAGCAAGACCCTATCTCAAAAAAAAAAAAAAATTAGATATTTATATAAATATGTTATATCATCTGTTTTTATAAAAGTAATTGATGATACACCATTTTTTCCCTAGATGCATGAAGAAGCAGAGGCTGTGTTGGCAACACCACCAAAGCAACCTATAGTTGATACATCTGCTGAATCCTGACCTCATATTTATGATGGATATAGATACATACTATATATATTCATATTTGTGGATTTCCTAAAAGCCTCAGAAAATACGACTGACTAGGCAGCAAAGACAGGAGTATCTTCTGTACACTGTTCCGCAGTTACTGGTACATGAACAGTTGGAACTGCTGACTTTCCTAACCAAAACAACTTCCTTCTCTCCTTTGTTGAGCCTTTTGAGGGGTTCATGATTCATTACCACAGTTTTAAGAGTTTCAGTTACCATTGTATGCAAGAGCCAAGCACTGAATACCTACATAGGTTTTCTATTTTCTTTCATTTTAAAAGCATAATGACAGTGGAACAATAATGGGATATGCAGAAGCACCCTTCACAAGTTATTTCTGAATGATTTTTAGGGTAAATAATACAGATGCCTTGTTTGTTAACTAACTTGTGGAAAGCAGGAATCAGTGTCTCTAAGGCTGCATCCTATTACCACAATGGGGTGTGCTATAACTGCTGGTATTAGAGAGGGAACTTTGGCCCTTTCACGTTTTTCTTAATGTTTGTAACACTACTTCAGAGGTTTATAACCTCAAAGCAGAAGAAGAGCCTCAACAACCCGGGACTTATAAGTTATTTTTATGTTACTAGACTTGCATAAAGATTCTTGTTTTCCAACTCTTCATTTTGTTGCAATGTGTTATTACAGGATATATGAACCAATTAAGGTTTTTCACTACAGTTCTTGAATAAAATTTAAAAATCATTTTTTATTTTAATTAAAAATATTTCCCATTTATAGAATGCATATATTTGCAATGGACTTCCACTTTCATCAACTTTCCATCTCATCGCTTTAAACAGGAACTTGAACAAGCACTGTTAGTTTAGACCTAAAGGATAGGAAAGCATTAAATAATACTTTGGATCTCCTGAGGAAAAGATAAGTTTGCTTGCAATTTACACATTCCATGGGGAAAGAAGAGCCATATTTCCTTAAAAAAAACATTAATAAAGCTTGTTATTGAGAAAAATTGTAGTGAAAAGCCTTAAGTACCAAATTTTAAAGCAGCAGTAACTTAATTTTTATATCAGTGTTTTTGTTTTGCACAAACTAAATGCAGTGGTAGGTGGGTTTATGAGTATATTAATTGCCTTTATCCATTTGTGAAGTTAAGTTGATGAGGGCAAGGTTTTTGTTTGTTTAATTTGTATATGTCTAAAGGTATTTGGAACTTTTTACAGGAATTAAACATATATGCAAATTTGTATATAAAAATAGCATGGCCATCATTTGAATGCTTGTAAATGAAAGGATTATCTTTTTTGAGATCTATATATAAATAGAAATAGAAAATCCAGCTGGACTGATTAGGATTCTTTTTTAATTCATTTGTGTATAACATTTTTATTACAATTACACATCAGTTTTGACACAGTCATAGCAACATTAATATTTTCCCATGATGCAGATCCTTTTTGTAATGGGCTTGTTCTTTGAGATCTCTGTAAAGAACCCTGTGAACTAGAAAACATAACTCACAGAGATACTTTTTTAAAAAATTTATTTACTGGAACTGAAAGTTCCAGTTGGGATGAAGCATTTCATCTCACTTCATAACACCTCTTTGACTGCACTTCAGTGAATTGTTCTTATGTGCACTGTGTAGCAACTTACATTATAACAAAGCAGATAAGGGCTGTAAGCTGCTGCTTATGTTGAAAAGTGGTTCTTCAGATTTTCTCTCATAAAATCCAGTTGAAGATAAATAATTTTTTTATACTTTATCACTGAACCCAAGTGTTTATTTAAATGTCAACAGTACTTCTAAGAACGTTGCCTGTCATCGTGGTCTTTGGTCTTGGATAACTAAACTGCCTTTCCAGAGAACCAAATGTCAGAGTTACTAGACCAAATAGTGGTTAAAACCTCCAAAGGAAGTAATGTAATCTTATTCATAATGGGATTAACATATTTTAGACATTCATTTTAAACACTACCTCAGTTAATATAGAGTATAAAAATCTGTGGTTTAATCCCTCAAAAGTTAACAGTAATTTTTTTTTTGTCTTACACACACACACACCCCCTCCCCCACCATCACTATCCCTGTACCCTCACCTTGGTCATCTATCCTGAAATAAGGCTTAGTTAGTATTGGCCTGAATGTTTTGTGTTTTTTTTTTTGTTTTTTTTTTTTACTGTTACTTTGAAAAATATGTATGTATACCTTATCATATCTGCCTATATCACTTACTTTGGGGAGATACTCAGAGCTTTGTGGTTATCAGTATACTAAAAAAAAAAAAAAGTCTACGCTTAAATTTATAGTGCTATTTGGTTTCTCCATGATTTCACTGACAGGTCTAATACATTTTCTTTGAGTACTTGTTTGTAAAAAGTAGACTTTATGGTGAAAAATACATGCAGTGCCAAGTGATTAACTTAAGTGTTTAAAAATATTAAATTATAGCAGAAGAGGTTAGGAATGATATCAGCAGTAATAGAAATAATTGAGAAAATCATCTATAAATAATAGATATTACAGACTATAGAATACCAAAATAATGTCAATACTGTAGTTTTTAAAGATTTTAGGATTAATCTTAGTCCATATAAATTTGTACTATTGGTAATTATTGAATAATTGGGAGGAATCTGGGCAGTTGTGCTGGTTGTAAACTATGAATTTCTAATCGTAAAGTGAATTGTTATTTCTAATTGAACTTTTTTTCAAGAACAGATTTCAGCCTCACATACTAAGTAAATACTGATAAATAAGGAAATTAGAAATTTAGTATTCATAATTAAATATGCTCTAAAATTTCCTATACTTTTATTTCCTGTTTATTCTTAGGTAGATTGGAAGGGGGAAACAGTCTGTTCTCCCTAATTAAATTTTTTCTAATAACGATTAGTAGAATATGGACATTCTATATGACAGTGACATTAAAAGAGGCTCTTTGGAAGTATATACATTATTAACATAATGTGTACAAGTCCTTTTGAAATGACAACTTTAATGGGTTTCAGCTCTTTTATCTAGAGCTTGAGATAATTCAAGCTGAGTTTTTCAGGGCATATCACAACGGCCAAGTGTTCAGCAGTGGGATATCAATGCTTATTTACATTTTCCTACTGCTATTTATATAAAATGTTATTCCATTCAGAGGATGCCTTTTATCCCCACATTAAAGCACAGATCATTAAGCAATAAAAACCAAATTGTCTGTCATTCAAATTATAACTGCAGTTATTTTTGCATGGTAAGAGTGAGGTGCTAATTTTGTGTGAGATGAACTTTGTAAACTACTTTGGGAAATGTTCTTTGGAAGTAAGGTTTTTTCTCCTTTAGTCTTATGCTTCCACTTTTGTCTCAGATTCACAATCCATTAAAACATGGGGAAAAAAGAAAAGGTAAAATTGAGAGACTTTTGTTAGAGGAGCTATTTGGAATGAACCAACATTTCAGATTTTCCAAAATGTAAGTTAGGAAGTCTCCATTGTCTCTGCATTAACAAAATACACTGTTACTATCTTAATCTCAAGAGTGTCATTACAGTGAGAATCTCATTTAAAAGCATACCAGTGAAATTAATAGCAGTGCTTATCAAAGAACACTGAAATCTGTGAGAATCTTTCTAGGAGCATTCTTTTCTTCTTTTAGTTCCAAGTTCCAGGGTATTTTTCATTCCTAGTAGGTTTATATGACTCACAGAATGTGGACTTTTTTCCTGTTTGGAGTATTTTTGTAATGTAAGTATCGGATAGCTGCACCACAGCATGCATAAATTGCACATTTTGTTTTACTTTCTTTATAGAATATTTAATTTCAAAAATATAATTTATGCCAAAAAAAGCATACCTTTCAATTTTGCTACTTGGTTGATTTAGCACAAAATGCAAAGTCTTGGGGCAGAGAGGGGGAGTGAAAAAAATTTTATAGGTAATTGTTACAAAAATACCTGTCAGAAACCCTAAAGCTGCATTGTAAAACAAATGGTGTAAACTAGTTTTGAAAAGTGGTAAGGAATTGTGAAAAAAATCTCAGACTTAATGCTCTCTAACCACATGAGTTTCTTCTTTTTTATTTAGTAATACGCTGCTACATATTTGGAGGTTCTGGTGTTTGTAGGTCACTGAACAGACATTGAAATCTGATTTATATTGTATAACTGTAACATAGAAAGAAAAAGTATTTATATTTTTTCTGTAAGAATATTTCATTGAGTTGTGTATAATTTAAATAAGATTTGTCCCCAAATGGTTTTGCTCACCTTGATTTTTTTTGTTGTGATTTTCTTGTTTTTGTATAATGTGTATAGTTTATGTCAAGGGCATTAAAAGCCTCCTGAAGCATAATCTTATCAAAGGGATACATTGTTAATAAAATGTACTTAAAATTCTTAAACTTTGTCATTGTTTTATTTGAAATCTTAAAATAATCAGTGGTCATATGGCCTTGATTTGAGTCCTGTAATGCCGATGCTGACACACGTGACTCCAAGCAAAAGTGACTTTTAGGTACCACAGACATGTAGAGTGGCTGTTACAAATATTTTAAAGTAATACTCTTCTTAAACACTTCATAATTAAACATCTTTGTAGTTTTTTAAATATCTAAAGGGATTTGGAAAATGGGTCAGTCTTTAGATAGAATAGCTCTGAATTTTTTTAGGAAATAATGTACAATATGAGTGATGATGATATGACAGTGGTGACTTCTCTGTGGAAGGTATTTGATTTCTCACACATAAACTGCCCTGATATTGGATAAGCTTACCTACAGCTACCTACTGGCAAAAGAGAGTAACATACACAGAAATTACCAATTCTGGAGGATAAAGTTGAGTGTCGAAGTTAGGGTCTGTTAATAAAATATGGTAAAATGTATGTCTCACTTCAAGAAACGTTTTGGACAGTTTGGCAAATTTCTGTATATCATTTTTTCCCAATGTCTTCCACTGTGTATGTCATTGAAAATATAGTTGGCCTCTTGGCCGGGCGCGGTGGCTCACGCCTGTAACGCCAGCACTTTGGGAAGCCAAGGCAGGAGGATCACGAGGTCAGGCGATCAAGACCATCCTGGCTAACACAGTGAAACCCCGTCTCTACTAAAAATACAAAAAAATCAGCCGGGCGTGGTGGCCGGCACCTGTAGTCCCAGCTACAGGGAGGCCGAGGCAGGGAATGGTGTGAACCTGGGAGGCGGAGCTTGCAGTGAGCCAAGATCGTGCCACTGCACTCCAGCCTGGGCGACAGAGCAAGAGTCCGTCTCAAAAAAAGGTAGTTGGCCCCGAAATAAAAAGCATACTTACAAATTCATCATGCCGCTGATCCTTTAAAAAAGTCCTAATGTAGCTGAACTTGGAAAATATTGTTTCATTTTTAAAACTTTAGCATATAAAATACTCAAAAATACGGTACTACTTCGGTATTGATTTTAAGAAACTAAAATATACTAAAACAACTTTCCTTAATGCTTAGAGGAATAAAACAACTATGCTTTCAAATTGAATATACCTATTGTGTTGTAAACATTTTAACTGAAAGTTGTGAAAACTGTCTTCTACTTTCTCTCTTCCAGAGTTTTAAAAGTTCTACTTTATGCAGACTGCTTTAACATGCTTTGTAAATTATTTGAGATGAAAGCTTATCATCTTTCAACAGAACTCTTAGAAGTGTTTAATAAGAAGATATTATTAAGTAAGTCTTGACGTTCTTCATCAATACACATTCTAGTAGGTAACAAGGTTGACCCTAATTAGTATGGGTTAGGTGTTTGAATGTAGGAAGCGTTTCAGCAGTCGTACTGTTGTGTGAAGAGGTCCCAACTCCCATCTTGAATTGTCGAGTTCCCCCACACACAGGTGAGGACCGTGCACAGGCTGACGCAGGATGTAAAGGCCATATATGCCAGTCCCATCCATCCACCACCCAAATATCCTGATTGATTTTTTTTAAGGAATTATTACTGTGATTTTAGGTGCAATTTTAACAATATTATGACTATTAGAAAAAGTAGAGCTTATTTAGAGAACTCAGATATTGACATGAAATCATGATATCATGATTTGCTTCAAAACAATGTGAGGAGAAAGCGAACAGGGGTGTGGATGGAGCTGAAACAGTCATGGGTAGTGACCATTGGGGCTAGTGATGATACATAGTGGTTTATTAAACTATTCTACTTTTGTGTATATATTTATTTGAAATTGTCCATTATTATTTTCCTGACACATGAATATGTATTATTTCAAAGTTTCTGAATAGCACTTCCTAAAGCCATGTTAAGATGGCATATAGTATTGAAAACTAAGGTTTTGAACGTGAATTTATTTGGTTATGACCATTGGAGACGAAATGTTTACAGCCAAGACTACAGGTCATAGTGATACTATGAAGACAAATGTTACAGAGCCCAGCATTTCCTATTGGCATGTTGTTATATTTCAGAAAGACTTCATTTGATTTAGGCGAGTGATTCTCAAAGTTTAGTGTGTAGATGAATGCCTGGGAACTGATGATAAAAAATAGATTCCAGGTCCATGCCCCAAAGATTCTGATTAAGAGGTTTGTAGTCATACCCAGGAATTTACATTTTTATTTAGTAAGTTCATGAGGTGATGTATCATCTAAACTGAGTAATTACTAGATTTTCATTTCATTGAGGGAGATAAAACACAATGTGATGATGAAATATTTTAATTAAGGTTTATTTCAATAGCAAAAATGACTTCAAGATTTTGCGTGAATTATTTTTTAAACAAAACTATATGAAAAATATGTACAAATCAGTCATCAATGTCATTGACATTTTTATGAACAAGTTTCAAATGAAAAATATCCCATCATAACAAAGGTACATAAATAAATAAATGCTGACAATACTGGCCCTAAAGTCTAACACAACTGTTAGACTAATCAGGATACCGCTTTCTACTACGTGAGGAGCACATAATCAATGTTTCCAGCAAAAGGCAAGTACTGGTTTGTGTAGGTTTATTTAGGCCAGTTGTTGACAGCCACATTATTTTGAGGTGTGGCTACTTGTTTCTCTTCATAGTGTTGAATGGCACAGTGCAAGGCATTGGGCACCAGAAGCATGAGCATAGGCAGAGCCATTTCCACCATGCTGACGGCAGGCAAGAAGAAGACAAAAATGAACCCCTTTCATGCTTGTTTAGAAATGTGACGGCTAGGCGCAGTGGCTCACGCCTGTAATCCCAGCACTTTGGGAGGCCAAGGCAGGCAGATCACCTGAGGTCAGGAGTTCGAGAACAGCCTGACCAACATGGTGAAACCCCATCTCTACTAAAGATACAAAATTACCTGGGTGTGGTGGTGCATGCCTGTAATCCCAGCTACTCAGGAGGCTGAGGCAGGAGAATTGCTTGACCCTGGGAGGCGGAGGTTGCAGTGAGCCAAGGCTGCACCATTGCACTCCAGCCTGGGCAACAAGAGCGAAATTTCATCTCAAAAAATAAATAAAAGTAAAATAAATGTGACAAATAATGTGACAAATAGGCTGGGCATGGTGGCTCACACCTGTAATCCCAGCCCTTGGGGAAGCTGAGGCAGGTGGATCACCTGCGGTCAGGAGTTTGAGACCAGCCTGGCCAATATGGTAAAACCCAATCTCTACTAAAAATATAAAAACTAGTCAGGTGTGGTAGCATGCACCTGGAGTCCTAGGTGCTCTGGAGGCTGGGGCAGGAGAACTGTTTGTTTGAATCTAGGAGGCGGAAGCTGCAGTGAGCTGAGATTGCACCAAAAGAACCAACATGTACTAAAATACCAGTTGTGTACCAGGTGCTTTGCATATATTGGTTTGGGATATATTGGTTCAGAGGAGACAAAGCTGCTCCAGAGCCAACACGGAATTTCCCACTTCATAGAACTTTTTAGTTATATCTAAATTATGTCCAACAATGAGGTTTCATTTTACTATTTTAGCATAATATGAATATAAATGTGACTGAGAGTTATCTTGACCCAGACAACCTACTGCAGAGTCCAAAGGATGCTAAGTGAAAACAGGTCATTTATATATAGTTCTTGAAAGAAAAGAGGAACCAAAAACTGTGACTGGAATTATGTGATATACGTTCCTTTTTATGTTCTGAGGTAGTCATCAAAAATGATGGCAGAATACTGATGTCTATGGAGCAGAAGTACAACTGACAGTAAGTCAGAAGTTACTTGCCAATCCCATTCTTTCACTGTAGTAAGCTTGACAGAAGAATTGTGGAAATCTTGTTGATTCATCACACATTTTATATATTAGATTAGAGCTATGCCCCCCGCCCCCACCCACAGAGTTAATTTTACTGTGTCAGTGAACTATAGATTCTTATCCGTTCAAGGTAAGTCTAAAATCTGTTTTGGCCTCAAACACCTGTGAGTTTTTTATAAAACACGCTCAGTAAATTTACATTTGACAATCTATGCTATAGTAATGTCTCCTGTGGCCTTTATTAAAGCCTTCAATATAATAATTGCTGTTAATGGAAATATTTCCTCAGTAAAAACTGAACTTCTAGGACCACAGCCACCCTGTACAGTACTGAGTGGGAGTCTGTAGAGTGGTTAATGCATATCCTTAGGTCAAGCTCAAGTCTCCTGTTCTAAAGGTGAGCCTGGAACAAACAGCAGAAGGTAAGCATGCTCCCATGATCCTGCCGTCTCTAGGGCAAGCTTGCTCCAATGGGGAGTGTTAAGTTCCATAGCCTCTGGCCTTTAACCTAGCCAGACTGTAGTGGTCTTATATAAACCAGACCTGCAAATCGTACTGGGATTAAGGACCAAGGCCACTGGTGATGACAGGGTGCCAGCTCTGCTCTTCTTAATGTCTGTGTAGCATAAGGTATGAAATCGGCATGCTGGTTAGCAGTAGTGTTCACCTGGATCTAAAAGGGTAATTGAGGAGAGGCTGCTATTCTCGGTCGGGGGAGGCAAGGCAAGACGCAGGGAGACTGCCATTTGCATTTTATACTCTGAACAGTGTGGTGCCTCTACTGGGTTTGTTGGGAGACTGTCCTTGTCTCCAAACATGGGTGAAGCCAACTGGGACACATAATTCAAACTTGTTTCTCCAGCTGGGATTTCTCCCAGGGAGTTCATGTAGTTTTTTTCTAGTGCCTTTAGTACATTTTCAGGTGAGGTCATTAGTCCCAGCATACTTGGGGCTTTTGGGGATACTGGAACATGGCCACAAGAGCCAGAGTCAGAAGCTGCCTGGTTATAGGTCAAGTTCTCAAAACAGATGCAGGGGCCAGGGCCAGAGTGATTCTTTTCTGTTGGAAGGAGATAAAGGTAGTTAGGCTTAGTCAACTCGGTTTCTGTGAGTGACTTCCTAGTGCCTAGGAACTGTATCTTTGTCCCTTCTGGCTTGCTTACAACTTCAATAGCATCTGGGATACAGTCACTGACATTCATTATTATTAGGTGAGGGTTCTCCTAGAAAGGAAACAAAAATATGTAAATATAGACATTTGTGTGTGTGCATGCATGCATCAAAGTATATTAAGCATGTGAAATACACTTAGAGCTTCAATGTTCTTCATGTTTCTTCCTGGTCACAAGTAACCTGGAGGTGATGTTGAAAACCAAAAGATTTCCCCTGACAGAAGAAATCAAAGCTCCAATCACCTATTTCATGGCTGTGGGTGCAAAGATGGCTTTTACTGTGCTATATTTTCCTGAGGAGCTCTAGGAAAGTAGGATTCTGACAGCCCCCACTCTGGGTTAGTCCTTAATAGGTATATGGTATACATACAATTTGCCAACATTTACCTTGAATTTTATTAATGACAGGATGCTGCTCTTGTAAGGGTCAGGGATGTCAGGATAACAGGTCTCCTTGATCCTAGAAAAAAAAGCGAAAATGAGACTGAATTTCACAGTACAGTGGACGAGTTAAGAGCAAGAACTCTGGAGTCAGATTCCTGGCTTCTAATCCTTGCGTTGTAACTTATTAAGCAAGTTACTTAATTCTTCCATGCTTTAATTTCTTATGGCTAAATGGAGATAATTATGGTACTTATAGTGTCCCCATGAGGATTAAATGAATTAATTGATAAAGCACTTAGAACATTGCCAAACATACAGTAAGAGAGATATAAATATTAGCTATTGCTGTTGAAAAAATTTTGTGGTCTATTTTAAATGGTGATTAGTTTCCTCATATAGCCACTTGGAAAACAAAATTGTGAAATAAATTACATACTCTCACCCCAGCCTCCTTTGTTCTTTTCCTTTTTTATACGTTGTTTCATATTATTCAATGTCATTTCTATCTTACTAAATCTCTTTCCAGACTTTTCTCTTACTCTCTTCTTGGATAAAACCTTCCTCACACACTTACCACTGACTTTTCAAGTAGCACATGACCATGATGAGCAAGACGCAGAAAACCATGGGCAGTAGGATATGAATCAGCATCGAGGCTGAACGAGGAAAAAGAAAGGGACATTTTTAATAAGTACTTTTCCCTTCCTCAAAGGAATAAATACAAGTTTATGATTGAAAGTAATTTTACATGTTTATTATTTCTCAAATTATGTATGCAAGTTGTAATATGAATTCTGCCTGACTTCAGGGGAAAAGCCAACCAACCAACTAGCCAACCAACACAGGAAGCCATTTGCCATCAACACCGTGTGTCTCAAATTTGTTACTATCTATCTCTTCTGATAGATTGGATCATGACTTGCTGTATTAAAATTATGCTTTTCCACCCCTGCCAAAACTTCATGGTAGGTGAGAATACTATCCTGCCCCTTGACTTGGGGCTCAGCCATGTGCATTGGCTTGGCCAATGGGCTGTTGGTAATTGTAACGTAAGTGCTTTAAATGTGCATGCATACATCGGCTTGCCCTCTTGTGTTCCTCAGCATGAGAAGTGTGTGCCCCAGGTAGCTGCTGCGACTTCAGCCTTAGCCCTAGAATGAAGATGCGTGAAACAAATCTGAACCTGACTGAAGCTTGGAGTCCAGCTTACCCCAGTCTAGATCAGCCAAGTCTCGGCTGACCTGTAAACCCATGAGCATAAAAAGATAGATTTGTTCTTGTATGCCACGGAGCTTTTGAGGGTGTTTGTTACACATCAAAAATTGACTAGTGCACTCCTTCTAGTTAGCCTCAGATTACATAAATATGTCTTAATCTGGGAAAATGATTACGTTTATTTCTCCAATATGTCAACTGGTGCTTCATTTATTTCAAATGACCATTGTGAAATCTGTTAGAACCAAAATGTAATCACTAATGGTAGGAAACCCTGACAAATAGAGCTGGGAAGGCCACGCAGATAACAAAAAACACTACGAAAACCACAACCTTGCACAAAGGCCATCACAACCTTACACACACACACACACACACACACACACACACACACACACACACAAAATGCTTCTGCAAGGGCATCTTCCCATTAAACCTTGAACTGGCATCACCCTTATTATTAATCTTTGTAGTCAAGAATAATTATTTCAAAACAATTATATAATCCTCCTCATTTTTTTTCCTTTAAAAACCTTTGTCTTCCTTTACCTCCCTGAATATGCACATAGTTTACTATAGTTTATTTTGGCATAAGTATTTCCATTACAATGCTCAGTCCCAAATAAACATCTTTTCTTTCAGAGAGTATCTCTCTGTTATTAGACTGACACTATCTTCCTGTTCCCATTGCTTGCAATTTCCACCAAATAATAATTCAGCTGGGTTGGTAAACATCCCTTTTCACAAATGTAAATTGCTCAGGGAGGGTTTAGGGGGTTAAGTTATTCACATCTACATATGATTCTGTTCAATCCATTTGCCTCCCCTGCCCTCCCCATGCTCCACCTCACATCTGGCTGTCCTGGAAGAAATGGGGCTTGATTTGGGGACAGTGGTGTGGCAGATAATGTTGGAGTTTTGTAAAGAAAAGTGGCCCTGGGTAGATGCACAAGCCCGTGCTATGAGGCAACACAGGGTTCTAGGGAAAAGGACCCACGAAGGTAAGAGAGGGCCAAAACTGGCCTAAAATTAACCCTGACCCTGGAAAAGGGGAAAGAAACTCTCTTTATGAATCTTACTATGGAAAACCTTGCTCTCAAGAACAGTACTTTTGATGATGTAAACCAAAAAGTATCTGAGACAGGTCTCCACCAATTTAGAATTTTCTTTTGCCAACGTGAAGGATATGACTGGAAGAAATAAACAGAATCATAGAAACATTATGTGGTCTGTGCCTTTCTCCAAAGATAATGTTAAAGGGGAAAAGTGGGCTGGAGGAGAAAGGGCTGGAGGAAAAGTGGGCTGTAAGGGAGAGTATGATTATCCACATGTCACAAGAGAAAACGAGGAGACAGGAGAATAGTTAATCATGTATTCATCTCCCAGGAGAGGCTAAGATAAGGTAAATATAGAGTAGCTACCTGTGGAGATATTTAACTTTTACTGTACCTATCTGCTTAGAAGCAAAATGAATTGCAGCTTCTTGCATGAACCAGCTTTCAGCTTATTTTTTTCCTTTGCATAGTGAATTTTATTTTCCTTTCACAATCACTGTATTAGTACACATCTTTAGGTATTTCTTTAGGGTTTATGTAGGCATTTTGGGGGCATATATACCTAGGAATGAAGGCTCTCACATCTAAGGTATATATATGCTCATTTTAGAAGATACTACCAAGGAGTTTTCCAAAATTGCTTGTACCAATTTACTCCCACCAGCAAGGTATGGGAGTTCCAGTTTTTCTACATCCTCATCAACACTTGGTATTTTTCATCTTTTTCATTTCAGCTATTTTCAGGCTAATTTTAAACACAAACTTTTGGAACATAATCTACTTCCATACTCAGGATTGAAAAGTGATTCAGTAATGCCTATTAAATTCAGAAGGAAATGTAGTGCCAAATGTCCAAATATAAAAACACAAATTACAGTTGGTCTGGATACCCCATATGTTTAAACAAACTGTTTACCCTCTCTGTCTCCTAATCCGAGAAAAAGTTAACAAACCAATTTACAAAGAGAAAGGATTATTTTGAAAAATACCAACAGAATAAACATTTATTCACTATTTTGCAATGTCAACATTACATCAATTTTTTGCATTTCTGTTTTTTGCTTGTTTGTTTTTACTGTTTAATCATCCTAGCCTCATTGTAGCACATACAGGTATTTTTTACTCCCATCTAACAATATCTGAGGTACAGTTAATTGGATGCTAGTCACATAATAGTATACCTATTTTTTTTAAAAAAAGTAAAATCTCAGGAAAGTTGCAAATATTTCAAATATTTTCTTTCAAATAATAATATAATCAATAGTCACAAGCCAAGCCAGGGCTAATGAAGTTTAACATAAGGGAGATGAATGAGACTTAGAAAATACATATTTAAAGATAAGTGTGTGTGTGCACATGTGTGTGTGTGTATACCAAGTAAATTCCAAAGGTCGAATAAAACTAACCTGAAAATAAATTTAAAATTAACTCCAACATGCCAAGAGTGCTCAAATAATGTAAATCACTGACACATCTTAATCAGATAAGGGGTTCTGGATTTTGGTTTGGAAACCTAGGGACATGTTTCAGTGTAGTAGTCAACATGCAGTCAGCACCACAACCTGTCTGATATGGTTTGGCTGTGTCCCCACCCAAATTTCATCTCAAATTGTAGCTCCCATAATCCCTACGTGTCATGGGAGGGACCTGGTGGGAGGCAATTGAATCATGGGGGTGGCTACCCCCATGCTGCTGTTCTTGTGATAGTGAGTTCCCACAAGATCTGATGGTTTTATAAGGGGCTTTTCCCCCTTTGCTCGGCACTTCTCTCTCCTGCCGCCATGTGAAGAAGCATGTGTTTGCTTCTCCTCCTGCCATAATTATAAGTTTCGTGAGGCCTCCTCAGCCATGCAGAACCGTGAGCCACTTAAACCTGTTTCCTTTATAAATTACCCAGTATCGGGCAGTTCTTTATAGCAGTGGAGAATGGGCTGATACAGTAAATTGGTACTGAGGGAGTGGGGTGCTGCTTATAAGGATACCCGAAAATGTGGAAGCGACTTTGGAACTGGGTATCAGGCAGAGGCTGGAACAGTTTGGAGGGCTCAGAAGAAGAGAGGAAGATGTGGGAAAGTTTGGAACTTCTTAGAGACTTGGAGGGCTCAGAAGACAGGAAGATGTTGGAAAGTTTGGAACTTCCTAGAGGCTTGTTGAATGGATATGACCAAAATGCTGATAGTGATATGAACAATGAAGTCCAGGCTGAGGTGGAAGTCCAGGCTCAGATGGAGATGAGGAACTTGTTGGGAACTGGAGCAAAGGTGACTCTTGTTATGCTTTAGCAAAGAGACTGGTGGCATTTTGCCCCTGCCCTAGAGATCTGTGGAACGTTGAACTTGAGACAGATGATTTAGGGTATCTGGCAGAAGAAATTTCTACAGAGAAAAGCATTCAAGAGGAAGCAGAGCAAAAAAGTTTAGAAAATTTGCAACCTGATCATGCAATACTAAAGAAAAACCCATTGTTTGAAGAGAAATTCAAGCCAGCTGCAGAAATATGCATAAATAATGCATATTTACAGCCACGTGTATCTGAAAAATGTGCCAAATGTTAATCATTAAGGCAATGGAGAAAATGTCTCCAGGCCATGTCAGAGGTCTTCATGGCCACCCCTCCCATCACAGGCACAGACACCTAGTAGGGAAAAATGGTTTCCTGGGCTGAGCCCAGGGCTGCCCTGCTCTGTGCCGCCTCAGGACATGGTGCCCTACATCCCAGCTGCTTCAGCTCCAGCTGTGGCTAAAAGAGGTCATTGCTTCAGAGGGTGCAAGCCCCAAGCCTTGGCAGCTTCCATGTGATGTTGAGCCTGTGGGTGCACAGAAGTCAAGAATTGAGGTTTGGGAACCTCCGCCTAGATTTCAGAGGACATATGGAAATGCCTGCATGTCCAAGCAGAAGTTTGCTGCAGGGGCAGAGCCCTCATGGAGAACCTCTGCTAGGGCAGTGTGGAAGGGAAATATGGGGCTGGAGCCCCCACAGAGAATCCCCACTGCCTAGTGGAGCTGTGAGAAGAGGGCCACCATCCTCTAGACCCCAGAATGGTATATCCACCAACAGCTTGCACCATGTGCCTAGAAAAGCCAAGACACTCAATGCCAGCCCATGAAAGCAGCCAGAAGGAGTCTGTACCCTGCAAAGCCACAGGGGTGGAACTGTCCAAGACCACAGGAGCCTATCTCTTGCATCAGCATCACCTGAATGTGAGACATGGAGTCAAAGGAGATCATTTTGGAACTTTAAGGTTTAATGACTGCCCTATTGGATTTCGAACTTGCATGGGGCCTGCAGCTCCTTTGTTTTGGCCGATTTCTCCCATTTAGAATGGGTGTATGTACCCAATGCCTGTACTCCCATTGTATCTAGGAAACAACTAACTTGCTTTAAATTTTACAGGCTCATAGGCGGAAGGGATTTGCCTTGTCTCAGATTAGACTTTGGACTTGGACTTTTGGGTTAAAGCTGGAATGAGCTAAGACCTTGGGGGACTGTTGGAAAGGCATAATTGTGTTTTGAAATATGAGGGCATGAGATTTGGAAGGGGCCAGGAGTGGAATGATATGGTTTGGCAGTATCCCCACCCAAATCTCATCTTATATTTCAGCTCCTATATTCCCCATGTGTCCTGGGAGGGACCCCGTGGGATGTAATTGAATCATGGTGGCAGTTACCCCCATGCTGTTCTCATGATAGTAGGTGAGTTCTCACAAGATCTGATGGTTTTATAAGTGGCTTTTCCCCTTTGCTCAGCACTTCACTTCTCTCTCCTTCCGCCATGTTAAGAAGGATGTGTTTGCTTTCCCTTCTGCCATGATTGTAAATTTCCTAAGGCCTCCCCAGCCATGTGGAACTGTGAGTCAATTAAACCTCTTTCCTTTATAAATTACCCCCTCTCAGGCAGTTCTTTATAGTAGTGTGAGAACGGACTAATACACTGCCACTGCAGCCACGTGTATCTGAATCACCAGTCAGGGCACTCCAGGGTCAGCAGTCCAACAGGATGTGCCCATCTCTACAGCTGCAGCTTCAGTGAGGGCACCATACATTAAGGAAAGTTGGTAACTTCAGGCAAGCCTTTTGAATCTATTTGCTTTTCATGGGTGCCTTCCAGGATCTTCTATGATCCCCTCACTGAAGATATTCTTTTCTCCTCTTTCTTCCATCAGTATCTATTTTCTCTCACCACATTCCTGTTTATTGGTTGTCAGGGTTTGCCATGAGAATAAATTTTTCCATCAACCAGTTCTTACTGTTTTTCTCCCTTCCTTCTTACTTCATCTTTCAAGCCAAATGCATTTTTGAAAAGATCTATCTCTCCACCTCACCATTTCCCAACCAAATATGCAAACAGGGAGTTTGTGAGCAAGTATTCCATTCCCCTGCTCAATTCCCACCCCACTGCACCCATCTCTAATTGCCCCTGGAGGCCCTAACAGAGTCAAGAACCAATTCGTTTGCTGCTGAGGGAAATGAGCCAGAGGAAAGCTAGCTGCAGAGAACAATTCTGCTGAGAAAACCAGCACCACTCTTCTCTAGACAGAAGCCTTGTGGCTCTTCTGATGTCAACACTAAAATATGCTATCTGTGTTTTCAAACTACATACAGGATTGTGAGACTGAGTTCCAGAGAATTGTCTCAAGGGCCACTGAGGGAGGCAGAAGGAAGATTTTAGGCCTTAATCAGACAGATTACCTCTATTTGTATCTGTTTTATATAGTGAGAGTCTGTGCAACCCTTTTTTTGTGACAAAAAGGGTTTCATCAAGAGAAAGAGGGAGGTGAGAAGGGGAGAAGAAAGGTTTGAAAATTCCTGATCTAGACAAAGCCTAAGTCAACACTTCTGTAATTTGTTAGTTTCCCAGAAACTCCTAAGGGAAGAACTTTGATTTGGGAAAACTCACAGTGTTCATCCGGAGTCGTGACCTTCGTGAACGTAGCACTGGGGCCTTCACCAGCACTAGTGAATGGAGTGATGAAAAACTCATAGAAGGATTCTGGCTTTAGGTTGTCCACAATCAATGCCTTTTCTTCCGGGTTGTCAATTTTGTATTTGCAACATTCTGAACCATCTGTGATTTTTTAAATGGTTTTTTTTTCAAGGAAAAAAAAGATTTTATTAAAAGTGTTGTAAACATCTTGTGAGAGAGCTGGACACTAATGCTCTTGTTAACTCAGCACCACCAACATGTTTATACCAAACAAAAATCAAATCATAATTTCATCACCATGGGCACACCAGGTAAAATGGTCAGGAGATGGCACAAAAAGCAAAAAATCCACTGAACAAGGGGTACTAGTGATCCAGCCAAAGCATACAAATCTGCAAGAAACAGTAAGAGCTTGCAAGGGGCTTAAAAATAAATTGGAACAATGCTCAATAAAGTGAAAAAAAAAAGAGGAAAGTTTCATAAAGGCCAGGCTTTCTTAAGGAGCTGGTGGTGTTTCAGATGCTTCTAAAAATACCAAGTCATATTGTTTTTTAAGTAAGTTAAAATGCTGCCCTGCCCCCACCATCTTGCTCACCCTACTAATTTGCTTAAGAACACCTTTCCAGTATAAAGCCATGCAAGAAGGGAATTCAGCCTGGCCACAGTCTGAGATGGCAGCCATTATTTTAAATGATTTCAAATAATGAGATCTTGAAAGAATAAATAAACAAATTAAAAATAGATGTCACCTGAAAGAACTGCCTTTTCAAATCGTGGGTGGCACTGCCTCGCCTTGGATTTCAGATAGACATGGTACCCTTGTATAAAACCAGGTTGAGATTCAGTAGAGTAATCTTTCCAACTCAGAGTGAAGGAGTGGGATGTCAATGTATCCACCAGCACGTGAGGGTTGTCTGAAGGAGCTAGGAAAAGAAGTTGGGATAAGAGAAAAGTCATGATTTGGAAACAGTCTCAGAATATTCATGTCAACTAATAGAAGAACCATAGCCAGCTCTGGAGGTTGTAACAGCTTATGCCAAGTTAAGGAGTTTTATCTGTTTCTCTAGAGGATTTGTGCCTTGACATAGTTTATGAGAGCTGTGAAGGAGTTGAGCAATCTTGTTCAAGTCTTGCCTTTTACAGATGAAGAATGGACACCCAGAGACTAAATAACTTGCACAAGCTCACATAGCCAAAAAATAAAAATAAAACAAACTAAACTCTAAAAAAAAGGAGACTTAATTCTGTTCTTGAATTCAAAACAGTGTTTGAGGAAAGACTCAACCAGAGAACCTACTAAAGTGAGGAAGAAGGAAGGAAGTGGAAGAATTATGTTCAAAGAGGCAAGTGGGGGGATTTGATGAACTCTAGTTCCCAGGTTGTGGCAGTGCACACTTATCCAAGTGTCACTGAAAAACAATCCAGGAATGTTTACTTTGAAGGCTTTGCTGAGGCTGTTTTCCCACACACGCTTATGCACACTTGGACCGTGCACACAAGGTCACACACCTCCTGCCTGCTCTGAGCCAACTGTAAACTGTGGATCCACTCCTGCTAAAGGAAGAACCCCTGAGAACTGGTCTGATCTGTGTGAACAATCAAGCACCCAGCTAAAGAAGGGGAATAAGCAACCCCATGGAAGGATCAAAAATCCCCTCCACTGCTGGGGGGACAGTGGTAACATTTCTAGGGGGTGATTTCACAACATGTGTGGAAAGTCTTAAAAATTATGAAAGGAATGAAAAAAAAATTTTAAAAGCTGAAACCCTTTGATTCCAGCATCCTATCTTTAAGACTTCATTTACAAACCATTATTATGGATTTGGACAAAGATTCAGCTAAAATGATGATTATTCACATAGGGTATAAGAGACTGAAAAAAGGAAGAAAGAGAGAGACTTAGCAATGAGAATTAATGAAAATGTTTTGTTTGTATGATTAAAAAATAATTTTAAAAACCCAATTGCTAGAATAAATGGGATACCAAAAGTTGGGTATGGTGCTGACAGCTTCCTAAACCCAAAGCTAGGAATCTATGAATTGTTCTGAACAAGTCTGCACATGGGGCACATTACATGCTTTAAACTTACCAAGTTCCTGAGAGTATCCTGTTTTTTTCTCTAATAAACAAGCAATCCTTTTTGTAGATAACCCATAAATTCTGAAGTCATATCGAACTCCTGGCCTAAAAGCATCTAGGGAAAAAAAGTCAACAGATTTTTAATAACAGAATGATGTTTCCTAATTCTGAAAAGAAAAAGAATGAAAAGGCATGACACGTTGGCTCACGCCTGAAATCCCAGCACTTTGGGAGGCCGAGGCAGGCGGATCACTTGAGGCCAGGAGTTGGAGACCAGCCTGGCCAACATGGTGAAATCCTCTCTCTACTAAAAACAGAAAAATTAGCCAGATTTAATGGCGGGCACCTGTAACCCCAGCTACCGGGGAGGCTGAGGAAGGAGACTCACTTGAACCCAAGAGGCAGAGGTTGCAATGAGCTGAGATCAAGCCACTGCACTCCAGCCTGGGTAACACAGCAACAGTCTGTTCCCCACCACACCCCCCAAAAAAGAATGAAAAATAAATTTGTGCTCCCCTAATAATTGGCTTTCAGGAATTTTGTATTTCATCCCCACGATATTCCCTCCTTCCATGAAGCCTTGGAGTCCTCCATGTTGCAAACACCTGGCCCCACTGTCTTGTCTCCAGCAAAGCCTGCAGGGACTGGCCTCTGCAGTGTTCTTTGAAGCAAGAGTTCTCAACTATGCCTGTATCCATGTGCATACAACTGGGTGCAGAATCAGACCAGACATAGAAAACCAAGCCCTTCTTTGGCTCCAAATCCCCCTCCAGTTATTTATCTTCCCTCTTCCCATTAAAGCCAATAGTCTTGAAAGCTTTGCTTCCACTTCCTCATTTCCCCATTACACCTGTACCTCTGCAATCTCCTTCCACAACCCACCATACCACTGAAATTGGCAGAACCTTGATCACCCTCTGAACAGGGACATTTCCCACACCTTTCCCTGAGCCCAGTAGATGGCGCCACCCACCCCTCCAGCTCAAGCCACACAAACCAGCACTCCTCTGACTGCTAAACTAGCAATCTTCACATTACAAATCCAATGTGGGAGGTAAGAGAACAAGTTCTACATGTTCTATTGAAACTGAAGTTGATGATCGATTCTCATCAACTATATGTCCTAAACATCTTCCAAATGGATGCAAGTCTCTGCTTTTGTAAAAGCTCTCTGGACAACTGTTATAATAATGTCCTTCTGCCATTCGAGACTATGCACTAATTTAAAGAAACAAGTTTATGAAAATCAGTTCCCACCTCATGTGCAGATATTCTCTGCAAAAGTAGATTTAAAGGTCAAGTTTTAGAACATATTCTTGTAACATCTGAACTCCTAACACCCATGCTGGATTTGTCGTTTCAAAATTACTAGCTTAGCACAGTCAAAGTCTGTGAAGTAGTCCAGAAATCCCACTTGAACTTTCTTCAAGGTGAATATAGCAATGCGATGATATGGAAGCTTCTTCTTACCTGTGCTAATGACTGTGCTTGTGGTATTGGGACCTACATTCTTCCACTGGAAATCACCGAGCACATCCTGGGTATGGTCACACCAGTCCACAACATAGCCTATAACATCTCCAGGTTGGGGTTTCCAAGACAGAGAGAATCCACCCTCTGTGCCTGCAATTCTTTCTTCCTCAACCTCTTCTGTATATAAACAAATAGAGCAATGCTCCAGATTTAATTAACTGTAAATTGTTTTAAGTGTGTAAGGTAGAAAGTAAATACATACATGCACTGTATCTAGTAGGTAACAGACCTCCACTTCAATAGTTACAGGTGCTTGGGTGGGGGATGTTTTCATGGGTGAGTTCTTGTCTCTTACTTCCCAGCGAATATTCACACCTGCCCTTCAGATGCCCATCATGTTGACCTTCTGAAGCCCAACCAGACTTCAGCACCTAGGACAGGGGTCAGCAAACTACCACCAGGAGGATGATTCCAGCCTCTGAGGGTTGTTTTCATATGACCCTTGAGCTAAGAATGGTTCTAAGACATTTTAAGGGTTGTAAAAATAAAAATAAACCAACAAAGAAGGCATATAATAAAATATGTAATGGAGACTATATGACCTGCAAAAATGTTTGCTATCTGCCCCTTTACCACAAAATTTTTTGATCCTTAATCTAGAATCTGGTATTGGGTACTGGATCTGCTTCAAAAAATACCTGTTGAATGAATAACTAATGCAGGCTAATTCTCCCACGGTAACATCAGTTGCTCCTGAACTAAATACTGCTTCTGAGATGTGTTACAGGTAGGAATTGAGTAGAAGACAAAAAAGAAGAAAATATTCAGGTATATAAAAAGTTGGGTTATATAAAGATATGCACACAGTTTATGACTAATACTGCCATGTCAATATATTTTATATGTTAAAGTAGGTTTCCTGATGTCTGACAATTGGAAAAAGGATAACATGGCCTCAGGGGACTACCAGTTCTACTGAGTTCCAACAGGGATATACCTTAACCTTGAGGCATGAGAATTTCTCCTCTTTCCACAGACTTACACTAAGAACTGGTTTATTGTTTGTCTGTAATTCACATTTAACTGGGCATCCTGTATTTTACCTGGCAATCCTAATTACAACTGAATACTGGTGTGAAAACCACTGATTCATTTTTATAGGGCATCAAAATATCATCCAGCTAGGGGCACCCAAAGGAATGTGTAGCCCTAGGTATAAGCTAAAAGCCCATGAGGGCTTTATAGATCCCATCCACATGGCTTCCCTGCCTTCCTCCATCAAGCAGACAAATGCCCCTCACATATTAAGGCCGACATTTTTCACTTGACTTATTGATACTTAGTAAAATTTAACTCCAAACCCAGGGTTGAAACTCTTAGAAAGCTGTTTCTTTAAATTGAAAATATGTTTTGAGAGATGGAGGTAGATCAAAGAGTAGGGGAATCTTTTTGTCAGTCATTTACACCCTAGTGTGAACTGGCTTAACCTTACTGGTTTTCTCATAGTACATGAGTGACTTTATACATGCTGGTGATGTAGAAACAAGAAACACTTAAGGATAGCTAGCTGGAGCCTCTCACCAGAAGGTCTAGGCATCTGAAGGCAGGGCACGGGGATGGAGGGTGTGGTAGGAGACCCCAAAATACATAATTGCTCTCAGCAGTGTTGCTTTGAACTGGTCTCTCCCTTCCTCAGAAGAGGCCAGTACCAGCTCCCCGAGGCTGAATGAAATGCCCCCTTTTCCTGTTCGGATCCTAATGAAGTCAGAATATAACTTCTTTCTCTAATATAGTTCTTCAGAAAGCAGAGGTTACACTAAACAACTCCTAAACCAACTTAGGTTGGTTTTTCTTCTATGGCACAATATAGTTTCTTTTCCTCATGTGATATATACTGGGTAGTTCTTTTAAAAACATAAAAATAAAACAAAACAACAACATCCTCTAATCCAACTCAACCCAAATTTAAGCTGAACTTGAATAAACACATATTATAGAACCTACAAGGGTCTGGAAATTTTAATAGCAGGAACTGAAGGGTAATATTATTGCAAGGTTCATGAATGATCCCAGGATGCCACTTGCCAACTACATTATGTATGCCCATGTATGTATCATCTCATAGCATGTAACTGTGGGGTTGACTCTTTTTATGGCTAAGAAGGAAATTAATATCACTATTGATTTGGCATGTAAGGGCATTCCACCTTGTTTGCTCTTTCATAGGCAAGAGATTAGCCAGTTATTATCTTTTATTCTACAAAGTTGGCAGAGTCTGTGGTGAAAGTTGATGCCAGTTCTGATGATCTCTGGAAATGTTCATGGACTCTTTCCAGGTGCAAAGACTGACAACACTTTTTACAAAATAGTAAATGCAATTCCTATTTCACAAGCCACAAAGATCATAAATAGTAACTCCAACTCTCAGTGGTGACTGTTTGTTAGGGTTGCAGTTACTTGAATAAATTTGAGATAATTTCCCATGTATGTTGAAGAATCCCCTGGACAGAAATGTCCTGAGCCATGGCTGAAGTCTCCTTCTCCCCACACTGAGGGGACTGTCCCACTGAAACACGTTGACACACCTGGCCCAAAAGAAAATGACTGTTTAGTGACTAGACATTTTGTCTTCCTAAGTTATTGTTTTCTCAATTTATCCATCACTACTTAATAACGTCATCAACATTTTCCTAGAGAATAAAAACAAAAGAAAATGAAAACAAACTCACTGTTTTCGGGGTCTGCAGAGATGACTATTACAGAAGCAGGAGAAGCACCCACACTGTTGTTGGCTATGACGCAGATTTGGTAGGAACACCTGTCAAGGATTAGTTTTGTGCTGTTGGCTGGTGCTGGAATGGAATGGAGCTCTGAACTGGATGGTTTGTCTAGGTTTTCTACAACTACATTATAGAACAGGATCTTTCCATTGGCATGCAGTTTTGATAATGGCTGAAAAAAATATTGATAAACATTTTTAAATGGGTTTTAATTGAAAGGAATTTGTACAACTCCTTTTTCATCTTTTCTGTCCCTCAACTCCTTTATATACGCACACACCAGAAAATTCAAACAGCTTAATAGAGAAAATAACTCTCTCAACCAACTCTGAAATCAGACATTCAAATCTAACTGAAGGTGAGTAGAGAAGAGGATCATTTGGAGATAAGAGCCTCAAGAGCATTATGTGCCCTGAGAAGAGTGCTCAGGTCAGAATCACAAGGAATAGACTCTTTAACCTGGTGGAAAAAAGAATGTGAGGGGTAGTCAAGGGCAGAAAAGCAATGAGTACAAACAGCACCACCCTGGGACCCTGCAGGAGGAGCCTGGGTACTGGCCTCATTCCACCTCCAGCCATGTTACCCCTATGCAGCCGTACAGGGATTAGCTGCTCTCCATACCCAGAGCCCTCCTCTGGAAGATCCTCAGTTTGCAGAGAAATTCTTGCCCACACAGTCCCAAGCCCACTTCTGGGGTCTGTTCCTCAGGCCTCCCCTCCCCTGGCATGTGTACCACCAGCCCTGAGAGTGGGCTTGGAGTGGCTATCTGCTTGGGGTGTGGACAGAACCCAGACATGCAGACTGGCATGCCCACACGTCTGTGCACAGAGATTCTTGCGGAGTGTGCCAAACTAAAGGTGAAAAAAAAAGTGGGGTAGGTTGAGACCAGAGCCAACTCTCCCAGGATCACCATGTTTCAGTGTGAAACTGACGCATCACAGAGTTCAGAATACAAACCTGGCCTTCCAGGTTGTCATGAAGGTGTATTAGTCAAGATAGAAGGATAAAATTTATTTTATATTACAATTTTTAAGCTTGATTTATAATTTTTAAATATAAATAGTATGACTATTTAAATATGTGTAACTTTTAACTATCATATGTGGTTGTTTACTTACATCTTTGCCCTGGGCCCTGCAAAAGTCAAGCCTGGCCTGAGTTGAAGTTGCAGAGAAGGTTCTACCAATCAGAACTGGCTGTCAGTTGCATCAGCTATCAAAGGAGTGGAGTGGGATTCCTCTACTAGGTAAGAAATTCTATTGGATGAATGTGAAGATCCCTCCCAGTTGGGACACTGAACCAATCCACAGTTCTCCAGAGGAAGACACATTTGTTTCCACAAATGTGACTTTTGGAAACAATCAGACTTTTGGAATCTGCACATCTTACCTTCCAGAATAAGGTCACAGTATGATTTCCTGGCTCCAAGCTCACAATTCTCCAGACATCAGGGGCCTCTGAGGGAGCTGAAATTAACCAAAGAAAAGTTCTTGAGTCACAATATGTATGTAAAGCAATATGCTCAACCTTTTTCTAGGACGGTCAAGGACATGACAATTACCTGTCCAACCTGAGGCTTGCCTCTCCCGTTTTCACTCTCTATGACTTCTACCCACTGGTCCACAGCCACACTGCTCACTCCTCACTAGGTGCACACAGTACAGTGCTTTATAAAAAGGTCAGCTGCCTCTGAAAGCCTTTATAAACATCAAGCCATACAACTACCAAAGAAGTTTGGAATAATTTGTCCATTAGACCAATTCCAGATGAGTTAGGTAAATTTCCCCTTTTTTTGACTTTCTAGGCAGCAGACCTTTGCTACTTCCTTGCCCCATCTGTCATGGATAGAGACACAGTGATGGGGAACCCGCTAGGGGCAGGATGCGTTCTTCCTCAAGTTTCATGATACCCACGGCTGGCCCGCTCACTGGAGTGCTGGTCTCCCTCCACTGGGCAGGCCTCATCCCACTCCTCCTCCCAGCACCTTGCCTGCGCCTGGGTCACCTGCTTGCTGTGGACACTTAAGGCACCTGCAGCACCCAGCATTTCTTCTATTGTGGCTCTCACCATGCTGCTTTAGAATAGTGTGCTTCCTTGTCTCTCTGTCAATAAACCATAGGATCCCTGGGGCCAAGGGTTTTGAAACTCTAGCATCTGCCTCAGGGCCTGGCACTTCGTGAAAGCTCTACAAACCGTTTGAATGAATAAAAACCGAACTTCAAAGGAACTCAGAAAACAACCTGCTTCAATGTCCCAATCTTTTCTTGTCTCCATCCCTCACTCAGAAATCTTTGTAGATGGATTGACTGATTGATTTTGCATCTAAATCTGCATTTGCTCAATCAACTTATCATAAGGAAAGGTCTTTAAATCCAAGCCAACTCTGGGTACCTATGTATTAAACCATTTGGGGGATCTCTTTTACACATAATAATAGCTAATATTTATAGAGGGGTTACTAGATGCCAGCCCAGTTCCAAATGTTTTGCATATATTAACTCATTTAATCCTCATAACAATTCTATGGGGCAGGTATGATTATTTACCCCATTCTCTAGATAAGGAAACTAAGACCCAGAGAGAGTAAGTTAATTTCTCAAATCACCCAGGTGAAAGTAAAAGTGAAGCCAAGATTTGAACTCAAGGTAGTTAGGGTCTGGTCATTCCATTATTCATCTTTAGAAAATGGATGGTCAATTGAAGGCTCAGCTTGCATGACAAGTTCAACAAAATTCTCATTTAAAAAAAATCTCAGCAATGGAAAAATAATGAAATCATTGCAATTTATTTTAAAATCTTAAAAAGGCACACGTTTTAATCATTGATTGATAAAAATATTATGAAAGTCCTATTAAGATGAGTACATCTTTTCGTTTGTAAATTGTTTTGTTGGATTTATGTAATACTCTGTATTCCACATAGAATCAAATTTTCTACTGATACAATTTTGTCATGGTATGAACTTCACAAGAATAGTACAACAAGAAGTAGTCAAAAGAGAATTTAAAACATTCATAAGCCACAAGAAATATCAGGCTTTAACTGATGAAGATATAGATGACCCAATTATAGCACATCCATGGAGACAAACAAGAAAGGGACTCACAGGTATTGATGTCATTCTGCAACTGAGTCCTAACAGCACATCTCATTTTTAAATCCAGACATAAAAAACATCTTTATCTCTCTACTCAATCACATTTTGTGAACGTGCTGCTTCAGCTTTCTGAATTTGAAAATACAACTATAGCATGTCTCATATGACTTCTATTTTTAATGTTTACTTTGAAACTTCCCTTTAATTCTTAAAGATAGCTTGAATATTTTAGCATAGCCCCTAATAAAAATAACTGAATTAAATTCAAGTATCTAATTAAGAGAGTTAGTAGCACTGCTACAAACCTAAATAACTTTTGTGATAACAAAAATCAATTTAAATACAAGATGTGATATAGAGTTGTTAGTTTCATAATCTAATGGTTTAATAGTCCAGATTCCATTTTAGAGTAATGATATAAAATCCAAATTACTTATCAGTAGGTTCCTTAACTTTACATGAATTATTTTTCTTCCAACTCTTCCAACTTTTCTTCCAACTCTCAGTTTGCCAAATCACAAACTTTATTTTAATCGAGAAAAACATCCTTTTTGAAAGGTGCAAATCAGTATTTTACCAGTCTACTATCATTGATAGGGTTTACTATATTTCAAAATACATATCCCAGTGCTGTCAAATTTTTGAGAAATTATGATTTCATTAAATTAGAGTTGGTTATGAAAACATAAATTCAAAGTCCATCACCTGAGTGCTACTTTAACCTCCAGACTTCTTTGTGCATGCTATTATGTTCTTGAAAGTAATTTAGCATATTTCCATATAACTCATTCATGTGAAACCATAGTCAAATACTTCATCATTCTGTAGTTAATAATCAAATTTAGTGAATCATATCCCTCCCTATTACATTTTACTTTCCTTTGAAATACTTTTAAAAATACTTCCTAGAAACTCTCTTTTTATAATTTTATTTAGAGTCAGGGAGTACATGTGCATGTTTGTTACATGGGTATATTGTGCAATGCTGAGGTTTGGAATATGAATGATCCCATCACCCAAACAGTGGGCATAGAACCCAACAGTTAGTTTTTCAACGCTTGCCCCCTCCCTTCCTTCCCCTTCTAGTAGTCCCCAGTGTCTATTGTTTCTATCTTTATTTTCATGAATACCCAATGTTCAGTTCCCACTTAAAAGTGAGAACATGCAGTATTGGATTTTCTGTTCCTGCATTAATTCGCTTAGGATAATGGCCTCCAGCTACATCCATGTTGCTGGGAGGAACATTATTTCATTATTTATTCCATGGTGTATATGTACCATATTTTCTTTGTCCAATCCATCATTGATGGGCACCTAGGTAGAGTCCATGTCTTTGCTATGGTGAATAGTGCTGTGATGAACATATGCGTGTTGGTAGAATGATTTATTTTCCTTTGAATATATACCCAGTAATGGGATTGCTGGGTGGAACAGTAGCTCTGTTTTGAGAAATCTCCAAACTGCTTTTTACGAAGGTTGAACTAATTTATATTCCCTCCAACAGTGTATAAGTGTTCCCTTTTCCCTGCAGCTTCCCCAGAATCTGTTGCTTTTTGACTTTTTAGTAATAGCCATTTTGACTTGTGTCCTCATTAGAAAAGGCAATAGATGCACAGAGACGCTCAAGAGAATACCCTGTGAGCAGACATAGATGACCATCTACTAGCCAAAGAGAGTGGCCTCTGAGAAACAACCTCAGCCAACAGCTTGATGTCAGATTTCTAGCCTCCATAATTATGAGACACTAAATTTCTCTTGTTAAAGTCCTTCAGTCTGTGGTACTGTGTTATTAAAGCCCTAGAAAACTGTTACAACCTATTAATACACATGGAATATATTCCCTGCATCATGGTTGAAATGAAACCAGAGTTTTATTATGTCAGGCTCCACTTGCATTTGAGATCTGAAGCACTGTGGAAAATGGCCTCCCTTAAGAAATATTATGAAGACATGTGAAGAAGGCTCCTGCCCTGATGGGGTTACAGGGATGAGTTCTGTGAGATGACACATTGCAAACAAATGCGTACAGTAGCTTAACCTTCCCCCTTTTTGTGTAACACCTCCTTCTGTGCAAAAACGTTCTTGTAAGAACATTGGCTTTTAATACTTACAGAAGGTCTAGCAGGACAGTGGTGCTGACTGCTACAGAAGCTACCTGGGGTAGCTAAAGAATAAAAACAGTAACAACATGCAAAGATTTTTAAAAATAGCCTTTCTGATTGGTGTGAGATGGTGTCTCATTGTGATTTTGATATGACTTTTTCTGATGATTGGTGATGTTGAGCATTTTTTAATGTTTTTTGGCTGCTTGTATGTCTTCAGAACTCTCTGTTCATGTCTTTCACCCATTTTTTTTTTTTTTTTTGAGATGGAGTCTCACTCTGTCGTCCAGGCTGGAGTGCAGTGGCACGACCTCTGCTCACTGCAAGCTCCGCCTCCTGGGTTCATGCCTTTCTTCCACCTCAGCCTCTTGAGTAGCTGGGACTATAGGCAGCCACCACCACGCCTGGCTGATTTTTTTCTATTTTTAGTAGAGACGGGGTTTCACCACGTTAGCCAGGATGGTCTCAATCTCCTGAACTCGTGATTCTCCTGCCTCGGCCTCCCAAAGTGCTGGGATTACAGGCATGAGCCACCGCGCCTGGCCCTTTTGCCCACTTTTTAATGGGGTTGTTTGCTTTCTGCTTGTTGAATTGTTTAAGTTCCTTATAGATGCTGGATATTAGGTGTTTGTCAGGTGCATAGTTTACAAATAGTTTCTCACATTCTGTAGGTTGTTGCTTACTCTTTTGATAGTATCTTTTGTGGTTCAGTAGCTCTTTAGTTTAATTAGGTCTGACTTGTCAATTTTTGTTTTTGTTGCAATTTCTTTTGAAGACTTAGTCATAAATTATTTCCCAAGGCCAATGTCCAGAATGGTGTTTCCTAGGTTTTCTTCTAGGATTCCTATAGTTTGAGGTCTTACATTTAAATCTGTAATTCATCTCGAGTTAATTTTTTCTACATGGTGAAAGGTACAGGTCTAGCTTCATTCTTCCACACATAGCTAGCCAGCTATCCCAGCACCATCTATTATATTAGGAGTCCTTTCCCCATTGCTTATTTTTGTTGACTTTGTAGAAGATCAGATGGCTGTAGGTGTGTAGTTTTGTTTTTGGGTTCTCTATTCTGCTTCATTGGTCTATGTGACTGTTTTTATACTGGTACCATGATGTTTTGGTTACTGTAATCTTGTAGTATAGTTTGAACTGGGGTAATGTGCTGCCTATTGCTTTGTCCTTTTTGCTTAGAAATGCTTTGTCTATATAGGCTCTTTTTTGTTTCCATATCAATTTTTTGAATAGTTTTTTTCTATTTCTGTGAAAAATAACATTGATAGTTTGATAGAAATAGCATTGAATCTGTAAATTGCTTTGGGGAGTCAGTGATTTTAATGATATTGATTCTTCCAATCTGTGAGCACGGAATATTTTTCTATTTCTTTGTGTCACCTATGATTTCTTTCAGCAGTGTTTTCTAGTTCTCCTTGTAGAGATCTTTCACCTCCTTGGTTAAATGTATTACTAGATATTTTTGTGTATGTGAGTATCGAAAGTAGGATTGCGTTCTTGACTTGGGTCTCAGCTTGAATCTTATTGGTGTATAGAAATACTACTGATTTTTGTACATCGATCTTGTATCCTGAAACTTTGCTGACTTTTTTCTTTTAATCAGATCTAGGAGCTTTTATGCAGAGACTATGGGGTTTTCTAGGTATACAATCATATCACCTGCAAACAAAGATAGTTTGACTTCTGACTTCCTCTTTTTCTATTTGGATGCTTTTTTTTTTCTTTCTCTTGTCTGATTGCTCTGGCTAGGACTTCCAATATTATATTGAATAGGAGTGGTGAGAGTGGACATCCTTGTCTTATTCCAGTTCTCAAGTGGAATGCTTCCAGCTTCTGCCCATTTAGTATGATGTTGGCTGTGGATTTGTCATAGATCTAGGCTCTTATTTTGAGGTATGCTCCTTCAACATGTAGTTTGTTGAGAGTTTTTAACATGAATGGATATTGAATTTCATCAAAAGCTTTTTCTGCATATATTGAGATGATTGTGTGGTTTTTGTTTTTAGTTCGGTTTATGTGATGAATCACATTTAGTGATTTGCGTAGGCTGACACAACCTTGCATCCCAGGGATAAAGCTTACTTGATTGTGGTGGATTAGCTTTTTAATGTGCTGCTGGATCTGGATTGCTAGTATTTTGTTGAGGATTTTTGCATCTATGTTCATCAAGGATATTGACCTGAAGTTTTCTCTTTTTGTTGTGTCTCTGACAGGTTTTAGTGTCAGAATGATGCTGGCCTCACAGAATGAGTTAGGGAGGAGTCCCCCAACTCAGTTTTTTTGGAATAGTTTCCGTAGGAATGGTACCAGCTCTTTATAACTCTGACAGAATTTGGCTGTGAATGCATCTGGTCCTGGGCTTTCTCTGGTTCCTAGGCTTTTTGTTACTGATTCAGTTTCAGATCCCACTATTGGTCTGTCCAGGGATTCAATTTCTTCCTGGTTCAATCTTGAGAGGCTGTATGTTTCCAGGCTGTATGTTTTCTAGTTTGTGTCCAAAAAGGTGCTCACAGTAATCTCTGAGAGTTTTTGTGTTTCTATGGGGTCAAGTGGTAATGTCCTCTAACATTTCTGATTGTGTTTATTTGGATCTTCTTTTATTCTTTATTAGTCTAGGTCGTGATCTATGAAACTTATTCTTCTTAATAACTCCTGGATTCGTTGATCTTTTGTATAGTTTTTTGCATCTCAATTTCCTTCAGTTCAGTTCTAATTTTGGTTATTTCTTGTCTTCTGACAGCTTTGGTGTTGGTTTGTTCTTGTTTCTCTACTTCTTTGAGGTGTGATGTTGGGTTGTTAATTTGAGATCTTTGTCACCCAGGCTGGAGTGTAGTGATGCAATCTCAGCTCACCGCAACCTCCACCTCCCAGGTTCCAGCAATTCTCCTGCCTCAGCCTCCCGACTGGCTGGGACTACAGGCACGTGCCACCACGCCTGGCTAATTTTTGTATTTTTTAGTAGAGATGGGGTTTCACCATATTGGCCAAGCTGGTCTCAAACTCCTGACCTCGTGATCTGCCCACGTTGGCCTCCCAAAGTGCTGGGATTACAGGTGTGAGCTACCGCACCCAGCCAAAACTTTACTCTTAACATGGCTTTGCTGTGTCTCAGAGATCCTGGTATATTGTTATCTTTCTTCTCATTAATTTCAAATAATTTCTTAATTTCTGCCTTAATTTCATTGTTTACCCAAAAGTCTTTCAGGAGCAGGTTAATTTCCATGTAATCGGGTGGTTTTGAGTAATTTTCTTCGTACTCATTTCTATTTTTATTGTGCTGTTGCCTGAGAGTGTGTTTGGTATTATTTCGGGTTTTCTTTTAATTTGCTGAGGATTGTTTTATGTCTAATTGTGAAGTCAGTTTTAGAGTATATGCCATGTGCAGATGAGAATAATGTATATTTGTTTTGGGGTGGAGAGTTCTGTAAGCCCATTTTGTCAAGTGTCAAGTTGAGGTCCTTACTATCTTTGTTAGTTTTCTGCCCTGATAATTCATGTAATACTGTCAGCAAAATGTTGAAGTCTCCTACTATTATTATGTGGCTATCTAAGTCTCTTTGTAAGTCTCTAAGAACTTACTTTATGAATCTGTGCGCTCTTGTGTTAGGTGCATATATATTTAGGATAGTTAAGTCTTCTTGTTGAATTGAACTCTTTACCATTATGTAATGCCCTTCTTTGTCTTTTCTGATCATTATTGGTTTAAAATAAATTTTGACAGAAATTGGAATACCAATCCCTGCTTTTTTCTGTTTTGTTTGGTTGGTAGATTTTTCTGCATCCCTTTACTTTGAGCCTGTGGGTGTCACTGCGTGTGATATAGGTCTCCTGTAGACAGCATACAGTTGGATCTTGCTTCTTTCTCCAACTTGCCACTCTGTGCCTTTTAATTGGGGCATGTAACCTGTGCGCATTCAAGTTTAATACTGGTATGTGTGGATTTGATCCTGTCATTGTCTTGTTAGCTGGTTATTATGCAGATTTGATTGCGTGGTTGCTTTATACTGTCAATGGTCTATTACTTAAGTCTGTTTTTGTGGTGGTTGGTAATGGACTTCCTTTTTCATATTTGGCACTTCCTTAAGGATCTCCTCTAAGGCAGGTCTAATGGTAGTGAATTCCGTTAGCATTTGCTTGTCTGAAAAGGATCTTATTTCTCATTCACTTATGAAGCTTAGTTTGGCTAGATATGAAATTCTTGGTTGGAATTTCTTTTAAGAATGTTCAGTACAGGCCCCAATCTCTTTTGGCTTGTAGCATTTCTGATGAAAAGTCCACTGTTAGCGTGATGGGGTTCCCTTTGTAGGTGACCCGCCCTGTCTCCCTAGCTGCCTTTAACATTTTTTCTTTCATTTCAACCTTGAAGAATCTGATGACTATGTCTTGGAGACATGGTGTCTTTGGGATGGTCATCTTGTATAGTACCTCACAGGAGTTCTCTGCATTTCCTGAATTTGAATGTTGTCCTCTCCAGTGAGGCTGGGGAAATTTTTGTGAATAATATCCTCAAATATGTTTTCCAAGTTGCTTGCCTTCTCTGCCTCTCTTTCAAGAACACCAATGAGTGGCTGAGTTGTTCTCTTTACATAATAATTTTTATTTTTTTCTTTATTTTTGTCTGACTGAGTTATATTGAAGAACTGGTCTTTGAGCTGAGACTCTTTCCTCAGCTTGCATTTGTATTATGAAATTCTTGAAATGAATTATTCAGCTCTATCAGATCAGTTTGATCCTTTCTTTAAATGGACATTTTGTCTTTTATCTCCTGTGTCATTTTGTTGTATTCCTTAGATTCCTCGGATTGGGTTTTCACTTTCTCTTGGATGTTGATGATCTTTGTTTCTATCCATATTCTGAATTCTAATTCTGTCATTTTGAACAGGTTAAGAACCATTGCTAGGATGCTAGTGTGGTCTTTGGAGGTAAGAAGATACTCTGGCTTTTTGAGTTGCCACTGAGTTCTTGCATTCTTTCCTTCTCATCTGTGTGGGCTGATGTTCCTTTAGTCTTTGAAGTTGCTGTCCTTTGGATGGGTTTTTGTTTTGTTTTATGTTTTATGTTATTTGATGTCCTTGGGGGACATCTGATTTTGATATAAGATGGGTTCAGTTGACTGGGTTCCCATCTGGAAGATTTTAAGGGGCCAAAGCTCAGCTTAGCACTCCTGGTCTGCATGCTCTAACTCTGCAGGACTGGTATCAGGCCCCCACCTTTGTTCTCTGGCCCCTCAAGGCTAGGAACCTGCTGTGTTGGAGAGGCCGAACTGATCTCAGTCTGCTGGCCACAAAACTCCAATGAGTGGTGCAGGCCAAAGCACTTCATCAGGGTAGTGGCAGCAGGGTCCATGCTCACTCACATGTGCCAGCAGCTAGGGCAGTGCAGTGGTTTGTATGTGCATCAGCTGGGGTGGGGTACCTCTGAGAGTAGGGCTGCAGGGTTCCTGCATGCAGTTGCCCTGGTGGGGGGATGCAGGCAGAGGCAGAAGTGCCAGTGACAGTGCTGGCACTGGTACTGGCAGTGGTGGAGGCAGGAGGCTACCAGTCTTTGTGCATGAGTTTGCACAGGCAGCAGTGGCAGTGCAGGGGTGGGTAGAGTTGCCAGCATCCATGCATGCATTCACATTGGCAGTTGTGGTGGCACTGGGAAGGCAGGGCCGTGGTTGTCTGTGTGCTGGTTTGCAGCAGCCACAGTGGCAGCACAGGGGTAGGGGCAGAGTTGCTGGTGTCTGTGCATGCATTTGTGCCAGTGATGGTGTTGGGGGGGTTGTGGGGCCATGCACACATTCACGCTGGTGGCAGTGTCAGCAGGAGTGGGGGTGGGGCTGCTGGTGTCCATGCACTCTTTCACACCAGAAATGGAAGCACCAGGGGAGGCAGGGCCACACGTTGTGCTTATGCCAACAGCAGCAGTGGGATATGTGCACACATAAGCCATTGGAGGAGAAGAGGCAAGGTCCACCCACACGTGTGCACTGGCAAAGTGGTGGTGGGGTGACCATGGACAAGTGCATACTGGCAAGGTGGCATTGGGTAGGCTGTGGTTGGGGGAGGCTGCAGGTGGGCTGATGCATGTCAGTAGGGACTGTTCTGCTGGAAATCTCCAATGGTCAGGTGCCATCTGCCAGCAAAGCAGCTATGATATGGTCCCCTAGGAAGCACCATAGTTGGGCATCTGAGGCTGCAACTCCAGCTAGTGTGGCAAGGCTGGAGCCTCAGGAGTGGCCAGCAGACAGGGGATCACTCAGATTGGACTGGCCCCATCTCATGGGTAAGACCATTCTCCTCTGTCTAGGTCTCATGGTCACCCTTTGGCCAAAGTCTCCTAGAGGAGCAAGGCAAGGCTTGGGGGATTTGTGTCCCTGGCCATGCTCCACTGCAGATGTTTCTGCACCAAACCCTCTGGGCCCTGCCCAGGATGGAGCTCTATTCCTACTACCTCTCTAAGAAGCTCTTCCTGCCAGTCCAATTGTCCATGAGGGTTGTGGGGTTTCCTGCTGCCTGGATTCCAAAGGTCCACGGCAGGGGCAGGCCGCCTGTTCAACCCCTTCCCCAGGAGTTGCTGGGGGCCAAGAACGAGTGTGGGTGCTTCATAGCCCTGTGCAGGGTATGCAGCTTCCTGACCCTTCAGCCCAGCTTCTGCATTCTCCCTGTGTCCACTCTTAATGTAGGGTTTTCTAGGTATAGAATCATATCATCAGCAAAGAGAGTTTGACTTCTTTTCCTTTTGGGATGTGTTTCTCTTGCCTGATTCCTCTGGCTAGGACCTCCAACTTCTATTTTTTAAATATGATTTCTGCATACTAAAATGGTTTAAAAAAATTTTGGCTGCTAAGTGTGAAAGTGTTAAATAGCAACTGTCACGAAATTAACAAAATTTAACAAAATTAAGGTGTTTCAAATATTAAAAAATAACTTTCCTATTTTTTTTAGTTTTTGGTTTGTGAGAGGACAAGTAATTTTTGATCTGATTCAGAACATTTCTTTGAAAGAAGAACTGTTTTGGAACATAACATTAAAATGTATCTCTCTATCTTATAAAAATATAATCTTTTTTGCCTAATAATTGACATTTAAGTTTTTTATTTTAGTTGCTGACTCAACACTTTATACTTTAAGTTAAAGGTGGCCATATATTTTTAAATCTATTAAAGCAGATTTCAATTTGCTAAATAAGTCATTGGAGAAGCCAATATTAAATTTAAAACTTTATTGAAATACTCAGGGACAATATCTAAGCTCAATGCAAAATCTTCAGCTGGCTTGTAAATTACTATTTATAACAAAAAAGTGCTACAATACAGTTGATAGCACTATATTTTATAAACAACATCATTTATACCATCAATTCATTTAACTCAATGTCTGCTCACTATAATTATACTTAAGCATGGTTATAATACACATAAAGATTTGAGTTTTCCAGCATTAAGCAAAGCGTGATCAGAAGTAATAAAAAATTCCTATAGGTTCACCTTCAGTAGATTCATCTCATTTTCTTGTCATCATCAAAAGCAAAGTTAAGCGTTTTCAAGATGTTAGATTATTACTATAATCTAAAAGAAACTCTATTCTTTTGCCATCTTCCCTTTTTACATAATTTTAGTTATGTTGGAATAAATTTTCAAAAAAAAAACAGAAAACGTAAAGCAAAATAATAAAAATTCTTTTCTAAAACACACTGAGGAAAATGCAACATTCCTCTCAGGAACAGGGCCTTCCAGAACAAAGATTATTGAGGAACCCGTACACCTAGGAAAAATTACTGGAGTCTCAATGGGCTTGAGGATAGGCAGACACCACCAGGGAAGCGGGGAGGCCTGCAGAACTTGACTAATGACCATCCTCATGTGTGGATTCTGATTAGCGGTGCCCACTACCCCCAAATTAGAGTCACTGCTTTAAAATGGTCCTCCCAGAATCAGACAGAAAGAGTTCTGCCAGCTGCCATACACAAATAAGAAGAATAATAAAATACATATGTATAATCCTTCCTTTGGCACTAAAATAGCCAGGACTTGAATCAACAAGATCTAGAGGTTGTAATAACACCAAGAGAGAGAACACACAGAATTGAGCTCTGATTAAGGGTGGAGCTCTGGTGTCAGGCTGCCTGGACGTGAGTCGCAGCTCAGTCAGTGCCTGGCTGAACCAGTTAAATTACTTAATCTTTCTGTGCCCTGATATCCTCTGGCATAAAATGAGGATCATAAGAGCACCTACTGCGTGTTGTCAGGATGAAAAGAGAGGAGCACAGAGGGCCCTTCGAGCTATGTATGGCTCACAGTAAATGTTGACTCCTATGATTTTTTTTTTTTTTGAGATGGAGTCTCACTCTGTTGCCCAGGCTGGAGTGCAGTGGCACGATCTCAGCTCACTGCAACCTCCACCTCCCAGGTTCAAGCGGTCTCCTGCCTCAGCCTCCCGAGTAGCTGGGATTACAGGCGTGTGCCACCACGCCTGGCTAATTTTTATATTTTTAGTAGAGATGGGGTTTCACCATGTTGGTCAGGCTGGTCTCGAACTCCTGACCACGTGATCCACCTTCCTCGGCCTCCCAAAGTGCTAGGATTACAGGTGTGAGCCACTGCACTCCTAAGATTATTACGATGTCTGTACCATTCAGTAACTGCAATCAGGGCAAATCTCTTCAGTTATGGGTGCAAGTTGCCTCATCTGTAAAATGGGCAACAGTTATCCTTTATGACATTGAGTTGGAGGGAGATGGAAGCAGGATTGGGCCATCAAATCTCCTGAGGCCCATTTGAGTTCTCAGACATAGTTATTTAGCAGGAAAAGTTTGCAGTCAATACTGAGGAAACCCTGCCACAGAGCATGCTGGAGAGGGCACACAGTGTGGCATCACCGGAACAAATGACTCACAAATAACCATTAAGGTTCCAAATGTCATTACATTTCCAAACATGGCCTCAAGTTGTTTAGGATGAGACCAATGCTTTCCTTGTCATTAACACTTCCACTGTCCTGAATTAAAGGTGTATACTAATTTATATAGCTCCAGATCTACTGTGAATCCAGCAAAGTGATGGCTTGAAACCATTTTGGGAAAATGAAAGGTAAGAGAGAAGATAGGCAGTATAAATAAAATACTACTGTCAACTGTCTGAGGTGGATGGTTTCCCATTCACTTCTCATGAGGCACCTAATCTAATTTTTTAAATGCTACCCCGCCTCTGTTTAAATATTTTTCTCTTAGTTTTTGGTACAACCAAAATCTCTTAAGGAAACCAGTCTAACTCCTAAGACCTACTTCTTTGGGTTAAATGCCAGGGGCTGAACATACCAGCTTCAAGTGTGGTGAAGTTCTGACCACTCCATTCACTCCATTTCCAGAAGTGGCTGGCATCAGCACACCGTACTCGCGCCATGTACTCTGTGGCAGGTTCCAGTTCACTTAAGAAGTACTCACCGTTCACCTTGATGGAAACATTGTACTGCTTGATCAAAAAAGAGAAGAAAAGAAAAAAGAGAAAAGAACAAGACAGAAACATTGGTGAGTGCATCCCATTACAAAGGCAAACCAGAGCACAGCAAATCCTGACCTGGAGTAAGATCAGTTCTTCTTTGGGGGGAAAAAAATCTTCAAGGCCCATTTCCTAACCATAAAAGTGTATGATTAATTTCATGGACCTTTTAAAACAGATGACCCACACCATTTGAACCTACACAGAAATAAGAGTTTAAAGTGATTTTATTCATCAGTGTCTCTGTTCAGGACAAAAAAAGAATTTTTGAAAATAGAAAATTAAGCAGGGTTCTTACTTGCATCATTTTTCCTTCACCATGGAGTTCAATCTGACACAAATATGTGAAATTATTCCTTATGGAGTGCACCTTCCAGGTCATGATGGCATTTGTGGCATTTACATTTTCAAAGTTGACACTAAAAGGATTCATTAAATAAACTGTCAAAAAAAAGAAAAAGAAACAAAAAAATTCAAGCATAGATCCAAAAAGACATTGGTAATAGGCAGTTTATTTCTTCATTTATTTGTTCAACAAGTATTTTTGTTCACTTTTGAGAACATGACAAACAAGAACTTACAGACAAGCTAGAATGAGCCAACTACAGCCTTTCTCTCTCAATGATTCTACTGCATGCATTGAACAAAATACAAAAAGAAACTACTTGAGGACTCTTAAAATTAAACACAAGTAGGCAAATTGGGAAGGGGAGTCAAAACTTGGAGAAGATGGCCCACAGCGGAGAATTTTAACAGAACTCAGAGTGTAACCAAAATAACATTAACAATGTCAAGGATATAATCCAAAATATGTAGACTGTGCTAGGAATGCAACATCTTTAGATGAGAGGGGGATTGGCCAGAACAGCTCAGGCTCTGTTCCAGTCCTCCCTAGAAAGAGGATGTCCTTTAATGCTTTAGTGCAGCGAGTCATGTGTTGTCACGATATAAAATCCAGGATGGATGCTTCTGAGGTCTCTCAGCTATGGTACAAGTGAAGAACTCAGAGATAAGATTCTGTTTGCCCTGGGCAGCTCTCCGCAGCCTTGGGGACCAGCAGCAATAAATCCAAGGCTTGTGTTATCCCTTGCTGCCTGTCTGATGGTAACAAATCCATTTCACGTAACTTGTTGTGTATGAGTGTATTCTGTCTCACTGGACTCGGACAGTTGATAACCAGTGCACAGAGAGCACCTGCTTCACAAAATTGGCACAGCAAGCAGGATTCAATCTGACAGAACAATGGCTCATTGGTGAAGTAGAAGGGGCAATACCCTATCTCATACCTGGCCCACAGTGGAGACATCAGACCAGCTAGATGTTTTATGGGGAAGAAGCAGTGATAAGAGAGACACAGGCCACACATACACCCCGAGAATGTGGGTGAGGTGGCTGCATGGATTGTGGCGGAGGAAAGAAGCGTGGAAACAGGGGAGCTTAGTGCACATATGTGATTGCTCCTTCCTGGGTATTCAGATGCATCTGGAGGCATCTGAGAGAGAATTAAAAAGAGGTCCTCTGATGGTCCTTGAGACATCTGAGAGGGAACCAGCATGCACAATGCAGGCCTTCACAGAGAACGTGACTCAAGATCCAAAGGACACACATAGACATAAGCAGTAAGCTCTCAAGCAACCTGGTTGGTCTGTTTGTTGGATAAAGGGACACTGCAGACCCAAACGGTGCAGTTAGGGTTGTTGCCAAAGTCTCTAGGTGCTTACCGAAGGGCACTGGCCTAATACTCTTGTTAAGAGAAAAGAGAAAAAGAAGAAAATTCAGACTTTTGTGGAGTTCTTGGATACTGGAGCCCACATGACAATATTTCCTTGTTCTTTTAGGGGAAAAATTAAACTGATGACATTGGGAGGTTTTCGGACAAACATAGTGACCCAAGATGCTTATCTGGTTGTGGGCAGGGCCCGTTGGGCCATTTTAGGTGCCAGAGACCATGGTTCCTATCAGTCAGTGCATCATAGGCATTGGCATTTTGGCTGCTTGGGGCACAGAAGGCCACCTCCATCTGAAGGGGTATGTTCCCCCAACACAGCTAAGGATTTAAGCCATAACAGTGGGGCATATCCACTTCCGCCTGCCACCTAAGCTCCCCAAGTTCCAATGGCTTATTCAACAAAAGTAGTACTCTTATACATACTGAGTGGAGAATAGGACAGTATTTTGTTAATTGAGGACTTAATACAGATATAAATATTATAAACCACCCTCTCACAATATAACAGCCCAGTTTGGCTGGTCGCAAAAGGCTCTCCAGGGCATGGAGACTAACCATGGACTATCACAGGCTAAATGCCAAGGCCACTTAAGCTGAACACCAAAGAAGTATCCCCGATACAGCCAAACAAAAGTGTTGTCTCTTGTGGCATCCTCTAATAAAAATGAGGCCCAGCAGCTGGTAGGCCTCTTTGAGTACTGGAGACCACATATACCTAACCTGGGTGTCCTTTTGCTCTCCTTAGTCAAATTGACCAGCAAACCCACCAATTTTAAATGAGGTTCTTTGCGACAACAGGCCTTGGAAGCCATTCAACAAGTTGTGGTCCAGGCACTGCTTTTAGAACCCTTAAAGCCTGCTAGCTCAATAAAATTACAGATGTCCAAAACCTCCATGCACGCTGATTGGAGTCTCTGGCAAGAAAAAACTACCACTGGGATGTACCAGCCTCTCACATTTTGGACATATAAGTTGCTTGAAGCAGCCCCCAGATACACCGCTTTTAAACAGCAACTCCTTGCTTGCTACTAGGCACTAGTCTCTGGACACTGAGCATCTTATGGCCAGAGCACCATACATGACACTACAACATGAAATGCCCATTCTTACTTGGGTTCATGCAAACTCCACCAATCAAATTAGACAGGCTCAACAGAGCTCGATTATTAAATGAAACTGGCACATCGAAACTGGCACATTTAAGATCATGTCCACCCAGATCCCAAGGGACCAGTAGGTTCCATGTATAAATGGCTAGCTAACCAAAAGTGACCAAGTAACCTGTTGAGGATGTTTTGGCTCCTCCTATGGGTTCAAAAATATGCCTACCAATGGTCTGGCGTGGTTTACTAACAGTTCTGCCAAACTAAAAGCAGATGGGGTCCATTGGGCTGCCACCACCATCTGGCCAATAGATAGCCAACTTTTGACTGAGACTGGACATGGACATTCTATCCAATAGGCTAAACTACATACAGTGGCAATGGCCACGCCAGCCGCCTTACTCACCATATCTTGCTGTATTTTCACAGACTCATGGGCCATTGCCAATAGCCTAGCCATGTTGTCAGAAGAAAAACAACTGAGTGACTGGACTGATTAAGGAATCCTCTGTGTGGGACAAGAATTATGGAAAGAGCTTGCAGCATAAAAGTTGTCAGAATCAAAATGGGGTCATTTATGTTAAAAAACAAAATCCTGAAAATGGAGCCAGGTAAGGTCACGCAGGAAGGGCTCTCTTACACCAATGCCTGAAAACAAAACTATCCTGAAACAACCTGTAAAAGCCACAACCATGCACAAAGGTCAACACAACCTTACACAAAAAAAATACTTCTACAAGGACATCTGTCCAGCAACTGGATTATCCAGCCTTACACTGACACCGCCCTTGTTATTGATCCTTGTAGTCAAAAATAATTATCTGAAAACATTATGTAATCCTTCTCATTGTTTCTTTAAAAACCTTTGTCTTTGTTTACCTTCCCAAATACATGTATTCCCATTGCAATGTCTACTCCTGAATATATATCATTTTCTTTTAGAGTCTCCCTCTCTGTTATTTAGATTGGCATACTGGTATCTCAGAAGCAAGACTAAGATGGCTAAAGAGAAGGCTCCATCGATTGTCCCACCTGCAGGATCACCAGATTAACAATTATATGAAAAAAAGCACCTTCATAAGACTGAAAAGTCAAGTAGGCACTCACAGTACCTGGCTTTGACATCATATCACTGAAAGAGTCACTGAAAAGGGGAAGAAAGATATTCTTAAATCACTGATGCCACCCCTCCCCCATTCCCTGGCAGCAGCCCTGTGTCATGGACAGAACCTCTGTGCACTTAGGAGAGGGAGAGCACGGTGATTGAGAGACTGCATGGAATTCAGTGTTGCCCAGTCACTGGGAAAGCAAGCAAAACCAGGTTGAACTCAGCTGATATCCGCCTACAGAGGGAGCATTCAGATGAGCCCCAGCCAGAGAGGAATCACCCATCCCAGCAGTCGGAACCCAGTGATTCTGTCGAGGCTCACCACTGTAGGCTGAAGTGCTCTAAGGCCCTAAATAAACTAGAAAGCCAGTCTAGGCAACAAGGACTGCAACTCCTAGGTGAATCATGGTGCTGAGCCGGGCTTAGAGCAAGCAGACTTTGGGGAAAGATGACCTACTAAGACACTAGCTGGGAAGGCTAAGGGAGTGTTTGTGCCACCCCTGCTCCAACCCCAGGCAGCACAGCTCATGGCTCCAAAAGAAAACCTTTCCTTCTGCGTGAGGAGAAGAGGGGGAAGAGTAAAGATGACTTTGTCTTGCATCTTGGATACCAGCTTATCCAAAGTAGGACAGGGCACCAGTCAGAGTCATGAGGCCCCCATTCCAGGCCCTATCTCTCAGATGACATTTCTAAAGACACACCCTGGGCCAGAAGAGAACCTGTTGCCTTGAAGGGAAGGACCCAGTCCGAGCAGGACCCATAACCTGCTGACTAAAGAGTACTTGGGCCCTGAATAACCAGGAGCAATACCCAAGTAGTATACCATGGGCCTTGGGTGAGACTCTGAGACGTGCTGGCTTCAGGTGAGACCCACTACAGTGCCTACAGTGAGAGACACCCTCTGCTTGAGAAAAGTAAAGGGGATTTTGTCTTGCACCTTAGGTACTAACTTGGAGACAGGGGTAGAGCACAAGTGGGCTCTTGGGGTCTCTGATTCCAGGCCTTGGCTCTTGGCTGGCATTTCTGGATCTGACCTGGGACACAGAGGAGCCCACTGCCCTAAAAGGTGAGTCCCAGGCCTGGCAGCATTCACCACAAGCTGACTAAAGAGTCCTTGGGCCTTAGGCCGGACACAGTGGCTCACACCTGTAATCCTAGCAACTTTGAGAGGCCGAGGTGGGTGGATCACAAGGTTGGGAATTTGAGACCAGCCTGGCCAACATGGTGAAACCCTGTCTCTACTAGAAATACAAAATTTAGCCAGGCGTGGTGGCAGGTGCCTGCAATTCCTGCTACTTGGGAGGCTGAGGCAGAGAACTGCTTGAACCTGGGAAGTGGAGGTTGCAGTGAGCTAAAATCGCACCACTGCACTCCAGCCTGGGCAACAGAGCAGGTGAGACTCTGTCTCAAAAAAAAAAAAAAAAAAAAAAAAGATATTATGTAAATAGAAACAACAAAAAGTTAAAAAGTAGAGAGACAAAGTTAAAGGGTAGAGTTTTTTGCCTGTTTGTTTATGTAAGCAGTATTATGTTGTTATCAGCTTAAAATAATGAGTTATAAGATAGTATTTGCAAGCCTCATGGCAACCTCAAATTTTTAAAAAAATATGTATAACGAATATGCAAAAAGGAAAAAGCAGAAAATTAAATCATACCACCAGAGAAAAATCACCTGCACTAAAAGAAAGACTTGAAGAAAGGAAAGAAGAAAGATAAGACCATAAAACAACTAGAAAACAAATTTTTAAATGGCCAGAGTAAGCCCTTACTTATCAATAATAACATTGAGTGTAAATGGACTAAACTTTCCAATCAAAAGACATAGAGTGGCTGAATGGATTTAAAAACAAAAGACCCAATGATCTGTTGCCTATGAGAAATGCACTTAGCCTATAAAGGCACATATAGACTGAAGATAAAGGGATGGAAAGATATTCTATGACAATGGAAACCAAAAAGAAACAGGAGTAGCTTTACTTATGCCAGACAAAATAGATTTCAAGACAAAACCTATACGGAGATGCAAAGTAGGTCATTACGTAATTATAAAGGGGTCAATCCAGCAAGAGGATATGACAATTATAAATATATACACAATCAACACTGGAGCAGCCAGATATACAGAGAAATATTAGAGCTACAGAGAACGATGGACCCTAATACAACAACAGCTGAAGACTTAAACACCCCATTTTCAGCATTAGACCAATCTTCCAGACAGAAAATCAACAAAGAAATATCTGATTTAATCTGCACTATAGAACAAATGGCCCTAATAGATATTTACAGAAATATTTTGTACAATGGCTGCAGAATACATTCTTCTCCTCAGCACATCAATCACTTTCAAGGATAGATTATATGTTAGGTCACAAAACAAGTCTTAAACAGTTTTAAAAATTGAAATAATATCAGGCATCTTCTCTGGTCATAATGGAATAAAACCAGAAATCAATAACAAGAGGAATTTTGGAAACTATAAACTACATAGAAATTAAACGATATGCTCCCAAATCAAGAAATTAAGAAGGAAACTGAAAAATTTCTTGAAACAAATGATAAGAGAAACACAATGCACCAAAACCTATAAGATGCAGCAAAAGCAGTACTAAGAAGGAAGTTTATAGCCATAAGTGCCCACATCAAAACAGAAGAAAAACTTCAAATACACAACCTAATACAGAACTAGAAAAGCAAGAGCAAACCAAACCCAAAGTTAGTAGAATAAATAATAAAGATTGGAGATGAAATAAATGAAATTGAAATGAAGAAAGCAATACAAAAGACCAACTGGTTCTTTGAAAAGATAAACAAAATTGACAAACCATTAGCCAGACCAAGAAAAAAAGAGAGAAGACCCAAATAAATAAAATCAAAGATAAAAAGGGAGATATTACAACTGATACTGCAGAAATTCAAAGGATCATTAGTGGCTACTATGAGCAATTATATGGCAATAAATTGGAAAATCTACAAGAAATAGAAAAATTCCTAGACACATAAATCTAAGAATATTGAACCATGAAGAAATCCAAAACCTGAACAGACCAAAAACAAGTAACAAATTTGAACTTGTAATAAAAAGTTTCTCAGCAAAGAAAAGCCTGGGACCCAGTGGCTTCACTGCTAAACTCTACCAAACATTTAAAGAACTAATATCAATTCTACTCAAACTACTCTGAAAAACAGAGGAGGAGGGAATATGTCCAAAGTCATTCTACTAGGCCAGTATTACCCTGATACCAAAACCAGAGAGAGACAGATAAAAAAATGAAAACTACAGGCCAATATCACTGATGAATATTGATACAAAAATCCTCAACAAAATACTCCCAAACCAAATTCAACAACACACCAAAAAGATCATTCATCATGACCAAGTGGGATCTATCCCAGGGATGCAAGGATGGTTCAACATATGCAAATCAATAAATGTGTTACATCATATCAACAAAATGAAGGACAAAACCCATATGATCATTTCAATTGATGCTAAAAAAGCATTTGATGAAATTCAACATCCCTTTCATGATAAAAGCACTAAAAAAAAAACGGGTATAGAAGGAACATATGTCAACACAATAAAAGTCATATACGACAGACCCGTAGCTAGTATCATACTGAATGGGGAAAAACTGAAATCCTATCCTCTAAGATTGGGAACAGGACAAAGATGCCCACTTTCACCACTGTTATTCGACATAGTACTGGAAGTCCTTGCTAGAGCAATCAGACAAGATAAAGAAAGGAAGGGCATCCAAAATAAAAAGGAAGAAGCCAAATTTTCCTTGTCTGCAGATGATATTATCTTATATTTGTTAAAACTTAAAGACTTCACCAAGAAACTATTAGAACTGATCAACAAATTCAGTAAAGTTGCAGGATACAGAATCAATATACAAATATCATTAGCATTCCTATATGCCAACAGCAAAAAATTTGAAAAAGAAATCAAGAAAGTAATCCCATTTACAATAGCAACAAGTAAAATTAAATACCTAGGAATTAACTTAACCAAAGCAGTGAAGTATCTCTACAATGAAAACTACAAAACATTGATAAAAGAAATTGAAGAAGACTCAAAAAAGGAAACATATTGCATGTTCATAGATGGGAAGAATCAATATTGTTAAAATGTCCATTCTACTCAAAGCAATCTACATAGTTACTGCAATCCATATCAAAATACCAAAGACATTCCTTACAAAAATAGAAAAAACAATCCTAAAATGTATATGGAACCACAAACCCAGAATTGCCAAAGCTATCCTAAGTAGAAAGAACTAAACTGGAGGAATCACATTAGCTGACTTCAAATTATACTATAGAGCTATAGTAACCAAAACAGCATGGTAATGGCATAGAAACAGATACATAGACCAGTAGAACAGACTAGAGTACCCCAAATAAATCCAAACATCTACAGTAAACTTATTTTTTACAAAGGTGCCAAAACACATACACTGGGGAAAGGACAGTCTCTTCAATAAATAGTGCTGGGAAAACTGGATATCCATAAGCAGAAAAATGAAACTAGACACCGATTTCTAGCCACATAAAAAATCAAATCAAAATGTGTTAAAGACTTAAATCTAAGACCTTAAACTATGAAACTACTACAAGAAAACATTGGGGAAACTCTCCGAGACATTGGAATAATTTATGCAAGTAAAATTTCTTGAGTAATACCCAACAACCACAGGCAACCAAAGCAAAAATGGACAAATAGAATCTCATTAAGTTAAAAAGCTTCTGCACAACAAAGGAAACAATCAACAAAGTGAAGAGACAAACCACAGAATGGGAATACATTTTTTCCAAACTACCCATCTGATAAGGGATTAAGTAACCAGAATATATAAGAAGCTCAAACAACTCTATAGGAAAAATAATCTCATAATCTGATTTTAAAATGGTCAAAAGACCTGAATAGACATTTCTCAAAAGAAGAAATACAATTTGCAAACAGGCATATGAAAAAGTGCTCAACATCATGGATCATCAGAGAAATACAAATCAAAACTACAGTCTAGCTAGTGGTCTATCAATCCTGTTTATCCTTTCAAAAAACCAGTGTTTGGTTTCATTGAGCCTTTGTATGGGTTTTGGGGTCTCAATTTCATTCAGTTCTGCTCTAATTTTAGTTATTTATTTTCTTTTCTAGCTTTGGGGTCAGTTTGTTCTTGTTTTTCTAGTTTCTCTAGGTGTGATATTAGATTGTTAATTTGAGATCTTTCTAACTTCTTGATGCAGGCATTTAGCACTATAAACTTATTCTTTACACTGCTTTTGCTGCATCACAGAGATTTTGGTATGTTATGTCTCTGTTTTTGTTTATTTCCAAGAATTTTTTAATTTCTTCCTTCATTTTGTTGTTTACCTAAAAGTTTTTATTTTTTTTTTGCTTTTATTGAGACTTGATTTATGGCCGAGCATCTGGTTAATCTTGCAGTATATTTTGTGTGCAGATGAGAAGAATGTATATTCTGTGGTTGATGGGTGGAGTGTTCTGTAGATGTCTTTTAAGCCCAATTTGTCCAGTGTTGAATGTAAGTCCAGAATTTCTTTGTTAGTTTTCTCCCTCGATGATCTAATGCTGTCAGTGTGGTGTTGAAGTCCCCAACTATTTTTTTGTGGTTGTGTGCTTATCTAAGTCTCTTTGTAGGTAATAAAATAAGAAGTACTTGTTTTATGAACCTGGGTGCTTCTGTATTGGGTACATATATATTTAGAATCAATAAGTCTTCTTATTGAATTGAGCCCTTTATCATTATGTAGTGCCTTTTTTTTGTCTTTTTTAACTGTTGTTGGTTTAAAGTCTGTTTTACCTGATATAAGAATATCTTTTTGCTCTTTTTGGTTTTCCATTTTTATGACAGATCTTTCTCCAACCCTTTACTTTGAGCCTATAGATGTCATTACATGTAAGATGGGTCTCTTGAAGATAGCAGACAGATTGGTCTTGTTTTTTCTTTTTTTTTCTTTTTCATTCAATAATTAATTTAATTCACTGTGCCTTTTAAGTGGGGGTGTTAAGACTGTTTACATTCCAGATTTATATTGATATAGGAGGTTTTGATCCTATTGTGAAGTTGTTAGCTGGTTGTAGTTTCTATTCTGCGGTTCCTTTATAGGGTCTATGGGCTAGGTACTTAAGTGTGATGTTGTGGTAACAGGTATTGTTCTTTTGTTTCCACATTTAGAACTTCCTTAAAGATTTCTTGTAAGGTTGGTCTAATGGTAACAAATTCCCTTAGCAATTGCTTATCTGAAAAAATATTTTATTTTACCTTCACATATGAAGCTCAACTTGGCAGGATATGAAATTCTTGGTTGGAATGTCTTTCCTTTGAGAATGCTGAAAATAGACCCTCAATCTCTTCTGGCTTGTAAGGTTTCTGCTGAGAAGTCCACTGTTAGCCTGATGGGGGTCCCTTTGTATGTGATCTGACCTTTTTCTCTAGTTGCATTTAAGATTTTTTCTTTAGTGCTGGCCTTAAACAATCTGGTGCCTATATGCCCTAGTGATGTTCGTTTTGTGTAGAATCCAGCAGGTGTTCTCTGGATTTCTTGTATCTGGGTGTCTACCTCTCTAGCAAGATTACAGAGGTTTTATTCTATTATTCCCTCAAATTTGTTTCCCAGATTGATTACTTTTTCTCCTGCTCTCTCAAGAATGCCAACACTTTGTATGTTTAGTGGCTTTACATAATGCCATATTTCTTAAAGACTTTGTTCATTTTTTAAAATTATCTTTACTTTTGTCTGACTAGGTTTGAAAAAATCATTCTTGAAGCTCTGAAATTCTTTCTTCTGCTTCATCCAGTCTATTAATAAAGCTTTAAATTGTATTTTGAAATTCCTTAAGTGAGTTTTTCAGTCCCAGTAGTTCTAATTGATTTCTTTTCAAGATGTTTCTCTTTTTTCATTTCCTGGACTGACTTAGAAGTTTCTTCATGTTGATTTTCAACTTTGTCTTGGATCTCTTCGAGCCTCCTTACAATTGATGCCTTAAATTCTTTATCTGTCATTTCTGAGTTTCCATTTGGGTTCAGGAGCTAGAGTGATCCTTTGATGTTGTCACAACATTTCGATTTTCATGATGCCAGAATTCTTATGCTTTTTCCTTCTCATCTGGAGGGGGTAAGGTCTTTTGGCTTTGCACCTATAGCCCTAGGTACTTCTGTCAGCAGGTTTCATTTGGAGCTGCATGGCTTGGCCTATAGGCCAGTAGATGACACTTGCGGGTAAGAGCCAGCTGCTACACAAGTAGGCAGGTAAGTATCCTGTCTGTGTTTACTGTGAAGTGCTCTGTTTTTTCAGGTGAAGCCCTGGACAGTAGAGTGCCCAGTACTCTGGGGTTCCTGTTCTGCAGAGGTAGGGTGACAAATGTGGGCAGAGCTGGAGCCCCTGGCTTGCCCACAAATACCCCAATGGTGAGCACAAGCACTAGCCCTGGCAAGGGTGGCTAGAAGAAGCTCCTGTAAGTGCACTTAGGTCTCTGTAGGGGTAGGGGGTAAGGTGGCGTCACCAGCTCCCCATCCTAGATAGGCAGGAACTTGAGTTGTTTCCCTATCACTCCCCTGTTCTAGGACTTGTGACTCCTAGTTCAGGTGTACCTTGTAGTCTATCTGCAGTCCACAATGTGGTTGAAAGCCATGGGAAATGTCTGTTTTGTGACTCTGTGGGAGTGGTTTCACAGCATAATCTCATGACTCAACCCAATACAGATAGCTTTATGGCTTGTCTGTTCTCCGATGTGGCAGTACTGCTACTTCTTGTATGGGGGGACATCACCTTTGGGCCCACGTGAGTGGATGTTGGTTACGGTGGTGTTGGCTAGTTGAGTCAGCCTAATCTCAGGCTTCAGGGGAAGTGGTTGCAGTGAGATAGGTATTTCCACAGTTCCCAGGGAGCTAGATGACCCACAGGACAACATGTATGAGTTCTGAAGGGGCTAGACTGGGGTTGGAGTTCAGGTGCTGTCTATGATGGGGTGGGGCAGGCTGGCCACCAGGTCTCCAGCCAAACTAACTCTCAGGCAGGGGCAGGCAGAACACTTAGATGGTGGGAGCCCAAGGGAATATCCCAGGCCAGTGGGGGCTGGGTTTTCAGAAGGGCTCTGGGCCACAGCTGAAATGTTCAGGTAGTGGCAGGGAGGTTAGGCTATGGGCCCTTCACCAGGGAGGGCAGGATTTCTCAGCTGAAGCAATGAAGACACACAGCTGTGGGGTGCATGACATGCTCCTGCTTCCTCCCATCCAACTGATGCTGGACTTCACTTTTGGGGGCACGCACGGGTGCCACACCTTACTACCTCTGGGAGTTTTTCCCCAGAGGAACTCAGAGCCATGACTGCCCACAGTGTTCAGGTGAGGGTGTGGTTATTGTGCTGGAGCCCAAGCCATGAGCCTTGCCCGGAGAAGGGCGGCAGGGGTGGGGGATCATGTGATCTGCAGTCTGGGTGCTTCCTGGAGGAACGCAGAGCCACACTGGCCATAGTGTTCAGGCAGGGGTGCGGTTGCTGCACTAGAAGCCCAAACCAATGAGTCTTAGTGAGGAGCAGTGGGACAGTCTGGCCACTCCTCCGCACCGTGGCAATGGCCGCTATTGGGGCTACAGCAGCTAGCACCAGGTTGCTCAGGGATCCAAGGCCTGTGGAGCTCCATGTGGTCTTGAATGGTACCTCTCTAAAGACTCCAGGCAGTTCTCTGTTAGTCCAGAGGCCTGGGGCAGGGGCAGGTGGGTTCTCATGTGCCCAGGATTACAAAGGTCCATGGTGTAAGTGTGGATTCCCCCAAAACTCTCACTTGTTCACCCTTTCCCCACATTAGGGAGCCTCCCCTGGCTCCACACCAGTCCCAGTAGGAGCTGCCTGGGCTTTGCTCATCTCTGTTCTCCATGGGGCCTGCTGCCTCCTTTGTAAATCCTGATGTGAGGTCTCAGACAATCCACTTAAAGAGCTAGTATTTATAGACCATTTTGTTTCCTCTCTGTGAGAGCAGCGCACACTAGCTGCGTCTAGTCAGTCCTCTTGAACTAGAAACAAAGCCATCTTAAGAAAGGACCTTGCATCCTTCCTGGGAGCACCTTGCCTCCTTCCTGATTTCTACAAAATCAGACTGTTTGGTCTGCACACCTGATTTAATATTCTGTTTGCTCTGCACATCTGAGTTAAAATTTTTGCAAGTACTCTGACCTTGGTTTCATTTTGATTTGGTTATGTGCATCTGTAAATAATTTGGCTCTTTTTCTCTTGCTTGCTTTTCAATGTCTTCTGAGAACAAAGATATTGTAAATAGTGGCCACGCGATGGCCAATTAAAATCCACTAAGGTGGCTAATCACCATCTAAAACACTGGTCTAAATCCCTGTCATTCCCTGACAGGATTTATAGGATTCATTTGGTCTGGAGAGATTAAGAGCAAATAGAATGGGATTCCCCCAGTATTCGGGCATGCCAAGTATTCTGCCTGGCTACATGGCTCTTCCTTGTGCACAGTTTTCAGTCAATAGTCATCTTAAGAATCATTCAACGTCCCCAGGCTTGTTTTTCTCGGTACCAAATTAAGAAACTACAACTATAGAATTTTTTTAAATGCTGGTATATAGAGGCTCCCAACTTCTTTATCTCTTTTTTCTTTTCTTCTTCTTCTCTGCTTACTCTGAATCTATTGACTTTTTCACTTGAGTTAAGATATTCTACTGTTGCTAATTTCAAAAGTCAATCAGAAGTTTTTCTTAAGGCATTTCAGCCAAGATAAGACAAAAAAAAAAAAAAGAGGGGGCTTTCAAATTACAACAGCTCTGTGGCAACCAACAACCTAGCCTTGTACACCTAAGAGTCATCCTTTCAGAAATGTAAAATTAGGTTTGCCTTGCTAGCAGTTGCTTAGGGTGATATAATAGCTAATTAAAAGACTGAAAATCTAAAAAGAAAAGAACTAGATAAATGTTTATAAAAATTTAGGCTCTCAGATTAACAAGTCAAAATCTTGAGTTCAGAGCAATAATATAAGTTATTTCTGCCTGGCATAAAAATTTTGCTTTGTCTGCCATGCATGATGACCTTGTTAAAATACAGACTCAGGTTCAGTATATTTGCCAGGTTCAGTAGGACTGAGGCGGGGCCTGCGATTCTGCACTTCTACAAAGCTCCTACGTGATACTGATGCTTCTGGTCCATAGACCACACTTTCAGCAAGGTACAAGCCCATAAAACAAACCTCAACAATTTCAATGAACACGTATCACATAGACACCTTCTACGACCACAGTGAATTTTTGTTAAAAATTAATAACAAAAAAATAAAATTTCATTTTAGAAAATTTGAAACACAAATTAATTCATGGATTAGAAATGGTATCATATATAGTTTGTTATAACGAAAGCACTGCAATGTTAAGTTAAAACTTATTGGACTGTTGTGGATGCCATAAAACTGGCATTTCAATGGAAATGTGTAGCTTTAAATATTTTATTTGTGAACTAATATCCAACTTATGAAAGTAAAAGGAACAACAGAAAAAAATCCAAGAAAGTAGAAGAAAACAGGTAATAAAAATTACAGTGGAAATTCAACAACAACAAAACACAATAAAAAGAATTAATTTTCAAAGCAAAATTGGTTTCTTTTCAAAAAGAAATCAAAGTAGTTAAACTTCTAGCAAGATTACCAAATAATAAGAGCAAAGGCACATATAGATAATATTGTGAATGGAAAAGAAGATACAACCACAGATACAGCAGAAATGAATATGATGATAAGACAATTACTTCAAAATAGACTAAAAGACATTGTAAAAGTGATAAAAGATATTAGAGAACAATATAAATCAGATTTAGCAAACATCATGGATGAGGTAACAGAACTCAGGAAAGAAATAGATATAAAACAAAAAATAAATTCAAAATTGAAGACGTTAAACTGGAAGTAGTTACCAGAGCAAAAAAACACAACAGATAATTTCTTAAGCAAATAGGAGGTAAAGGGAGAAAAAATTGTTTAAAATAAAATAAATGAAGGGATAAAAGTAATTCAAGAGAAAGCGACAAATATTAAAGATCAGAAAAAAGATTCAATCTAGAGTTAGCAGGAATTCCTGGAAAAGAACACCAAGGGAAGGCGGCCAAACAAATACCAAAAACTATAATTCAAAAAACTTCCTGAATTAAAAAAATATTTGATACTACATATTGAAAGAATGTACCATATTACTGAACACATCAACCTAGAATAGCCAACACCAAGACAAAGGTTTTAAAGAAAAAGAAAAAAATCCTCTGGGCATCTAGGCAAAAAAACCAAGTGACTTCTAATGGGGAAAAAAATAGATTATCATTACTACTAGGCTTTTCATCAGCCTTGCTGTATGTCAGAAAAAAAAATGCAACAATAAAATTCACGATACTCAAGGAAGAAAATATAAGCTAAAAATTTTATATCTATTCAAACTGACCATTAAATACAACGACCAGAGTAAAACTTTCATTGACATTCAAAAATTCAGGGGACTGTTGTTCCCATAAACATTTTCTGAAGAAGGTACTAGGGAATAAATTTCAGATAATCAAAATGACCAGAGAAATATTTGCATAAGCTCTAATGGTGAACATTAAACATATATACTTGTGGACTTACGAGATGCAGCAAGATTTAAAAGGGAGATGATGTAACAGGTAATATCTATGTGCTCTGACAATGATGATATAGTACAATTATTTTTAAATGAGAAAGGAGTTAAAATTTAAAAATTTCAAAATGGAGAAAGAAAAGAGGGAAGGATATATGCTAACAATGATTTTAACTGTTTTCAGGAAATTTTTAAGTGCCTATAGTGTTATAGGAGTTAAAAGGGGTCCTTGGGAAGTTTTTGTTTCTTTTAAAGCAGCTCCAGAAATGTTTCCTGTCTTGCAGAAAGGCCCTGGCTCTTAGAACCTCTCCCTCGACCCCACCCCCGCCACCCCACCCAAACTTCAGTGTGCAAATGCTGGCCATTAGAAACAAACTGGGTCCACCCAAACATGGCAATTCGGGCCGCCTTCTTCCTTGCCCCAACATGTGCCTAGCAACATGGCAGCCCCCACATATCCCCACGTGTGCAGAACATCAAGGTGCCCTGCATTTGCATATTAAAAGGCTAGGGCGGGAGGGCCAGTTTTTCCCTGTGCTATGTGAATGACATGCCTGGTCAAACCAATCCCCTCAGCCCTATGCAAATCAGAAACCAACTCCTCCAGCTTCCTCTTATAAGCAGCCACTATTCTGCTGCACATGGGGTTTTCTCTTTGTTCAAATCCCTCCTCCGTCTGTCTCGCATGGAGGAGCTGTTTCCTTCCTCCTTCCTTCTTTCTTGCCTACTAAACTTTTCACTCCTTAAAACCACTCCACGTGTGTCTGTGTCGTTTTATCCAAACCGGCGCGAAACGAAGAACCCTGATGTTCCTCCAGTCATTGGAGCCGTATCAGTAGCACAAAAAATATGCAAGAAGTATACAAGGGAAAAATTTAAAACTTTATGAAATGATTTTAACAGAGGCCTAAAGAAATATAAAAATATACTATGTCCACGCACAGGAAGATTTAGTAACATAGAGATTTTGATCTCTCCAAGTTGCATTTATAGATTAAGTGCAAATCCCATGAAAAGCCCAGGAGGGGTTTTCATAGAATTTGGTAAATTAATTATCAGTTTTACATAAAAGAGTATGGCACCAAGAATAGTGAGGATATTTCTGAAAAAGAATAGGGTGAGAGACTTATCCTACCCGATGTCAAGACTCATCTGAAACTTTAAAAGTTAGTGTAATACTAGTGCAGGAATAAACAGACCAACCAGTGGAATTAAGAATCCAGAACTCTCTTACACTTTCATAATAGTGAAAGAGGTGGCATGTCAGATCATAGGGAGGGAAGAGTTATTTGATAAACAGATATGGAAAAATGGTTACCAAACAGAAAAAATCAGTGTCATAACCCTATCTCACTTAATATAAAAAAATCAATCCCAGATGGATTTGGAATTTGTCTTCTTAAAAACCTTTAAACTTCTTGCTAAAAACTTATAGGTGACTGTCCTTCTGATCTTGGGGTAGGAAATGATACCTTTAAAATATTTTTATAAAATTATCTGCTTTAAAAATGATAAACTTTTGTTAATCAATAGACATATAAAAGAAAGTGAGTTACAAATTGGGAGAAGGTATTAGTAGTAAAGAAATGGACAACAATCAGTATCAAGAATATATGAATATTCTTACCAACAAAAAATGTGCAAATTGCATAAGCTTTTCATAAAAGAGAAAACAGATGTGGCCAAAATACTCATGAGATTCAATCTCAAGACTATCATGAAATACCATTTTATAGCCATTTAATTGGCAATAATACAAAAAAGTGCCAATACCAACTTGGTAAGAATATATGAATCTACAGGGTGGGAGTATAATTGGTATTACTCCTTTGAAAAACAACTTGACCTTATCCTGTAAGTTGAACATATTCTACATCTGATCCAACTCTTAAGTATATATGCAAGAAAAACAATTGTAGATGTGTACTAGACACATGTATAAAAATGTTCATATTAACATGTACCCAAGAGCAAAAACTTTGATACAACCTGCAAATCCATCAAAGGGGATGCATGAATAAAATATTTAATATTTACACAATGAAATACTACGCAGCAGTAAAAGTGAATGGACTACAGCAACACTAAACAATATGGGCAAATATTAGCAATTTAATATTATATAAACATAATTACTGAATTATTACATACAGCTTGATGTCCTTTCTATGCATTAAAACCAAACAAAATAAAGGCATTTTTACCATCACATAAGAAATGAGAATACACACGCACACAATTTAAAGTGATAATTATCTTGGCGGAAGGAGCGAAGGTGGGGGCGTTACAGGATGAGATATGACAGAAGTTATTGTTAGAGTCCTAGTTTTGAAGTTGGGTAGTAAGCTCATTGGTGCTCGTGACATTATTAAAAGAAACAAATAATAGGGGATGCGTGCATCCATGAGGAGAAACGTGGCATGAACAATAGGTATAAATTCTAACTCTCACCTCCGCTGTGAATGAGGCAAAGATCTACAGCACATTTACTTGATCACACAGTCTGTGAAACAAAGACACGTTAGTGGCCACGGTGGGCTGTGACAACTCTAGTCTCACCTCGATGAGTCAGGTTAAAAAGGATATTGACACTTCTCTTCCTTAAGTAATTTTCAGCTATGAGTGTGAAGTTATAGGTTTCTTGTGAGTCTTGAGTTATTTGCCAATTACACCAGTTTTTGTGTGTACAAAGTTTCTTTTCCCCAGAAAATCTTTAAAAACAAAACAAAATAACACAACCATTACGAGGTTTTTACTTTTGTCAAAGCAAATGTATCCCTTATCCCTCAGGGCATACTCAGTGACTGTCAAACTATGTTCCCCATAATGGCATTGATCCATCCATCACCAACAAATACCAATAACGAAAATATTGTTTCTACAAATTTGACATACGTGCTGAAATGTCTTAACATGAATCACTGACTCCCCGTGGGTGGCAAGAACATCCCTTAATTTACTTGGAATATTCCTAAAAAGTCAGAAATTGGGTAAACCCAGATTATCAGACAGGACTATTTTCACGTCAAGGTATACATTAACTGTCTTTCTTACCATGCTATGCTAAATGTTCCTTTTTTAAAAACCTCAGGTAGAAAGTATTAGACACTTGTCACCACTTAAAGGTTTCCTCTTGACCTTGGCAGGTGGTTCTGAAATATTTGTTCAAATTTCCTGCAACATCTAAGTGTAGATTTTTGCCATGTTGTCACAAGCACCTCAAGCAAGGAAGAAGTTGTCAATAATGTAACCAGAGCCAACTTACGATTCAAATAAAGTGTAGCTTTGGGAAGGTTGTTTAGACCACCCCAAGGCAGTGTCCGTCCCAGGATCCCAAGTACAGTGCAAAGTCTTGAAGTCCTCGGTTTCACAAGAAAAGTCCTTGGGCTCCTCAAGTACTTCTGTCCATACAAAGGAAAACAGACCTAGTTAAATCTTTTTATTGGAAGATAAGCCAAATGGAAAGCTCTGTTTAGAGTCTGAAGCCACAGAGTTACTGTGAACAAGGAAGGGGTCACTGAGGTGGAAGGCTACCTATCAACAGCCTCCAAAAGTCACTTTTCAGGGGTCACCTCATCTTGGCCCCTTCTCCTTCCTGCCCTTGTGATTTTCTGAGATGTCATGGGCATGGATGGTCCATGTTATGCAAGTGGCTGATGCTATGTCCATTTGACAAGGGTTGTATCCCCAGTGCCTGCCAATGTTTCATTTCGGGTGCTGTGGCTCACAGAATGCTTCGGGGATGCAAGGAAATCAGTCAGATTTGTACACCTGCTAAATTCAACAGGCAGGAGCTGAGTGTTCAGGGAATGGCAAAGCACCTCCAAATCCCCAGCGTTACTGCTGCCCTTAGTGGTCATGCTAAGGGGACATAGATGAACCAGGCATCCAGGAGACTGGAGACTGACTTTGGCAAGGGAGGCAGGGAGGGAGATGTTCCCTACTGTGCAAGGGAAGGAGATGCTCAAAATACAGGAGGCCACTAGTTGTGCACACACAAACCTATATAAAAAAATGTTCCCACTCCACTAATGTATCCGATGGAACCAATTTACTGCACAGTTAAGAACAGTAATGGCCTCCATTTGCTGATCTCCTACTGCATGCAGCTATTACTGGGGCTAGGCACTACCCACATTCATTAATCCTCACAATCACCATCACTGTCCCCATTTTACAAAGGAGGAAACTGGCTCAGAGAGGCTAGGAAACTTGGCGAGATGACACACCCAGCCAGGGAAAGAAGATTCAAACCCAGGTCTCCTAGGCCACAATCCTGGCTGACTCCATGGTTGTCCAATCTGTAGCTCCTACCCTCCCTCCATGATCCCGAAGTAATTCCAGCATGGCTGGGCAAAAAAGGGTATTTTCCCAGTGGTCCAGGTCATGACCTGAACTGTGTCTTCTTTAATACTATTGATTTCTAGGAATACAACTCTCAGTAAGGACAAGAAAACAACAGGAAATCCTGGAAATATTACTAAAGGACATCGACTTCAGAGCCTCTCCTAGAAAACTTGGGAAACAAAAGAAAATCAAGATCATGGGTAGAAATGTTTATTTGTCTTCTAGTAAAGGAGATTTAATCTATTCCTCAGGAAATGAGAAGAAAGGGCCACAGAGAATTTGCACACTTACTTGAGACAAAAAGAACGATGCCTTTCATGCCTTCACTGACATTTCCTTGACTTGCCTCACAATAGATATTTGTCCCTTTATTCCTAATGAAAGGCACACTATTCAAGTTGAATGCAGTTACATGTGGATCAAGTTGTTCTCCATGAATCTGTTTCCCTTCCAAATAACAGGATACATTATTTTGAATGTTCCTAGAAACGTAACAAATGGTAACATTGGTGCCTTCTTCCACCAGCTTATCTTTAGGGAAAACGAACAATATATCCTGTCCAGTAGAATCTTGTACTGCAAGAAAAAAAAATAGCCAAGTTAGAATCGCACTCAAAATTCAAGCCTCTTAAAACAAGTTATCCATTTGCCTTCAGCAGATAACTTTAGCTTTTTCTACCTCCTGGAGAAAATAGCAACCTAAATTTCTCTGCCAAACCTCTACCCTCTGGTGCATGCAAGACAATCCTTTCCACCACTGCTCCTATTGTTACACTGATACCACTGCTGTTGCTCTTACTGCCACAGACAGCACATTACTATTACCACTCTGATAATTGCATGATTGCTATTGCTGGGTTATTGTAACTGCTTTCTATCAAGTCCCAGCCCTGCTGAAGGCCATGTTAAGTGTTTATGTACATTATCTCATGTCGTTCTTAGTACCTTACAACAACAGGTCAGGTAAGACTTAGCCAAAGTTTGCTCAGTTAGAAAGTGGCAAAGCCACATTCAGACTGGCAAGGTCTATGCATCTCCAAAATCCCTCGTAATCTCTTCATTGTACTGGAGATCATATCTCTCCCTACCTTCTCAGAAATGCGAGTCCCTCAAGTGTGAGGGGTCTTTAAAACATTCATTTTTAAAAGTTTTTAAAAAATCCAACCTTCAAGCAATTCTTGTGCCTCAGCCTCCTGAGTAGCTGGGACTACAGGCATGTGCCACCACACCCAGCTGATTTTTTGTATTTTTAGTAGAGCTGGGGCTTCGCCATGTTGTGCAGGCTGGTCTCAAACTCCTGAGCTCAGGCAATCCGCCCACCTCAGCCTCCCAAAGTACTAGAATTACAGATGTGAGCCACCACACCCAACCTCTTACTATCTTTTTAATATCTTTTCTTTCCCTGTGTATGTGTCCTTCTTTCCATAGTAGGATGTAATAGTTAAGCACATGACCTCTGGAGCCAGACTGTCTGGGTTGGAGTTCCAGCTCCAGCACTTAGTGGCGTGGTGACCTTGCATGGCTTCTTTAACCTCTCAGTGCCTCAGTTTCCTTATCTGTGAAGCGAGGATAAGAAGTCCTTTTATAGGACTGACATGAGAACTAAATATGTATAGTACTTTAAAAAGTGACTAGGTCATAGATTTAATTCAATTATTATTATCTCATTAGTATTATTAGTTTAACGTGCGCAAATAATCTCATTTTTCAAATAACACACCACTTTCATTTTTCCATATTCCACCCCCCTTCCCCCCACCCCGCCGTCTAGATTCGGGGGAGCTACAATTTGAGTCCACCATCTGTTGTTTTTTTGGTGTGTGTGTGAGAGACAGAATCTTGCCCTGTGGCCCAGGCTGGAGTACAGTGGTGTAATCTAGGCTCACTGCAACCTCTGCCTCCTGGGTTCAAGCGATTCTCCTGCCTCAGCCTCCAGAATAGCTGGGACTACAGGTGCCCGTCACCATGCCCAGCTAATTTTTATATTTTTAGTAGAGACAGGATTTCACCATGTTTCCCAGGCTGGTCTTGAACTCCTGACCTCAAGTGATCCACCCGCCTTGGCCTCCCAAAGTGCTGAGATTACAGGAGTGAGCCACCATGCCTGGCCCTGTTTCTGTAAATAAATTTCTATCAACAAAGCTGTCTCATTGGTTTACACACTATCTATGGCTGCTCTCACACTACAGTAGCAGAGTTGAATAGTCACAACAGCGACTGTATGCTCTGAAAAGCTTATACTATCTCTTATCTGGCCTTTCACAGAAAAATGTTCCCAACCTCTACTCTAGACGCATACACATTTTGTGTTGCTCAAATAAATACATATGTACAATTTATGTCTTGCTTTGTTCACTTAGCATTTATAATACACAAACTTTACATGTTTTGAAAACAAATACAAAATTGCCTGAATCTGCACAACTATCTCAATGAGTAAGTTCAGGAGCAAGACTTCAGACTATATCTTCCAGTGCCAAGTTTCACACCTGTGTTTTTTAGTTCCCATAGGAGCCAAAGGAAAATAATGTCAGTGTCTACCCAGGGTTCCTCAAAGGAGATTTCCACTATTTGACTATTGCTCCTCATTAAAAAATATATTAACCCTTTTCACTCTTGTAACCACCTCACTTCTTACCACTGACTTCCTCCCAGGAACTCCAGTTGCTCCAGAAATTTGGCTCAGGGAACTTGGCATCGTCCACCAAACTCTTTATTCTTACAAAGTGTGTGGCACATTCCAAAGGGAGCTCAGATTCCCAGCTCCAATGCAGAACCTGGTTCCACTTCACAGTGGTGCTGTAATTCCCCTAAAAGCAAAGAGAAAACAATTGGAGACACATAGCCATCTTGTCCTATAAAATAGCTTGACTTGACTTATCCCAAAGCACAAACCTAAGACCCCATTGCAGGTCCACGATATGTGCCAGTGAATTCCACTTCTGCTAGTCAATTCCCCATGTTCTGATGCCTCGCATGGGAGCCAGCTATGACCTCCTGCCTTTTGAAAACTCAGCTTCCAATCACTATGGTCTTCCAATTCCCGGGGACTCATGTGGAATAAGCGGGAGAGAAAACAGAAGCTACTCAGGTCTTGGGGGAACAGATCAGAGACAGAAGGTGCTCACTGTGCCAGTCCCAGAGAATCTGCTAAGAAAGTTCTTGAAAAGTAGAGAATTAACACAGTCATCCTTTAAAAAAAAAAAAAGATTGTTTGTTTTTAAAAAATATTCATCTTTAGCAAGGTTTGGATTAGGATGGTCAAATCTCAGTCAAGAAAGCAGTCTTTCATGGCACACCAGAAGTTCCATTTTCTCTCGGAAGTTGATAGATGGCTCTCTGAGTCTCCCCTGGTTTTCTGTCTCTTGTCCTTTCAGATACGGTGGCCACATGGCCACACTCCATCTCTTGGGCTCCATCTGTCAGACTCTTAGGCCCTGAAGCTGTCAGTGACACAAAATGTCTTACACTGTTTTCTAGGAAGCTTGTCTAAGTTGAGCTGTAATTTGGGCTTTTGACACAGCCTTTAGCCTTCATCTTTCTGAGATGCTGGCATTTCCATTCTCTAATTCCACAGGCTTCAAAGGCCCGTTTACACCTTGCCCTGTCATGCAAGGCCTTCTATAATCTGGCTCCAACCCACCAGTCCCTTGCAGGAATCGTCTCTCCAAACATAGCACCTCCCCCACACTTCTGGATATGCCTTATGCTTTCAGACCTGTCTTTGCTCAGGCAATGTCTTTGGTTTGGTGTCTTCCACTCCCTGCTGTATGGGGATCTGTCCTGTTCTTCAAGCCTAGGTTATGTCCCTTCTCTTTCATGAAGGCTTTCTTGCTCTTTCCTCTGCATTCCTCTTGTCTCCACCCCTTCTGAGCCCCTCCTATATACTGCGGCTAGCTGTTGGTATATCAGCTGTGACTCTAGCATGGTCCCGAGGGAGCAGGAACCACGTTCTCTTCTTCATGTCCCCCAAAGCTCCAGGCATGCTTTCTCCTCAGTGTGCCTCCTCCAACGCTCCTGTTTCCTGCCCCACAGCTGCAAGGTGGAGACAACACACACATGACACTTACTGGGGGAACCTGAGTTCGAGTCTGCATCCATGTTTCTAAGGGCGAATAATAAGTCCTCAGTGAAGGGGATGGGACAAGTCACATGTCACACACTGCTTGGCGTTAGCAACTCGGATGCCTTCTACTAATTATGTCTGCCCCCTATTCAGGTCACAAACTTGAAACAGTGCCCCTGACAGAATTAAACCCAGCCCTGGGCTGAAAACATCCTGGTCCACCCAGGGGGCATTTAATTGTGGGCTTCCTTTCTCACTCTCTGCAGACTGTGTTTTTTTAAATGTTTATATTTTATTTCCATTTCTTGCATTACTTTACTCCTAGATCACAAAATATGTTCCTTAACAAGTTGTGAGGTCCTGATCCATGAAACCCTCACTATTTAACATGAGCAATGTCAAGTACATTTTGCTTAAATATTTTTAAAATTTAAGAGCAAATATCCCAGGACTTTGGGAGGCCAAGGCAGGCAGATCATGAGGTCAGGAGTTTGAGACCGGTCTGACCAACATGGTGAAACCCCATTTCTACTAAAAATACAAAAATTAGCCGGATGTGGTAGTGCGTGCCTGTAATCCCAGCAACTCAAGATGCTGAGGCAGAAGAATCGCTAGAACCCGGAAGACGGAGGTTGCAGTGAGCTGGGATTGCGCCACTGCACTCCACCCTGGGCAACAGAGTGAGACTCCATCTCAAAAAAAAAAAAAAAAAAAGGAGCAAATATTTCCTCTCTTCCCCCAGACCCCTGCTAGAAGGAAGTACATCAATAATGGCAACTTCGCTCTAATGCCAACAAGTCACAGACTGAACTTTACCTCCCTTCTGTCCCTTAAATGCAGCCACTTCTCTTACCCGCATCTCCGCTTTGGCTGAACCCTACAGCTCGCTTCCTAGCGGCCACACATCCCTTGCCCCAGTTCCCCACCACATTCCGCTGTGCGGCTATTCAAATCAGAGCTTGCCACTTCCTTTGTTCTTATTGCCCTTGGGATAAAAAAACAAAACCTGAGCATGCACTCCATGGTCCTGTGCATCTAGGCCTGTGCCCCTGTCCTCATGTGCTTGGGGATCCAGCACCACAGCGGGCTTTCAGGCCTGGAAATTCCCTTCTCTCAGCGCCTCTGCTCATGCCTGTTGGGCCTGCTCAGAGCACTCTTTTCTACTCTACTTGCTAAAGTAACTTCTATCCTCTTGGATATTTGGTCTCAAACAGCCCTTTATCCAAATTGTGGGAGAAGGTGAGGCCTAACCCGAACCTCATAGCATCTCATCAGTGACCTGCACACACAGCCCGTGTGTAGAATACCCTATGCGTGTGTTCACCTCCTCATTCTTTCCAGTGTGCTCAGCGCTGACATTCCCACACTGCGCACAATGCCTGATCTGGGAGCACAGGCTAAAACTCTGGACTGAATGATTTAATCATTTCATTAATATGCAATGAGTTGTATTTCCCCCAGACACTATTTATGTGTGGAACCTGTTTAACCTCAACTTCTGCTTTGTGGTCTTTACAGCCCTGTTAATGTAGGAGATAAAACTTTTCCTTAAGTACTGCAATTCATTGATTTTTTTTCTTTAAATATGATGAATTGTCTTTGGGTCATTTCATTTATTGAAGTGGCAGGTTTAATTTGATCCTTGCAGACATCAGTAAGTCACAAGAAATTGGCACACACATTTACACAGAAGTCTAATAGAGGTCACTGATTTGTTACTGAGACATTTGACTCCCACACCTGGCCTCCTTCCAAGCTTGAGCTCTTACTCTACTTTGCCTTCCTATGCCATTGACAAAATCAAAAAGCAAAGGGAAGGGGAGGACCATGACCCAGGAGGGCAGGACCATGCAGTTCAGGGTTCCAAATGGCCAGTACCATCCAGGAGACAGGTCGGTGCCTCTGGTCCAGCTGCAAGTGCTCTTCCTTTGACTTGTTTGGGAACAGAGGTGTCCGAGACATTGAGTCCAGAAGCTTCCCCCCAGCCCCCAGCATGAATGAGAGTGCCCTGTCAGGCTTGCACTACAGGGAGCTTCCCTGTATAAGGGAGATTTTGGTCTAAACAGAAGCAGCATCCTCCTCCTTAACTGGAGGAGGATAGTTCTCGTCAACTTCAGGCATGAGTGATTCAGACAAGCATTTCTCAAGGCATCATCTATTCCATAGGACATGTGTCCACCGATGGCCTGGGGGCTGCATGTGACTGTCATCCCTTTCTGGGCACAGGAGTGAAGGATGATCCCACCCTGCCTCTGTCACCTGGAGCAACACAACAAACCTCTCTGTGCTGTGGTTTCTCCACTGTTGTAGTCAGGCTGGGTTGGGTGTTGTGAGGACAACACGATAGACAAGGCAAAACTCTACCCTGAAGGGTCTTGAGCCCTAGAAGATTACAGAAATAGTCCACACTAGCTGCTTTCCCTTGAAAAGAGGACTCTTACGGGAATCAAATATGAAAACAGATATGAACAACTGCTTTTTAGGAAAATAAATAAAAAAATCCACTTGGTGTATGGCTAATATTATTTTTTGTAACATAATAATAGATATGAGTTGTCTTTTGGAAAAATAAAGAATAGGATCCATGTAGTCTATGGTTAATGTTATTTTTGCTAACGGTGCTAAGTGCTAGTTTTCCACAATTCCTCCAGCACTTCCACCTCAATTTTTCTTTTTGTAGATAATCCTTAGTCTCAATATGACCTTTGCTTCAATGTTTTACCGGGCCCAAATTACCAACAAGTGTACCCATTAAAAATACAAAAATCAGACTTGCTAGTATAAGGTGAGATAGTGGAAAGATGTGTTGATAGCAGGGAGTAAACAGCTACACAGAAGTATTGCTGTTGTTGAAAATCATCATACTAAATAAGTCTCATTGTGGGAAACTGCCCTTTGAGAGGTAGAATTATAGACTAGGTATGAATCCTAAGTGGACAGAGTCAAAATTTTATTTAACTTGCGCAGATCTCAAATTTCAATAATGAATATGGAAAGTAACTGAAGATGTTAAAATTAGTGACTTGTATGCCTTACCAAAGGAACTAACCATGCTGTATGTGTGTACCCAAAGCCTCCACTACCTGGGTGAAGACAGGAGCCTGGTTGAGCTGACAGAGGGCCCAAGCACAGTCCTAGGCTTCTCTTACCTGTAGGAAAATTTTCAGTTCCTTTAATGAGAAAACATTCCACTGTCCTTAAATATCCCGTGAAAATGACTGAACATTATGTGCATATAGATTACTAGAGTTCCCAGATGAGAAATGGAAATCATAAACCACTCATGTGTCCTAGTGCACTAGATGGGGACACCTCAGGCAAAACTGACCCAATAATCATTTGAACTAAGTGAAAAATCCACCCCAAAGAATTCAAAGACAAAAAGAGTGTGAAAGTCAGTATTTTCTTAATTTAATTTGTTGTGGAAAAAGCCACATGTAAGGCAACAAAGGACACAGGAAGTTACTCTCCAACATGGCTCCTTGTTGGATGGAACATTAAGTGCTAGCACTTACTCTTCCCTGCACTTCAGCTGGGTATAGGCCAAGAAACTCTCAGGAAGCTACATTGGAAAGAAAAATGTTGCCAAATTATTACATCTTATTTAGGAAAATCTCTGGAGGACGGAGAAGAAAGAGGTAGGAGGAATGAATTGGTTAATCTTCGTGGCTCTCTGGAATTCAGTATTCACGAGGACAGACTCAACAGTCTTCTTAGAAGACAGAGCAAAACTGAGAAAATCTATTTTCTTAGTGCATCCCATCCTACCTACCAAACCAAAGTTGTCATGTTACTTTGTCCTGGATCATTAACAGAAAATGCAGAAATGTAATTGTTTAGACAAACTGTTTTGAGCTGCTAATATATTTCCAAAACGAGAATTTTTCAGATGTTATAAAAGAAAACCAAGGTGTCTTTTTTTAAAGATGATTTTTTAAATATTGAGCCAAAAAAATTACTTACCACCCAGATGACATTGGATGTTTCAATCCTACTGATCTGGATCTGAAATACCATTTTCAATTCCTGATGATAAGGAAGGTTGTGGACAGTCCATTGTAAGTGCAAACTCTGACGCGTAGAATTGGTGGAAACTTTAAGTGATACAGGAGTCAATGGTAAACGTTCAGCCAAGACTGAAAAGATCAAAATGAAGTATGAAATAATATTTAATAGGAGCATGATTGAAGAGTCAGAAATAATTAAACTTGAATATCATCATTATTTAGCTCTGGAAAATATTGCTCATATGTGCATCCTAGAATCAGACACCTTGGAAATCTGGAAGAGAATTTAGAAATCACTTAGCAGACACAGAAATTAAGATCTAGATGAATGAAATGACTTGCTCAATAATACACAGCAAGCTCATACATTGATAAACAGGTAAACAAAACAGAAGGATCCTTTATTGGACAATCTAACCGGTTGGGAAATTTATAACAAGGCTGAAAAAAAGAAAGAAGACTTTTTGATGGAAATGTTACATTTCTGAACATCAGAAATGAAAGTTTCCTTTTTGAAAGTCAATATTTTATAGTTTGGTAAAAGACTACAATGTGGGAGCATGTATTATCTGTAGACATGGTCATTTGTGTCTCAATGTATTTAACTTAAAGACTAGCAAGAATTCACTGAACTCTTTCGATGAGACCAGCAACATACCAGGTATTTGATGTGAAATAAAATAATTGTGACAAGGTTCCTAGCTCAAAGAAGGAAGCTAGTTGGAGAGACATGATGAACTCATATGAAATAATCAAGAGAGTGGAATTTTAGACTAGTTAGTGGTATGACACAGTCTGTAAAAGAATAGGAATTCAAACATGAAACAGATTTGCTGAAGTTGGTGGCCTTGGGAAGCAGCAGCCTATCTCTTAGGCTGACTGCATAAACCACCAATGGCGCCACTGCAAATGGCTTGCACACAGAGGTTTAAGCAGATATATCTGCCACTAGAGAGAGAATGTGTCCTGACTAAGTGAGTTAAGTCACTGCTGATTCTTAAAGAAGAACAAATCATGACTTTCCACTTAAGAGGAGGAAAACACCATATAGATTGTAAAATAATTGTGTATTGCTGATTCAACTATTTCAACTGTGAGGGTATCAGAAGTAAACTGGGAGTGGTACAAAGGTATTGAAAAGATAAAGCCTGCATCGATAAAATCAGCTGCTATCTGATGACTCATGGCGTAAGAGATATCATCTTTTAAGCATTCAGTTTTCTAGTTTCAGGGGGATTTCCCCTTGTCATTTGAACCCCTCAAACGTTACGTTTAAATGGTAAGAGATTATCTCATTTTGATAATAAACAATGGAAACAGTCTCCAATACTGAAAAAATGTCCCCAAATTGCCATTCTGCACATGCTATTTTTCTCTTAGGGAAGTAAAAATAACAACAATGAAATTGAGCACATGTTATTTACCATGCACAGTGCTAGGGTCTTTACTTATGTTGTCTCATGCAATGCCTACTATAAAACTGTTAGACAGCAATTTTTTAGATAAGGAAACTCAAGCTCAATCAGGGTAAATAACATATACAAAGCAATGTGAAATTAAATAGGAATCTCTCTAATACCAACACCTGTGTCCCCCTGTACTGTCCTCCAACTGTTAAGACAGGAGCATTGGCCCAGTCAAAGTTTGCACGGAATGGAATGTCTGAGAAGTATTTTGCATGGCACCAACAACAAAGTCCTACCATGGTCAGGACACAGGTGACAGGATGGGGCTCTGCATGGAGCCAGATAAACTGAGGAGCATTCCTGGTGGATACAAGACAAACATGATGTTTTTCTTGTGATTGGTCCACATAGTAGAAAGCTTCAGATTCAAATGAGGCATAACCTCAGAATTTGGAGGAACACCTCAGAAAACTCATTCTATGAAAGTGAGATGAACAAGAATGCCCATAAAAGGAAAGGGAGCCACAATGGCTACCTTCCCTGAAAGTTACCTTGTGATATTTTGTAAATGTGATGCTGGGAAGGGCTAGGGTGATAACTATAATCTCAGCGTGAATTCCATGACCCTGAGTTTGGCAGTGGGTCCTTAGATCTGAATCCAGAGTATGAGCAACAACAACAACAACAACAAATAGACAATAAAATAAACAAGTTTGTGCATCAAATAACAATCACAAAAAAGTGAAAAGACAACATATAGAATGTGAGAAAATATTTGCAAATCATATATCTGATAAGGTTCCAGTATCCATACTACATAAAGAACTCTTACAAACCAGCAACAAAAAGACAAAGAACTCAATTTAAAAATGGGCAAAAGAGTCGGCAACATGGAAAAACCCTGTCTCTACCAAAAAAAATACAACAAGTAGCTGGGTGTCATGGCACGTGTAGTCTCAGCTACTCAAGAGGCTGACATAGGAGGATGGTTTGAGCCCGGGAGACAGAGGCTGCAGTGAACCGTGATCACACCACTGCACTCCACCTGGGCAACAGAGTGAGACCCTGTCACAATAAAATAAAATAAAATAGAATAAAATAAAATAAGTCAAAAGACTTGAATGAACATTTCTCCAAGGAAGATATATAAATGGCTAACAAGCACATGAAAAGATGTTCAATATCATTAGTCACTAAGGAAATTCAAGTCAAAATCACAAAGAGGTACCATTTCACACCCATGAAGATGGCTATAATAATTTTTAAAATGGAAATAACAAGTGTTGGCGAGGATGTGGAGAAATTACAGCCCCTGTACACTGCCGGTAGGAATGTAAAATGGCTCCACCTTGTTGAAAACGTTTTGACAGTTCTTCAAAAAGTTAACTCCGGCCTGAGTGACAGAGTGAGACCCTGTCTTCAAAACAAAAAAGTTAAAATAGAATCACCATATAACCCAGCAATTCCATTTGTAAGTAGATATCCCAAAGAATTGAAAGCAGGAATTGAAACAAATAATTGCCCACAAATTTGTAGCAGCGTTATTCACAATAGCCAAGAGGTGGAAACAACTGAAACTTTCATCAGTGGATGACCAGATGAACAAACTGTGGTATACACACACGAAGGACTGTTACTCAGCCATAAGAAACTGAATACTGATACATGCTACAATTGGATTAACCTCACAAACATCATGCTAAGTGAAAGAAGCCAGATACAAAAGGTTTTATACTGTGATTCCATTTGTATGAAATTGCCAGAATAATAAGTACCATAGAGACAGAAAGTAGACTGGTAGCTGCCAGGGGCTGAGAGAGAGGGGAATCAAGACTAACTGCTTAAGCAGTGGTTTCCTTTCTGGGGTAATGAAAATGTTTTGGAACTGAATTGGGTGATTGTTGCATAACATTGTGAATGTACTAATATTGCTAATTTACTCACCAAATGAGTATCATGAATCAATGTCACTAATTACTCATGATAAAAATGCTGGCATAACACAGAAATTGAGTTTCTATAATCCTACTCTTTTCATTCTATTGCCAAATTTAAATCATATATATTTTTATTGGATTTTCCCATGCGCTTTTTAAAAATGTATTGGAACATGTACCCCATTTTATGATTTTTAAAGGACATTTTTTTTAAACAAATAAAGGGAAGTAAAAATAAAATGTTAACAGTCATTATAACAGTAATTATTTCTGGAAGATGAGGTTGAGTGATCTTAATTTTCTTCTTTATACTTTTTGGTATTTTGTAAATGTTCTTCAGAAACATGTATTAGTTTGAAAATCAAATAATAAGTTATAATATAAAAGAAATACTTCCTTAAGCTATCTGATTCACTCCACTATAATCATACCTCAGAATGTGCAATTCCTCCTTAGATTTCCTAAGCCCTTGTTTGGAGCACTGATTGCAACATGCTGTAAGAGCCTGTTTCTATGTCTGTCTCCCTGTAGACTGTGAGTGAAACAAGGTTGAGACTCAGCCTTACTCAGCTCAGAGAAACCAAGACTAAGAACATACCAGTTATGGTATTCAGCGATTGGTTGCTGAATGCATGAGTCAACTATCAGTCTAAACTTTACTTCTGGAAGCTCCAGACAAAAGAAGAACGCCTTATATTAACATACGCTATCAGTGAGTGCTGAATGACTCAGGTGCTCAAGTGACATCAGTCAAAAATAATCTGGTTAAAAGCAATCTAGGACTTCCTTGGGAAATAGTGGAAAATGCCAAGGTTAAGTCAGTGGGATCAAAGAATCATAAAGATTATTAAATCCAATCCCATTATTTTTCAGACGAGGAAATTGAGGTTAAAAAATGGGAAGTGACTTTGCCACAGCCGCACAATCAGACCAGAACCTAGGGCTCCTGGGTCTCTGTCCAGCTCTCTTTTTATAATGCTGGAGTATGGCCAAGAAGGCCAGGTTTGGGAATCAGACCAGGACTTAATCACATACTCTCCTCCCACTTTCCCCACCCTGTTTCTCTGACCATCCACAACACTACTCAAGGAAATAAACCATTGTCCATTCATAAGAAGGGATATCATGCAGCAATTAAAAATAATGTTGTTTCTAGAAGAACATTTAATATCAAAGAAAAACACTCATCATATGTTGTAGTAATTGTTTTAAGTAATAAAAAAATCCTGAGCATATATATATACTATAATTTAACTTTTATTTAAAAACACACTATGTATTCATCTCCCTATCTCTATCTGTATGTACATATACACAACAGACAGAGGAAAATATTGCTGCAGTCATAATCTCTGGCTGATGGAAACATGTACCCAGGGTTAACTGAAGAAAGTCTTGGCTCTGCCTCGTTGATTGGAGAAATTAAGCCAGGTTATTTGGAATAAATCTTCAGATCTGTATCTGGCTGGGTGATTAAGTGGTAAGCCAAATAGTTTGAGTGGGAGTTTAGTAAGTACTTGGTTAAATGCAGCAGAAATTGAGACAAGAAATCCAAATAGTACAGGTCAGGGCAAAGACAGGATTAATTACCAAAGAAGGCATGCTTGACAGAGAAAGCTGGAAGCAGCAGTGAAGATTGGTTGATAGAAAAACAGGGAAATGCATGTCTGATCTAAACAAAAGAAGCTGAAAGCATGAGCAGCAGAGCTTGCTCTGAGAATAGAGTGGCTTGTATGTAGAAGGCACATAGTAAATAGTGCTGGATCAGAAAAGGGAACTTCACTAGAGAATGAGCTGGGCTGAAAGCTTAGAGTTAGATGCCTGGGATTTCCTGGAGACCCTGTGTAACCGAGTACCCCATTTTTCTAAGAAAAGGAGAATGAGTTACTATTGTTTTATTATTTTCTCTTTTCCCCAATTCCCTCTGTTCCCCACTTCCTACTTAGCCCTTTGGAAATGCAATTATAACCTTTTATCTCCCCTTCACCAGACACTCCCTACAAGGCAAGTTCATCTGTTAATAATGATATGCTTAGAAGCTCCAGAGAGGAACTCTCACCCACCAGGAGACTGCCTTGAGAGGTAACAGTTGATTTACAACCCAAAGTATGCCCACTGTGAAACTCTCTCCCACCTGGAGAATTTTCAGCCACCTTACAGCCTATTTCTGCCCATGAAGATGTCAACTCAACTAACCAGTAGATAAGGCACCAAAGTGAGTATGCAGACCCCTACCTGCTCACTTCTGCCACTGCATAGGCCCCCTGCTTTAAAAGTGCCCACTTTCTACTCCAAAAGCAAAGCAGTCCCTTTAAGGAGGAAAGCTTGTCCTTATTCCCCTAAGTTAGCTTTGGTATAAAAAGTCGGTTTTATTTTTATACCAGACCTTGCTCATTTTAATTGGACTCTGCAAGCTGCAAGCAACTGAACCTGCATTTCGGTTACACCTGGAGGTGGGGCAGTGGGTCTGTTTGAAAATACAAAAAAATTAGCTGGGCGTGGTGGCGTGTGCCTGTAATCCCAGCTACTCAGGAGGCTGAGGCAGAAGAATTGCTTGAACCTGGGAGGCAGAGGTTGCAGTGAGCCGAGATCGCGCCACTGCACTCCAGCCTGGGTGACAGAGCAGGACTCTGTCTCAAAAAAAAAAAAAAAAAAAGAAAATCATTCTTATTATATGGTTTGACCTCTCAGTCTGGTTGCACTGTGCTTAGATTTTAGCAAGTAAGACAGAGTGAGCGAGAGGTATACATACTACAAATGAGAAATCCTAATTCCCACCTTTCAGCCCCAGATTAGAAGAGACTAACATCAAACTATGGTTTTTAAGATGCTGAAAGAAACAGCATAGTAGTGTCTTCCCATGTGCCCTGGACCTAAAATAAATAAATCCAGATGAAAGGAATGTCAGACAGAGAATTGAGCAATTATCAGAACAATGTTTCCTTTTTTTTTTCCAAATATATTTTCATGGAGTTTCAAGAAAGATGAGAAATTCTATGCATATTCCCCGCAAAGATCATTTTCATGAATCTGTGGACAGGAACTGCATGGATAATTACTAGGAGCAAACACCTGTACTCTCATTTAAAAGGGGAGTACAGCAAAGAATAAATACAGGAAGAGGAAAATGTAAAGCTTTGTAAAATACAGATGAAAGATACAAAAAATTATGAACCAATAGAAACTCAAGTCTAAGATCTACTTCTAAACAAGTTCAAAGTAATATAGTATCAATAAATATTTTAGAGGTATTAAATTCTTATTGACCTTATTTATAAAGTTAATTTATCTCAAAATATCTTCCCTTGGGGAGTAGCTAAGTGACAAATATTATTTATTTATAAAACATTTCAGCATTTAGCATATTGTCTTTCAGAGTCTTGAAAGAGTTTCTATTGTTTCATATTTTCATTGCTTTTACTCATATTTTACTAAGCTAACAGCTTCTCAATGAACATAGTTGAGGGACATAAAAACTTGTACTAACCTAGAGGTCAGCACTGGTGTGGTATATCCAGTGTCTTTTCTCAGCAAGGTACAGAAAGAACTACTTCGATGATGGTCTGATAAAATATATCCATCATGAAATTCTATGGGATTAGGTCTATTTACAACTGCCCTAATGACCAGTGCACTGACCAGGAAGTCAGGGTCAAAGGGTGGCTTATTAAGAGAGCCATCAAGATGACAGAGGCCAAGACTAAGGCAACCACTGCTTAGAGAGATTGACAAATCTCCTCATGGGAGATACTCAGGAATTTTAAGTAATTCCCAAAGAAAAAAGAACTGTTTAACTTTTTCCCAAAGCATCAATGACTTCATTTGTTCCCGACGTGATTTTTGTCTTTACTGTTCCTTCCACTTCTTACCTTCACTCTGGTAAGTCCTCAAGGACAGCAATGTTAAGAAGAATGTTGTCTGAAAGACTGCAAATAGAGCCATCAGTTCTGGTTTTCTGAAAAAGATAAATTATAAGAAGGAAAATTTTATTTAATTTTCAATACTGGCAAATTTCTTCGAGCCAATTGTGGTAGATGAGGCAATAAAGGCTCCCATACTTCTCCCTTCCCTGTATCCATGCCTCTTGTCATGGTACTTTAGAGTCCCCCCAAAATAGGAAGACTATATTTCCCTGCCCCATGGGACCTTTTTGGGTCTATAAATGAGGCATAAGTGATAGTGTGCCAGGTAGGATGGTGTGCCAGTTTCTACCTACTCTTTTGTGTTTCTACCTTTGACATGAAAAGAGCATTTATGGGCTACCCTACTATATTAGTCAGTTTTCACACTGCTGATAAAGACATATCTGAGACTGGGAAGAAAAAGAGGTTTAATTGGACTTACAGTTCCACATGGCTGGGGAGGCCCCAGAATCATGGCAGGAGGTGAAAAGTACTTCTTACATGGCAGCAGCAAGAGAAAATGAGTAAGAGGCAAAAGTGGAAAACCTTGATAAGCCCATCAGATCTCATGAGACTTATTAACTATCACGAGAATAGCACAGAAAAGACCGGCCCTGATGATTTAATTACCTCCCCCTGGGTCCCTCCCACAACACGTGGGAATTCTGGGAGATACAATTCAAGTTGAGATTTGGGTGGGCCCACAGCCAAGCCGTATCACCTACTGGAACCAGAAGAAGAATGAGCAACACATGAAACAGAGAGGGCCACCTCAGCTGCTCTAGCTGAGACCAGCCTAGATCAGCCAGCAGCCAGCCAACCCCAGACAAGAGCAGCTGACCCCAGGTGAAAGAGCAATAAATGCTTATTGCTGTGTGCCACTGATGGTTGGTGGCAATGGATAACTGATCAACCAATTCATTCAGACCAAGCAAAGATTGGTAAAGAAAGGTCAAGCAGAGAAACAAGAGTTAAATATGGACCACGAACTCTGATTAGAAAGAGAACAAATACAATAGTCTCAAGAGAGCTAAATTTAAATTAATTACTTGGAGGTGAGGGCATCTCCATTCTTCCCCATCTCCAAATATAATAGTCTCAAGAGAGCTAAATTTAAATTAATTATTTGGAGGTGAGGGCATCTCCATTATTCCCTATCTCCAAATACAATAGTCTCAAGAGAGCTAAATTTAAATTAATTATTTGGAGGTGAGGGCATCTCCATTATTCCCTATCTCCAAATACAATAGTCTCAAGAGAGCTAAATTTAAATTACTTGGAGGTGAGAGCATCTCCATTCTTCCCTATCTCCCTCATTAAAATTTAACCTAGGTTAGCATATTCTCCCAAGAGACAGTTTTTCATTATTCCAAATAATTTCCGGTTTTCCTTTCCTTAGAAAAGAATTGTAAAGAGCCAAAGAGCTTCACTGATTCATCAGGTACTTTGACCACGGGAAAAATCTGAGGACATCAAGAATAAGGCTGGATGACCTCAAAAAGGTTAATACGTTCTTAATTTAAGAACAAATGTGTTAGTCAGGGGAAGCACTGAATTTCACTTTTCTCCTTCAAACTCTGACTCAGCAGAGGGCAACAATGAAACAATTAATTTGAAACCGATTTTTGCCTCTGTCCAGCCACCTGGATTTTATCAAAAGCCAGCGATTCAGTAAACCAGATAATCAATTGTTACTGCCTATGTCCTCTATTTTAAAAAATAATATTTTACAGAAAAGTGGGAACAACAGTGAAGATAAGGAGGGTAAACCACATCATCAAATTATTCTAGGGTGGTCAGACCTGTCTATAGCTAAGCCCAATTGCAAACAGAAGCAAAAGTCTGCAAAGAACAGGTTTTGTTTATATTCCTTTAAGCACCTCTTTCCACTGCTTTCTATTTTTGGCAAACAAGTCATTCATACTTCTCCAAAATCTCTACTTAAAACTTCAAATAGAATACACTGAGGGAGGGACTTCAAGATGGCTGGCTAGAGGGACGGGGCACTCACCTCCTCTTAAAAGGACCAGTACAGTAAGTAGATAATCACATGTTGAATAGAGCATCGAAGAGAAACCACTGGAATTCAGCAGGGAAGTGACAGAGAACCCCTGAGAAGGAGAGAGAGGTAAAGCAGATGACCCAGCCAGGATTGGCTCAGAGCAAGAAGAAACTCCCCAGTGCCAGGAAAAGTTAAGTGAGAGATCCCCAGTGGTTCATATTCCTACTGTGAACTCCTATAATCCTAGCCACAAGACAGCCCCTCCACCCTTGCCAGCCCTGAGACTAGCATAGGGAGCTCTCTGGAGCCTGTGTGATGGCATTGCTCCAGAGAGGGAGTGTGTGTGGGGTCCCCGCCCCCTCCCTCTCATCAGCACAGGACCATATTGAGAGCCCACCTCCATAAGACTACATCCTGTGCTGGGGCCAACAGACCCTGCTCTCCACATTCCTGCAGCCCTGCGGACATCACCCAATATCCATTCAGAGGGCTGTGGTGTTGTAATGCTGGATGGACCCAGCAGTGTGGCTGTGTCCCCAGCACTCTACCTCACTCAGTCTATACCCGGGGGAACAACTGGTGCAGCACACTGGGGAAGCTACCCTCAGAACAAAAGAAGCCAAAGCATGTGCTCCCAAAAGCCTGAGAGTCCATTACTTGGGGTCACTGTCACTGACAGCAACTCTAACCTGCCCCCCACCTCCAGCATCAGGGCTGCCACCCACCTGCATGTACTTTTAGGGGGGCTGGGGACCAGTCCACCCCACCAACCACTGTCACTAGCACTGCCTGAGTGCATTGTCCAGGGCCCTAGGGATCAACTTGCCCCACCTACCACAGCTAGCATTCATGCACAACATCGGGAGGCCTGAGGACAGGCTTGCCACACATAGCACCACCCTCACTAGTGCCTGCACACATGAAGCGGGGGCCTGGGAATTGATCTGTCTTGCCCACCACCTCTGGCAGCCACTCACACTTTCTGGAGTCCTGAGGACAGGCCTCCCCCAGCCTGCTGGTGCCCACATACATCATCCAGGAGCCTGGTGATTAACATGCCCAGTCTAACACCACCAGCATCTGCACCTGCCTCCTGGAAGCCTGAGCATGAGCCTGCCATCATCACTGCCACCAGAACCCACCTGCACACAGTACCTGGAGTCTGGGAACTGGCCTGCCACAGCCCATCACAGCCACCACCAGCACTCATGTGTGCTGCCTGGGGTCCTGAGGGCTGACCAGCCACAACTACCATTACCAGCACCACACATGCTGCCCAAGGGCCAGAAGATCTGTCTGCCTGCCTGGCCTACCACTGCCACTGCTGGCACCCAAGCAAGCCACATGGAGGCCCAGGGATTGGCCCATCCAACCCCACTACCACTGGTGCTTATGTACATCAGGTGGGCATGTGGGGGCCCAAGGACTGACACAGTAGGCCTGGTGCCACCACCACCAGTGGGGCTCAACAACCAGCCTGTCTGGTGTCCCCATCCTTCACAAAATCTCACCACAGCTTCCACTAACAACAGCAGCCTAAGCCACCAAGGAACTCACAGACACTACTAATGCTGATTACAGCCAAATATATCATACAGAGACTATGCTACTGTGTCCAGCCAGAATCAAAACCTAACCACTCTCTCTACCCAACCAATACTATTGATACAGCTATAGGAAAAAAATTTTTCCCTATGAAAGCAAATCCATAAAATTACAAACAGCAACTCTTTCACCAGATGCTCAGATAGCAATGTAAGGACACAAGAAACATGAAAAAGCAAGGAAACGTGATACCTCCAAAGGAACATAATAATTCTCCAGCAACAGATTCCAATGAAAAAGAAATCTATGAAATTTCTGAAAAAGAATTCAAAGTAATGATATTAAAGAAACTCAGAGAGATACAATAGAACATAAACAATTCAAAGAAATCAGGACAATTCATATCTGAATGATATCATTAAAAGGAACCAAACAGAAGTCCTATACTTGAATAATTCAATAATTGAAATAAAAAATACAATCAAGAGCTTCACCAGCAGACTAGAAAGAATTTCTGAACTTGTATACAGGTCTTTTGAAATAACTCAGTCATAAAAGCGACAGACAGAGAGAGAAAGACAGAGATACAGACAGACAGAGAGAAGAACTTAAATGAAGGAAGAATGCCTACATGACATATGGGACACCACAAGGTGACCAAATACTCAAATTTTTGGTGTTCTATAAGGAAAAGACATGGGCAATGACATTGAAAATCTATTTTACAAAATAATAGCTGAAAACTTCCCAATTCTTGCACGAGATATAGACATCAGATACAGAAAGCTCAGAGATCCCAAAAGATATTCAACCCCAAAAAAGGCAGACAGTCAAAAGTCAAAGACAGGGAGATAATTTTTTAAAAAGAAAGAGAAAAGCATCAAGTCATATATAAGGAAACCCCCATCAGACTAACAATGAATTTCTTAGTAGAAAACTTAAAGGCCAGGAGATAAGGGGCTGATATATTCTAAGTACTAAAAGAAAAAAAAAAAAACTTCAGGCAAGAATACTATATTCAGCAAAGCCATCCTTCAAAAATGAAAGAGAAATAGTCTTTCCAAGATAAGCAAAAACTAAAGGAATTTATCCCCTCTACACCAGCCCTACAAGAAATGCTTAAGGGAATCGTATATCTGGAAGTGAAAGGATGATATCTACCATCATGAAAACACGTGAAAATATAAAACTAATTGGTAGAACAGACACACAAATGAGAAAGAGCTATGACTCAGATATATCCACTGCAGAAAACCACCAAACTGCAATGATGAACAATAAGAGAGAAAGAAAAGAAAAAAGAATATAAAAAACAACCAAAAAACAGGATGACAAAATGTTAACAAAATGACAGGAATAAATCTTCACCTATCAATAATAACCTTGAATGTAATGTAAATGGATTAAATTCCCCACTTGAATGGTGTAGGCTGAAAGGATTTTTAAAAATGACCCAACTACATGCTGCTTACAACAAACAAACTTTACCCATAAAGATACATATAGACTGAAAGTGAAGGGATAGGAAAAGATATTCTATGCAAATTGAAATCAAAAGCAAGTGAGAGTAGCTGTATTTAGATAAAACAGATGTTAAGAACCAGAAAAAGAGAAAAAGAAAGTTGTTATATGTAATAAAGGGCTCAATTCAGCAAGAAGATCTAAAAAATACCAAATATATGTGAACCCAACACCAGAGTATCCAGATATATAATAAAGCAAATATTACTAAATCTAAAAGGAAAGATAGACTCTAATACAATAATATTTAGGGATTTCAGTATCCCTTTCTCAGCATTGGAGAGATCATCTAGACAGAAAATTAACAAAGAAACACTGATTTTAAACTGCACTTTAGACCAAATGGACCTAACAGACATTTACAGAACATTTTATCCAACACCTGCAAAATATACATTCTTCTCATCAGCACATGGAATAGTCTCCAAAATAGACCATATTTTAGACCACAAAACAAGTCTCAACTAATTTTTTTTTCTTTGAAACAAAGTCTTGCTCTGTCACCAGGCTGGAGTGCAGTGGCGCGATCTCAGCTCACTGCAACCTCTGCCTCCCTGGTTCATGCGATTCTCCTGCCTCAGCCTCCTGAGCAGCTGGGACTACAGGCACATGCCACCATGCCCAGCTAATTTTTGTATTTTTGTAGAGATGGGATTTTACCATGTTGGCAGCATGGTCTCGATCTCTTGACCTCATGAACTGCCCGCCTCAGCCTCCCAAAGTGCTGGGATTACAGGCATGAGCCACCACACCTGGCCATCTCAACTAATTTTTAAAAACCAAAATCATCTCTCCCCCTCCCCCTCCCCCTCCCCCTCCCCCTCTCCCTCTCCCTCTCCCCACGGTCTCCCTCTCCCTCTTTACATGGTCTCCCTCTGATGCCGAGCCGAAGCTGGACTGTACTGCTGCCATCTCGGCCCACTGCAACCTCCCTGCCTGATTCTCCTGCCTCAGCCTGCCGAGTGCCTGAGATTGCAGGCGCACGCCGCCACGCCTGACTGGTTTTTGTACTTTTTTGGTGGAGACAGGGTTTCGCTGTGTTGGCCGGGCTGGTCTCCAGCTCCTAACCGCGACTGATCCGCCAGCCTCGGCCTCCCGAGGTGCTGGGATTGCAGACGGAGTCTGGTTCACTCAGTGCTCAATGGTGCCCAGGCTGGAGTGCAGTGGTGTGATCTCGGCTCGCTACAACCTCCACCTCCCAGCCGCCTGCCTTGGCCTCCCAAAGTGCCGAGATTGCAGCCTCTGCCCGGCCGCCACCCCGTCTGGGAAGTGAGGAGCGCCTCTTCCCGGCCGCCATCCCATCTAGGAAGTGAGGAGCGTCTCTGCCCGGCAGCCCATCGTCTGAGATGTGGGGAGCGCCTCTGCCCTGCCGCCCCGTCTGGGATGTGAGGAGCGCCTCTGCCTGGCCGCGACCCGGTCTGGGAGGTGAGGAGCATCTCTGCCCGGCCGCCCCGTCTGAGAAGTGAGGAGACCCTCTGCCCGGCAACTGCCCCGTCTGAGAAGTGAGGAGCCCCTCCGCCCGGCAGCCACCCCGTCTGGGAAGTGAGGAGCGTCTCAGCCCAGCAGCCACCCGTCCGGGAGGGAGGTGGGGGGGTCAGCCCCCGCCCGGCCAGCCGCCCCATCCGGGAGGTGAGGGGCGCCTCTGCCCGGCCGCCCCTACTGGGAAGTGAGGAGCCCCTCTGCCCGGCCAGCCACCCCGTCCGGGAGGGAGGTGGGGGGGTCAGCCCCCCGCCCAGCCAGCCGCCCCGTCCGGGAGGGAGGTAGGGGGTCAGCCCCCCGCCCAGCCAGCCGCCCCGTCCGGGAGGTGAGGGGCGCCTCTGCCCGGCCGCCCCTACTGGGAAGTGAGGAGCCCCTCTGCCCGGTGAGGAGCCCCTCTGCCCGGCCAGCCGCCCCGTCCGGGAGGGAGGTGGGGGGTCAGCCCCCCACCCGGCCAGCCGCCCCGTCCGGGAGGTGAGGGGCGCCTCTGCCCGGCCGCCCCTACTGGGAAGTGAGGAGCCCCTCTGCCCGGCCAGCCGCCCCGTCCGGGAGGGAGGTGAGGGGGTCAGTCCCCCGCCCGGCCAGCCACCCCGTCCGGGTGGGAGGTGGGGGGGTCAGCCCCCCGCCCGGCCAGCCGCCCCGTCCGGGAGGGAGGTGGGGGGGTCAGCCCCCCGCCCGGCCAGCCGCCCCGTCTGTGAGGTGAGGGGCGCCTCTGCCCAGCCGCCCCTACTGGGAGGTGAGGAGCCCCTCTGCCCGGCCAGCCGCCCCGTCCAGGAGGGAGGTGGGGGGGTCAGTCCCCTGCCCGGCCAGCCCCCCTGTCCGCGAGGTGAGGGGCGCCTCTCCCGGCCGCCCCTACTGGGAAGTGAGGAGCCCCTCTGCCCGGCCACCACCCCGTCTGGGAGGTGAACCCAACAGCTCATTGAGAGCGGGCCGGGATGACAATGGCGGTTTTGTGGAATAGAGAGGGGGGAAAGGTGGGGAAAAGATTGAGAAATCGGATGGTTGCGGTGTCTGTGTAGAAAGAGGTAGACATGGGAGACTTTTCATTTTGTTCTGTACTAAGAAAAATTCTGCCTTGGGATCCTGTTGATCGGTGACCTTACCCCCAACCCTGTGCTCTCTGAAACATGTGCTGTGTCCACTCAGGTTTAAATGGATTAAGGGCGGTGCAAGATGTGCTTTGTTAAACAGATGCTTGAAGGCAGCATGCTCGTTAAGAATCATCACCACTCCCTAATCTCAAGTACCCAGGGACACAAACACTGCGGAAGGCCCGCAGGGTCCTCTGCCTAGGAAAACCAGAGACCTTTGTTCACTTGTTTATCTGCTGACCTTCCCTCCAATATTGTCCTATGACCCTGCCAAATCCCCCTCTGTGAGAAACACCCAAGAATGATCAATAAAAATTTCAAAAAAATAAAAATAAAAATAAAAACCAAAATCATATCAAGTGTTTCCTCAAACCACAACAGAATAAAACTAGAATTCAATAACAGGAGAAACTTTGGAAATTTTCTTTGGAAAAATAGCTCCTGAAGGACCATTGGGTCTATGAATTAGTCAAGGACATAAAAAATGTCCTAATCACGCCTGTAATCCCAGCACTTTGGGAGGCTGAGGTGGGCAGATCACCTGAAGTCAGGAGTTCGAGACTAGCCTGGCCAACATGGTGAAACCCCATCTCTACTAAAAATACAAAAGTTAGCCAAGCATGTTAGCAGGCACCTACTCAGGAGGCTACTCAGGGGGCTGAGGCAGTAGAATCACTTGAACCCAGGAGGCGGAGGTTGCAGTGAGCCAAGATTGTGCCATTGCACTCCAGCCTGGGCGACAACAGCGAGACTCCATCTCAAAAGAAAAAATTACTGCTTAATTCTACCAAACTTACTAAGAACTAACACCAATTCTCAAAGTATTCAAAAAAAATTAAAGGAGAGGAAATTCTCTCTAACTAATTCTACAAGGCTCACATTACCCTGATACCAAAGCCAGACAAGGACACACAAAAAAAGAAAAATATAGGCCAATATCCCTGATGAACATGGAATCAAAAATCCTCAATAAAATACTAGGCAAATAGAATCCAACAACACATCAAAAAGATAATACACCATGATCAAGTGGGATTTATCCCCGGGATGCAGGGATGGTTCAACCTATGCAAATCAATAAATGTGATACGTTACATCAAAAAAATGAAAGACAAAAACCATATGTTCATCTCAATAGATGCAGAAAAGGCATTTGATAAAATTCAACATTCCTTCATGATAAAAACTCTCAACAAACTAGGCATAGAAGAAATGACCCTTAACATAATAAAGGCCACATATGACAGACCCACAGCTAACATCATACTGAATGGTGAAAAGCAAAATTTATTCTCTCAGAATTGGAATGAGAAAAGGATGCCCAATTTTACAACTCATATTCAACATAGTACTGGAAGTCTTAGCTAAAGCAATCAGGCAAGAGAAAAATAAAAGGCATCCAAATTGAGAAAGAAAAAGTGTCCCCATTTACAGATGTCATGATCTTGTATATATAAAAACCTAGACTCCACAAAAACTTCTTAGAACTGATAAATGAATTCAGTAAAGTTTTAGAATACAAAATCAACATAGAAAAACTAGTAGTGTTTCTATACACTAAGAACAAACTGATTGAAAAAGATATCAAGAAAGCAATCCCATTTACAATAACTACACCAAAAAACCTAAAAATAAATTGAACCATGGAGGTGAAAGATGTTGAAGGAAAACTACAAAACACTAATGAAAGAAACTGGAGAAAACACAAACAAATACATTCTCATAAATTGGAAGAAATAATATTGTTAAAATGACCATATCACCCAAAGCAATCTACAGATTCAATGCAATCCCTATCAAAACATCAATGACATTTTTCATAGACACAGGAAAAACAATTCTAAAATTCATATGAAACCACAAAAGATCTCAAATAGCCAAAGCAATCCTAAGCAAAAAGAACAAAGCTGAGACCTCACAACACCTGCCTTCAAAATATACTACAAAACTACAGTAACCCAAACAGCATGATATTGGTATAAAAACAGACACATACACCAATTTATGAGATTAGAGAACCCAGAAATAAATTCACATTTTTACAGCCAAATGATTTTCAACCAAGGTTCCAAGAACATATATTGGGGAAAGGACATACTCTTCGAAAAATGGTGCTGGGAAAACTGGATACCAATGCAGTAGAATGAAACTAGATTCCTATTTCTCATCATAGACAAAAATAAACTCCAAATGGATTATACACTTAAACATAATGCCTAAACTATAAAAATACTAGAAAAAAACATAGCAGAAACGCTTCTGAACATTGGTCAAGGCAACAATTTTATCACTAAGACTTCAAAAGCACAGGAAACAAAAACAAACACAGATAAACAGAACTATACCAAACTAAAAAGTTTCTCCACAGCAAAGGAAACAATCAACGGAGTGAAGAGAAAACCCGCAGAATGAGAGCAAATATTTGCAAACCATTCATCTGACTAGGAACTAATATCCAGAATATGCAAGGAACTCAACTCAACAATAACAACAAAAATTCCATTAAAAAGTGGACATATGTTCCAAATAGACTTATCAAAAGAAGACATACAAATGGCCCACAGGTATATGGCAAAAATGCCCAACATCAATAATCATCAAGGAAATGCAAATCAAAACCACAGTGAGGTGTCATCTTACCCCAGTTAGAATGGCTAGTATCAAAAAGGCAAAAATAACAAATGCTGGCAATGATGCAGAGAAAAGGGAACTCATACACTGTTGCTGGGAATGTAAATTAGAAGAGCCATTATAGAAAACAGTATGGAGGTCTCTCAAAAAACTAAAAATAGAACTACCATATAATCTAGCAATCCCACTATTAGGTATTTATTCAAAGGAAAAGAAATAAGTATATAAAAGGGATCCCTGCACCCCCATGTTTGTTGCAGCGCTATTCACAATAGCAAAGATATGGAATTAAACTGTGTTGTACACCAGACAAGTGATACAGAAAATGTGGTATATATACACAGTGGAATACAATTCAGCTATAAAAAGGAATGAAATCCTGTCATTTGCAGCAACATGGATAGAACTCAAGGTCATTATGTTAAGTGAAATAAGCCAGGCACAGAAAGAAAAATATCACATATTCTCACTCATATGTGGGAGCTAAAAAAAAAAAAAAAAGTGGATCTCATGGAAATAGAAGATAGAATGATGGTTACCTGAGGCTGAAAAGGGTTAGGAAGGGGGCAGTCAACAGGCACAAACATGCAGTTAGATTGGAGGAACAAGGGCTAGTGTTCTACAGCACCACAGGGTGATTATAGCTAACAACAACATATTGTGTATTTCAAAATTGCTGGAGGAAAAAATTTCTCCAACACAAAGAAATGATAAATGTTTCAGGTGATAGATATCCTAAAAGACCCTGATTTAATTACTACGCATTTTATGCATGTACCAAAATATCACATATACCCCCTAAATTATGTACAATTATTATATATACAATTTTCTAAAAGATAGCTGGAAGAGGCTGGGCATGGTGGCTCACGCCTGTAATCCCAGCATTTTGGGAGGCTGAGGTGGGAGGATCACCTGAGGTCAGGAGTTTGAGACCAGCCTGGCCAACATGGTAAAACCCCATCTCTACTAAAAACACAAAAATTAGCCAGGCATGGTGGCACGCCTCCATAGTCCCAGCTACTCGGGAGGCTGAAGCAGGAGAATTGCTTGAACCTAGGAGGCGGCGATTACAGTAAGCTGAGATGGCACCATTGCACTCCAGCCTAGGCGACACAGCGAGACTCCATCTCAAGAAAAAAATAAAAATAAAAAGATAGCTAGAAGAGAGAGTTTTAAATGTTATCAGAAAGAAATGATAAATGTGTAAAGTTTTGAATATGCTAATTACTTTGATCAGTATACAATGTATACATACACTGAAACATCACAACTGTACCCCATAATTATGTATAATTATTATGTGTCAATTTTAAATAAAATTTCAAATGAGTTTGTATTACAACTGAATATTAAAGCCGGGGGAAAACTAATTCTAGAGGAAATAGTTTCTAGTCATAAGCAAGGGGAAGTCAAAGAAAAATCCTCCAAAATGACACTCACTTTGAAATTTAAAATATCCCTTATATTCTGTGGGCTTAGTATATCATCCTCTTCACATTCATATCATTTGAGGAATGCAAGGTGTTCACCACTGAAAGGAAATCTCATCTCATAAATTTAAAAGCAGATGATTCAGAGAATGATGTGCATGTTGCCAAATGTTTTTTAAAAAGGACTACTTAAAATGTTTCTAAAATTTTGATGTTTTCCTAGAATATCGAGTATTTTACATGTCACAAAAAATTAAGGTTATAGGGCAGAAAAACTTAAGACTAAAAATTAGAAGCCACTTGCCATTTAAGGGTAAGCAGAAATTAGAGAATAAAAGCTGTCAAGCAACACAATGGAAAGACATGAGTATTTACAAAAGATGTATTTCTATGGTTTGGGTACCAAAGAAGAGCCTTTGAGAATCATCAAGATAGTCTTGTCTGGGCCAGGCATGATGGCTCATGCTTATAATCCCAGCATTTTGGGAGGCCGAGGCTGGAGGATCACTTGAGGCCAGGAGTTCCAGACCAGACTGGGCAACATAGCAAGATCCATCTCTACAAATAAAAATTAAGATTACCTGGGCATGGTGGCACGTGCCCCTAGTCCCAGTTTCAAGGGAGGCTGAGTCAGGTGGATCCCTTGTTTCTGGGAGTTCAAGGGTGCAGTGAGCCATGATCACACCACTACATTCCAGCCTGGGTGTCAGAGCCTATCTCTAAAACCAAAAATAAAAGATCACAAGATGGTCTTATCTGGAATTCCTGCCCTTTATACTGTCTCTCACATATGTCAGGCTATGAATCCTAGAAGGTTAGCTTTTGTGCTCAGATTCCCTGTTTTCTTCTGTCATCAGTTCACACATGTTGGGCAGGGGCAAGCAGGACACAGTAGTCACTGCCTACACATGAGCAAAGTGATTATTATTTCCAGCAGTGGGACTGGACAAGGCCACCCCCTGTGTTTCAGGCCCCAGGCCACCTGAGGACCACAGACAGAGGGAAGATGAGTCCTAGCTACTGCCCAAAAACCTTCTGCTAAAATCAATAAAGTATATCAAAACGTGCAGAACAGGAATCAACACCTGGCAGAACATTCCAGAGACACTGTGGAGCCTCTTTGATAAATGCCATAGGAACAGGCTTCCTCATGGCTGATGCAGTATGAAAAAACACAGACACCAATGATTCCAAGTTAGCTGCTTCCAAGACCCAAGAAGTCCTCAGTTCTATACCTTGTAAATAAATTCTCCTCAAGTTGTCCTATTCCAAGTGTGCCAACTGTTTCCTGATGGATGGGACCCTGACTAACACAACGAAAAGCCCAGAGGTGAGGGAGAAAACTCTGCAAAGACCCTGAGGTTGGGGGCTGCTTGGAGGATTTAGGGAACGAGGAGGAGCCAGGTGTGACTAGAGAGGAGTGAACAAGCAAGCTGGTGAGAGCCAGAGAAGACATCTAGAGGGCATGCAGACAGGCAGAACAGAGCAGGCAAAATATGGGAAGAAACTGGGCTTCTGCTCTGGGCCAGATGGGAGCCACTGTAGATTTTAAGCAGAGGAGTAACGTGGTCTGGTTTACATTGAACAGAAGCCTGCAAGGATGAGAGATTGAAGGGACAACAGTGAAGTGAGGGACAACAGTGAAGTGAGGGACAACAGGTGGGGGGGTGTGGCGGTGGCAGTGGGGGTTGGGGGGGTTAGTGCAATGGTCCAGGGAAGAATGATGAGGGTCTCAGAGCAGGTGACAGCCGTGGAAGCAGTGAGCAGTGGTGGAATTTGAGAATGATTTAAAAGATAGAGCTGACAGGACAGGGGTGGTGACAAAGTGACACATCATGGATGGCTACAACAGTTTTGACCAGAGCCCCTCGAAGAATGGAATTACTGTTTATGGAGGAGCAGAGGAGTGTGGGAGTAACACACCTGGTGGTCTGTATCAATAGTTCAATTTGCCACATGTTAAGTTCAAGATGCTTATTTCATCTCCAAGAAAAGATGTCAGGCAGCTAGCCGGATACACAGTTTGAAGGTCTGGGAGTGGTCCTGGCTAGGCATATACATTCAGGCATCCTCAGTGCTTACACATAGTACTTAAACCCATAAGACTAGACCATCACCAAACCAGAAGTACAGACAGAAAAGCTAGGAGGTCAGCGCACGAAGCTCTGGGCTGCTCCACACCCTCTACTGTGGCCCCTCCTGCAGATCAAGTGAAAATCCAAGATTGGGCCAGGCTTTCCTAGCTTGCCTCAAGGGTGAGGGCTGTGTGGTGGGGGTGAGCAATCTGCACAGCCCCTGCAGCCCCGACACAGTCTCACTGCTGCTCTGGCCGGGACAACCTTGGTGGTGTCTCCTCTGCAGCTCTGCTTCTGGCACAAGAAAGGCAGCCAGCTCTCTCATCCACCCGGCCGGCTTTCTCTCTCGACTACTGTCAGTGAGGAGCACTGCTACTTCCAACTTCCAGTGAGAAAAGGAAGTCAGGGAAGTGTGAAGCAGCAGAATTTAGAAAGGGAAAAAATACTTCCTACTTCATCCCCACTACTTGGTCCTTTCCCCAAATCTGTTCTTCATTTCTCTCTCTTTTTCAGGTCTCCATTATTCCCAACTAGACTATAAGCCACTTGCAGGCAGGCCTGGATCTTATTCCCCATTGTCTGTCAGTCCCAGAAGACAGTTGCTACTCAGTAAGTATTTGATAAATGAATAAAAATGGGTACTAATTTTCTCACATTCTCTCTTCTTTGCTTTCAATCTTTTTTTAATGAAAATAGATATCTGTTCAGGCCTTTCTACTTTTACTATTGTCAAATATTGCCTAATTTATAAATCTTGCATTGACTTTCCTTCTCTGCAGGGCAAAAGAAGGAAAGAAAAATTACCCATTGATTTTGTAGAACTTCTTAATCAAATCTTGTCTCTTTGCAAAATCTCATTCTCAGTAAAGATGCTTATGAAAATCCCTCAGAAAAATATCACATGCGTAATAAAACACAACTTTTTAAATGGATTTCAGTCTGCCCTTCCTCACCACACTTCTTGTTCTGTCATTACTGAAATATTCCTGGGAAGTTTCCTCACCACAAATAATGCCCATGAGAAGCAGCGTGATAAGAGTCATTCACGTCCCAAGAATGTGGGTGTGTTGACAAACTTCAAAACTGGCTGGGTGACCTGATGATGTCTTATGCAAATGCCATTTTAAAGGAAGAAGCCCTTTCTTGGAGGTCTCATGCCTGGGTGTATGCATTTATGAAAGAGTCCTGTGCAGCAGTACAAAGAGTTGAATGCTACTTCTTGCGGGTTCTGCATGATTCTCAGGCTCGGTTATCTTTTTTTTTTTTTTAAGAGTACTGCCAGTTATATATTTGAGAGCCCCTTTGAAGAGGCCTCTGCCTTACAGCATAGGGTTGATTACTTACAAGTGTTCACTCCAATTCCCTTCCTCCTCAAGGCTCCACAGTCAGAAGCTACAGCCATGGGAAGCTTTGAGTATTTCTCCTTTCATGTCCGTCCCCCACACCCCACCTCTTGAACCTGTCCACTGGATAATGGTTAAGTGTTTCCACCAGTGTTATAAGGTAAATCCTGATTTATAAAATTGAATTAGCTGATGAATAACTGATTTTTTAAAAACGCAACATTCAGTTCAAGATTTCTGCAATTTGTGACATCAGCTAGGATTAAAGCTGAGTCTCTAAAAGGTAAATGAAGCCAAATAAAAAAATGAAAAACTGGAATCCAAGGGTATTCTGAATCCAAAAAATATGTACATATGCTAAAGGTGATATTTTAAATCACTTTTGAGATCACAGAAATCATTCCCCAAAATGGTACTGGAACAATAGCACGCAGACTTGTGGGAAAAGGAAGCTGTAATATTAATAATTAAGTACCATGGACTCTGACATAAAATGCTTAGGGTCAAATTCCTACTTTGGTACTTAAAAACCATATGGCCAATGACAAGTGATTTAACCCCTCTAGGTTTCAATGTCCTTTTCTGTAGAAGGAGAAGAATAAAATAACCTACCTTATAGCATTGGCATGAGGATTAAATGGGCTTATGAGAACCTACATACAGCAAACCCAGTTAATGTTAATTTTATCATTAAGTCTATTGCCTCATTTCCTTCAGCAAAATAAATTCCAGATGAACAAAGATATCAATGCAAGGAATAAAACCATTAAAAGTACTAGATTAAATCATAGGTAAATAGTTTTATAATCTGTTAGGCATGATATAAAACTCATAAGCAAAAAAGATAAGGATGTAGGGGGAGGGTGAAGAATGATAAAGATAGCTATACTGATTAACAAACATTGAAACATTTTAGTGCTTTAAATGAAAACAATAGGGCCGGGCGCGGTGGCTCACGCCTGTAATCCCAGCACTTTGGGAGGCCGAGGCGGGCGGATCACGAGGTCAGGAGATCGAGACCATCCTGGCTAACACGGTGAAACCCCGTCTCTACTAAAAAATACAAAAAATTAGCCGGGCGTGGTGGTGGGCGCCTGTAATCCCAGCTACTCGGGAGGCTGAGGCAGGAGAATGGCATGAACCCAAGAGGCGGAGCTTGCAGTGAGCCAGGATAGCGCCACTGCAGTCCAGCTTGGGCGAAAGAGTGAGACTCCGTCTCAAAAAAAAAAAAAAAAAAAAAAAAAAAAAATGAAAACAATAGTTTCAATATGTATCACAAAGAGCTATCCCTCATATACAAAGAGTTCTTAGAAATAAGTAAAAACAGGCATACAACTCTGTAGAAAAACATGAATACATAATTCATGAAAAGAGGGAAATACAAATATCACCCTTCCCTACAAAAAACTTGGCAAGATCACTAAGAATTAAAGACAATTGTGTGTGTGTGTATGTCTGTGTATGTCTATGTAGTATCCAATTGGTAACGTTTAAAAAGGTCTTAATACCTCACATTGGTAAGAGTTTACAGAAATAAGCATTGTGACTCACTAATGATCAAAGCATACAACCTTACAGAGGTCCATTTGACCACATCTACTAAAATTCTATGTGTATTTCTCTTGATCCAGAAATCATTCTGTAATTCTATTGCTGAAATTTTGCCCTACAGATGATAGACAGAGTATTGCACATGTTGTACGCAAATGTGTTTAAAGACTGTTATAGCACTGTGTACATGAGGGAAAAAATAAAAATCCAAGAGCCTTTCAAAAAGAACAGAAAAATAATTATGGTGCATTTCTACAAAGGAACAACATGCAACTGTTAAAAAGAATGAACTAGATCCATGCACTGACATGGAAAAATATTCTAAAATATTGAGTGAATGTATTAGTTTGTTTTCACACTGCTGATAAAGACATACCAGAGACTGGGTGATTTACAAAAGAAAGAGGTTTAATGGACTCACAGTTCCACGTGGTTGGGGAGGCCTCACAGTCATGGTGGAAGGAGAAAGGCACATTTCACATGGTGGCAGACAAGAGAAGAATGAGAGCCAAGTGAAAGTGGTTTCCCCTTATAAAACCATCAGATCTCGTGAGACTTATTCTCTACCACGAGAACAGTATGGGGGAAACTGCCCCCATGATTCCGTTATCTCGTACTGGGTTCCTCCCACAACATGAGGGAATTATGGGAGCTACAGTTCAAGATGAGATTTGGGTGGGGACACAGCCAAACCACATCAGTGAATAAGTCAGTTTCAAAACAGTATATACCTAAGAACATCTCTGAAAGAGAACTGTGGCAGTGTGCAGCTGTGCCCCTCAGTGCTCCCTTCAAGAGAGCGTAGATGACTGACAGCCTTCAGACACTGCCCCTTCAGATCTGTGGAAGATTCACACACCCCAGGCTGCTCCCACCCAATGGCTGCAGCTGGAAGCAACTCCTTCCCACCTTCCTTCCTCCCCATCTCCTTCCACAGGCATCACACCTGCACTGGGTCTGAAGGCTCTGTGCCTACAGTTACTCCCTTTCCCCTTACAAGTCCTTCCCCCAGTAAATCTCTTGCACATGTGTTTCTGGCTTGCTCTCTTCTACTTGAGGGATCCAAACCAGCCCCAAAGACACACCCACTTACTAAGTTATAAATTTAGAGCTGAGATGGAGGGAGGGAGGTGGGCAGAATAAGAGAAATTATAGATAACTCACTTTAAGTTATACAGTTCTGCAACATAAAGCATTCCTTAAAACGTGTGTGTGTGCATGTTTTAAACATATTAAGCTCAGTCTTGTGCAAGTGGCAATTTCCTTATTTCCACACTTGAAACCATATATCCCAACATGATTAAACTAGTTGACAGTGTTTGTGTTTCCAGTCCAACCCATGGTATTGAACAGACTTGAAAAAGGTTGGCAGTTTTTACCTACTGGATCAGCCTGGGAGGATGCCGTGTTTTTCTGTACAGAAAATGTAACCTCTTAGGTTCTGAGAGAGTGTAGATACTTTAATGATCTATTTCCAAATGCAAAAAGTAACCAGTGTCCTGAGTAGAAAAATCATACTACCATCCCCGGCTGACAGACAGACACACTGAAGTATATATATGAAGTAAATTTGCTCAAAATCCCCCATTAGGGAGATTGAAAGTAGAAAGAGGTGACCAAGAAATACCACGGTGTATGAAAAATTTACTCACAAGAAAGCGTAACTTCTGTTGATGCACATCTTCTCAAAAGCTGGCATTACACATGAACAATGAAACCTCAATCACTCTTTTCTGAGAATTATTTTGTCTTACATTTTTCCAAGTGTTCTTTATGTCTTACATTTTTCTATTTGCAGAAGCCACTTACAATTGTGCTTTTCTTTAGTTGACATTAAATGTCATATTCAGGCTGCATATATTTTATATGACTGTCTTCATCTTAAGTCAACAGTTTAAAATAATCCAGATAGTTAATTGCCTCAATGACTCTAGATCTAAGAACAGAGCTAGGTATTCTATTTAGCGATCTCACCAACCCTCTTTCTTTTAACAAAAATAAAGGAAGAGAGGGAGAGAAGAAGGAAGAAAGGAAAACAACTATAATTTAGTTCTTTAGCATGTAATTTTAAAAGAAATCAATTTAAAAATGCTTTCAATCATATTCATTACAAATAGGAAGTACTATCACTAGCAGCATAAATTTAAATAGTTGTACAAGACTGTACACCCAAATGTGGACAAAGGACCAGCAGTATTGACATCACCTGGTAGCTTGTCAGAAATGCAAAATCTCAGGCCAGACCTTAGACCTCTTGAATCTGCATTTAAATAATATCCTCAGGTGATTCATATGCACATTCAAGTTTGAGAAACACTACTATATTTAAAATATATGATATATTTTTGTCTCTTAGGATACTACCAATAAATAAAGGAAATATTTACTGGTTCCTATTACCAATAGGGCACTCTGCAAAACCATGAGTAGGATATAAATATGAAAAAGATCCCAGCTAGCATGTATAAGATACTAACTCTCTACAAGGTGCTTTGCTAAGTGACGTACATGCATTTATTAATTGAATCCTCACAACAGCGCTAAGAAAAGGATTATATTATTATTCCCATTCACAGAGGAGGAAATTAAGGATAAGAAAGTTGACAAGTAATTTATCCAAACTGACCCAGTTAATCTGATGTGTAGCCAATATTTGAAATCAGATAAGTCATTAACCAAAGTTCACATGACACAGTTTCCTTAAAGCTTGGAGCTCATACCAAAGTGGACATTAAAGCATTAAAAATTGCTAACAATTATAAACTCAATAAAATCTTAATTAAAAATAGGATTTTATTAAACTTGACAGGCTATTTGTAAAGAGAAAATGTATGTGATTTATAAAAAAAGTTGTTTTAAAAAGCACAAATATATACCACAAGATTTTCAAAAACACTATAAAGCTACAGTAGTTAACTCAGAGTAATATTGGTTTAGGGAAAAACAAACAAAAAAAAAGATCAATGAAACAGAATAGAATCCTGACACAGACCCTTTTACAAACAGGAATTTATTTAATGATAAAAACAGAATTTCAAATGAGTTGGAAAAAAGATGAATTATTAAATAAATGCTATTGGATCAGCTGTCTAAAACTTTACAAAAATATTAAGTTACATCGTTACCTTCCACTTCGTATCTATCAAGTGGAAAAAGGGGCAAACCCTTTGACACAGGAATACCTCTCCTCAGATTCTCTTCCACAGAAATACTCACACTTGAGCAGGAAGATGAATGTGTGATCTGCTCTGAAGCAACGTTGCTAATGCTGAATGTCCATCAATATAGGAAAGGATGGATAAATTACATTCTATTTCTACTTTAGGATAACATGTAGCTGGCCGGGCGCAGTGGCTCACGCCTGTAATCCTAGCACTGTGGGAGGCCAAGGCAGGTGGACTGCTTGAACCCAGGAGTTCAAGACCAGTCTGGGCATCATGGAGAGACCCAATCTTTACAAAAAATACAAAAAAAAAAAAGTCAGGTGTGGTGTCATGTGCCTGTAGTTCCAGCTTCTCAGGAGGCTGAGGTGGGAGGATCACTTGAGCCCAGAAGGTCGAGGCTGCAGTGAGCCATGATCATGACACTGCACTTCTGCCTGTGTGACAGAGTGAGACCATCTCACACACACACAAAAAGAATAACACGTAGCCATTAACAAAAGAGGTATCTAGAGACAATGGAAAGATCTCTAAGACTTGGAAAGTGAAAAAGCAAGCTGTACAATAAGTATAGTAAGATAATTTGCATATTTAAAACATATGTATATGTATGTATTATGTAAAACTATAGAAAAGAAAAACAAGCCTTAGAATGGTATTATCAAACTTAACCTTCCCTCTTCTGAGTGGGAGGAGGGAGGATGGTGATGGCACGTCTACATTTCACTTCACTTCTATATTGAGTGAGAATGAGTTGTTATTATTTGTATTATTTTTAAAACACAAAAATAGAATACAACGTGGAGTGCACAAATGCAGAGCGACCAGTACAACTAAAATGAGGAGGGAAGGAAGGCTATGAAGCCACCAACACAGCTGTTGGAAAAGAAATTCTCTCTTCATGTAGCTACAAAGAAGCCTGCTTGGAGGAGGGGATTTCTCCAGCAAGGCCATGATATTCTATTTGTTTTGGTTTGGGTTTTTTTCCCCCCATTTTACACATTTTTTAAGCAATCAAGAAGGATTTTCTCCCCCAGCGAAAGGAGGGCCAAGGCTCACAGTTCCTGTAAGTGAGCAAGACCACACTCACTAAGATTCTCTTCTACTGCAGCCAATGAATGCCCCAGTCCTTTCCCACAAGGAAAATACACACCTTCTTCTTGTTAAATACAGTACCACTGATTCCCCTTTGAAAACCGTAACAGTTCTCCTGATTCGGTTTTGTCCTCAGGACAAAAGGGTTACAAAAACATGAGAGATCCAGGAACACCTCTGCATGTGTTCCTGGTCTGTTCAGGTTAAAGAAAAGGGTAGAGGGGGAAAGAACCAGTGTTTATGTGTTCTCCCCAATGCGGCTCGGGTCCCTGCGGAAGAAACACCCAAGACCAGCCTTTTTCTCTCAAAGCCACCTTTGATACAAAAGGCTTAGCCACACCTGCTGGGACAAACGGGAACTGGGACCAAGATGTAAGTCACAAGGAGGCAATTTACAGCAGAGAACTAGCTCTTCCTACAATAAAATGTGAGGTGGTGAGCTTCCTGCCACTGGAGGCACTGAACAAATGCTACGGGGAAAACAAACTGAGTATTTCCTGAAGATTCTGAATAGAAGGCTGTGTTTGGAGTTTGATGCTTTGAAAGCTCAAGAAATGATTCTCAGACACAGCGGAGTTTGGGGACATCAAGGGCTCTGAGTGCATTTTAAAGCAGCCCAGGAGAGAGACAAAGCAAGACCATAATGAAACACCCCACCCAGTCTTAGAGTTTGAGCTACAGCACGGTGATCATGAGCAGACTCCAAACCCAAATCCTGATACTGTCACCTGCTAGCTGTGTAACCCTAGAAAAGTTACAAAACCTCTTTGGGCCTCAGTTTCCTCAATAAAATATAATAAAAAACTAGTACCCGCCTCACCCGTGAAGCTTAAATGAGCTAGCATATGTCAAGTGCTTAGAATAGGGGCTGGTTCACAGTAAGTATGAACCATTATTATTTGCAGACAAGGAAACTAAGAGGTGATAAGTAGTTTGACCCATGTTCCAAAGTCAGTTTTAATCTTGGGAATAAAACCTAAAAATTTCTTTCTCCTCCATCAGAATTCCTTCTAGCTCAAACTAAGTATCCTACATTCAATTCTATCTTCTCTGCCTTCATAGACCCTTCCATTTACTTCTCTTGAATATCTTGTTCCCAAAGTGTTTTCAAGGCAGGTCTGTTACCAAGCCACTCCATCAGCAGCACCTAGCACTGTGCCTCCCGCAGCAAGGCAGGCAGGATGGATGGACGGATGCAGGCATGCATGGGTAGGTGGATGAAGGGCAGATGAAGAACTATCGAGAAAGGAATCGCGGTGTCAGGGGTAAAGCCCTGGCCTGCGAGAGCCGGGCTCGGATTTCAGTGCCCTCACAGCTAGCCATATGGCCTTGGACAAGTTACTGAACCCCTCCGTGCCTAGGTTTCCAGAATGTAGAGGGCCACTTCCACTCAAGTGGCTGGAGAAGAAGGTAAGCGCCCCGGACGGACGCTATTGCAGAGTCGCCCGGGGATTCCTCTCTCCACCTGTGCTTGAGCTCCTCCCGCTTCTACGCTAGGGACCAGGTGGGAGAGATACACGGATTCCCAGAAAAATGGCTCTCTCAGGTGGGAGTCAAGGGTTACGAGAGGAGAGGTAGGGGAAGCAATGAACTCCTCCACACGATGTGTTGGGAGAGAGGAAAGAGGGATTCAAGTGGGAATTTTCCACTCAACAAACATTCCACCATCATTTGAGAAAAAGGCGCTGGGATGGTGAATTTCAAACAGTCTGAGAAATGGGCGACTCGGCACTGTGCGGCCTGTAAGGAATGAATCATTTAGTTTTCACCCACCAGGTAGGCAGGCCGGGGGCGAGGACCCTCCGAGCGCCGTCCGAGCGCAGGTGGTAGCCCAGCCAAGCAAACGCTGGGCAGAGGCGGCACCGAGGAGGGGAACGGGCTGCTGCACTCCCGGTCGCGTCCAGCCGGGATGGGCTGCGAAGTTGTCGGATTCTTTCCCGCACAGCACGGGGCTCGCCCGTCGGAAAAGCCACCGAGGGCGGCGCAGCGGCAGGGCGCGAGCAGAGCGGGGACGGGCGGGTCGGGGGTACTCACGCCGCGGGCGAAGGGCTCCACGAGCCGGGCCGAGTCCTCGGCGGCGCGTGGGGCGCGGGTGCGGGCTCCGGGGCGGACGTGCAGAGGCGGCCCGGGCCGGGGCTATGAATCAGCTGCGGGGCAAGCGCGGAGGGGCGGGAGTTACTGGAAAACCGCGGGGGAGGGCAGAGGGGTGAGGTCTTTTGCAATTTCCCGTCTTGCTGCGCACTCTTGGCACTCCTGGGACCCACAGGAATTCCCTCCCTTCAGTCCCGGGGGGAGGCGGCCGCGATCCTGGGGGAGGCGCAGCCTCACAACCCGGACTTTGCGGGCGGGCGGGCACTGGTGAGAAGAGGAAGTGGGAGAGGCCTGGGAAGGAAACTTGGAAACCGAAAACTCGGCGGCCGAGGCTCCGTGCCCCGCGCGCAGCGCTGCTCCTGCCCCGGCCAAGGACGCACGGGCCAGCCGGCGGAACCAGAGGTAAGCCGAGTGACCGATGAGGCCTGGGGCTGTGTATCCCACAGGGGCACTTGTCATCCCAACCCAGAG